>NC_000009.12:134877066-135568596 GCF_000001405.40 Homo sapiens | reverse complement strand
GACCATACTCATTAATTTCCATTCATTCCTCCTGTGTCTTTTTCCAAATAGGTGTGGACAGTCTTAATTCCATTCTTTCTTGTATGAAAGTCAGCAAAGACCATGTACCTGCCTCTTTGCCTCATTTGTCTCACTTAATGACACGTGCTAGAGATTTACTCTGTGTCCATTTGTAGAGAACTTAAAGGGAAAGGGTTTTAATGTTTTTAACAGACTCCAGCATCTGCAGAGAAATCATGGTATTCTTGATCCTTTAATTACACAATTATGTCCAGAGATGTCTTCCGGGGGTGAAGCTCAGGTAGACGCCTCTGTGATTCTCTCACCGTGTGACTGGGTTCCAGGGGCACCGGTACTGTTCGGGGTGTTTGCTTCGACACACAGGGTGGTGTGGTGATGGAGCCAGCAGGTGCAATGGTTGCATGTGTGGGTATTAGACTCCCTGCCAGTCCATGTGCCACCCACCAGCTGGGCAATGAGACAGTAAGGGCTTCTGCCCCATGGGCAGTCATGAGGATGAAATGGCCTATTTGAGTGTTGTTGTTGTTGTTGTTGTTTTTTTGGGTTTTTTTTTTTTTGAGATGGAGTCTCGCTCTGTCACCCAGGCTGGAGTGCAATGGTGCGATCTCGGCTCATTGCAACCTCTGCCTCCTGGGCTCAAGCGATTCTCCTGCTTCAGCCTCCAGAGTAGCTGGGATTATAGGTCGTCCGCCACCACACCCAGCTGATTTTTTTTATTTTCAATACAGATGGGGTTTCACCATGTTGGCCATCCTGGTCCCGAACCCCTGACCTCAGGTTATCTGCCTGCCTCGGCCTCCCAAAGTGCTGGGATTACAGGTGTGAGCCCCCATGCCTGGGTTAAAATGGCCTGTTTGTTATATAGACAGTGCGGACGTTCCTTACTGCCTCACAAGTCCTAGTTACTCCTGGTAGGGCCTGGTTTTGTGGAGTTTTGATGGAGATATTTTCCCAGCATTAGAAACGAGTGTGGAAGCTTTGCCCCCTCCCCATGCCTGCGACTCTTCACATTGCCTCGTTTCACCTGTTCCCGAAAGGAGCAGGAGATCCCTGGCCGCTTGCCCGGCTGCTCTCGATGCTGGGGGCTGGGCTGGGACACAGACCTCTGACTGTGTCTGTCTGTCTGCCTTGGGAAGGGTCCTTACCTACTCTGTCTCCAGTCTTCTCTGATCTGTTTTGGATGCTTATATTTGCCTTGAAATCATCTCTTTTGGATTGTAAAAAATATATTCTGGAGTCAAATAGCATAATCCCTTATGACTCTTTTAATCTATTTTCTCTTAATCTGTGGTGATTGATACTTGCTGGAATTTTTTTTCCTGGGTGTTTCTGACAGGTGAGCTAAATCCTACCATGCCCACCCCTCCCCACCTGGGGGCACAGGTGCATGAATTTGATATGTTTCTCTGATTTTGTCATTTTTGCTTTTATCTTCCTTCATTCTATTTTCTTACTTTCCTCATTCTAACGCTTTTTTTTCTAACAAGAGCTCATTACAGATTCATTGATTTTAATTATTTCTTGCTAACCCATTTCAGTATTAAAGACTATGAGTTTTCCTCTGGGCTCATCAATTCTGATATGAGTGTCCTGGTTTTATTGTTCTAGACATTTCACAAGTTTGTGAAAGTGGACCCTTTTGTTTTGTAGATAAGAAACTTGAGGTATTTTCTCCACCAGAAGCTGCCCATGGGTCTGTAGGAGCTCCGGTTCTGCCAGGCGGTGGCCTGGGCCTGCCCCGACCCCAGGCCCTCGTCCCTGAATCCCACACCCAGCAGTGGCTGCGCATCCAGACAGGACATGCTCCAAGGGTTTATTAATAACCTCTGCCAGAGACTCTGCCCCCAGGGAGCAGCCTCCCCATGGCCGTGGTGCAGGTGTGCAGCAGGAAGGGGATGGCGACACAGATGACCACGTCATCGTCTTCTGAGCTGTGGTTATTCTTTGAAAGGGCAGGAGGAAGTCCCACTGCTCTGGAGGTGTGGAAGGGTGGGAGTCTGGTCTTCCTGGAGGCGGAGGTGAGCTGTTGGGTTTACAGGTCACTTAAGTAGAGGGAGGAAGAGCAGGGTGTTTCGGGGGAGCCCTGGAAGGATGTGGTGGGCTTGAGGACACCCCCTTAAGAATGTGGCACTGAAATCCCAGCACTTTGGGAGGCTAAAGCGGGGGGATCATGAGGTCAAGAGATTGAGACCATCGTGGCCAACATGGTGAAACCCCGTTTCTATTAAAAATACAAAAATTAGCTGGGCATGGTGGCACACGCCTGTGGTTCCAGCAACTCGGGGGGTTGAGGCAGGAGAATCGCTTGAACCCAGGAGGTCGAGGTTGCAGTGAGCTGAGATTGTGCCACTGCACTCCAGCCTGGTGACAGAGCGAGACTCCATCTTAAAAAAAGAAAAAAAAAAAAGAACGTGGGACCGAGACCTGCAGGTCCCCAGCTTCTCATGCCCTTCCATGTAACCATCCTCCTTCCTCCTCCTATAGCCCCCACCATTTCCAACCAACACCCCTAACCCCAAAAGAAAGCATGAGGTCTGACTATAGGGCACAAGCCCGTGACTAATACAATGGCTGCAAGACACAGGCTGGGCTCGTGAATGGGGACGTCAGCAGCCTGGCTTTCTGGAATCACAAGACCAGACCCCAGTTCATTCCTGTAGGGTCAGCCCTGAACTGGACACAGTAGGGTCTGTCCCAGGGGCCCAGAGAGGCAGCCGCAGACAGTGGGCGAGGCTGATACATTACCCAGGAGGCAGGACCAGGCAGGAGCTCACCTAGAAACGGCACGGCTCTGTGGGAGGAGATGGGACAGTGGAGGTGTCAGCGAGAGAAGAGACAGCTGGGGACACAGCAGCCCCAGGGCTAGAGAAGGGATGAAAGGATGGTGGGAGAGGGCAGGACCCCACCTCAGGGTGGCTCTGCACCCCAGAAGGCCAGGGGAGAACAGGGGAGGGGCCAAAAAGGAGTGACCTGAGTCCTGCAGAGCCAGCAGGGGGCTCGGGCTAAGAAAGAGGCAGCTTCTCCTCCAGCTGAGGCTGGGCGTGTCCTAGGCAGAGCTCACCTTCCATCTGTTTCAAGTCCAGCAAGTACCATAGGTGCCTGGGCAGGGGCCTGAAAGCCCTGATGAATCCCTGCATGATCTCATCGTCCTCCACCAGGACTCTGGCTGTGGAAGAGGCTGGGTCAGTCCTGGGCCCCTGGGGCTTCCATGAGAGCTGGGGAGCTCCAGAGGCCTTGCCTGAGGAGGGAGGGCAGAGAAGGAGGCCCCAGTGCTCCGAGGTCTGGCAGAGTTTGGTCTGGAGTAGGTCCCTAGGGCGGTCTCCGGGGCTCTGTCCACTGCACCTCCAGGTTCCCTGACCCCAGCTCCCACTCCTTGGCCCGGCCCCCTCTGCTCCGCTCTGGGCAGCGCTGGGGTCTGCACAGCTTAGGATGGTGTCTACAGCGTCACAGGAGAGCACAGTGCCTGGCTCTCCCAGTGCCCGGCTCTCACCAAGCATGGCTGAGGCTGATCAAGAAGACACCTGTGTGACCCCAGAGGAAACACTGTGCTCAGAAACATGGGGAAGGGCTGTGCCTATGTGGCTATTTTGGTATTCCTGGCCTTCGTTTGGTTGACAGCATCATAGGTTTCAGGGCGTTTTGACTGGACGCCCAGTGAGTATTAATCTATCCACCAAGCCCAGCCCCTTGACTGGCGACCGTCCCACTGGCCCTATATCAGCTCCTTGCTTTGTCAGAGGACTCGATGAACCGCTGGAGAAAAACTCAGCCTGGCCGGGCGTGGTGGCTCACGCCTGTAATCCCAGCCCTTTGGGAGGCCAAGGCGGGTGGATCACTTGATCCAGGAGTTGGAGACCAGCCTGGCCAACATGGTGAAACCCCGTCTCTACCAAAAAATACAAAAATTAGCTGGGCATGGTGGCGTGCGCCTGTAATCCCAGCTACTCTGGAGGCTGAGGCACGAGAATCGCTTGAATCTGGGAGGCAGAAGTTGCAGTGAGCCGAGATCACGTCACTACACTCCAGCCTGAGTGACAGAATGAGACCCTTTCTCAAAAAAACAAAGCAAACAACAAACAAATAAAAAAAACCAAGAAAAAAAAAGTCAGCCCACAGGCACCGAGGTGGACAGGAAGCCAGTTGTCAGCTCCCCAGGGTTCCCAGCCACGGACGTAGCTGCTGCCTCTCACCCACGTTGAGCTCATGTGCTGTGAGACCCACCCAGGTACTGGCACATCATGCTCTGGATGGGGGTGGTGGTGTCCTGTAGGCAGAGAAACAGGAAATTGTCGTAGTCAGTATCGAGCAGCGTGGCCTCGTTCGCCACCGTATCTGGGGAAAGAAGAGAAGAACCAAAAGGAAGATGAAGCCTCCGTCTCAGCAGAGTCCTGTGCAGGTGTGTGGACATCCCACCACACTAAGTGGCTTCCTCATCCACTGACACCATGGGACGTGGCCCCTGCTGTGGACCATGATCAGGGAAGCCAGGGAGGAAAGGGGAGGAGAGGCAATGTGGAGGGCCATGGAGCCCCGGCTGAGGGGGAGAGGCCAGGTGTGCCGTGGAGAGGCAGACACGGCAGGCAGGGAGGCTGTGACCTGGAGAGACTCCAACTGAGAAGTCACGTACGGGTGAGGATGGCGGGAGATGGCACAGGAACAGGGCACAGGGGCGGGAAGAGGGAGAAGAAATGGACCTTGGAGAGTGGCTCGATTCTGGGGAGGGCAAGCAGGGTCAGAAAGGCCTGAGGCAAGTCCCAAGCATGAGAAGCAAACTGTATTTGCTGGGAAAATGTGCCCATGAGGGGATAAGAGGCCCCAGACCCTGACCACCTCTGTCTTTTTAAAAAAATAATAATTAACAAAATAGAACAAAATGTTGCAAATTGTTAGGAAGAATTCAGTGGACCAAGGACATGCTGTAAGCCCCTCTCTCTTCCCCCAGAGAGGCCTGGGAGCTCAGCCTAAGACCAGAGCTGCAGCCCCAGAGTGCGCAGGAGGCAGCCAGGCCCACGGGAACAGCAGCCACTTGCCCACCTGCCCACCTGCCCACCTGCCCACCTGCCCACCTGTTCACCTACCCACCTGCCCACCTACCAACTTGTTCACCTGGCCACCTGTTCACCCACCCACCTGTTCACCTACTCACCTGCCCACCTGTCCACCTACCCACCTGTCCACCTGTATACCTACCCACCTACCCACCTGCCCACCTGTTCACCTAACCACCTGCTCACCTGCCCACCTGTTCACCTAACCACTTACTCACCTAGCCACCTGCCCACCTACCCACCTGTTCACCTACCCTCCTGCCCACCTGTATACATATCCACCTACCCACCTACCCACCTGCCCACCTGCCCACCTGCTCGCCTGCAGCCTCCCTGGCCTTTTGTGAGGCCAGAGTGAACAGTGCAACAAAGCACCTGTCCCCTGTGCCTGGGCACAGTGCAGACCCACATCCAGTCATGTCATGCCAAGAATTAGTGCTTCCCCTGCCCTCCAGGTAAAAGATGCCTCTGGGGTCAGCATCAGGTTGACCGGAGTAAACACTCTGACTCCCTGAAGCAGAGAGAGTGGGGACAGGCCAGGCCCCACTCCCTCATGCCCCAGCAGAGCCGCCTCTGGGAGAGCGTGGCTAGCATGCCAGCACTGAGCCAGCCCTTGGGGCCTGGGGACACTCACAGTTGATCTTGAACTTCTTTGGATTCTCAGTCTTCTCTCCAAGGACCTTCTTCTCAACACAGCTGTTGTTCTCCCTGAAAGGTGGTGACAATAGGATGAGTGGCCACTTGAATTGGAGTTGCCTTCACTGTCACTCCTAAAATCAGGTCACCACGGGAACTTCCCCGGGTCCAAGGAGCACCGCAGCCCGCAGCCGCCCAGACCTTCTCCTCAGTCTGACCTGGGGCTGCACTGTGTGGTTGGCTGTTGGCCCAGAGCCTGGGGCAGGGGATCCAAGGGGACAGGGAACGTCTGGAGCCCTGGTTTTCCACCCCACCCTCATGGAAGGGCCACAGTGAAGCCCCTGGCTGTCAGAAAATGCCTGGGGCTAAGTCCAGCTCCGCCCAACCCACCCAGTCCTGGACCCCTGAGGGGGGAGACTGAGCCCCCGCCCAGCCCGTCTCAATGATGAGAAACCCACCATCTGTGCAGAACGATCTCCAGGTTGTCCTCGGGGGTGGGCAACAGTGAGGTGATGTGGACCCTCAGAGGGGCCTTCAGTGTCGCCATGAGGGAGATGTTGTTGGTCGCCATGGCCATGGAGTGCCAGGTCCCTGCCAACTGAGGGGGCCTTGGGCTGCACGGCGGTCCCACCCCACCATGGCTCTCGTTGCACCCGGTGCAGACGGGGCTGAGTCTAACTGGGATGGGTACAGTGAGCATTGGATGGTTGTCTGCTATCTACCAGATCCTGGGCTATGAAATTTCCTGTACTTAAAATGACCAGTGTGTGCTAACTCAGGAGTGTTCCAAAGTCCAAATAATGAGTCACCTAGGATGCTGGGAAACCAGAGAGGCCACCCTAAAGATGGAGAGCAGGGCTGAGGGCTTCCTGACGTCATGGCGTCCATTCTGTGCTTCCTGTAGGTTTCTGAGATCCTGGGCTTCCTGCCTGCCCGCAGCTCCCACCCGCCCCAGGCCTCCCACAGTAAAGTGCCCGCTCCCCCAGCCTCAAACCTTTGGGAGCTCCAGGTCCTGCTTGGTCTGGGGGATGTCCATGGCCGGGACACCACAGACCAGGGCCACGCCCAGGGTGAGCAGGAGGCACAGCATGGCTGCGGCTGTGGGTGGCTCTGAGCTCTGGAGCCAGAGGGATGCTGAGGCAGTGTGGGCTCAGGGGGCCTTATGTAGGAGGAGGGCAGACAAGATCCCCGCCCACAGCCTCGCCATGTGATTCCTCGAACCTGTGACTCATCCTTGGCCCCTGGGCAGCTTCCTCCACTGGGGCAATGGGAGGCTCTTCCCTGCGTCCACGCGGGAACCTCCTCTGTGTCCGGGCTGGGCAGTTCTTGGCAGGGCCTCAGGCGGGAGGGGCCTGGGTCGGGTCCAGGCTGGCAGCGGCGGGAGCACCTTCTGGGTTGGGGCTCCTGGACAATGTTGGGTCAGAGGCCAGCACTGAGGACAGCTGTGTCCAGGGCAGGGGTATGGCCTGTGGGGCAGGCAGAGGGCCTGAGAGCCCCATGGCTGCCCCAGGATGCCACAGACATCATGCCAGTGGGTGACTGACTGCACGGTCATAATCCTGACCTGTACCTTCCACTCAGACATCCCCAGGTGTGCACACCTGTGTCCCTCAAACAGCCAGCCTCTGGACAGGTGCACACTGCCTGTTAGCACTGTTTCTCTCTGACTCACAGGCAAGACTGGGTGGAAATGGGAGGCAGTGGACTTTCAGACTTTGTCCTACAGTCTATATTGGATGTACTTTTTCCCACAGGGAAGCATCACTTTGTAACTTACAATCGAGCCCGCATCTCACTCCCTGGAGAGCACTTGAGTCCTGAGGCAAGACACGGGTGTCCACTCCCACTCCCCCATCCATCAGAGCAGGTCATTCCGGCCAGAGCAGCTAGGCAAGAAATGGTAACTAAAGGCAGGCAGATTGGGAAGGGGGAGGTATACCTGTCTCTATTCGCATATAACATCATTGCCCAGGTACAAAATTGCAAGAACTCTACAAAACCCCTCCTAGAACCGAGTGAGGTCAGCAAGGTCAATCGCACAAAAATCCACCGTGTTCCCACACAGTGTCAAGGAGTAGACAGAACCCGAAACTGGAAATTCAGGATTTGTAATCACACACACAGCATGTAGGCAAAAATCTCACCAAATATGGACAGGACTTAAACTCTGAACCCAAGGAAGGGAAATCAAAGACCTAAGGTAAAGGACAGGCACAATGTGTTCATGGGCTGGAAGCTTCAACACAGCAAAGGTGTTAGCTCTCCTCAACTCAACCTAGAGATTTAATGCAATTCCTATCAAATTCTCAGCAAGATATTTTGTAGGTAGCTATAGACATGTGTGTGACACACACACACACATATATACATATATACATTTTTTTGAGGCCAAGTCTTGCTCTGTTGCCCAGGGTGGAGTGCAGTGGTACGATCTTGACTCACTGCAACCTCTGCATCCCAGGTTCAAGTAATCCTGCTGCTTCAGCCTCCAGAGTAGCTGGGATTATAGGCGCCCACCACCACACCTGGCTAATGTTTGTATTTTTAGTAGAGAGGGGTTTTCACTATTTTGGCCAAGCTGGTCTCGAACTGCTGACCTCAAGTGATCTGCTCACCTCGGCCTCCCAAAGTGCTGGAATTATAGGTGTGAGCCACCACACCCCACCATATGTAGATATATAGAGAAATTTTTTTTTCTAAAATTTACATGTCAAGGCAAAGGAGCTACAATTGCTAAAGCCATTTTGAAGAAGAATAAAGTATAAAGAGTTAGTCTACCCAAGTTTACAAGCACTATTATCAATAGTCACCAAGAGATTGTGGTATTGGCAGAGAAATGGACACATAGATCAATGGGAAATAGAGAGTCCAAACATGGACTCACACACAACAACAACAGACCTTTAACAAAGCTGCAAGAACAGTGCGTGGGGGAAGTGTTGTCGGAAAAGAGGGTCCCAGTCCAGACCCCAAGAATGGGTTCTTAGATCTCACACGGGAAAGAATTCAAGGTGACTCACAGAGCACAGTGAAAGCAAGTTTATGGGAAATGACTCTGTGCCAGAGCCGGGCAACCTCAGCGAGCAGGAGGAACGCCCGTCCTCTGTGAGTGCCTCTGTTTGTAAGAAGCTGTAATGAGCTACAGTGAAACCTGGATCATGCAGATGCACTCGCTAAAGATAGGGGCTCCTAGTGTGATCAATGACCATTTGCCCTTCAGCCTCAGCCTACTCGTTGACGTTATTTGTGAGCAAAGATAACCCCCTGCACTCCCAGGTCATCGGTACATTCTCCAGGCTTGGTGGGAGATGCCTCGTATGGGCATAAATGTTCTGCAGTTATAATTGGTGGTCAGCTTAGTATGCGGGTATTTTCAGACCATAAGCTCGCGCCTGTAATCCCAGCTACTCGGGAAGCTGAGGCACGAGAATCGCTTGAATCTGGGAGGTGGAGGTTGCAGTGAGCCGAGATCACGCCACTGCACTCCAGCCTGAGTGACAGAATGAGACCCTGTCTCAAAAAAAACAAAGCAAACAAACAAATAAAAAAAAAAACCAAGAAAGAAAAAACCAGCCCACAGGCACTGAGGTGGACAGGAAGCCAGTTGTCAGCTCCCCAGGGTTCCCAGCCATGGAAGTAGCTGCTGCCTCTCACCCACGTTGAGCTCATGTGCTGTGAGACCCACCCAGGTACTGGCACATCATGCTCTGGATGGGGGTGGTGGTGTCCTGTAGGCAGAGAAACAGGAAATTGTCGTAGTCAGTATCGAGCAGCATAGCCTCGTTATATAACCTTATAGGTGCCTTGTGAGTGTCTAGTTATTCACGTTAAGATGGAGTCACTCTGGTCATGTTTCATTAAACCAGAGGCCTGGCAAGCGGGAGTCCCTCTAAAAGAAGGACAGTCTTTGCAACAAATGGTGCTGGAGCAATTCATCACGTGCAATCGATCCCATGCAAACGAAGAACCTCCATCTAAAACTCACACCTGACATATGCATTAACTCATAGTTTAAAAGTAAAACATAAAACTATACAACTTTTAGAAGAAAGCGTGAGAGAAAATCTTCAGGACGTAGGGCTAGGTAAAGAATTCTTAGACTTGACACCAAATGCAAGATCCACAAAAGAAAAAAACTGGTAAATCATACTGCATCAAAATCTGAAACTCTTGCTCCAGAAAGACCTTGTTAAGAGGATGAACGGGGCCGGGCGTGATGGGTCACACCTGTAATCCCAGCACTCTGGGAGTCCGAGGTGGGCGGATCACCTGAGGTCAGGAGTTCGAGACCACCTATGGCCAACATGGTGAAACACCATCTCTACTAAAAATACAAAATTAGCCAGGCCTGGTGGCACATGCCTGTAATCCCAGCTACTCAGGAGGCTGAGGCAGGAGAGTCACTTGAACCCAGGAGGCAGAGGTTGTAGTGAGCCAAGATCACGCCACTGCACTCCAGCCTGGGTGACAGAGTGAGACTCCGTCTCAAAAAACAAAGAGAGAGAGAGAGAGAAAAAAAAAAAGAGGATGAAGAGGCAAGCTACAAACTTGGAGAAAACATTTGAAAGTTTCATATCCAACAAAGGACTGGTGTCTGGAAGATATAGAGAACTTTGAAAATTCAACAGCAAAAATAAAATCCACCTAGAAAATGGGCAAAAACCATGAAGGAACATCTCCCCAGAGAAGATCTATGGGTGGCAAATAAGCACCTAAAAAGATGCTCAATGTCATTGACTATCAAGGAGCACCAATTAAGGCCACAGTGAGCTATCACAGCCCAGCTATTAGGACAGCTACAATGAAAAGTAGGGACCTATTAGGACAGCTACAATGAAAAGTAGGGACCTATTAGGACAGCTACAATGAAAAGTAGGGACCTATTAGGACAGCTACAATGAAAAGTAGGGACCAAACCAAATATTAGTGGGGATGGAGACAAACTGAATCTCTCAAAATGTTGAGAAATGCATACTTTGAGTGGCTCTAAAATGGTTCAGCCATGCTGGAAATTGGAAGTTGCTTTTGTTTTTTATTTAAAAAATTTTAAGCTTAAATAATAGAGACTGGGTCTCACTATGTTGGCCAGACTGGTCTTGAACTCCTGGGCTCAAGAGATCCTCCCACCTTGGCCTCCTAAAGTGCTGAGATTACAGGTGTGAGCCACCACGCCCAGCTGGAAGTTTCTTTTAAAACTAAGCATATGCTGGTCCAGGAGTGGTGGCTCACGCCTGTAATCCCAACTTTGGGAGGCCAGAGGGGGATGGATCACCTGAGGTCAGGAGTTCGAGACCAGTCTGGCCAACATGGTAAAACCCCATCTCTACTAAAAATACAAAAAATTAGCTGAGTGTGGTGGTGTGCACCTGTAGTCCCAGCTACTCAGGAGGCTGAGGCAGGAGAATCGCTTGAACCTGGGAGGTGGAGGCTTCAGTGAGCCGAGATTGCGCCACTGCACTCCAGCCTGGGTGACAGAGCAAGACTCCGTGTAAAAAAACAACAAAACAACACAAAAATAATAAGCATATGCTTACTATACAGCCTGGCAGTTTTACTCCTGGGCATTTATCCCGAGAAATGGGATAAATGGACACAGAAAACCCGGTACACAATTGTCCACAGCAGCTTTGCCTGTAATAGCTAATAACTGGAAAACTCCATCCGTGAATGAATGGTTAGACAGACGAGTACATCTGCCTTATGGGAGACTCAGCCATAAAACGAGGTGAACTGCTGATACCCACAGCAGCAGGAGGGCGTTCAAGGGAACTACGCTGAGTGAAAAAGGCCAACCCCAAAAGGTCGCATACTCTATGACTTTGTTTATACAATATTCTCGAAATGACATTATAGAAATTGAAAGCTGAGGCCGGGCGCGGTGGCTCACGCCTGTAATCCCAGCACTTTCGGAGGCCAAGGCGGGCGGATCACGAGGTCAGGAGATTGAGACCATCCTGGCTAACACGGTGAAACCCCGTCTCTACTAAAAAGTAGAAAAAATTAGCCGGGCGTGGTGGCAGGCGCCTGTAGTCCCAGCTACTCGGGAGGCTGAGGCAGGAGAATGGCGTGAACCCCGGAAGGCGGAGCTTGCAGTGAGTCAAGATCACGCCACTGCATTCCAGCCCGGGAGACAGAGCCAGACTCAGTCTCAAAAAAAAAGAAAGAAAAAGAAAAAAGAAATGGAAAGCTTATTCGTGGTAGCCAAGGGCTGGGCCTGGGGAATGGGTGTGTCTGTAAAGGGGTAGAACAAGAGATCTCTGTGGGGATGTACCATTCTATATGTTGATTGCCGCAGTGGTTACACACATCTACACATGTAAAAAATTGCATAGAACCACACACACACACACACACACACACACACACACAAATGAATAGAAAACTGGTGAAATACGAATAAGACCTGGTTCTGCACGATGTATGGTTATGTAAATCTTCACACAGTAGTTATGTGAGGTCTGACTGTAGCTATGCACAGCAGGACCCCTCTGTACTATTTTTGCAGCTTCCCATGAATCTATAGTTATTTCAAAACAAAAGCTAAAAAATAACAACACAACTCAAACTTCCCCTCCTGGCTAACATACAATAGCAGGTATCGTATTTGCTCACCTTAAACAACTAGAAATCCAGGAGATTTCGGAAGCAGTGCTTTCTGGATATTTGACAACAGGCCGCGAAGGATCATGATCCCTGAAAGACACAACACGAGTGCTGAGCTCTGTGACCCCAGCAAGGCCTGGCTCAGGGCAAACGAACCCAAACAGATCCCAGGGCGCCACCCCACACACGCTGAGGAGAAGAGTGTTAGAGTGTGGGGAGGCGGAGGGACTCGAATTTGCTGGGCAAAGCTTCGGAGAGAAAGGGCTACACGGAGCGCTCAGGAGACACACAGAGGGGCAGGAAGGAAACCTCGGAAATGGTCAATGGAGTGACTCTTAGAACTCACACAGCCGAGAAGAAAGCCTTCAGAATACACGAGGCAGCGGGCAGAATTCTCAAAAAGAGACTGAATTGGTAGCGGGGTTAGCAAGGGCTGTTCTGAACCCATTCGAATACAATTAAAAGCAAGTATTGGGAAGATCCAACACGTTAAAAATAATTTAACTGTAGCCACACGGAGTCTAACATTATTTAACGAAAAACAAAATGGAGTGTGTTATTTCTTGCTGCATAAGAAATTGTCTCCAAACAGAGCAGCTTCAAACAATGATTTCTGAGGGTCAGGAGGTGGGGAGTGGCCCAGCTGGGTGGTTCTGGCTCAGGGTTTGCAATGAGGCTGTGGTCATGTTCTGGGCTGGGACTTTGGGCTCTGGAGAATGTCTTGGAACTGGTGGGCCACAATGGCTGGTGGGAACTTCAGGCTCCTGCCACATGAGCCTCTTCCTGGGGCTGCTTGTGACATGGTTCCCCACCATAACCAGTATGAGGACCAGTGGGGCTGATGTCACACTCTGTGTCTGACTCATGCGCCATCCCTTCCTCCTTGTCATATCTATTAGAAGTGGGTCACCAGGTCCAGCCCACACTCAATGGAAGGCATCACACAACGGAAGCCATCCTGGAGGCCAGCTGCCACGTCAAGAAACCAACAACGTGAAATCCACAAAGTAAATATGACATCCAGTTAACAATTACCAGGCAGGCAATGAAGCAAGAATATATGAGACATAACCAGGAGAAAAATCGAGTGATAGAAACAGATCCAGAAATGACAGTGATGGTGGACTTAGCAGATCAGGGTGTTAAAGACCCATTAGCAATATCTCTATGTGCTCAAGAGGGTACTGAAAGGCAAGAGCTCAAGGAGAAGCAGAGTGCAAGGCATGGAAAAGACCCAGGAAGGAAAACGGTGCTTCCACTGTGGAAAACAATTGGCAGCTTCTTAGAAAGTTAAACACATCATTATCCCATGACCCAGAAACTTTGCTTGAATTGAAAACAGGAATTCAAACAAATATTTGTGTGTGTGCATATTTGTGGCTGCACTGTTCAGAAGAACCAAAAGATGTAAACAACTCAAGTGTCTATCAAACAATGAGTGGACGAAAAGCATGGGGTTGGCTGGGCGAGGTGGCTCATGCCTATAATCCCAGCACTTTGGGAGGCTGAGGCGGGTGGATCACCTGAGGTCAGGAGTTTGAGACCAGTCTGGCCAACATAGTGAAACCCCATCTCTACTAAAAATACAAAAATTAGCCTGGCATCATGTTGGTGTGCACCTGTAATCCCAGCTACTAGGGAGGCTGAGGCACAAGAATTGCTTGAGCCTGGAAGGTGGAGGTTGCAGTGAGCCAAGATTTTGCCACTGCACTCCAGCCTGGGTGGCAGAGCAAGACTCCATCTCAAAAGAAAAACAAAAAAAGCATAGTGTTTATTCATATGGTAGAATATTATTCAGCTATAAAAAGGAACAGGGTACTGGTCCATGTTACAGCACAGAAGAACCTTGAAAACATGCTAAGTGAAAGGAGCCAGTCACAAAACGTCACATGTTGTATGATTCCATTGATAGGAAAGGTCCAGAATAGGTAAATCCTTAGAGACAGAAAGTGGGGGTTGAATGCTGCTGGAGACGGAGCTTCCTTTGGGGGCGACGGGAACGTTTTGGAACTAGGCAGGGGCCATGGATACGCACAAGGGTGTGTGGCCTCATTGCTACACAATTGTACACTTCAAAACAGTTATTTGACACACTGTGAATTTCACCTCAGTGAAGTTTTAAGAAATTAAAGGGGAATAAAGAACCAGATGGAAATCCTAGAGATGGAAAATATGGAATTTGACGTGATGAGTACACCCTGGGTTCACAGCAGATGGAGCAAGGGAAGCGGGGTGGGCTTGGGGCCCAGTAGCAGACCCATCCACAAGGAAGCCACAAGAAAAGGGCCAAAAGGGACGGGGGTCAGGGACCCATGAGACAACCTCAAAGGGTCTGACCTACACAGAGTCCCAGCAGCGAAGAGAGAAAGGGCTCTCTTTTTCTCCGACGGCCCCTCTCTCCTCTCTCAGGCTGGCCTGGTGCCCTTCCTTTGCCAGATTTCCCACGCAGCTGTGAGCTTAAGCTTGAGGTCCCCTGTTCCCCCGGAGCACCCTGGCAAGGTGGTGTCCCAGGTCTGCAAATTCTTCCACTGCTGAAGCTCCTCCTGCCTGGATCTGCCCTTGCCCCGGCCTGGTCCACTTCGTGACTGTGCAACCGCGAGCAAAATCCTTAATCCCAAGGCTCTGTTTCTGCATAGAAATGAGGACAGTGCCCACGCCACTGGGTTCTTCCAGGAGTAGGCGATATAGGCATGAAAAGCTGGTGTCACAGTGCCTAGCACAGAGCTCAGCCGATGGGAGCAGCTTGTACGCTTGGACTCACCTGGATATCCCTGTTGGGACCAGGACCCTCGGGAGTGAGGTTGTCTGGGAGAGGCCCGGAAGCTGCCATGTTGCTGAAATAACATTGGAAGAGGTCATTTTCAGCACCGAGTGAGTGAGGCTGAGCTCAGAGACCAGATGGGAGAGAGGGTTGGGGTGGAAAAGACGCAGAGGGAGCTGGGAAGGGAGCTGGGCTGGGGGCACAAGCTGAGGAGCATCCGGAATGCCACCTTTTTGAGATGGTTTGTGACAAACGTGAAGGGAGGCAGTGGGCGGGTCCACGTCTCCGCAGGGATTGGCATGTTTCCTGCCCAACACTTTATGTGCGAGTTTCCTAAAAGCTGGTGGGTGGGCGGGAACCATCCAGGAACAGGGCTGAGGGGCTCGGGGGTGGGCCAGGAAAAGGGGGGCGGGGTCAGGAGGCTGCTGGGGGGTGGGCAGAGGCGTGGGGGCGGGGCCAGGAGGCAGAGTGGGAGGCAGAGGCGTGGGGGCGGGTCCGGGAGGCGGAGTGGGAGGCAGAGGCATGGGGGCGGGTCCGGGAGGCGGAGTGGGAGGCAGAGGCGTGGGGTGGGTGTGGTGACAGTGTCTGGTTTGGTCTCCTTAGTGTCAGCATGAGGGGCCAGAGATGCTTCAGGGGAGGCAGGAGAACCTGTCCCAAGATGGCCCTGCGTCCATCAGCAGAAGAGGAGCCTGGCCAGGGGCTGCCGGGGGTGCCCGCCCTGTGAGGCCTGAAGGACCAGGTCAAGCCTTTATGTTGGGGGGTTGACATAGGAGGATGGCCGGGCAGGAGTGGACAGAGCTTAGGCGCTGACCCGTCAAGGGTGGGCGACCTGCCCTTGCCGGAGTGCTGCCTCGTCTGATGACTCAGTCCTGGCTGCTGGGGGGTGACCAGCCCGCAAGTGACCAGCACTGCCCCTTCCCAAGACAATCAGGAGGTCCTGAACACAAACAGCTCAGCCCCAGCCTCTGGGCCAGCTCCCACCTCGTTCCTGGCCCCCCCGAGGATCCACACCACTTGACTTCATTCATCTCCTGTGTCCAGGGTCGGGGGAGGGGGGCCCAGGGCCTCAGGGCTGTGGGTGCCACCTGGGACTGGCAGGCCCCAGAGCCCTTGTGTGGGGGAAGGGGGAGGATGCCGACCAGGGATTGGTGAGGAAAGGGCAGAGGGGAGCTCTGTCTTCAGGCCTAGGTGGACCAGAGCATGACCAGCCCTGACGGGGAAGGACGTGGGGTCACAGTGGGTGGGGAGGGGCAGGTGCTCTGGGGCAGGATGGAGTAGTTCCGGAGCTGGACGTATCACTACAGGGAGCCGGAGGTGCCTGGACCACCAGCCTCGACCCTGGGCACATATTTGGGGCCAGGTCATTTTCGTGTCCGGGATGAGGACACAAAGCTAAGGGAAGCCTCAGCTGGGCCCTTTTACTGTCGATGCTGGGCCCGGGCCTGACCCTTTCCAGGGGTTTACATTTCGTCAAAAAGCAAACCATGAGCTCTTGAAAGTCTGACATTACTGGCAAACACGTGGTTTTAATGTAGCCCTTCATCGCAAAGTGAAAAATTCCAAGTGGAATTCTGACACACGGGAGAAGCTTGAAGGAGATCAGCTTCTTCAAAACCCACAGCCCGGCAGGTGAGGAAAGGTGTCTCGGTGTCTCGGGCAGGGTGGGTTGGGCAGGACCTCATCCCAGAGATACTCCACCCACCTCCCTAAGCTGCCCAGGCAGCCAGTGGTACCCCCTTCTCTGTCGGGCGGAAGTCAGCAAAGACACGAGAGGTGGGCTCTGGCCGAGGTCCCCCTGGGGCTCCCAACAGCATTGAGACTCTAAGTCTGTCCAGGCGCCCAACCTCGGAAACGTGCATCCCTCCCTGCCCTGCCCTGCCCAAGGCCCTCACCTCGTGGGGGCGGTGGGAACCAGCCTGGCCTCTGGGCTTGCAGCACCAGGATCAGGCTCAGCTCTCCGGTCAGCAGGGGTGGCCGCATGGCCGGGGACCCCACTTCTGCTCTGCTCCTCCGGCCTCTCCACCACCCATTTATCCCCCATCCTGAGCTGCCCCAGGAAAGTCCCACCTCCATTGTCCCTGCAGCAGAGGGACTTGCACGATTGCACGTGGTAGAAGGAGAGATCCAGTCACTACTGTGGGAGCAAAATGAACGCAGGCCTTCAGTTTCATTCAGGAGCCACCAGGGCCCACAGGCCTCACTTCCTCCTGGGCTGGCAGAATGCAGGGAGGGAGGCAGTGTCACCCGGCCGGCAGATGATCAGACGAACAGCTGGGGCAGGGATGCGGGAAACCCACAGCCACAGCGCCAGGCAGGAACCGATCCCAGATGCAGCGCCAGGCCCTCCTCGTGGGCAGGAACCAACCCCAGCTGCAGTGCCAGGCCCTCCTCATGGGCAGGAACCGACTTCCCAGCTTCTCCACATAGGTAAGAACCACTTCCCAGCTTCTCACGTGCTGACTCCTGTTCCCGCCAGCATCACCCCTGCACCCACACTCGCCGCTCTGCAGTCCGATCTCCGTCTTTCCCAGTGAGTCTCCCCACTGCTTACATGCACCACAAATCCTCTTCCATCAGGTAAAGACTTTTACCTATTTCTTATATTTTTACACAGACCTCCTAACCCTTCTGGAATCTGCATAGTAGCATGGGGAAAGGGAGATACCTCACCACTCACCCGTCTTTGTAGGATGGGGTCTGCCCTGCCCTCCACGTGTGGCCCGTGGACAACCAGGCTGGCTCCGCCTCAGCTCACCTCGGCCCTGCTATCTTGGCCCATTTCCGGGCCATCCTGTGGCCTCTGCCAAGACTCACGTCCAGGCAGGAGATGGAGAGGCGAGGATGCTAGTCTGGGCGGCAGGCAGGCAGTGGTCGCTTGGTGCACAGCCAGCGGCCCTGGGGAGAGGCGGTTGCTTTGCAGGCTCATCCCCCAGGAGGCCTGTCCCACGTGGGTTTGTGGCTCCTGGGGCGTGTTTATCACCCTGGTATGGTGGCCTATCCTCCCTCACTGTGGCCGGCCTCCCCACATACCCGCATCCCTGCAGCCCCAGTGTCTGGACAGATCCTGGCTCTGGACAAACCATAAGAAGGCCAGGGTGGGCCAAGGATCTCAGAGAACAGGGCCAGCTCTGCCTTGCTCCAGGAGTGATGACGGAGGTGCCAGTGCCCCTCTCTCCAGTGCTGCCACTGAGCCCAGGCTGCTAAAGTGGGGCCGCTCGGAGGATCCCACTGAGACCCCCGGGGCGGGAGCCCTGTGGTGGACCCACTGCTGCAGCTCTGACGCCGTGTCCCCACTCCCGCCCTCCCAGTGGCTTCCCAAGTGCTCCTGCCCAGAGCCCTGCCCGTCCCAAGCTGAGCCTGAGATCCGAGGGCGGCTCTTCCGGAGGCCCCTCCAGGACATCACGCAGCCCCACAGCCTGTTGGACATCGTGCCTCTTGTGGTTTGGCCCTTGCTAGGTCCAACATCTCCCCAGCTTCCCTTGTGGCTCCCCCTCCCAGCAGGCCTCCCAGGGAGCCGGTGCGAGCCCCTCCGTCCCCACAGATAGGCCTGCCCAGAGCTGGGGGAGAAGCTCTTTATTTGGAGTCAGGTGGGTGGGAGCAGGGAAGGGTCATGGCTGGAGGGTAGGTCCAGGTGGTCCGGGCTCTGTGTCTGGTGGTAGGGTGGGCTCTGGAGGTGCAGACCCGGGGGCTGCTGTGCTGGGAAGAGGAGCAGAGGTCAGGGAGGCTGCAGGGTAGGGCAGAGGCCAGGCCCAGAGCTCCCTCCCCAGGCTCTGCAGCTTCCACATCGGCCACTGCTGGGCAGCCTCGGGGCTCCAGAGCAGCCTCAGCTCCTCCAATGACTGGGCAGGCCTCTGAGCATCCTTGGTGAGTGGGTGGGGGGGAGTAGACCGAGTGGGGACAGGTGCAGGGGGCGATGGGCCGAGCTGACACCTGAGGGAGCCGGAGGGAGGCCTCGCTGTGGAAAGGCCGAGGAGGACCCTCACTCGGGCTGGCAGGTGCAGGAATGGTAAAACAAAGGACTTCCCGAATGTCCCAGGAATTTTGGGTGGGCAGACTCTGAGGTGCCAACCTCGTGCCTGACCCTGGGGGGGTCTCCCTGGCTGTGTGGGATGGGAAGGGCCAGAGCAGATGTACCCTCGAACCCCGGGAACCCAGGACTCTGGGCTTGTCCAGTGCCCTCCTAAAGGCTCACTCACCCTAGTGTTCGAGAACGCAGCTTCCTGCAGAGACCAAGAAAAACCCAGGGATTAGAAGGCGCCCTAGACCAGGGCCCAGACCCCATCGCAGCCCAGGGCTCAGAGCCCCAGACCCCATCGCAGCCCAGAGCGCGGAGCCCCAGACCCCATCGCAGCCCAGAGCGCGGAGCCCCAGACCCCATCGCAGCCCAGAGCGCGGAGCCCCAGACCCCATCGCAGCCCAGAGCGCGGAGCCCCAGACCCCATCGCAGCCCAGAGCGCGGAGCCCCAGACCCCATCGCAGCCCAGAGCGCGGAGCCCCAGACCCCATCGCAGCCCAGAGCGCGGAGCCCCAGACCGCATCGCAGCCCAGAGTGCAGACCCTCCAACGACGAGGATGCTAAGCAGGGCCCAGAGCCCCTGCGAGGAGACTCGGGGCACACGGGGAATGCGGGGGACATGGGAGGACATGGGGGTCATGGGACACTGGAGATCACACAGAGACACAGGGGAACACGGGGTACTGGGCACAGCCGTCCTCACCCGTCTGCAGGGGCATGAAAATGTCCTCCTCCGAGAGTCCCTTGTGCTGCACCAATTTCTTAAATTCTTCCAGGGCCTCCAGGTTGGTATTAGGATTCCTACCTGCAGGTGAGGTGGCCAGGTGAGCCAAGGTGGGGACAGCGGCACGGCCCTGCAGGGAGCAGATGCTAAAAGGAGACGACCACGGCCCAGCATCAGGACGGGGGAGAGGCCCGAGAGTGGATCAGAGCTCAGGGGTGGGGCTGGGGACAGAAGAGATGGCAACTGTCCAGCACCAGGCAAGGGGGAGAGGAGGCCTGAGAATGGACAAGAGCTCAGGGGTGGGACTGGGGACAGAGGAGACGGCCACCGCCCAGGTGAGAGGTCCCCAGGAAAGGGGACAGTGGCAGGGTCCAAGCCACTCAGCAACCCCAGGGGGACCTGGGCAGCTCCCAAAGCCACTCTGCAGGGTCATAACCCTCACCTGGAGGGACCTTGTGTCCCAGAGGCACTGGCTGCCCTGCCGCCCTGGAGAGTCCCTGCCCCATGAAGAGCTCTGTTAAGATGCTACCTCCCCCTTAAGGTGAGGCCCCTACACCTGAGACCCCACAAGCGGCCCTTGGCAGGTTCATGTCACCGAGGGCCGTGTCTGTCCCTGCCTGGCCCACCCCACTCCCACTTCAGGAACTTGGACCAGCCATCCAGGGCAGCGCTTGGTGCCTAGCACACGAAGGCCGGCGCAGGGGGCTTCCTTTTCCCCCCGTGCCAGGGCGTGATGATGGTGGTTCCACTGGCTTCTGGAGGCAGAGACCATGGGGCAGGACATGCAGGCCCCAGCGGGCCCCTCACCCACAAGCTTTCCCATGTAGCGCAGGCCCCCACGGCGCTGGTCTTTGCAGTAAAAGACGTAGTCGTCCGTCCCGGGCAGCTCCTGCAGGTATATGAGCTTCCTGCCCCCATCTGTAGATGACAGAGAAGATGGGTCTTCAGTGCCCTCATTCCCGGAGAGAGCACTCAGGACCACACGAAGAAACACTCAGGAATGTTTCAGTGGTCACCCAGGTGCCCTGGACAGCCTGAGCCAGGCCTGGCTGCTCCGCACAGCATGGACCCGGACACGGAGGCAGGAGCCTCCTCTCGGAAGGTCCCAATGCAAGTAATGGAGCCACAAGGCCAGAGCACGTCCAGGACTAGAGTCCGGCCTTCCCAGCTCCAGCAGCTGCTCCTGCCCCACTTCCCTGTCCCTAACCCTCGGATTCCTGATCCCAAACCCTCAGCCTTGGCTTCCCATCCCTAACCCTCGGCCTCCTGGTCCCTAACACTCGGATTCCTCAATGTGTCAATGGCTAGGGCCTCCCAGAGGGCAGGCTTGATCTGGTCCATCTCTACTGTGGACAAGCCTGTCACACCTGGTGTCTGATGTCAGGGCCACCAGCCCCCCAGGAAGGAGAGGCCAGCCCCTCCTTGGAGGTGGGCAGGGCTGGGACCCTGGCAGAAGTGTGGCCTGGGCACTCTCCACCTGCAGTGGGGCTGGTGCATCCGGGGTTGGGCATGGGGAGTGGGGGGTCGGGGAGGGGCTCACAGGCGCTGAATTTGCCAGGCTCCTCCGTCTTCCGCATCAGGATTTTCTTCTGGATGCACCGATCCTCCCTCCTGGAAAACAGGAGACACTCGGGCAGCGGCTCCCAGGACACACCTGGCCCATCCTCAGCTCACCTGGTGCATGGCCCTGACCCGGCAACCTGAAAATTCCACTGCCCCCCCACCCCACCGAGCTTCAGGATGTCCTGGCTGTTTCCCTCCAAGGCAGGGGGTGACTCTTCCCAACACCCGAAATGTGGATGGGGCAATGGGCACCAGGTGGGTCTGGGGCGGGGAGCGAAAGTGGCCTGAGGGGCCCTGCAGTGGGCAACACTCACATGAAGGTGAACGTGGCTTCCAAGTTCCCACCGCCCAGGGCTGTCACCTTCACTGGGGACACCTTCCTGGGCCTCCTGTCCTCCGGAAAGTCCTTATCGACCACCATGGCCTTCACGTACCAGGTCCCTGTGATCTGGAGCAGGCCAAGGCCGTGAGCCCACCATGGGTGGCCCAGATTCTACTCTGACCCTGGCACTCAGGCCTGCAGCTATAACCAGACACCCATGGTGCCCGGCTGCCACCCCTAAAGGCAGGCTGGGTTCCTGCACCTTAGTTAGAGCTCAGCTGGAGTGAGTTAGAGCCAGCCCCCTGCTCAGGGCTCCCAGCCCCCAGTGGAAGGAGGGCATGTCTGCACCCCATGGACCCCCGGGCCCCAGCACCAGGTGAGCCCTCCCTCCACAGGGCCCAACCCTGCGAGACCTTCGGGCTTCAGGCGTCAGTGCAGCAGGAACCCCTGAGCCGAGCCTGCTCCGGCCCTGGGCCTCGGGGGGCCGTGTCTGCTGGAGGAACAATAGGACCCCTCCACCACCACCCCAGGCTGGGAGCACGGGGTCAGAAGCCAGCCTTCAGTGACACCTCCTAAAGCAGGGCCCCTGGCACTGCCCCCTGCCCAGGAGTCCACCTGGCTCCTCCATCCGCCCACGCCAACCCAGCTCACATCCTCCTCCTCCAGGGTGAAGGACAGGGCAGCGGCCAGGCCGAGCGTGACACCCAGGAACAGGGTCTTCATCTCCAGAGCTCTGTGCTGCCGACCTCGGCAGGTCACTGGGCGTCTGAACAAGGCTGTGCTGGCTCCTCTCGAGATGTTCTTTATAGCCCCCTGGCCAGTGTCCTGGGAGCACGTGGCACGGTGCACCCCTCCCCATGGTGGCAACCAGTCCTGCATCCGGGAGGGGGAGTGTCCTCATTGCTGGCATCTGGTGAACAGCAATTCAGTGCCAGCCAGAGAAGAAAAGACACACGATGCTGTCCAGGGTTTGCATCCAAATGCGCCCACTTGGATGAGCCCGGAGGACTCCAGAGGACAGGGCAGGGTAGTGCACGTCTGCACCCCGAGCCACAGAGGGAGGGCCCACGGCTCGGAATTCTTCCTCCCTCACCCCTGAGCCCTCCCAGGGCCACGGCTGGGACCCTGGGCAAGTCCTCTGGGGAACTGGCCATCTCCCTGCTGAGCAGAAATGGACTGGGCTTTAGAACCATAGAGACGTGGGGCTGCTGCCAGCTGAGTCCCGCACGCCCTAGAGCCCAAGCTTCCGCCCACTCTGGGACCCACTCTGCATTGATTTTCCCCACCTGGACCCTGCACTCGAGCTTCCTAGGGGCAGAGAAGGGCACTATTGTGTGGTTCAAGGTCAGTATATATACGGCCTCCTCGGGCCATATGAGGGACCCCGCCGCCTGCCCCACCCCGCTTCACTCCGTACCGGAGCCTGGCTGTGCTGTCCTCAGAACACGTGATCTCTCTGGATTGTCCTGCCTGTTTCTTCCTGCACGTGTTCATCATCCATCTCCCTGTTAAATACAAGTGGTAGAGTGGAATATACATTCACTCTACATCCCCTCTCTCGTCAGCTTCGACGGCCCCCAGCCACCGGGACAGGCCTTGAATCTCATCCCTTTAGATAAATGGGTGGCATGAGCATCAAGAGCCACCTGCCAGCCTGTGCTCAGAGTTTGTGGCTGAGCTCCCTTGGGCACCTGGCTCCGCTGGCCTCATCCCCAGCCAACCTGAGCCAGAACTTTGCCTTCTCCCTCCTGGACCCTGTAGTTCCCGGGCCTGCGTCATCTGCCCTGGGACCCAAGGCTGACCCACGCTCTGCAGGCAGGTGCTGGGCCCACACAATCTTTGTGCCTCTCTGGCCCAAGATCAGACACCCTCAAGTGCTTGCTAAATAATACTAATGCACACTCTAATAAACCCTGGGGGCTATAAAGAAAGGGCTGGCGTGACCCAGTGCCTCACCCCTCTCACGGCAAGTGCTGCCGAGCAGAAACCCCATCCTTAGGGCGGGGACTGGGCTCTTCAGGACCAGAGATGAGCAAACAGGCTGGAGTCTCTACCTCAACGGGAAGATTTCTCCGTTCCCCATTTTTGTTGCCTGTACCCCAGGCACCTTGTATTTCTTTTTTTTTTTTTTTTTTTTTTTTTGAGACGGAATCTCGCTCTGTCGCCCAGGCTGGAGTGCAGTGGCGGGATCTCGGCTCACTGCAAGCTCCGCCTCCCGGGTTCACGCCATTCTCCTGCCTCAGCCTCCCAAGTAGCTGGGACTACAGGCGCCCGCCACTACGCCCGGCTAATTTTTTTTTGTATTTTTAGTAGAGACGGGGTTTCACCGTTTTAGCCGGGATGGTCTCGATCTCCTGACCTTGTGATCCGCCCGCCTCGGCCTCCCAAAGTGCTGGGATTACAGGCGTGAGCCACCGCGCCCAGCCGGCACCTTGTATTTCATTGGTTGGTTGTGAATCATTGATTTAAGCACCGTATGACACTGGTGCTGCTGGCTCAATCCTTGAAGAAAATGCTGGAACAACACGCGCAGATGCTTCAGGGAACAGGTCACCCCCATGAATTCTATGCTCGCTGGTACGGGTGCTCTCCAGGAGCCTCCCATTGTCCACCCATCTTGCCCTGTGTCCCAGTCTCGTTCACCAACTGTGTTCTTTTAGATGCTGGTTGGGTTCAACTGCTGCAGACACCGTCAGGGGATGGTAGGGTTGGAGGCTGGGGGTCAACCCATGGCAGACAGCAGGGGCAAGATCCCTGGCCCCCAGTGCTTTGTGGCCTGGTGCGTTTCTCTGGATGGCTTCTGATGGTGGTTCCTGTTGGGTTGTTAAAAGTATTTAACAAAATTCAACACTCATTCGGGATAACACCTCTCAGAAAAATAGGAATAGAAGAGAACTTCTTTAACTTGAAAAAGAACATCTACGAAAAAAAAACCTATGGCTACATTATTTCTAATGGTGAAAGACTGATGTGTAACTGGCTCAAGTCCAGCTGCTCGCTGCTCAGAAGTCAAGGCATGAGAAGTGAGGTGTGGTAAAAGGAAAGCAGCTTTATTCAAATACTGGCAGTTGGGGAATGGCCAGACCCATGCCTTTAAAAGACCATTCAGATTTTCTGGACTGAGCGAAGGGGTTTAAGGAGGAAAAGGTGTGGGAAATATGTGGGAATGGTGCAGGAGGATGTTGGTCTGCATCTTGTTCTGATGGTTATTGTGAGTCATCAATCGTCTGTCCGGAGGTCTGGTTTGCGTCATCCTGATTTCAGCCGGGAAGTGGTAGGCTACCTGTAACTCCCCCTAAGAGGGAGGATTCTGCAGCTGGGTCTCTCTGCCTGGTTTGTTTCAAAATTGGCCCCTGGAATTTCTAAGTAAGCACATAATTAGATAAGCGAGCACTGCTCACGGAAGTGCCTGGTGGGAAAGGGAGAAATAAAGAGTTTCGAAGTATGTTTCAAGGCTGAAAGCAAGAAAGGAAAAAAGTTTTTAAGCACATTTTGAGGCTGGGATACTCAGTTACAAATGCTTTCTCTTTAACATCAGGGACAAGGCAAGGATGTCCACTCTACCACTTGTATTTAACATAGTACAGAAAGTTCTAGTCAGAGTAATATAGGTTTTTTAAAAAGGAAATTAAAGACATACAAATTGGAAAGGAAGGAAGAAAACTGCATCTGCAGATGACATTATTATCTCTGTAGAAAATCCCAAGAAATTGAAAAACAAAACAAAAGAAAACAATACACCTCCTAGAACTAGTAAGTGAGTTCAGCAAGGTTGCAGGACACAAGATAAATATACAAAGATCAATTGTGTGTCTACATACTAGTAATGGACCCTAAACTTAAAAACACAGTACTATTTATAATGGCTAAAAAAATGAGATGCCTAGGCATAAGTCTAACAACCCATATGCTGGATTTGTATGCTGAAAACAATGCAATGATTATAAAATAAATCAAAGAAGATCTAAACAAATGGAGAGACGTTATATCCATGGATTAGAAGACTCAACATAGTAAAAATATCATTTCTCTCAAATAATATAAAGATGTAACAAAATTTCTATCAAAATTCCAGAAAGAATTGTGGTAGATATAGACAAGATTATTCTAAAATTTATATGGAAAGGCAAAGGAACTGGAATAGCTAAAACTTTTTTAAAAAAGAATAAGGTGGGAGAAATCACGCTACTTTATTTTTGTTTTTATTTTTTTATATGGAGTTCACTCTGTCACCCAGGCTGGAGTGCAGTGGCACGATCTTGACTCACTGCAACCTCCACCTCCTGGGTTCAATCGATTCTCCTGCCTCCACTTCCCGAATAGCTGGGATTACAGGCTCTCGCCACCACACCCAGCTACAGGCTACCCTTTCAAGACTTATATAGCTAGCACATGGACAGATGCATAGATCAATGGGACAGACAATAAAGAATCCTCAAACAGACCTGTACAAATACACCCAATTACATTTTTACAAAGATGCAAAAGTAATTCAGTGGAGGAAAGATAGCTTTTGTAGCAAACGGGCTGGAGCAACTGGACATCCACAGACAAAACCACCAAAGAAAAAGAAGAACCACAACCTTGGTCTCACACCCTGTATGAAAATTAACTCAAAATGGATCATAGACTTCAACATAAAACTTAAAACTATAAAACTTTTAGAAAACAAGAAAATCTTTGACATATGGAGCTGGGTCAGGAGGTTTTAGATTTGTTGCCAAAAATATGATCCATAAAAGGAAAAATTGTTAAAATAGACTTCATCAAAATAAAAACCTTTTGCTCTGTAAGAGACCCTGTTAACAGAATAAAAAGACAAGCCAAAGACTGAAAGAAAATATTGACAAACTACATATTCAACAAAGAATTAGTTTCTATACTTTATAAAGAATTTTTCAAAACTCAACAGTTTCAAAAATAGAACGTAAACAAAAGACATGAAGGGACACTTGACTAGAGAGGATATACAGATGGCAAATAAACACATGAAAAGATGCTCAACACCATTAGTCATCAGTGAAATGCAAATAAAAGCCATGATATATCAGTACATACCTATTAAGGTGGCTGAGATAAGATCATAGTGATCATACTGAAGCCTGGTGAGGATGCATGGAAACTGGATCTGGAAAATGGCTTGACAGGTTAAAAACAAAATAAAACAAAGCAAAACAAAACAAAATGAGCCCTGTAACAAGCATAGAATCCAGCAATAGAACCCCTGGGCCTTTGTCCCAGGGAAATGAAAACTGATGTCCATGCAAAAACCTATACATGTGTCATAGCCCAAATCTATAAACACAGACTTCCTCCAACAGGTGAATGGTTAAACAGACTGTGGTACATCCATACCATAGAGCACTACTCAGAAGTAAAATGGAATAAACTATTGATAAATGCAACAATAGGATGAATCTCCAGAGAATGATGCTGCACAGGAAAAAAAAAGCCAATCCCACAATTTTATGATTGCAATAGACGACATTCTTGCAATGAGCAGATTGCAGGAGTGGAGAACAGGTCTGTCATTGCTGGGGTTGGGGCTGGAGCAAGCCAGGTGAAGATACACATGATAGCTCTGTGTGGCTTTTTACAATTGCATGGGAATCTACAGTGTCTCAGGGTTAAATGTTTAATTTAAAAACCACAATGAGCATAAATGCTTAAAAAAAAAAAAAACCTAGAGCCAAAGACTCAGCAACTCCACTCAGAAGCATCATTTGAACAGATACACTCCCACACATGAACCAGCAGAAGGGTTCAATTGTTACTTACAAATCTTGGAAATGCCTCAAATATCCATCAAAATAACAATGACTGAATAAAGGTTCATTTTTATGTTTGATTTTTGCAGACTTTCTAGATGCCTCTCATTCTTTGGGGCACAAGGAATACATCGATCAATAAAACAAATGTCCTGTGCTTGGGGGGCTTATATTCTAGGTGCAGGGGACTTAAAATGAACAAAATAAATAAGTGAATTGCAGTGCCAGCTATCAATGTCTTGCCTCCAGCTCCACACGCACCCTTCATGGCTGGTTCCGAGGCAATGGAGCTGGAGCCAGCAGGCGCTTCTCTTGTGCACCTGGTGCAATGCTAAGCTTTGTTGGTTGAGGCGTAGGGGGAAGCACCTCCTAGCATGGGTCCAGGATGACTGGTTCCAGATGCTTCCATTTCTTCCTTTTTCTTTCTCTTCCTGTATAAATGGCAGTGGCACAAGTTGGGGACGTCTGGCGGCACACACCACATTGAATTCAGGGGACCCCCCCAGATGGCTTCCTATTGAGATTCAGTGGCATCTGCACCTGTGGGTTCCCAGTGACTCTTGTAGGCTTCCCAGCCCCAGCCCACCTGCCTTGCGGGGGAAGAGAGGCTTCCTGCTTGCCAGACCCAGCCTACATTTCCCTGCCTGCTGGCCTCTGCCCTGACCGTGGGCCAGCTGTGGCTGGGACAACCCAGCAAACTTCTCCAGCTTCCCTTGGGAGAACCACACCTTCTCCCATGCGGTCTGAACCCACACTTGTGGAAAGGATCCCCACCCCTGTTTATTTCTTCCTTAACTGCCCTCGTGCAATCCTGAGCCATTCTTTGTGGTTCTCTTTAAACCTCTAGAGCTGATTGTTCACTGTGCAAGCAATACCTGTTCAATCTACTGTCTCTGGTCACTGATGGGTCACTGGTTCATACATTATTTTAAATGGTGATCAGTGCTATGGAAAAAGCAAAGTGGACAAGTTGGACAGGAGTGGCCAGACAAGGGGTTATTTGTCCTTTACATGAATTGATGAGGAACAGCCTCGCCAAGGTGGCATTCAAACACCGAATTTAAGACATGAAGGAAGCAAGCCATGAGCTCGTCAGCTGGAAGAGGAGTCCAGGTGGCAGGAGCATCCAGTGCCAGCCCAGAGGTGGGAGAACGCTGGCAGTTTCCGGGAACACACGGCAGAGCAGCCACAGCAAATGATCCAGGGAGACCGGCCACACATGAGGCTGGGGAGTGGGTGGAACGGCCATGTAGGGATTAAGGACCACCACGAGGACTTCAGCTTCTGCTCTGAGTGAAAGACCCTGGATAGCTCTGACAAAGGCAAGCTGTGACTTACGTATTTAAGGGGTCACTCCAGTTGCTGCATTGAGCACAGATTTGGAGGCCGAATATAGAAGCAGAGAAAGCAGTTAGAAAAGACGTGGCAATAACCCAGGATGGTGCACTGATTTCTACCTGGGCATCCAGGAGAACAGGGGATGGACCTAACTGTCCCACCACAGAGGGAAACTGGCCCCCAGGTGTGAAACGCTTGTGTTTAGACACCGGACACAGACAGCACAGGCTGTGATCCCTGAGAGTGGGAGCTAATGAGCTCAGCTGGATCATGGCAGCTTTACGCCTGGAGGGAATTTCAACCCACCGCAGAGAGAGGAACCCAACAGAGCAAGGAGTCAGACGATGTGGACGGGACACAGATTGGACTCTGGACATCGCAGACGACTAGAATGTGGGAGACAAGGAAGCAGACAGGAGAGCTCTCTGCAGAGGAAGAGCTCCAGAAATGTGCAGAGCGGTCCTCGAGACCATAGCTAAATACCGGTCCACGCAGGCAGAGGGTGGAACTCCACAGGGCCAGAGAAAATGACATTTGAATAAAGAAGGATTCCAAGGAACTGAAGAAAATCAACACCCCACAAACACAGGTGCAAGAATGAGTTGAGATGCCGAGACAAGAACTGTCTTCAACAAATGCCTCTGGGACAACTGGATGTCCACATGCAAAAGACTGAGGTGGGACCTCACGCCACACACAAGCTTTCACCCAAAATGGATCAAAGACCTAAACGTAAGAGCTAAAACTATACAACTCTAAGAAGATGCATAAATCTCTGTGACCTTGGCTTTGACAATCAATTCTCTTTTTTTTTTTTTTTGAGACAGACTCTCACCATGTCGCCCAGGCTGGAGTGCAGTGGTGCAATCTCAGCTCACTGCAAACTCCGCCTGTTGGGTTTAAGGGATTCTCCTGCCTCAGCCTCCCGAGTAGCTGGGATTACAGGCACCCACCACCACACCTGGCTAATTTTTGTATTTTTAGTAGAGACGTGGCTCACCATGTTGACCAGGCTGGTCTCGAATTCCTGACCTTAAGTGATCCACCCGCCTCAGCCTCCCAAAGTACTGGGATTACAGGCCTGAGATGCTGCACCTGGCTGACAATGAATTCTTATCTACATACCCAAAGAGCATGCAGCCACAGGAATAATAGACAAATTGGACTTCATCAAAATTAAAAACTTGTGTACATCAGTGGACACTATCAAGGAAATGAGAAGACAAGATACAGAACATGAGAAAATACTTGCAGATCACATATCTGATAAGATTCTAGTATCAACAATATATAAAATACACCTATAACTCAACATAAAAACACAACTAGCCCGATTTTAAAAAGGGAAATGAATAGACTTTCTTCAGAGAAGATATCAAAATGACCAATAAGCACATGAAAATATGCTCAATGTCATTAGTCATTAGGGAAATGCAAATCAAAACTACAGCGAAATACCACTTCACACTCATTAGGATGGCTAGAATCACAAAGCCAGATAATGACAAGGGTTGGCAAGGATGTGGAGAAATTAGAACCCTCATGCATCGCTGGTGGGAATGTAAAATGGCACAGCTGCTCAGAAAAACATAGTTTGGCAGTTTATCCAACAGTTACACATAGAATTATTTAATACCCTATGACCCAGCAGTTCCACTCCCATGTATACACCCAGGTGAAAGGAAAACATATGTTCCCACGAAAACATTTATGCACAAATGTCCCTAGCAACATTACAAAACCCAAGAAGTAGAAACAACTCAGATGTCTACCAATGGGTGAATGGATAAAAAAGGTGGTATTATCCACACAATGAAATATTATTCTGTCATAAAAAGAAATAAAATACTGACACATGCTACCACGTGGGCAAACCTTGAAACATTATGCTAAGGGAAAGAAACCAGTCACAAGAAACACATATGTATGATTCCATTTCTATGAAGTGTGCAGAACAGGCAAGTTCATGCAGACGGGAAGTAGATGAGAGGTTCTGGGGTGCAGAGGGAAGAATGGGGGTGAGAGCGGACGGGCGTGGGGACCTTTGTAAGATGATGAAGATCTCCTGGATTAGATAGTGGTGATGGTTTCACAGCCTTGTGAATTTACTGAAACCCACTGAATTGGGCACTTTTAAAGAGTGAGTATGATGGCATGTGAAATATATATCAAATAAAAATTTTAAAAACCACCTCCCCAGAGAAGCCTCTCCAGGCTACACAATGGAAGATGCAGCCCCTACTCTCCCTGTCACTTCCCTGAGCTGCGCTCCATTACGACACATCACTCCCCGGAGACACCCTGTTCATTTCCTTGCAGTCCTATTGATTGCCAATTCCCCCCATGGGCAGACTGAATAATGGTTCCCTGAAGATGTCCACATCCTCAGCCCTGGCCCTGTGGATGTGTGTATGTGGTAGACTGAATAATGGTCCCCTGAAGATGTCCACATCCTCATCCCTGGCCCTGTGGATGTGTGTATGTGGTAGACAGAATAATGGTCCCCTAAAGATGTCCACATCCTCATCCCTGGCCCTATGGATGTGTGTATGGTAAAAGGGACTTTGCAGATATAATTCAGGAAGGATCTGAGATGAGCAATTAGCCTGGATTATCTGGGTGGGCCCACTGTTATCACAGGGGCCCTTATAGGAGAGAGGCTGGGGAGCGAGGGAGGGAGAGAGAGAAGGGTGGGGAGAGAGAATATTTATGAACAGAAGTAGAAGAGGCTGTGCTGCTGGCTTTGAAGGTGGAGGAGGGGCCACAAGCCAAGGCATGTGGAGGCCTCTGGAAGCTGGAAATGGCAGGGACAGATTCCTCCCCAAGAGCCTCCAGAAGGAACCAGCCCTGCCAACCTTCGTTTTAGCCCCGTGAAACATACTGAAAAGAAGAGCTGGAATGAAGCATCTGAAGTTCTCTCAGCAAAACCTGCATGCTCGGTTGTGGTTGTGGGTTTTTTGACCAACAAATGAAAGCGTTCTAAGACCCCATGCACCGTCGGCTGAAGGGGAGCGTGAATATCTGTTCCCAGTCCCAGCCTCACAACCAGAGGATGCATTTCTTCACGGTTTTCTCCTGCAGCTCAAGGAGGGAAAGCACTTGGAATTATTTGACTTCTCCCCCTCACTCAGTGGAACTTTGGAGTCGTTCTTCCCACCCTTGTCAACCACAGGGCTTTCTCATGTCTACAGGCGCGTGTGCAGATTTCTTGGGTGTGCACAGATGCAGGGAGGGCATCTCGTCGATGGAAAATGGGATACTCATGGGCACGGCATGAAGTGACACCACAATTCCCTAAATTGTTTGCTGTGGTTGCTCATTGGGACGTGGCACCCACTGGAACCAAGGCTTTGGGAAGCCAACTGGCTGCTGTGCTTGGCCACAAACGTGGTAATCATGACTGCAAGGAGAAGGGGGCGGGGGCTGCCTGACTGATCTGGGGCTTTCAGAAAGGAAATGCCAAGGTCTGAGCTTGAGTAACAGGCAAGACACTGGAGACATTCCATCCTGACCATAGAATAATATTTCATTCTTGCAGCCACAGAGCAGAAATGGCTGAAAATCAGACTCCACATTTAATAGTGTGGGTTGCATGGTGAGTTGGATTCAAAAGTCGCCAAGTGTTTTATGTGAAAGTTGGGTCACTGCTTAAGGAGTGGGACCATGACACACAGAACTGGGACATTTATGTGATCTCAGATGGAAGTGAGAATCTTGATCCCCTCCCCAATCCCCCTGAACCTGCCGGGGCAGAATCACCCCCTCCTCCCCTCCCCAATCCCCCTGAACCTGCCTGGGCAGAATCATCCCCTCCTCCTTTGCGTGAGGAGATGAGACTTCCCTTTCTCAGACATCTTACCCCGAGGCAGTTGTGTCGGGATGGATTCTAGGGGCTTTACACCAGGAGAACCGCGCTCCGATGTGGACCCAAGCTGAGTGTGTCAGTGCGTATGTGCTGAGTGTGTCAGTGCGTATGTACTGAGCACGGCAGAGCTCTCAGCATGGATCGGCTCCACCCAAGCCCCTGCACCAGGAGACAGGAGATCGCCAAGCTCTCATGGCATCCAACAGCAGGAGGCGCATCCCTGGGGTGGCCCCAGCCCCCTAAATGCTTGCCTGAGAGCTCGGCACTGCAGGTGAATTTGCTGTGTGTCCTGGCCAGCACCCAGCTGCCCCTTCTTAGAGCTTTTGCTAAAAAGGGCTTACACCTGTGACTCCTTCCTCTGCCCCTTTGAGAAGTCTATTTCTCCTACAACGCAGAACTCTTTCTCAGGCTGGGTATGGTGGCTCACATCCGTAATCCCAGCACTTTGGGAGGCCAAGGTGGGTGGATCCCTTGAGGTCGGGAGTTTGAGACCAGCCTGGCCAACATGGTGAAACCCCCCCCCCCATCTCTATTAAAAATACAAAAATTAGCCAGGTGTGGTGGCAGGTGCCTGTAATCTCAGCTACTTGCGAGGCTGGGGCAGGAGAATTGCTTGAACCTGGGAGGTGGATGAGGTTGCAGTGAGCCGAGATCGCACCACTGCACTCCAGCCTGGGTGACAGAGCAAGACTCTGTCTAAAAAAAAAAAAAGAGAGAAAAAAGAAAAGAAATCTTTCTCAAGGACCTGAGAGCCATTCCTTAGAAATGTGACCTTCAGGAAGAATGGGCCTCCTTCTTCCAGACTCTGTTGGGGGACAGAGTCCTCCTTCCATAACTGCCACACAGCTGGCCCCACTGCACTGACCCTGACCAGCACTCTGTAACTCTTCACTGGAGCCCCCACTCCCTCCCGCACCCCCAACCACTCTCCCTTCAGAACACCCCTTCTCCCCTGCACAAAGTGGCATGGAACCAGTCTGTCCCTGGCTCTGAGAAGCTGCTGAATAAAACCTGTCCTCACCGCTTTAACTAGCGTCCAGCTTGGCTCACTGGTGATGATGTATCCAAAATGCCGTATTTCACACATTGGCTTGAGCAGGAGAGCAGCTCTCAGATGGCTTCCAGGACTGGCTGAGCTGGCGTCGTGACCTCATTCACAGGGGCTGGGACACCAGAGCGGCCCCACATAACATGGAGAAAGGACTCTGCACTGCAGGTGTTTGAAGGGTTCCCAGGGTTTGCTTTAGGCTGGTGGGGGAGACACAGCCATAGGAATGACTGTGGGACGGAGGCTTATTACACTTAGGCCCCTAGAAACAGGAGGGGCGGGGCCTCACAGAAGCACCAGAGCCTGTCTGGAGGCACTGGGAGCAGGAGGAGAGTGCGGGCGGAGCCTGCACTGCGGTTCCCACGTTTCCCACGGGAAGGAACAGAGGAAGCAGGGTAAACAGGCTCAGGGCGGGCTGGTTTCAATAATGTCCCGGGCCCTGGGGTGTGGGGGCTGGCTGTCCCTAGCTGTCTGGTCCCTGCCCTGGGGAGGGTGTGGGCTCTGGACTGGTTGGTTTGCATATGGAAGCACACTTACAGATGGTACCTGCCCTGGGGAGGGTGTGGGCTCTTGACTGGTTACCGGTTTGCATATGGAAGGCACACTTACAGGCAAGTCATCTGCTATTTCTAGAAATTAGCCAACTCCAGGAGAAGCACTTCCTCCAGGGTTAGCAAGGCTCCAGATGTCAAAGTGTCCAAATTCAGAAAGTAAAGGCCGTGGTTCACACAGAAAGGGTGTCAGAGACAGGTCACGCAGTCATTTGAAGAGCAAATTCCTGTAAAGAATCCCCAACTGGTAACAGGAGAGGGGTTACCAATGGGGAAAGAGGACTCTAAAACCACAGAAATAACAGAAATGGGAGCCAGCTCTACCCCAGGGCCGAGGCTGCGCACCGGGGTAGGAACAACCTGGAAGGCGCTCAGGCCTCCCTGGAGAGGGTGTGTCTGCGGCCCCGGGGATGGCACAGAAGTTTGCTGACTTTGGGTATCCAAGAACTCACCAAAAGCCACCCACGGGGCTACTGCTGACTTCACTGGGGCTGAGCTCCACCTGGCATCCAGCTTGCCAGCCAAGCCCCTCAGGACAGAGAATGAAGAAGACCCCTGAATCCAAAGGGAAGCCCCTTCCTCCAGCGACCCCCGTGCCCTCTGTTAACAAGGCCCAACAGTGCACCAGTTACGAAGGAGAAACGTCGACAGGGTTTAGCTCCAGTCACACGCAGGATAATTAAGAGCAAATTTGAAACTGAGGGGCAACAAACCCATAGCTGGCATAGAACCCCAATGGCCAAGGAATCAGAATGTGGGGGTGCACACTCACCCACCCCATCTGCTTCCCCATTGTCAATTTCTTCTCTTTATTATTTCCTTTCTTCTACTTTCTTTAGGCACAATTTGATCATTTCTTCTTAAGGTGGAGGCTTGGGCCATTGACTTAAGCATTTATTTTTCCTACTAGAACCATTTAAAGCTATAACCATTTAAAGCTATAACCATATAAAGCTGCCACCCCTGCAGCCTTAGCTTATGTGAGATTAGAGCTTTAGGTTACCAAGAGGGAAAGCTCTGCTACCAGGAAGCACAGTGAATGCTCCAGAAAACCTGCTGTGTTGGCTCCACCAGGCCACACTGGGATCCTCATGCCTGCAGATGAGCGGGTAAAGAACGGAGTTACTGTATACTAGTGGGTATTTTATACTGATTATGTATATTGGTGGGTAGTTGACCCTGATTATGTGTATTGGTAGGTAATGATCGACCCTGTTATGTATATTGGTGAGTGGTTGACTCCGATAATGTATACTGGTGGGAAATTGACCCTGATTATGTACATCGGTGGGTAATTGACCCTGACTGTGTATATAGGTGGGTAATTGACCCTGATTATGTATCTTGGTGGGTCATTATTGAGCCTAATTATGTATATTGATGGGAAATTGACCCTGATTATATATATTGGTGGGTAATTATTGACCCTGAGCATGCATATTGGTAGGAAATTGACCCTGATTATGTATCTTGGTGGGAAATTGACCATGATTTTGTATATTGGTGGGTAATTATTGACCCTGATTCTGTATATTGTTGGGTAATTGACCCTGATTATGTATATAGGTGGGTAATTTTCCCTGATTATGTATCTTGGTGGGTAATTATTGAGCCTAATTATGCATATTGATGGGAAACTGACCCTGATTATGTATATTGGTGGGTAATTATTGACCCTGAGCATGTACATTGGTGGGAAATTGACCTCAATTATATATATTATTGGGTAATTATTGACCCTGATTGTGTATCTTGGTGGGTAATTGACCCTAATTATGTATATTGGTGAGTAGTTATTAACCCCGATTATGTTTATTGGTGAGTAATTGACCCTGATTATGTATATTGGTGGGTAATTATTGTCCCTAATTATGTATATTGTCAGGTAATTATTGAACCTGATTATGTATCTCGGTGGGTAATTGACCCTAATTATGTATCTTGGTGGGTAATTGACCCTAAATATGTATCTTGGTGGGTAATTGACCCTGATTATGTATATTGGTGGGTAATTATTGACTCTGATTATGTTTATTGGTGGGTAATTGTTGACCCTGATTATGTATATTGGTGGGTTATTGACCCTGATTATGTATCTTGGTGGGTAATTGACCCTGATTATGTATATTGGTGGGTAATTATTGACCCTAATTATGTATATTGGTGGGTAATTATTGCCCTTGATTATGTAGATTGGTGAGTAATTGACTGATTTTGTATATTGGTGGGTAATTATTGACCCTGAACATGTATAGTGTGGGATAATTATTGATCCTGATTATGTATATTGGTGGGTAATTATTGACCCTGAACATGTATAGTGGGGGATAATTATTGATCCTGATTATGTATATTGGTGGGTAATTATTGACCCTGATTATATATAGGTGGATAATTGATCCTAATCATGTATATTTGGTGAGTAATTGACCCTGATTTTGTATCTTGGTGGGTAATTACTGACCCTGATTCTGTATCTTGGTGGGTAATTGACCCTGATTATGTATCTTAGTGGGTAATTATTGACCCTGATTGTGCATATGTTGGTAATTATTGACCCTAATTATTCATATTGGTAAGTAATTAACCCTGAATGTGTACATTGGTGGGTAATTGATCCTGATTGTGTATATTGGTGGGTAATTATTAACCCCGATTATGTATGTTGGCAGGTAATTGACCCTGATTGTGTATATTGGTGGGTAGTTAACCCTGATTATTGTGAGCTGGTGAAGTGGCTGCTACTTAGGATGAGCAGAGAGGAGTGAGTCTAAAATTCAGGAGATTCAGGGGAGCACCCACAGGTGCCTCCCTGCCCAGTGGTGACCATGACAAAGCCACTACAGTGACCAGAGCCTGATGAGAGCGCTGACCCAGGACTCAGACACCTTGGAGATGAATGTGCAGCTTTCCCACTGGGCAAACAACCCAGAGGGTGAAGGGATCCCAGAAATGCAATGGCCGATGAAGCTTCAGTGACGATCCCATGGGGCTGTGTGTATCTGTGCGGCTTGAGGGGTGGGGGACAGACAGTCATGTGAGACCCCAATGGTGTGCTCCCAGATGCATCCTCCTCGTGTACACAGGCAGCTCCCGGCCGCATGCCCCATGGCCCATGACTCCTCGCTTGAAGGTTTTCTCCGGATGCTGAAGCGTGCCCAGCCCACACCAGGCAGATTGCATTGCAGGCTGGTAATGTCCCTGTTGTGGCCCTCAACCCAGCACAGCCAGATTGGAGGGCAGAGCAATCTGAGTGTGCTCTACACAGGGCCGAGGGAGACCCCACCTGAGACCCTCACCTCCTGTGTTCTCTTTATAGTGACTCTAAACACATGATGGTACCTTTTTCCAGTCAAGATAAGCTGGATACATTTTCCCGCATTGGTAGTAACCAGTGACTCTACCTGCAGAGTGGGAGACATCGGTGACTTAGGCCATTTCTTAGCTCAAGCGTGCCCTCTCCTATTGGGATTGTGAAGTGCATTTTGCTAAATGGTGAGTTCCACTTCCCATCGTGGTCTAGGAGCTCCCATCTGACCAAGCCTCCCTCAAGTAGCAATGATTAACTCTGGACAAAATGCAGAAACCACTCTCCCTGGGCAAACAGACACTGCAGGTCGGTTAGCACCTGGAAGAAGGTGACAGCACTAGATGAGTTTCCCATTCTCACTGCTTTTATCTGGAGGGCAGTCCCTGTCTGCACCACATGGAGCAGATCAAGCTCTGGTAGACACCTTGCAATTTTGCTGGCTTGAAGAACCAGAGGACAGAGTCCTAGGCAATGATAGCTGCTGGAAAGTGAAGAGAGAAATTCAAGAAAGAAGAGAGCCAAAGAGAGAGCCCCAAGTTCTAGGCAGAAACCGTCCAAATCTCAGGCTAACCCCTAAAAAATGAACACACAGGAAAGACACGAAGCAGCCCAGCAAAGCCTAGAAGAACTGACTGAAATGTGAACTGAATTGCTGTGCACCACAGAAGAGGCAGAGCTGACAGCTGGAGGTCAAATAACTTCCTGCTTCAAAACAAAAACCAGGCCAGGCGTGTTGGCTCACTTTGGGAGGCCCAGCACTTTGGGAGGCCGAGGTGGGCACATCACCTGAGGTCAGGACTTTGAGACCAGCCTGGCCAACATGGCAAAACCCCGTCTCTACTAAACATACAAAATTTAGCCAGGCCTGGTGGTGGGTGCCTGTAATCCCAGCTACTCGGGAGGCTGAGGCAGGAGAATCGTTTGAGCCCGGGAGGTGGAGCTTGCAGTGAGCTGAGATCGTGCCACTGAACTCCAGCTTGGGCGACAAGAGTGAAACTCCTTCTAAAAAAACAAAAACCAAAAACCAAAAACCAAAAACAAAAACCAGCACTCTTTGCAGAAACCTAACAAAACCCAGAGTTTATACATCATTCAAACTGTTCAGGATACAATCCAAAATTATTATACACATGAAGAAAGGAAAATGTGACCGTTCTCAAGAGGACTGACTCGGAGCCAACATGGAGGCAGCAGAGAAACAGCGACTGCAAACAGCAATCAAAGGGATATTCTAAAACTAAAGATCACAACATATGGAAGGAAAATTCACCAGATACAGCGAAGAGAAAACTTGAGACACCTCTGTCAACAGGAAGATACATAAATAGAAATAATCCAGCCCTATGAATAAAGAGAACAAATATTGAAAACAAAAAGAGCTCGAGCCCAGGAGCTCCAGGCTGTAGTGAGCTATGATTGTGCCACTGCAGTCTGGCCTGGGCAACAGAGCAAGACCCTGTCTCTTTAAAGAGAGAGAGAGAGAGAGACTCAGAGAGCTGAGAGACAATATCCAAAGGCCTAACACCCATGTAATTGAGTTCCAGATGGAGTGGAAAGCAATCATGGGCAGAAGAATCATTTGAGGAAAAAAGTTTTATGAAATTACAGATACAGAAAGCTTAGAAAACCCCATGCAGGATAAACAGAAAGAAAACACATTAGGTACATTAAAGTCAAAGTGCCAAAAACCACATTTAAAGACAGAATTTTCAAGCAACCAGAGAAAAAAGACACATTACATACAGCAGAAGCATGAGCTGACTAAGCATTGAGATCTCACTGGAAACCACATGGGCCAGAGACAGGGAAACCGCATCTGTAAAGTGCAGAAGGAAAAGAACTGCAGTCAAGAGTTCTTTTTATTTTATTTTATTTTATTTTATTTTATTTTATTTTATTTTATTTTATTTTATTTTATTTTATTTTTGAGAGAGAGTCTCACTCTGCCACCTAGGCTGGAGTGCAGCGATGTGATCTCGGCTCACTGCAACCTCCACCTCCCGGGTTCAAGCGATTCTCCTGCCTCAGCCTCCTACGTAGCTGGGATTACAAGCATGCGCCACCACGCCTGGCTAATTTTTGTATTTTTAGTACAGACAGGGTTTCACCATGTTGGCCAAGCTGAATTCCCGATCTCAGGTGATCTCCCGCCTTGGCCCCCCAAAGTGCTAGGATTACAGGCATGAGCCACCACGTCCAGCCGAGAATTCTGTGTCTGCTGAAAATATCCTTCAAGGGTAAAAGCAAAGTGAAACACATGCAGATAAAAGAAAATGGAAACAATCTGTGGGCAGCAGCCAGCAGTATAAAAAATGCTATTAGGTTGTGTTGGTGCAAAAGTAATTGGGGTTTTTGTCATTACTTTTAGTGGCCAAAGCTGCAATTACTTTTGCACCTACCTAATAAAAGCCATTCTTCAGGCTGGAGGGACGTGATCAGCATGGAGACAGGACACTCAGGATCAAAGAGCACTCAGCACGGAAGGTCTGTGGGTACAGAGAAAACTCCCTTTCTGTTCCTTTATCACATGTGGGACTGCTTCAAGCATGCTCTGCAGTGCTGTGTTGTGGCGTCTCCAGCATATATAGATGTGATGCGTGTCAGCAATGACATGAGGGAGAGCACCTGTGCCGTCACAAGGTCTGTGACATGAGGCAGAGTGGGGAGGACGCACCTGTGCCATCACAAGGTCTGTGACATGAGGCAGAGCGGGGGAACGCACCTGTGAGGTCACAAGGTCTGTGACATGAGGCATAGTGGGGAGGACGCACCTGTGAGGTCACAAGGTCTGTGACATGAGGCAGAGTGGGGAGGACGCACCTGTGAGGTCACAAGGTCTGTGACATGAGGCATAGTGGGGAGGACGCACCTGTGAGGTCACAAGGTCTGTGACATGAGGCAGAGTGGGGAGGACGCACCTGTGAGGTCACAAGGTCTGTGACATGAGGCATAGTGGGGAGGACGCACCTGTGAGGTCACAAGGTCTGTGACATGAGGCAGAGTGGGGAGGACGCACCTGTGAGGTCACAAGGTCTATGACCCGAGGCACAGTGGGGAGGACGCACCTGTGAGGTCACAAGGTCTATGACCCGAGGCATAGTGGGGAGGATGCACCTGTGAGGTCACAAGGTCTATGACCCGAGGCATAGTGGGGAGGATGCACCTGTGAGGTCACAAGGTCTATGACATGAGGCATAGTGGGGAGGACGCACCTGTGCCGTCACAAGGTCTACGGCATGAGGGAGAGCCTCGACCTCCTGGGCTCAAGCAATCCTCCCACCTCAGCCTCCCGAGTACCTGGGACTACAGGGTTGCGCCACCAAGCCTGGCTAATTTTTTTTTTTTTTTAGAGATGGGGTCTCGCTATGTTGCCCAGGCTGGTCTCCAACTCCTGGCTTCAAGTGATTCTCTCACCTCAGCCTCCCAGAGTGCTGGGAACACAGGCCTGAGCCACCATGCCTGGCCAGAATCGAGCACTGAGGCCTGGTTAGGGGCCGGCCCCTTCCTGAGCAGCTGATTGGTCCACACGGCAGCCCTGCGCTAATCAGACGGCCCCACTGGGGGGCCGCTCCCCACCAGCCCTCATTGCTCCAAAGCCAGGTACCAGACAACCAGGGACAGCCCCTAAGCCCTGGAGCAGAGAAATGACCCATGTTAGCTGGCCACAGGCAGCCGGGTCACCCGCTACACTTTCTGCTCCCTACCCTGAGCTCTGCAGGCTGTTGTCCTGTCCCAGGCTCAAGCCACCCCGTGTGGCCCTGCCTGGCAACTGCCCTCTCCTGCGGAGCAGCAAGTCACTAAGAGTCTGCCTCTCCTCGCTCCCAGCGTCACTGTGCGATGTTGCGCCATCGAAAGAAACTTTAAATCCTACAGACCGCCAGGGTCAGGAAAGGCGCCTGTGCCAGGTGGGACCTCTGGTGGCTGCCCCCAAGCTGGGAACTTGCTGTCCCAAACCTACCCAGGCACAGAGAGGGACAGCGTGGAGCCAGGCTCTGGGGGCAGTGCTGGTGTGGCTCCCCGGAGGACAGGACTGGCTTCCCCGGTGAGCTCAAGCCCGAGCCACACCCTGCCTTGAGCTGCTGTCCCCTCCCCCCACGTCCAGCCTCACGGACTCAGCATCAGTGCTGAGGGCACTGGTGGCTCTGCCCAGTCCCCTCTGGGTGGCAGCTGCGCTTGGTCCCAGGCCTTCCGGTCTTACTTGTGCAGGACCGAGGAGTGGAGCCCTGCCCCCACCCCCGCAACCCCTACAGCCTGAGCTCAGCGGGCGGCTGACCTGCAGGAAGCACCCCGGGACCTTCAGGCCCAGCCTCCAGCACACACCCCCCTGCTAGGCCCCTCCCACTGTTGGCCTGTGGCACCCACCAGGGAGAACTGGGTCCAGGCTGGTTCCCTGTCCTTCCTCCTGCTTCCCACCCAGTCCCTGCACCCAAAAGAGCACCCAGCCAGCACCTCTCACCCCGAGGGACCCCACAGACAGGCGGAGTCACTGGGAACTGCTGAAGCTCTTTATGGAGAACCAGGAGAGGGGGCGCAGGGCAGGGGGAAGGCGGGGGGTGGTAGGAAGGGGTGCAGCCAGCCGCGTTCTGCAGGGGTGGGGAGCTTTTTCCATGTCCCTGTGAATGACGGAGGTGCTGGATGGTGCCGTCCTTGGGCTGCTGAGGAGCCAAGGTGTCCCCTGCCCTGGAAAGGGGGGGAGGGTGAGTGAGGCCAGGACAGCAAGGGTGGGAGGGGGATGCAATGTGGGGGCGCATGTGGGCTCTTGGGTGCTGCAGTGTGGGGGCCCATGTGAGCTCTCAGGGGCATGGTGTGGGGGGCACACGCTGCACTCTTGGGGGCTGTGATGTGGAGGGCACATGCAGGCTCTCGGGGGCTATGGTGTGGGGGGCACAGCAGGCTCTCAGGGGTGATGGTGTGGGGGGCACATGTGGGCTCTCAGGGGCATGGTGTGGGGGGCACATGTGGGCTCTCGGGGGCTATGGTGTGTGGGCACATGTGGGCTCTCGGGGGCTATGGTGGGGGTACACACTGGGCTCTTGAGGGTTACGGTGGAAGGCACATGCGGGCTCTCGGGGGCGATGGTTGCGGGGGCACGTGCTGGATCTCAGAGGCAATGGTGTGGGGGACGTGCACCGGGCTCTAGGGGGCTATGGTGTGGTGGGCACATGCGAGCTCTTGGGGGCGATGGTGTGGGGGGCACACACGGACTCTTGGGGGCTGCAGGTGGGGGCTCCAGCCTCTAGATTGGAGCGGATGGAGCAGGGACCACCCCCGCAGGCTGCTGACAGAGCTCCCTGCTGAGTGAAGTGGCATCAGGGTGACTGCAGGCCAAGGGGAGGGTGCGGGAAGGACAGCGATGCTGTCCAGGATTCTGGCTCTGCCCACACCTGGGCAGGTGACCTTGGGCGAGTCTCCAAACTCTGGTCCCCTTGTGCAGCCAGCAAGGGGCCCATCTGACACAGCGAGCACAGGCACGCCTGCCACTTTGCTGAATCTTTGAGCAACTTATCGGGTAAGTGGAGTCACAGGCATGGCCGAGGGTGAGGGGTGCTGAGGAGGAACCCGAATCTCCTGCCTGCTCCTGCCCATGTGACTGGGGGGTAGACACCGTCTCCACCAGCAGCCAGCAAAGGCGGGCTCAGCGCTGTGGGCTTCCCAGCTGCCCAGGAGTCACACCCAGGGCAAGAACGGAGTCTGACGCCCGAGCGTGGGCAGCTCAGGAGCAGAGCTCCCACCTGCCTGACCTACGTGGGGCATCTCCCACCCAGGTAGGAGTGGGATGGGTGGGAGAGACCCCATGGCCTCTGGAAGCACCACTGAGCCCCAGAACTGGATTTTCTCAAATGTCCTCTAAAGCTGTTCACTCACCCTAATCGCTCCCTGGAGAGCAGGTTTCTGCAGGAAAAGGAAGCACAGGCGTTAGGAGACCCCAGGAATGCAGTCAGGACCGGGGCCCCTCATCAGCCACCAGCTCCACCACCCCAGGAAGGACAAAGCCAGAATTAGACGCAGCACAGTTATGCGCCCGTGCAATGCAGCTCTGCTGATGTCCCCACGCGGGGACATGGGGGGCTCTGCAGGGCCATGCCTCCTACCGCTCTGCCTGGGGATGAGGATGCTCTCCGTGCTGAGTCCGCGGGCTCCTGCGGCTTTCTCAAAGTCCTCCAAGGCTTCCAGGTTGTTCTTGGGGTCTCTGCCTGTGGGTGCCAGGACGAGATGTGGGTGCTCGAGGCAGCACTGGGCCGACGGCACCCCATCCCAGTCTGGAGGCCTGAGCTGGGCTGGGGAAGGGGACCTCGCCCACCGTGGGGGGAATTGAACCCAGAGGCCCTCAGGCTGGCAAAGTGGGACCAGGGTGCCGTGCACGGCTGAGAAGGCTCCTGTGGCAGCAGAACCGGGAGAACGGGAAGGGCTCTCCATCCATCCCTGAGCATCTCCCGGAGTGAGGATGGACGGCACGACAGGCCCACCCTGGAGGAAGCGCCTCTCCCCTTGGGGGCACCAGGATCCCAATCCTCTGTCATTCGCACACCCCTGGCTCCAGGGAGAACTCAGGAGCCTTCATGGGCCTCGTCCTCTGACAGGGACAGCACTGATGAGTCACCATCTGTGGGAGGCACCGCGTCCGGAATTCAACCCCGGGAGCTGGAACGTTCTTTCCATGCAGACTTCTGCTCACATCCCTGTTCCTCTCTCCTGCTGGACACCCCACAGGAACGCGCTCAAGGATGACACTGCAGGGAGCTGCTCCGGGGGAGGGCCTGGCCCACTCTGGGACATGTGTGACCTTTGAACCCCTGTGCCTGCAGCCGTGGCTCCTTCCTGCCTCTGCTGCAGATACCGAGGCCGGGGCATCCCAAATCCTGAACTCCAGGGGTGGGAATTGAGGCCTTTATCAGGAAAACTCATCCTAAGAAAACTGCAGTGGGTTCCTGGGTCCCAGTGGCTTCTCCCATGGGGAAGAGGGTGCAGGAGGCCGAGGGAGGAGGGAGGGCAGGTGGAGGCATGGGTTGCAGGGTGAGGGTGCGGGACCCACCCACGAGCTTCACCCCTCGGACCGGCTTCCCGTGCAGCTCGCCCTCACAGTAAAAGATGTAGTGGTCCTTCACGTGCGACCTGATGATGTATGCCACGTGCTTGCCCCCGTCTGCAGAAAGACAGCAGCACATTCCTGAATTAGCCACCAGGGACTTCAGAGAGGATCCCGGGACAGCGTGCGTTGCCAGGCCCAGCAAGCCCCGCAGCTCCTGCACCCTCCCAGCCTCCCAGAGCTCCCTGACCCAGGTTCCCCACCAGGCCTGAGCCCCAGGCCATGGGACCCCCACTTCCCAGGAACCTGATGTACCCAAGAGGCGGCCACATCCCAAACCAGTGAGTCACGGGGGGTTCCTCCGGGTATGAGGTCTGCGGAGGTGGGAGTTGGGGTACAGCCCCCCGCAGCCAAATACGACTCTGCTCCTGGCCCTGCCAGAGCCACAGCCAGGGCTACAGGGCAAGCCCAGAGGGTCCGCCCCGGGACAAACCTGCCACACCTGGTGTTTGGGGTCAGGTGTTCAAGTCTCTAATGCAAATTGACCAGTGGGAGAAGAGAGTGGGCTTTTAGTGGAGTCAGAAGGCAGCAAAAGGCTTCCCAGGCCAAAAGGCCACCCCAAAAAGGCACTGGCTGCCCCCGCACATCCAGCGTGTGTTCAAGCTCAGGCTCTGGCTCAGGCCCCGGGACTCACCGGCCGTGTATTTTCCCGGCTCGTCAGTTTTCTCCAGGACGGCCTTCACCTCCTGGCACCGGCCACTTATCCTGGAAAACAGAAGCCCCCTGGCAAAGCGGCCCTGGCCTGTGCCTCCCCCGGCCCTGGAGCAACCATGCTGCAATGCCCTGCAAATGTGGCCCCGAGTCTGCCACAGGCCCATGGAGGAGGGTGCTTCTCTGCATCTCAGACCCAGGCACCAGCGGCCCCTCCGGGTCCCATGCGGCAGTTCCCGGGGTCTCCCGAGATGGCCAGGAGCTCTGCACCGCTCCTCCTGGTGGCTGCCTTCCCAAACCCCCCGCCCCCAACACATTTCCTGCCAGAGGCACCCAGGCTGCCTGGTTTGCAGGCAGCGTCTGTGGCGTGGGCCTGAGCCTCATCCCGCCAGCTGCATTCTTCCTTTTAGAGACATTCAGGCACAAGCCCCATATCCATCATCATCTGGCCCAGAGAGGGAAAGGTTCAGTGAGGGGCTTTGGGGGAAAAAAAAATCGGGGTCATTGCCAGGGTCAGTGACTTCCTGAGATTCAGCCCCCAGGACCGGAGCACAGGCACTGCATGCCACTCAGGAGGGAGCCATGCGGGTGAAATCACACAGGTGGGAAGTCACAGATGTGAGCCACGCGGGTGGAAGCAGCCCAGGTGAGAGCCGCACAGGTGAGCGCTACACAGGGATTTCAAGGGGGTCTTCTCCATGGTGTCTTCTCCTATGCCCCCTCTTGGTCATTCTGCAAGCCCCATCCCTGCACTTCTCCAAAGCAGAAATTTACTGCCAGGACTGGCTCTGACTCTGGTCGGGGGTAAACACCTTTTCCCAAAGGGGCCTGCACGTCACCAGACATTCCCTAGTCGGAGGAGGAAGTGGGCGGTACCCAGGGCTGCCACTGGTAGCCCACAGGGTCTGATCCGGGGCCTCTGCCCCCTCAGGGCCCCTCCAGCCGAGGCACCTCAGTGGCACAGTTTGCCCTCAAGCATTGCAGGAGGGGCCGAGAGAGGCCTCCCAGCAGGTCTGCCCACCTCCCCAGCACCAGAGCTCTCCTGGGTGGGGAAAGGGAAGGCCCTAGACCAGGTTGCAGGCTGCCCGGCCGGCTGGCAGACACTCACAGCATGGTGACCTTGGCTTCCAGGTTGCCCCCTTCCAGGGTCGTGAGGGTCATGGGTGTCACCGATTCCAGATTCATCTCAGGGAACTCCCTGTCCACCGTCATGGCCTTCAGATACCACGTCCCTGACACCTGGAGAAGGCCCCTCTCTATCAGGCTCAGGCCGACTGCTCCAGAGCCTCCCCCTTCCCTGGCCTGCAGCCCCTAGACTCTACCGCACCCCGAGGGCTGGAAACGGGGAACGTTCCCCAATCTAACCCACCCAGAAAACACCCAGCACCCTCGCCAGGCCCACTTGAAGGTGGCTCCAGCCCCCACAAGCCAGCCAGGACCACAGGAGCCCTCATCCCCAGGGAAGAAGTGAAGTCAGCCAGACCCCCACCCTCCCAGCCCTGCCCACTCTGCACCCCTGCGCCACCTACCCTGCCAGCCCAGACCCCTGCTGCCCCATCCCACCATTCCCTCAGGGCAGGGCTTGAATGCCCAACCCAAAAACGAGGGTCTCCTTGGATGGAGGAGGCATGGGGTCTCCATCCAGTCTCAGCCTCGCCCCTTGCCCCCTCCAGCCCAGCCTTCCCATCCGGGCCTCACATCCTGAATCTCCTCGTCTGAGGCCAGGAGGTGGTGGGCCTGCAGGGCAGCAATGAGGCCAAGGCTGACGGCCAGGAGCAGGGGCTTCATCTCCGGAGTCTGAGTCCACGGCCGCCTGACAGGTCGCTTGCTGGGGCTGGGAGAGGCTGTACCAGTCCTCCCACAGCCGCCCTTTATACCGCTGGGCTCAGGGTCCCCCAGGGACCTGGCACAGGAGACTGACCAATCCCTTCCTGGATGTAAACCACTGCCAGTTCTGCAATGGAGCAGATAACCTGCCATTATTGTTGGAGGCTGGTGAATAACAGCTTGTTAATCCCAGAGGATCACTTGGACAGGACCAGGTCCAGAGGAGCAGATTTGCAGATTTCACCTGAAGGGAAACTGAAGGGAGTGAAGGGTGTGCAGGCCTCCTGGGGACGTGTGCAGCCGTAACAGATGCCCCCCAGCCATCCCACACTTGCTGACGTGCACACTGTCAAGGGGGTTTGGGGTTGGAGTCCGAGGGCCGTGGGCTTGGGGCTCAGCTGAGCTTCCTGCATCTCTGGGCAGGTTACTTGGCCTCAGATTCATCATGGAAAAAAAGGGACCCTCCTGTGTGAACACGATCCCGTGTGCATTTAAAGACGGTGTCCACTGTCCTGAGCAAGGTGTGCAGTAACGACCCTCTCTGCTCCACACACAGAGCAGCAATAGGTCAGACAGACAGAAGACCAAGACAGGTGTGTGTGTGTGTATGCATGTGTGTACATATATACATGCACAAACGCACACACACTCACATAAAACAAGGAATGGAGGAGAAGCACAGGCTGGTGATGGGGCAGAGGCAGGGGCCTGTCAGCTCCAAGTCCCAAGGCAGGCAGAGAGGGCCTAGGTCCGGCTCCTGGGAGTGATGGGAGGGGCTTCCCTGACTCCAGAAAGAAGGCTGAGAAACCCTCCTTGACACATCCCAGGGCTGTAACTTCGTATAACTTAGTGGAGCACTGTGGGCATAGGAAGGCAAGAGGACATCAACACAGCCTCAAGGGCAGAAGCTGAGACAAGCCGTCCTTGGAAAGGATGACTTTATCTGTGACATGCTCTGCATCACTGCAGAGCAGAAGCCTGGGACCCGGGATGGGAGCAGAGGCTACAAAACACTGCTAGACAGAGGACAGTGACAACAAGATGGCAGAGAAAGGCAGAAATGCAGAGACACAATATCCTCACCTTGAAATAAGCTAGAAAGGCCAGGTTCCAAATTACCCAAGGAAACACCACACTAAGAAAGGCAGGCTAAAAATGAGCAATTGGTACAGGAACTTACACCAGCCAAGGAAAGTCTGACACACACTTTAAAACTGCAGGAGTATGATCAAGATGCCTAGTGATTTAAAAATATATAAAGTATAAAATTAGAACTGGCCAGAATATAAGAAATAAGGAGAGACGAAATAGAAATAATTACAAATCTTGAAGATGAATAATAAAGTGAATAAAAAACTCAATAGACAGGTTAAATTCCAGACTTGACATAGTAGAAAAGAGACTTAGTGTCATGGAAGATAGTACTAACAAAATCAATGAAAGCAGAAAAATTCAAAAGAGAAATTGAGGTGTTACAGATAGATTCAGTCTCCAGCCTGGAGCTAGTAATAAAATGAGTGGAGGAAACCAACTAGAGTGCAGCAGCTCTGAAAACACAACACACAGAGATATACACACACACATGCACACACACGCACACACACATGCACACACACACATGTGCACACATACAAATGCACACAAACCCATACACATGCACACCCACATACACACGCAGACATACACGCGTGCACACACCATTCATTCATACATACATGCACATACATGCACACATACACACACACATGCACACTCACACACATACACACATGCACACACATGCACAAAGTTAACACACATGGAGAATAGATCAGGAGGTTCCAATATAAACAGAATAGGAGTTCTGAAAGAAAAACATTTTCTAAAATGGCAACAAAGCAACAGAATAGCTCAGAATTCTTCAGAATTGAAAAGACATGAAGATGACACCCCAGATCTAAATTACCAAGGAATGATCAAAATTGAGAAATCCACTCCTAGAATATTACAGTGAAATGCAGATCATCCAGGAAAGGAGAAAAAAAGTCAAAATGACCAGAAAGAAGAGCCACACTACATACCATAAAAGCGGATGTGGACTGATGGCAGACCTCTCAATAGCAACGCTGCCTTCCGGAAGACAGTGGAGTGACGTCTTTAACAGACCCGGGAGAAATCACATTTACCTGTGAATGTTATTCTCAGTGCAACTTTCATAAAATATTGAAGGCAAAATAAAGACATCTCGGACATTAAAAAACAACTGAGGCCCAGTGTGGTGGCTCATGCCTGTAATACCAGCACTCTGGGAAGCCAAGGTGAGGTCAGGAGTTTGAGACCAACCTGACCAACATGGTGAAACCCCATCTTGACTAAAAATACAAAAATTAGCCAGGCATGGTGGCGTGCACCTGTAATCCCAGCTACTCAGGAGGCAAAGGCAGGAGAATTGCTTGAACCTGGGAGGCAGAGGTTGCAATGAGCTGAGATCATGCCACTGCACTCCAGCCTGGGCAACAGAGCAAGACTCCATCTCGAAAAAATAATAATAATAAAAATTAAACAACAACAACAACTGAGAGCGTCTACCACTCACTGGTCTCCATCAAAGGAAATTTGAAAGGGAGAATTTTAGCAAGTCTATAGGAGACCGAGGTCAGGGGGATAAATGATGTCAGCAAGGCAAACTACCTGCTGGCTGTACAAACACAAATGGTGCAGACTTTGATGGTGGGGGAAAGGTTCTGTTTCAGTGCATATTTAAAGAGTGCTAAATGCACACAAAACACACTTGTGCCCACATGCATGGGTTCATACGAACAAGAATGCACACAAAACACACTTGTGCCCACACGCATGGGTTCATATGAACAAGAATGCACACACAAAACACACTTGTGCCCACATGCATGGGTTCATATGAACAAAAAGATGCACGTTAAGCACGGGAGAATAGCGATGCATGGAGAGGGAAGTGGAAAGGGGTGGGCAGGGATAATAAATTTTCAAAATACATAAACAAGCCTGTTAGACAAAAGCATGATTTATTTTTCATCAGTATAGATGAAAAGGGCGCCAACATGAAAACAATTAAAAGCACAATCACAAGAAGACGAATGTTCATGAATGTGAAGGCATACCGCATCAAAATGCAGGAAGCCAAAACAGACTGAAGAACAAAGGGGTCAAATACACAGTCGGAACGGGAGACGCCAGAACTTCTCCATTAGAAACAGAGGGCGAGGGTGTTAAAAGTTCACAGCAATGTTGGAGCTTTGGCACCAACATTGTAAAGTATACAAAGACACTGCCTCAAAAGCTAAACAATTATATTGTTATAATTGTTACAATGAAAAATTTTAGTTGCTAATTCTTATTAAATACACATGGAATAGTTTTAAAATAGGCCACATACCAGGCAATATGGGGAACTTCACAGAACTAACGCAGCAGAGCCTGCCCTTTGTAGCTACAAGGCAATAAACTAGAATCGACAATGAAGAGACTGTTACATAAAGAGAAATATAAACTTCAAGTTTACAGCCTTAAACGCATCTATAATACAATAAAGATGTCAGGACAGAAGTCCTCTCTCTGTGAAAAGTTCTCGGTCATGAGCACGCACGTATGCCCCCGGCCAGCTCTGCGCTCCTTCGTCAGGACAGAAGTCCTCTCTCTCTGTGTGAAAAGTTCTTGGTCATGAACAGGCATTTATGCCCCGGCCAGCTCTGTGGTCCTTCGTCAGGACACAAGTCTTCTCTCTCTGTGTGAAAAGTTCTCGGTCATGAACATGCACGAATGCCCGGCCAGCTCTGCGCTCCTTCGTCAAGACGGAAGTCCTCTCTGTGTGAAAAGTTCTCGGTCATGAACACGCACGAATGCCCCGGCCAGCTCTGCAGTCCTTTGGTGGTCACCTCGCAAAGGAGAATTGATCGGAGCTGCTGCTTACGGGGCAGATGCCCGTGGCAGCATCACCACATGCACATCGTGACGGCGGCCGCGTGTGTCACGCAGCCCCCAACTGATGATGAGAAACCAACCTGAACCTCACGTCAGCGGGAAGGCTGAGTTACCTTTCCATTCTATTTATGAAAAATTATTTTCATAGGAAGCAGTAATCAAGGGGTAGCAGCCAAGAGATATAGAAAAAATAAGTTTGATAGAGGTATGCCTGGGAGTAACTAATCAAATTTTTTTTCTTCCATTTGGTGATGTTTATTGCACCTATCAGCTTTTTCATGTGCGAGCCTTGTGATTTTTTATCACTTCAAATAAATATTTCTTTTCATATCTAACTTGGATTCATATTGCTATTATTATTTAAAGTAACCCCTAAAGTTTACGTATATTTTAAGCCCCACAAACTCCATCTACTCCTGGCTATATCTGTGAGTTTAATTTCCTTTTAAAATAATCTGAACATATACCAATGAGATTTTCTAATGCCGGGCATGGGTGATGGGTGTTTTTGTTTTCGGCTTGCTCTCTGGGTGCTGAAATAGTCAGGATTAGGACAGCGGACCATGGAAAAAGTGCCCGGATGTGCTGGTACCTGCAGCTCAGGAGAAAGGGAGGCAGCGTGAATGACACGTTCTTTTATTTGGGTTCTTGCTGCTCCCACGTTACTGTCACAATATTTTCCATGGAGTTGAAAAGTGAATGCCCCAAGACAAGCACAGAGGGTGCAGGGGTTGGGGTGTCCCGAGGGTGGGGCTGTGGTCAGGGCCTGGACTCCTCGCACTGCAGCTCCTCCTCTGTCCCCGGGGTTCCGTCCTCCTTGGTGGCCTGCAGGGCCTCTGTCCACTGCCAGGCCACCGACTAGGCTACAGAGACACGGTGACAGTCAGGTTTCTCAGGTCCCCCGGGCTAGAGGAACACGTGAGCCTTTCAGCCACCCCGTTGACCACACATGAGACAAAGGCAGAGGGGCCGCCTGGTCACGGAGGACGAGCAGCCCTTTGCCCCGTCTCCTGGAGGCTGGCGCTCAAATGAGTAAACCCAGGGAGTCCTGAGGTTCTTCCTGCCCAGACACAATGCCCTAGTGAGGTCACTTCCTGACACACGTTTAAAGGAAGCACACGTGTTATAAATCTTAGAAAGGTGGAAGAGGGGAGAAAATCACTTCCAATCCCACCTCCGCAGTGACTCACTCGTGAGATGGAACAGTTTCCTTCCTGTCTTTTTTCTAACAGAGTGTTTTGCATGGATGCGGTGACACAGATGTGTCACCTGCCTGTGACCGAAGGGAGCCGCAGGAAGGACACCCAAGGGCCTTGTGGTGTCTCTCCTGCACCCTGCACTTCCCCGGGGCCAACACCAAGGGCAAGGCCAGCCGTGGCGGGCAGCAGCCCCTCTGCTGGACACGGCGCCTGCCCCAAGGCCAAGGCTCCAAACTCGGCCCCCTACTGAGCATCTGATTTCCTGAGTCCCCCTCCGAGGGCTCCGGGATTTGACCTCAAAGTTCCCGCCAGCCTTGGTCTGTGTGTTTTAGTGTGTGGCCTTCTCTGTCCGTGCCCTGCATCCACCAGACCGCTGTCATCCTTCAAAGCCCAGCCCAGTCCCACCTTCTCGGGGAGGAAGGGGCTCTGCCCGCCTGGCCTCCAGGGCGTCTTGGGCCAGGGCAGCCGCAGTGGTCCCTGCATGTCCCCGTCACACATGGGTGCCTGTCCTGAAGGAGCCCAGTCATCCTGACAGGACTCGGCCCTCTCTGGCCACCCAGGGTCCCTCGCCCTTCCGGGCTGGGCTCAGCAGAGGCTCTTGGGGCTCAACTGGGCTGAGTGGAGTCGCGGGTGGTAGAAGTGACGGGCTCTTGGCCATGGAGGCCCAGGGCATGGCAGGGGGGCCCAGGGCGCATTCGTGGAAGGGCTGCTTCCCGGGAAAGGTCGCGCTGTGTTTGTGTTCCGGCTCTTTCCTCCGCCTGAGTTCCTCCGAGGCCCTGGCTTATCTGAATACAGGACCCTGTGTGCCACAGCATGCACCATGTCACGGTGAATGTCACACAAACAGGAACGTGCCTGGAGGCTGCCTGGACCTGTCCTCCTGCCCATCAGCTGCCAAGGTGATGCTGTGGACACGGCCGTCCCCACCTGCTTCCCGACTCATGGAGCTCCTCATGGGCTCAACACCCCCTTCCAGAAGGCTGGTCCCGGGAGGGGAGTGGCAGGCAGTGCAGCCAGCATGGGGTCCGTGAGCCAGGGGGTGGAAGAGGCCCCGTGACACGGGGAACACACTAAGCTCCTAGTCCAGCTCTTCTGGAGGACCAGATGCCCTCACTCTGCACCTGGGGAAGGGGTACACAGAGGGCTTGAGGCCAGCAAAGGAACTGCCCCTCAAATCTTACTCCGGGATCGGCACTTTTCTGGAAGACCCCAGGAATAAGGAGAAGGAAGGGCAGGCAGGAGGGAGGCAGGGAGTCCCAAGTCAGGTGCCACTGAGAGGGGGTGGCGTGACCCTGTCCAGGTTGTCTCCTGGGAAACTGAGGCCCAGCCAGGCAGAATCAGGTCTCCTGGCCCCAGATACCACCCGCCACTCAGGCAGCTGCTGCCTGGGAAGCTGAAGATGTCTGAGGTGGGGGTTTCAGACCACAAGCCACGTGGAGGGAGGCCACGTTCCCCGTCCTCCCACCTGCACACCTGCCCTCCCCTGCTGGGCTCCAGGAAGCCCTCTCTGGGGTGGGAGTGGGTGCTAATGTTGGGTGCAGCTCTTTGGTTCGGTGACTCCTTTTTGGCAAAAGGGCTCAGAGATGCAGCTGAAGCCGTACCAGCCTTACATTCCCACAAAGGAGCTGTTACTCTCGTGCCCCTTCAATGGGAGAGGAAGGTGAGGCTGGAAATGGTGAGTAAGGGGCCAAGCTCGCTCAGAGGCTGGTATGACCCCAGGCTTACACCCGCCAGCAATGTTGAGGCACCGAGAGCTGAGAAGGGCTGAGGGTGCCACGCTGGGGGGGGGACCAGGTCCGACCTGCCCCCTCCTCTGAGACCCTCTCCTTCCCTACTGTGTTGGCCTTTGAAGCCCACGGTTTCAGCATCCATCACGGACCCCACCACACACCCAAGCGCTGCTGAGGACTTTAACTCCTGCTTTGGAATTTTCAGTGCTTCTGATTATTCGTAGACTCAAAATCAGAAGAGGCTACTTGCCCTAAACAGAACATGGTATATTTGCATTGCAGATCATTTTACATTTTTAAGAAAAAATGCAGTTTCTCTACAAAGTCATCCCCCTCCAAAAACAAAACAAAACAAAAAACCTCCCTAGGGATTCTGACAGGGCTGCCATCAGGCGTGTGACTGATTTGGGGATAATTCCCCCATCCCTTTGCTTTCCATTACCCTGTGGCCCCCGCGGCCTTCAGGGCAGGTGGCCTTGCCTTGTGAGCATCCTGCCCGTTTGGGGGCATTTCCTGGGCACCTGGTAGAGCCATAGGTGAGAATGGCCCCAGTGGTACTGGGCAGATGTGAGCACAGGGACAATGTTAGTGCAGGAAGTCAGGGGCCCGTCAGGGCTGTTGGTGGCTGACGCGGCATCCATTCCCCTCCTCGCATTCCCCCAACACACCGGCACCCTCATGGATGGTGACCACGCTCGCCACTCTGGAGTGCATCTGGTTGATCTAACGGGGCACTGTCCCTCTGGTCTGTGATTGCTCTGGAATGGGCCAGGGATCCCGGAGAAGAAACACACACAGGGCATCTGAGAACCGCAGCAGGGGCTCCAATTGGAATGAGCCAGCCCTGGGGGCCTTGAGGAGAGAGGCAGGAAGCGCCCAGTTCTTGACGCCATCACGGAAGCCTGCCCCACGCCCGTACTCCAGCCACGTGGGCCACGCAGGGCCAGGCAGGCTCAGCGGTGTGAGGCAAAGCACGGTGCCCGGTGTGGATGCCGCATGTGTTGAGCCAGCTGTGCTGTGGACAGGGCACAGCAGACAGGCATGGGATGTGGGCATCGGGACGGGGAGTCATGGCTGGTGTGAGTGCCTCTGGAGAGGGGAGTGCTGGGCAGCGAGAGGTCAGGGAGGCGTGGGGGCTTGGGACAGCCACCAGCCACGTCAGAGCAGCACTGCTGCTGATTCCCAGCAACACGGAATGAGGCCTCTTGGCAAAGTAACAGGATGTATCTTTGAAATGGCAGCAGCTGACCTTTAAAACAGAGGCAAGCCGTGCCTGTCTCAAAACATTTAAATCCTCACCCCAAACCATTATGCAGCTCACTGCACCCATGGAAAGCCAACATCAATACCTGTGTGCATGCTGGCCTCCCTGGCTTGGCTGTTTTATGGGGAAATGGGTATCAATCACGCAGCTCACTGCACCCGTGGAAAGCCAACATCAATACCTGCGTGCACACTGGCCTCCCTGGCGTGGGCGTTCTTTGAGGTTGCTGGCTCAAAGCCCCCAGCACTGCCAGACGGGGAAACCGGCAAACCCAGGAACTCCAAGGCTCAGCTCAACAGCCACACCCTTCCATAGGCCAAAAGAAGCAAGAGCTTTCTCTTTCTCACTGTTCTCAGGGATTCATTGTCTTTGTTTCTGTTTTTTGTTTTGTTTTGTTTTGTTTTTGGGAAGGGGGCCATGTCACAGGTTACTATAGAAACAACCCCCAAACTAGATGGGTGACGAAGCTGTTATTCCTCAGGGAGGCTCTTCGACTTGAACCAATTGTGGGGTCATTCTTTAGAAAACGGCTGTTTTTGCTCTGGGAACATTTCTAAGTTCTTTCTTCTTCCTTTGCCTCAGTTGGGGGCAGCATCGCTTCTGGATCACCTCTGATCGCTTCCTTTTCCCAGCTTTGTTGACATATAGTGTACACATCACAATGCTTATCCACTGTACAATTCAACCACTCTTAGTACATCTGCAGGCCTGTGCAGCCACCAGCACGATCTGGCTTTAGAACGTTCCCACTACCCCAGAAAGGTCTCTCGTGCCCCTGAGCAATCAATTTCCAATCCCTTCCCCAGACCCTGACACAGGAATCCACTTGCTATCTCTAGAGACTTCTCTATTCTGAACATTTCACGTAAGTGGGATCATACATATGTGGCCTTTTGTGTCTGTTTTTCCGCCCCCCCCGCCCTGAGTGTACTGTCTTTTTTTTGTTTGTTAGTTTGAGACAGAGTCTCACTTTGTCGCCTAGGCTGGAGTGCAGTGGTGCGTTCTCAGCTCACTGCAACCTCCACCTCCCGGGTTCAAGTGATTCTCCTGCCCCATCCAGCCTCCCGAGTAGCTGGGACTACAGGCATGCACCACCACACCTGGCTAATTTTTGTATTTTTAGTAGAGACGGGTTTTGCCATGTTGGCCAGTCTGGTCTTGAACTCTTGACCTCAGGTGATCGGTCCGCCTTGGCCCCCCAAAGTGCTGGGATTACAGGCATGAGCCACCGTGCCCGGCTGAGTATATTATCTTCAAGGTTCATCCGTGTTGCAGCGTGTGTCAGACCTTCATTCCTTTTCGTGGGTGAATAGTGTTCCATTGTATGGACAGAACACATTTTGTTTATCCATTCACCAGTTGATAGACATTTTGGCTTTTTCCACTTTTTGGTTATTATGAGGAATGGTGGTATGAGCATTCAGATACAGGACATATGTTCTCCATTATCTTGGGTATATGACTAGGCGTTGAACTGGGGGTCATCAGCCACACTACACTTAACCATTTAGAGAAATGCTGGATTGTTTTCCAGGATGGCTGCACCATTTCACACTCCCACCAGCAACCAGGTGTCAGTTTCTCCACATGGATGACAATACTTGTTATTGTCCTTTGTTTTTGACTAATGCCATTCTACGTGGTGTGAAGTGGTATCTCATTGTGGTTTGATCTGCATTTCCTGAATGACTCATGATGCTGAGTAGCTTCATGTGCTTACTGGTCACTCATCCATCTTCCTAAGTGAAAAGCAAATGCAGGGTGAATATGCTTCCTGGGTGAAAAGCATATTCAAATATATTTTACATTTTTTTTTTTAGTTTGAGTTGTTTGTCTTCCTGTTATTAGTTGTAAGAGTTCTATCAGATGTATAATTTACAAATATTTTCTTCCAGTCTGTGGCTTCTCTTTCATAATGGGTATTTCTTGAATCACAAAAGTTTTAAACTTTGATGAAATACTTTTTTTATGGATTATGCTTTTGATGATGTGTCTAAACACTCTGGCTAACTTAAAGTCCTGAAGATGTTCTATGTTTTCTTCTAGATGTTTAATAGTTTTGGCTCTAACATCTAGATTTATGATCCATTTCGAGTTAATTTTTTAGTATGAGGTACAGGCCTAAATAAATCTCTTTCATGAGGATATCCAATTATTCCAGCATCATTTGTTGAAAATATTACTCTTTCCCTATAGAACTGCCTTGGCATCTTTTCAAAATCAACTAACCATAAATGTTAGCGTTTATTACTGGACTCCAACTTTAGTCCATTGATCTTTGTGCCCATCTTTATGCCAGGATGACACTGTCCTGATTGATGTCACTCCAGGAAGCTTTGAAGAGAGAAATGTAAGACCTCCAACTTTATTCTTCTTTTGAAAAAATGTTTTGGTGTCTCATATACATTTTAAGATCAACTTGTCAATGTTTGGAAACAAGCAAATCCAACTGGGATTTTCTGAGTGATCGAGTTGAATCTGTACATCAGTTGGGGGATATCTGCCACCTTGACAATACCAAGTCTTCTAATACCATGGAGTATCTCTCCATTCATTTACAACATCCTTAATTTCCCTCAGCAGTGTTTTATATTTTATAGTTTTCAGTATGCAAGTCTTCTTCTTTTGTTAAATTTGTTCTTTTTTTTAAAAAAAAGTATGTTGTTCTTTTGAGGGATATTGTGATTGGAATTGTTTTCTTGGCTTAATTTATGGATTGCTTATTACTAGGATAGAGAAACACAGTTGATATTTGAATATTGATCTGGAATCTTGTGACCCTGCAGTACTCATTTATTGCAGTTCGTCGTTGATTCCTTAGGATTTCGACACACAGGATTATGTTTTCTGTTAATAAAAGTCATTTTACTTCTTCCTTTGTAATTTTGAACTTTAATCTCTTCTTTAATTCTTTTTTTGTTTGTTTGTTTCTGGTTTTGGTGCTGTTGCTTGTTTGTTTTCATTTTTTTTTTTTTGCCATATCACACTGGCTATAACTTTCATATACTCAGAGGGCCATGCTGTTAAATGCGTAAACATTTATAATTATTTTATCTTCCTGAATAATTAATGCTGTCTTCATTATGAAATTCCCCTCCTTATCTCTAGTTAACGCTTTGTCTTAAAGTCTATTTTGTGTGATATTAATATAACTCCTCCTGGCCGGGCCTGGTGGCTAATGCTTGTAATTCCAGCACTTTGGGAGGCTGAGGCAGGCGGATCACCTGAGGTCAGGAGTTTGAGACCAGCCTGGTCAACATGGTGAAACCCCGTCTCTGCTAAAAAAAATACAAAAATTAGCTGGGCCTGGTGGCACATGCCTGTAATCCCAGCTACTTGGGAGGCTGAGGCAAGAGAATCACTTGAACTCAGGAGGCAGAGGTTGCAGTGAGTCGAGACTGTGCCACTGCACCCCAGCCTGGGTGACACGAGCAAAACTCCATTTCAAAACAAAACAAACAAACAAACAATATTTATGTATATATAAAACTACTCCACATCTCATGGTTATGGTTTGCATGGTGTTTCTTTTCCCATTATTTTGCTTTCAACCTATTTGTGTTATGAATATGAAACGTTTCTGCTCTAGGCTCTAGAGAGCATAAAGTTGGATCTTGTTTCTCAACCACAGTGTCAGTATCTGCCTTTTGATTGAAGTATTTAATCCATTTACATTTAGTTCAGTTATTGCTATGGTTGGATTTATCTCTGACATTTGGCTATCTGCTTCTGATATGTCTCATGTCTTTTTTCCTTTCCTGCTTCCTTTTGTGTCAAGTAGGTACTTCTTTGAATATTTTTTCTGCCCCTTCGCTTTCTCCTCTCCTTGAACTCTGATTATGTGAATATTAATATGTTGATTGTTTCCCACAGGTTCAAGGCACTGTTCATTTCTCTTCCTTTATTATTAGTTTTTGCTGTCAGTCTTCAGATTGGATCATTTTTACTGATCTACCTTCAAATTTCCCTGATTCTTTCCTCAGATCTGCTGTCCATCCCTTCCAGTGAATTTCCATTTCGATTATTAAACTTTTCAGCTCCAGAATAGCTATTCAGTTTTTTAATTAATGAGTATCTCCTTATGTATTTTCTCTAATGAGTCATTTTCATCATACTTTAATTCTTAACATGGCTTACTTTAATTCTTTTTATTTTGAATTCTGGCTTCCTAAGTGTTGTTCCTGGGTCACCATATCTTAGTGATCAGCCAATACCTGGTCAGAGGTGGTGCCCAAATGCCTTGAGCCAGTAAGCCTTCTGCTTCTTGCCAGTGGGTCTGTGTGCGGGGTGAGGAATGCATTCGAGGTTCTGGAAGTTTACCAGTCTGCCCTGGATGTTCTTGTCTTCTGGGCCTCCTCCTGTCTCCTCTGAACATGTGTAAGGCCTCATATTTAGCCAAGGATGAGTAGAGAGCTAGGACCCTCTCTGGTTTTTCCTGAGTGGACACAGCCCTGCACATGAGCAGAATCTTCTAGATCACCAGAGGCATGTGGCAGCTTATCAAGGCTCACGTGTCTCTCTTATTTCCTGATTCTCACTCAAGATTCTGGCTAGTGCACCTTGGATCTGGGAGAGCTGGGGTGGCCATGCTGCTGCTGACCCACCCATGTCTCCTCAGCCCACCCGAGTCCACCTGCAGCTGGTGGAGCTGGTCTCCATCAGGCCACGGCATCCCATGAAACGCCTGCATGTGTCCCTCCTGAGGGCTCTCTCAGGCACCACGGGGGCTTCCTCTCCTCTACACTGCACCAGCCAGCAGAGCAAGGGCATTAATCTCCCAGGGATAACCCTCCACTCATGGGGACAGAGCCCATCCAGGTGGGACCTGGACTCCCTGTGAGGCTGAGTGGGGTCCCCACTTGCAGGGTTTGCTCAAGGCCACTCACCGGCTTCCCACCTCCAGGCCTACCTTCCCAGGTCCTCCCTCAGGCTTCCTGGGATCAGCTGCAGCAAACAACATGTCCCCGAATCCCTGTCTGCTTTCAGAGACCCAAACTCTGCCAAGGTTCCACACTGGCTGTGACTGGAGCAGATGTCTCCACCTTCTGGATACGAGTGTCCTCATCTGTAAGATTTTCCTTGTGCTAAATCATGGAAATCTTTCAAGAAAATCCGGGCTTTAAACACTTTCAATAGAACAAAAGTCGTCCTAAACATTTGCCTCTGTGCCTCTCCACATTCTGTTCCTTATTTCCACACTGTTTAATCAGTGCGTACACGCTGTTGTGGGTTCAGGGAGGTCCGGGAGGGCAGCTTCATGTTTGTTGATTGAATGAGCCCCAACCAGCTCCTTCCCAGATATCTGAGTGGCCCTTGGGCTCTTCAGCCCTCCCCAGAGGGTCCTGCTCTGCTATACCTAGGATGGGAACCTCCCACATGGAATCTGGAATGTTCTCTACAGGTGGGAAAACTGCTTTGCACATACAAGTGAGGCCTAGGGCAGACAGCTTCCCCATGGAGGGGAGAGGAAAATCATAAATAAGAACACTACAGCCCGGGCAGCCCATTCCCCAGGGCCAGGCGTGAGCAGAGCGCTTTCCACGGCCCGTCCCACCCAGGCTTGACAGCAGCCTCACGAGGTCCCCTTAGCTCCCAGTTCTCACACAAACCAACCGAGGCTCAGAGGGGTGAAGGGGCATTGCCAAGACCCACAGTTGGTGGGTGTGGGAGCGAGGAGCCCCTGTGCGGTGGAGCGGGACACGCTCGCCTGTGGAACAGCAGGTCCAGCATCTGTGGGGTGGGGGCAAAGCTTCCACACGTGCCCAGGAAAGCAGGAACGAGGAACGGTCGCTGCTCTGCCCCCAGGTGACGCTCTAGCTTCTCTGTGCAGCCTGCGTGGGGACTCCCACCCTGCAGGTCTCATCCAGGAACAGGGCTGACTCATTTTCACTCTGGGGTGAGCCAAAGGGAGGACGGCCCAAACATATGAACATGAACAAAATGCAGTCGCTCATCGCCATCATGTGAATTGGAGAAGTTCAGGAAGAATTTCTGGGCTATTCCTTCCTATAGGAATATGAAAAGTCACTTTGCACCTGGCCAAGCTGGGGCTGGACGGTGGTGGGGTGAGGGCGGGAGGAGGCCTAGGGTGCTGGGATTGGGACTTGGGGGCTGCTGGAGAGGCAGAACTCTAGCAGGACCCTGGGAGCCACCTGGTGACATCTGGGCAGGAGGCCTTCCCAGCCATCCAGGGGCCCTGGTTGTGGAGACCTCCCCTGCACACTTGCACCCCCAGCCAGCACTGGCCCTTGTTGGTGTCGAGGAGTCCCTGTCCCTCACTTGGGGAGAGAGTGGGGGTCGCCCCCTTGGCCAGTCTCCTGCGTGGAGCTCTGCAGAGACAGCGACCTAGGAACATCAGAGCCCGGCCCGGCCCTTGTCACTTCTGCCCACCTGACCTTCTGCTCTCCGGATCAGGCACAGAGCCGTGTCTGTGTAGACCTCCAGCCAGGATGACATGAGATCCATCTCAAGGGCTGGGGCCCACATCAGCAGAGGCCCACATCAGCAGAGGGCCCACATCAGCAGAGGGCCCACATCAGCAGAGGGCCCACATCAGTAGCTGGCCCAGCTGGCCTCAATCCTCATGGGCCGCTAGGCTCCTGCCCCAACACCCTGCTCTTGCCCAGGGCAGGCTCTCCCCTCTTGTCCCCTCCCCCCACACACCCAGGGAGGGTTGCGGGGGATCAGAGCGGAAGCCTGGCCTGTGCTGACCTCAGGGCTGCCCTGAGCTCCTCCAGGCAAATAGGGATCTTCCGGGCCTCAGGAGTGGGAGTGGCCCAGCCTCGGCAGGGCTGGAAAGGCTCCTTGGCCCTCCCCACCCCACCCTGCCCTGAGCCAGCTCTGCCAGGCCCATCCTCTGGTGGCTGCCTCTGGTCTTCCCCACCATCTGGGACACCAGCTGGTCCAGGCACAGCCTTGCCACAGTCCAGAGAAGGCCACCTCTAATGGGGCCTGCAGGCATTGTGGCCACAGGAGGAAAGGGCCGGGGGGCCCCTCTCCCCACTCCTGGGGCAGCTCCCTTGCCCTTCCCCAGCCTCAGGCACTCTCATCATCTCCGTTGGCCTCTTCTGGGGGCTCTTGGGGTTCATCTCCAGGGTGGAAAACTTGGAGGGCCCCTCCTGGCAGAGTCAAGGATGGGGTCAGCGAGACCCCATCCCCTCAGCCCTCAACCTTTGTTTCACCCAGAGCCCCTCTGAATCCTGGGAGCTGGCTCTTTCCACTCCCCGAGGGGGCCCTCAGGCCCACCCTGGCTGTCCCAGCATGGCCCCCGCGGCTTCTGCGCTGCACCCTTCCCGTCCCTCCCTGCTCCTCATGGTCACTAGTGCCTGCTTATCCACTGGGTCATCCCCTCGGCCAGGGCCCCTCCTGCCCTGGAAGCCCAGCAAGCGCCCACTCGTAGCTCCTCAGCGGGTCCTCGCCGGCCTGTGCCAGGTGCAGGGGCCAGTGGGAGGACAACAGGAGCCACGCAGGCCATCAGCGCAAGGTAAGGGGGACCGGTCGGGACCCAGGGAGCCTGCCCGGGCCTGCCAGCCCCCACCATTCTTACAAGGCGCCTTGGGTTAGCCACAGCTCTGCCTGGGCTGCTCCCCTCCACCCGGCCTCAAAATTAATGACCCCAGAAGAGACCGCCCCGTCCCTCCTGTAGGCTTGTGCCCCACTGTGTCTCCTGAGGTCCAACCCCTGGAGCTGCCTGCAACGTCCTCACTAATGGCTTAGCAGAGAAGGGCCAGGCCTGGACCCAAGCTACAAAGGCCTCTCCCAGGGAAGGATCAGTCGCAGCTCCAGGGGCACCTCCTGGAAGCCCCCCAGTCAGTCCCCAGTGTTTGGTACTCCTGTCTCATCTCCAGGGTCCTGGCTCCCCGCAGCTGGCCTCCCCAGCATGGTGGGACAGGAGACCCAGCTCAGAGTGTCTCACCTGCCCACCCTGAGAGGGATTCTAGGGGGAGCCTTGGAGGGGCCCTCACTTCACCTGCCTTTATACACGTGCATCTTCAGACTTCGGCTTTGCAAATTAAAGCCATGCTGGCCAGAGACCAACCTGAAGCTCAGCTCCCTGTCCCGACCAGATCACAAACCTGTGACAAACCTGGGGACACCTACCATGAACCCCTCACCAGCCTAACCCTGAAGGGACAGGGATAGGCGCTGGACTCCAGCCTCCCATTGCCCTGTGCCGCTCCTGCAGGGCAGGCCTCACCCTACCCAGGGCACCAGACTCCACAGGGCCCTGCTGCCCAGACTCTGCCCAGAGACGGCTCCTTGGGTGGTCAGGTGCATGGGGGGCCTATGTCCTAAGCAGCTCGGGATGGGGCTGGGAGGAGGCCGCAGCTTGTTCCAGGAACACAGCTGTATCCCCACAGGTGAGGGATGTTAAGCGTCCCTGTCAGCAAGTGCCCGTCTTTCCTGAAACTGGGTCCACACCAAGCCTGTTCTGCTGAATGAGGCTGGCCGGGCTGTGGGCTTGTCACGAGCTCCACTGCTGAAGACGGTGCCCTCTAGTGGCAGCTGGCACCTCTGCTGACCTCATTCATGCGCCTCACACACACAGTGCCCGTCCCATCTCTCATCACTGGGGTCCCAGTGTGTGCCTGAAGAAAAACCACACCACATGGATGAAAGCAAACCCACTCGAGACAGAGCCCCAAACTCCAAGTCTCATTTTGCCCAAATCTGAGTTTTATTTTTGCTGGAATCAGGTCATCTGGCCTGGCTGTCCCACCAACCCAGCTGGGAGCCTCTGAGTGGCCTGCCAGCAGCATCTCATTACAAAACAGCCCCCTGGAACCAGGTAGCCAAGGAAGCGGCCCACCTGAAAGGCATTTAGATTGAGAAGAAAAACTGCACCTTCCTGACAAAGGTCAGGGGTCACGGTGAAGGGAGGGCTGCTGGGATCACAGGGACAGCAGCATCTTCTAGCAGCTTGGCCATACCAGCCACTGAGGTCCTAACTGCAGCCAAGGGGCCGTTCTGCACATGTCGCTCACCCTCTGTGCTCTGTTCCCCACAGAGCAAACGCACATGGCAACGTTGGTCCGCTCAGCCACTGGTTCTGTGGTGGAACGGTGGATGTCTGCACTGTGACATCAGCTGAGTAAGTAACAACGACTGAGGATGCCGCTGACCCAGGGCTGGGGAAGGGGACTCCCAGCTCAGACAGGCTTGGCTGTGGTTTGCTTTGGGAGGAGAGTGAACATCACAGGGAATGGCTCATGTCAGCCCCAGGAGGGTGGGCTGGCCCCTGGTCCCCGGGCTCCTTCTGGCCCTGCAGGCGATAGAGAGCCTCAACCTGCTGCCGCTTCTCCTTGGCCCGGGTGATGGCCGTCTGGAAGAGCCTGCAGTAGAGGTGCACAGCCAGCGGAGAGTCGTCATTGCCGGGTACAGGGTAGGTGATGAGGCAGGGGTTGCAGTTGGTGTCCACGATGCCCACTGTGGGGATGTTCATCTTGGCTGCGTCTCTCACGGCCACGTGTGGCTCAAAGATGTTGTTGAGCGTGTGCAGGAAGATGATGAGGTCCGGCAGGCGGACCGTGGGGCCAAAGAGGAGGCGCGCGTTGGTCAGCATGCCGCCCCTGAAGTAGCGAGTGTGGGCGTACTCGCCACAGTCACGGGCCATGTTCTCAATCAGGTACGAGAACTGCCGGTTGCGGCTTATAAACAAGATGATGCCCTTGCGGTAGGCCATGTGGGCGGTGAAGTTCAAGGCCAGCTGGAGGTGCGTGGCTGTCTGTTCCAGGTCGATGATGTCGTGGTCCAGGCGGCTCCCAAAGATGTACGGCTCCATAAACCTGCCAGAGACCCCACCAAGGCAAGGGGGATGAGAGTTCACGGGGCCATCTCCACTGGCTCCTTGCAGGAACACAGACGCCCACCAGGGACTCCCGGGCTCCTCTGTGGGGGCACTATGGGCTGGGAAGCACAATTTGCAACGCTCCCCGTGTGCATGGACAGCAGTGCAGACCCATCCAGGCCACCCCTCTGCATGCCTCGTCTCGTGGCTTAACCCCTCCTACCCTCTACCTCTTCCCGAAGGAATCCTAATAGAACTGACCCCATATGGATGTGTGGACATCCAACATGACGCCAAAAGGACATTCTGCCCCGTGCAGCTCACAGGGCAGCCGCCTCCGTCACTGTCCTCTTCCCGAGGCTTTGCGGATGAGGCCCCTCTGGGGTTGGACTTAGCGGGGTGCTCTGGGCCAAAAGCATTAAGGGATCAGGGCAGGAGTGGCCAAGCCTGGGCGGGGAACCCTGATCCAAAGCACTGGACCACTGCTGGCCTGGGCTGAGAAAAGCGGGGCATGGGAGACACCCCCGCCTCTCGGTGCGTGACAGGCGAGTCATCCACATTTGCGGTTCCCAGGTCCTCACCTCCAGTCTACTCCCACTGGGTTCTGTCCCTTCCTCTCAAGCAACCCTGCCCATCAAGGCACTGGCGACCTCCATCTTGCCAAGGTCACAGCCTTGAATTCACTTCTCAGCAGCATCAACAGAGAACCACATCTCCCCTACCCCCGGCTGTCCCTCTTCACTGACTCCAAACACTGGAGCACCCAGGGCTCCACCTTGGACCTCCTTTTCCGATGCTCTGGAAACACCTGCCAGCCCCCGATGCTGATGGCTCCCTGGGCCCAGGCCCATCCCTCCTGGTAACCGTGTGACCTCTCCACTGGGGCAGCAAAGGGTTCATACCTGGTAGGAACCAAGCTTGTGATGTCCCCCAGGTCTCCCCTGGTTTTCACCATCTCAGTAACCAGTACCAGGCTCCACCCGAAGAGCAGGTGTTTGATCCCTTCGGCCCCAGCCACCTCCCACCCCAGCCCAAGGCCCACTGGCTCTGCCCTGCTGCCTCATGTCCACCTGCTGCTCCAGCTCTTCCGCTACTGCGATTTAAGCCCCGCCACCTTCACCCTGAACGCCCACACCAACCTCCTCCCTGGCCTCCCACCTGCCCCTCCCATCCCCTCCCCCCACAGCAGTCAAAATGACCATGTGAGAATACAGGACCAGTCATTCCTCCTCCCCGCAGCCCAGAAGGCCCAGCCCGATCCGGGGGGACCAACCTTACAGGTTCTGCCCTCAGCCTTTCCATTTCTGAACCCGTGGAGTCCTGCAACCCCCAGCAGGCCTGCCCTATCAAGGGCTGTGAGCGCCACACCAAGGCACACAAGAGCGTCCGCCAAGCTGAGGAATAAACTCCTGCTTCTCTGTGGGGCTCTGTATTCCCATGTGGAGGAGGATGGGGCTGTAATCACCTAAAACTGACATAGGCCAGTTCAAAAGTGGCCCTAGAACCAGAGCAGGTCCCAGGTTCCTCCTGGGAACCGCCCCGGGCTCAGATGGGGGTGTCACCTACCTGTGCCGACAGCCAGCTTTGTGTCCCAGATGGACTCGGGCATCGAAGAGGCTTCTCACGGAAAACAGTTCCTTGACATTGAAGAAGTCAGAGTGCTTGAGGGGCTCATTCAAAATCTTGTCGTTGAAATCTACGGCAGGGAGGAGGAGCGACGCTGCGTCTCCCACCGGTGGCAGCAGAGACAGGCAGAGCGCAGTTCCCGCCCACCCCTGCTCCCAAGTGCCTTCTGTGACACCGAGGTGGGGAGCCGGGAGCCCAGCAGCCCCAGGAAAGACCTGGAAGCACAGGGACCTTTTCAGGAAACAGAGGGCTGGAGCCAGGTTCTGATCCCGACCTTGCTCCTGGGTAAGCCTGGTCGAACCTGGTCAACCCCGTCCCTTGGTCTTACTTGGAAGACAGAGGAGAAAAAGAGAGGGGCCCAGCGGGTTGCTCAGGTCTTTCTGGCACCTCCCCGCCTTGTGGTCTCAGGTGGCCAGCCAGAAAGTCCCCATCAGGAGTCCAGCAAGGTGGGCAGACTCCAAGCCCAGTGCCCCCAGGTCACTTGGGCCCGCCTGGGCGAGCTCGGGGCTCCGGGCCTCGGTGGTCCAGTGACACCCCCCTAGGGAGCGAAGCCTGTGCTAACCACTGGCCCGCCCGCTCCCTCTCACCCTATCCATGGTGAGGCGGTGGCCTCAGCCCGCTGTGCTACGTCAGGCAGGACCGAGCGGCGGCGAGCACGGGAGTGGGAGGAGCCCAGCGGAGCGCGCAGTTTCGACCGCGTGCAGCGCCCAGGCCCCTCTAGGGTTCGCATCCCCCGCGGCTGCCGGCCTCTCCTCGTTCCCACCCAACTCGGCTGGGCGCCCAGTGTTACCGGTGCTGTCCTCCGACTCGCGGATCATAAGGGCCGTCGCGCTTCCAAGCGTCCTGCGGCTCGGCCGAGCAGGCCGGGGGGTCGCCTTCCCGAGAAAGCCCAACCAGCGCGACGGGGCCCGGGCACCTGGGGGGAAGTAGATAGAGGTCCTGGCGCCGAGTCCCGAATGCACCACGCCCGCTCCCCACCGCATCCCCAACGGGCCCCTCCGCGTCCCTAACGGGTCCCCTCCGCGTCCCCGCGCCCTCCCCGAGTCCCCTCCGCGCTCGCCCCGGGTCCCCTCCACGTCCCCGCCGCTCCATCGGGTCCCCGCGCCCCTCCGCATCCTCCTCGCATGCTCCTCCCCAGGGTCCCGCAAGCGCGCGCTCACCCGCGCCGAGTATTCGGGGCAGCGCGGCCGAGGATGTCGCCATGGCTGGGACGCGGGGCAGAGCGAGGTCTCCCTCCAGGCCAGGCCGAGCGGCCTCCCCTTCCGTCGCCATCCGCGCGGGGCCGCAGTGCCGCCTACAGGCCCGGAGGAGCCACAGCGCTGTCCCCAGGCGGCTGGGACCTCCCTGCGGGGGCGGGGCACGCGAGGGGTCAGGGCCCGGGGTCCTGGGCTTGAGAGTCTCGGGCGGGGAGTGGAGCCACGGTCCTCGCCCTGCAGCTCGCCCCGCCCTGCTAATGGGACCGGCCAGCCCGGGAGGCCCCTGACCCTTGGGGAAGCCCGCTGGGCGATGGGGACCCTCGCCTCCCGCCAAGTGAGCTGTGAACCACGTCCTGCGCAACCTCTCGCTCTCCAAAACTGTTTGTAATATTTAAACGATATTTGGCTTAGGAGAATTTCATAAAGTTAGCCAGATCTCGGGTCTCAATTTAGACTCGGGGTGCTGGGGGGCATAGCATCCCTGGAGTACATTGGACAGCAAAAGTCCAATCGTTGCCTGCCGAGTGGACCTGCAGTGCTTAAACCCCGTCACCCGGCTGGCGGGGTCCCAGGCCCTGGGGTTTCTTTCGCCCGGGAGTCCACGCCCTGATGCTGGGGTGGCCCGGTCCCCCCGCGGGTGGCTGGGGGCCTGGGGCTGCCTCACACGACGGTCCCAGCAGGGAATCTCTCGCCGTCCCGACCTTCCCGGCCCTTGGGGAGTCGCCCGGCAGGTTCCGGACCCACCCGCAGAGGAACCCGGCCCACGCGCGGCGCCTTTAAGGCCCCTCCGCTCGCTCCCCAGTCACGTGACCTGGCCGTCGCTTGGCAACAGGACGCCGCCGAGTCCCGCTTCTCCTCCAGGCACAATGGCTGAGGAATGCCCCAGAGCGTGCGCGGAGCCTGTGGCGCCCAAGGCCACGGCCCCGCCGGAGAGGACCAGCGACTACTACCGCGTGAGCGCGGACCTGCCGGGCAGGTTCAACAACCCGGGGTGGTTCCGGGGCTACAGGTGAGGAAGCTGGGGCCCGCCTGGTCCTGGCGTCCACTGCTCGATAGCCCCGTGTGTGAGAGACCCCGCAAGACCCCCAAGGTCCTAGCTACAGAAATCAAGAAGATCGAGTGGTCATCCGGGGCCCGCGCTGTCATCGCCCGCCAGTGAGCGGCGACCGTGCTCCCTAGAGCCTCATACAAGGAAGTGGGGATAAGGGCAGTGGGGGGCAGGGCCGTGGGGGGAGAAAGCCCAGTTGTGGTCTCAGCTCCACTGATTTGTGTCGGGTGAGTCTCCTCTCCTCTCTACCCTGAAACTCCGCTGCGGGGCGTGAGCACAGCAGCACCTCCACTGTCTTGCTGTAGACTCAGCCAGCTCTGAGCTGCCACAGGGCATTGCAGGCTAAGAAGTAGTAAGAAACTCAATTCCTGTAGGCAGGTGCAAACATCTTGCCGTGCTCATCACACATTTGGTCCCTCAACAGTCCTCTAGGGCAGGGTCTGTTAGTATCCTCATTCTCGCATTGAGATGACTGGGATGTAGAAGGAACAACTTGGCCAAGATCTAGGAGTATAAAGTAAAGCTATGTCGTGGGCCTGCAGCCTCTCAGTAGCCTGTCCTACTGACAGGTAGGGGCAGTGGTACCAGTAGAAGCATAGCCTCAGTGAGGGTGGGGGCTCAGAGGCAGAGGGACCCTCTGGGTGGCAGGGTCTGGAGGCCAAGCCTCCGCTCCTGACAAGCTAGGTTACCCAGAAATTGCAGCATGTGCCGAGGCCCTGCCAGGGCTGGGGATCAGCACTTGCTGGCTGCCTGCTCTTTAGGGCTTTGGCCTGCCTTGGAAGAGCAGGGACAGTGGCAAGCAGAGGGGGCCGGGGAGGCCGGGCCATTCAGAACGGTCATCAGCCAGGTACTCCCAGAGGCTGCCTTCGAGGCCACATCACCAGCCCGGGCATATTGCTCTTTCCATGGGGGCATTTCCAGGGGAGTGCCGTCAACCAAATACAAGGCTGTGGCTTGTGCAGAATTAGAGTAAATGAATGAAAATAGAGTGTTTCTCATCTACCAGGACCCAGAAGGCTGTCTCCGTGTACAGGACCAGTAACCAGGCTTACGGGAGCAGAGCCCCCACCGTGCACGAGATGCCTGTAAGTGGGATGCAAGACCGGGCATGGGGGGCAGGGGGTGGGTGGCCTCAAGAAGAGGCTAAAAACCTGGGGTTCTCAACAGGTCAACAATGAGACGGGGAGGGGTGCACCCAGGGAGGAGGCCAAAGTTCCAGCATCACAAATGGGGAGGAGGGAGGTTCCCAAAATCGCTTTGGGAGAGGGTAGGATGGAACTAAATGAGTGAATGAATTTGGGAGTGGAGTGTTTTAAAAGAGGAGGATATAGACTTGCTGACATCACCCTGCCCCCATACACCCAACCACACGCACAGCAGTCTCACACACACACACGCAACCATCTCCTGCAACTTACGGTGCTCAGTTCTGAGGCAAATAAATGAAGGGCTACTTTTTTTTTGGAATTGTACTTTATGAGATGTTAACGTGTAACCTGAAGAGGCAGTACTGGCTGACGGCACAGCTTGTGGGTGGGCAAGTTGTATTGGTGGGCACAGGAGTCTGTGGGCCATTGGGGAAGCCAAACCCTTTTTGAGCTTGACCTTAGGCTCCAGGATGGCCCTCCTAGAACCTCCCCACACCAAACCCCATGAAGGTCCAGGTGAATGGACAGAGGGACTAGTGCGGTGTCTCCTGCACACCTGGGACACTGGGCCAGCCATTCTGGGGTGAGAATGTTGTGGACGTATTTTCGTTGTCAAAGCATTCATCACTGAAAAGGTCTGGTGAGTGCTTATTTAGTTGTGTGGCGTGAGTGACTGAGCCCTTGTGAGAAGATTACTTATCTAAAAATGCTGGAGCATTTGAGAATCACTCTCCCGTAATCAGACGACCCTGAGTTTTCCCTGGGGATCAGGTATTTCTATGAAAAAGACCAGACACAGCTGGATGCGGTGGCTCACGCCTGTAATCCCAGCACTTTGGGAGGCTGAGGTGAGAGGATCACTTGAGGCTCAGAGATCAAGACCAGCCTGGGCAACGTAATGAGACCCCCATCCCTGTAAAAATAAAATAAAATAATTAGCTGGGTGTGGTGGCATGCACCTGTAGTCCCAGCTATTCAGGAGGCTGAGGGTGGAGGATTGCTTGAGCCCAGGAGGTTGAGGCTGCAGTCAGCCTTGATCATGCCATTGCATTCCACCCTGGGTGAGAGCCAGACCCTGTTACCAAAACAAACAAGCAAACAAACAAAAACCAAAAAAAAAAGAAAAAAAAACCCAGCACACTCACTAACATGGGTCCAGATGTTTTAGGTTTTATAAAAGGCCATGAAAAAATGTTCCTATTGTAAATGGTAGGAGCCTTCAGGTCACTGATGGGAGCAGGCAGTGGGGTAGGAGGCATGAGGTACTACTGACAAGTTTCCAAGGAGGTTCTCCTCCTTCTTATCCACCTGCTCCGTCTGGAGTCTCTTTTCCAGTTTCGTGACCAAGGGTGGATGCCGGAGAAGCTGTTTACCTCCCATGTGGGAATAGAAGATAAATGCTTTGCATTAAAAAGTGCACTGAAAGGCTGGGCGTGGTGGCTCACGCCTGTAATCCCAGCACTTTGGGAGGCCGAGGCGGGTGGATCACCTGAGGTCAGGAGTTTGAGACCAGCCTGGCCAACATGGCGAAACCCCGTCTCTACTAAAAATACAAAAAGTAGCCGGGCATAGTGGTGGGCGCCTGTAATCCCAGCTGCTTGGGAGGCTGAGGCAGGAGAATTGCTTGAACCCAGAGGCGAAGGTTGCAGTGAGCTGAGATGGCGCCATTGCACGCCGGCGTGGGTGACTAGAGCAAAAACTCCATCTCAAAAAAAAAAAAAAAAAAATGCACTGAAGGGAATTCCTCTCCATGATACTGCATGGGCGGATCCCTGTGATGATACATTTGTCCCACCCATAGAATGTAGACTTTAGTTACTAATAAAGTATCAACACTGGCTCCACCGTAAAAAGTGTGCTACACAAGTGCGACATGCTAAGGACAGGGGGAACTGTGTTTGCTGAGGGAGGTAATTTGGGAACTCTCCGTACTTTCTGTTCAATTTTTCTATAGATCTAAAACTTCTCAAAAACAAAGAAAAGTTTTCTCTTTGCACTTGTTTCTTGCCAAGGAGATGAAACATCAGGTGATGTGCGTGGCACAGGATCCTCTAAGGACAGGTCACCCGTATGGGGTAAAATATTTGGCGGAGGTCCAGACCACTCGCTTCAGGAATGTCACAGTCACCTAATGATGCTGTCTTGCTAGAATAACTCCTACCACTGGGTGCCCGCCCACACGAGTGGCCTCAGCACACCCCTTCTCAATGGAGTTTTGCTCTTGTTGCCCAGGCAGGACTGCAATGGCACAATCTCGGCTCACTGCAAGCTCCGCCTCCCCGGTTCAAGCAATTCTCCTGCCTCAGCCTCCCGAGTAGCTGGGATTACATGCGCCCGCCACCACACCTGGCTAATATTTTTGTATTTTTAGTAGAGACGGCATTTCACTATGTTGGCCAGGCTGGTCTCGAACTCCTGACCTGAGGCGATCCACCTGCCTCAGCCTCCCAGAGTGCTGGGATTACAGGCGTGAGCCACCGCACCCAGCCCCAGTTAAGGTTGAAACCCACTGACATGGATATCATTTCTATTCCATAGAAGAGAAAACTGAAGTTCAGAGAGGGCTGGCAGCTTTCCCAGAGTAGCACAGTGAGCAAAAGCAGACCTGGGGGTGACTCCAGGACTGACCCCCAAGGCGATGCTCACAGCCACATCCTGAGGTAGAGATGGCACACAGGTGGCCCCACAGCTCATTCTTCTATCCTTAGAACAGTGCCGGGGGCAGTGTTAACAGCAAGTGCCAGGCATCGGGCATGGATTAGGATGGTCTGGGGTGAGCCAGGCCATCCTACCCACTCTGGCTTCTCTGCATTTTCTTATGAATTCTTATTTTTCTTTCAAAAATATTCAACGGATTGCTCAAGAGTATTATACGTCATTAATCCGTGTTCCTTTATCTCTTATAGAAAGTATTTTATCCAAATTCGAATAAATTTTCCCAACAACTTGCAGCGGGTGGAATGTTCCGGAACAATACTCTCAATGTTTACCTGGAGAAAAGCATCGTGACTGGCCCCGATAACTGCATCACCTCCTGTGACCGGCTCAACTTCCACCCCAGTTACAACATCAACAGGCCATCCATCTGCGATTGAGGGGCTGGAAACTCCCTCTAGGAGTCCTCTGACCCCAGGGCCTCCTGGAAAATCATCATCCCTCATCACCCACAGTCGCCCGATTGTGACGGCACAGACTGCGCTGCCTTCCCTGAAAATATTATTCGTCTGCGGAGTAGGAAAATATGCAAACGGGGCCGTGAAGTCCTGCCATTTCACATCTAATAAGTACATGGGAAAGATGCTAATGGTTGACTTTGCATTAAAAACGTTGTCACATCCTGAGCTTCCGTCTCGTCTGACGTTTGTCATGGTGGAGTGGGGCTGTGGGCTCCCGGGGCCCAAGTCCTGGCCTGAGCATCGGGAGCGCTGGTGGCTAACTCCGCTCGTGTCTGTATTTGGGAGCCATGTTACACACAAGACCAGTTAGGGAGCAGATCTCCCGTCCTAAAGCACCCAGCACCCTGGCTGAGATCTGCACAAACACTGCGGGGTTCCCACGAGGGCATGAGATGCCCCACTGGGGTGTGGGCGAGGGCCAGGCGCTGGGCAGGAGGAGGAGCAGATGCCTCGTCAGCCAAGTCGAGGCTGAACAGGCAGGAGGGGCCGTTACTGTGTGAGATTACTGGAGGAGCACATGGGGTTGCAGATGAACCTCCTCCACCATGTTTGTGTGCTTCATGCTCCAGCAAGGGGCAGGGGCAGGGACAGGGGCAGAGACAAGGTTGGTGAATGCCCTTCATTGTGGAAGGGGATGATGCAGACATGGGCATTCTCTATGTTTATTTTAAAATTTCAATAAAAAGTAAAAAAAAAGGCAGGGGATTACCTGTATTTTGCTAAGGGGGGTAATAACTACATGAAGTGGATTTTTATCTCTATGTAGTCATAAATCCATGTTTACTATGAGCTACAGGGTCTTCAATAAAAAAAAATTTGTCTATGACATGGATTTTTTTTCCCTCTATGAGAGCAAGATGTGTTCATTATAGGAAATTTAGAAAGTACTGAAACTAGAAAAAAGAAACTCCTCTTACACACCATCAATAATATCTTGTTAATAGATTCTTACCTGCAGGGATTCTACTCACGAATTAGGGAAGAAGTTAAACATCATGATGGGTTATTTCTTCATATAAACGTTTTATTATTAATACACAAAAGTAAACATTTTGGCAACAGTCTTAATGTCCAATTTGGGATGGAAATGCTTTCCAGAGAAAATCAATATATTTAATTAAAAAGTATACAAAATTGGCCCTGAAGCCAGGATCTATGTAATATCTTTCTTCTGAGCTAAAAAACCAGCAGAGACTCCAGGCATCAAACTGAAAATGTTTTTGCAGTTATTCCTTAAAAATACCAGAAATACCAGTAACCCCTCTGTGTTTAGCTTCTATTGAAATAAATAAAAAAAAATGCCTTATCAATCAGGTTTCTCAACACACTGAAAAGAATGCATTCCCGGCCGGGCATGGTGGGTGGCTCACACCTTGTAATCCCAGCACTTTGGGAGGCTGAGGTGGGCAGATCACTTGAGGTCAGGTGCTCCAGACCATCCTGACCAACATGGTGAAACCCTGTCTCTACTAAAAATACAAAAATTAGCCAGGGGTGTTGTGGGGTGTGCCTGTAATTCCAGCTACTCGGGAGGCAGAGGCAGGAGAAATGCTTGAACCTGGGAGGCGGAGATTGCAGTGAGCCGAGATCACGCCACTGCACTCCAGCTCAGGCGACAGAGCAAGATTCTGTCTCAAAAAAAAAAAAAAAAAAAAAAAAAAAAAGAATGCATTGCTTCCTCCACAGATGATTTTGAAAAGCACCAGGGTAAGATAAAGCCATCAGTCCAAATGACTGCGTTTGTTTCCCCGCCAGCCTAGAACTGTTGAACACCTGCACTGCTGTAGCAAGATGGCTTCATCCAGGCAAAGTCACGCCTGCAGGCAAAGTCACACCTGATGAAACCACTTCACTCGGATAACACCCCCAATTCTAGCTGAGGCGCTGTCGGGGCCCAGGCTGGGAGTATCAACCAACAGCAACAGGTGCCTCCCTCCTACGGGCTTCACGGGCTCAATTCCGGCATCTCAGTTGGGTGCCGAGTGATTTAGTTGGTCGTGTCTAATAAAATGTTACTTCTGTACAGCTGCTAATGAGCTGATGGAAAGTTAGACTCCACTCATTTATTCTAAATAGAGTAAGCATCTGGAGAGATGAAAAACCCCAATACCTCTGAATTGTGAGCCTGCCTGTCTCCCATGCCCAGGCCCGGGCGTGTGCCCGCCGCTCCGTTTCTTGGCATCTCGCAGTGTTCTAAGGGCTTTGGCATTGTCACCTTGCCCGATCTTCACACCTGGGGCCTCCCTCTCAGATGGGAAACAGAGCCGCATGGAAGGCTGCGAGCCGGCCTCGCTGGAGCCCGCCTTGGGGACATCCTGGAGGCGGGAGGCCATCGGCACTAGAGCCGCAGATTCAGTCCTAACCTACTACGCATTTGTGAGTCATACAGAGCTCCAGGGATCACAAATCTGGAGACCTTCCTCTTTGGAACAGATTTCCAAACTGAAATCTTCACATGCTGAGAAAAATCAAGTCCACTGATCTAACGGAACGCTCAACGGGTGTGTTTTCTGTTTGGGATTAAAGCGTACAGAACGGAGGGTTGCAAAATGAAAAGAAAATGGCACCCATCTATACTGTGTTCTTTCAAAATCTCAGAATTACAGGAAAGGTGACGGAAACACAGTGTAACATCAGTTTGCAGAGATATTTGGAAAAAAAAAAAAAAAAAAAAAGGACACAGCCATTTCTGAAACCCTCTCTCTTCACTCCACAGAGCAGTCTTTGCTTTGTTTAGCCTTTTTATTCCACTCAGAAATTACAAGCTAAGGCTGGGCACAATGGCTCATGCCTGTAATCCCAGCACTTTTGGAGGCTGATGTGGGCGGATCACCTGAGGCCAGAAGTTTGAGACCAGTCTGGCCAACATGGCGAAACCCTGTGTCTACTAAAAATACAAAAATTAGCCAGGAATGGTGGTGCACACCTGTAATCCCAGCTACTCGGGAGGTTGAAGCAGGAGGATTGCTTGAACCCGGGAGGTGGAAGCTGCAGCGAGCCAAGACACCACTGCACTCCAGCTTGGGCAACAGAGTGAGACCCCTTCTCCAAAAAAAAAAAAAAAAAAAAAAAAAAAATTCATGTCGCTTTACTAATCACTGAATTTTACTGCTGGGTTGGTTTAAAACCAGCCACTTCTTAAACGTACATTTTCATTTATATTTCTGTATTTTTCATCAGTAACCTTTATCTTTTCATTACAGTCAATATTAGAATGGTTTCTATTATGTAGTAAAATATCTTGACATTGAAAAAAAAAATCTCTTACATATAGTACACAAAATACCAGAAGCCTCAAAGATTTTGCAAATAATGTGATCTGTCCCCCACCCTCCCCAACAGCCACGCCTGGGAATAAACCTGGTTGTGATTTGCGGATATGGAATGTGGACTTTGTGCTGTTCCCTACGCCCCTTTAAACAGGTCCTTTCATTCGTTTTGAGGGAGGGGGGATCCAGGGGGCAATGCCTTTTACATGTTTATATGAGCAGACAGGTGCTAATAATTACATGTACTGCTTGATTTTCCAAAGCAAATATATCTCAAGCTGGGAAAATCTGCTGTCTGAGCCTTCAGATTCTGAGCGACAGATAAATTAAGGGGGACTCTTCCTTAAAGGAAGCTTCTCCCCCTACATAGGGAGGTGGGTGGAGAATATCAGACATGACCCGCCAGAGCTTTTTCCTTTTCCCATCCCCGTTCCCCGACATCAGGCTGACTCATCCCAGAGGACGAGAAACCTTAAAACCTGGCCTCTCCCGATTATTTGTATTGGATGAAATGGACCCTGGCCCTACTCCCTGGGAAGAGAGGGGCTCTTGGGACATGACTTACCTCTAGGTCTTAATAATTACAGACTTGCAAAGAGCTTGACTTACTGACACACTGTCCGCCGGAGACTCCTACAGGGCGGGCACACATCTACTTACTCCCACAGCGGCGCCGGGCCCGTATTCATGGGATGCAGCCGCGTCGTCACACCCGGATCTGCGGAGGTGCTGGGAGACAGACTGCCAACACAGGGGCGGGCATCCCTCCTGTGCAGCTCCTGGCTGCCCTGACTGCAGCCCCCTCCCATACAGGAAAACCCGCTGGCAGGTGTGGACGAACCTTGGATCTTGGCCTCTTCTCTAAAACAAACAGGACAGTGCAGGGGGTGAAGAAGCACCACTTTCAGGTCACATGGCCCATGGGCAATTCCAGGGAATTCCAGTTTGTGAAGAGAAAGAAGGCACCAACCGACTCATCTCCAGCTGAGTCTTAAAGCACCAGTGACTCCTGAAAGCAGGACAAGAGGAGCTCCAAGGGCAACTGTGATCGGCAGAACAAAGGTGGGAGGAAGCCCCCCCGTGCTCCAGGGAAGACTGGCATGGATCGCCTGTTTTAACCCCATCAGGAGGGCCATTTGGTCGGTATTTAAGCAAGCCACTGTTTGTCACAGCAAAGCCTGATCCCCAAGGGCCTCGGTAAGGAGCTCTGAACTGGGGACATCTTGTGCAGTTTTGAGTCCACCCCACCAGGGTGACCCCCGCGACGACACGGCACCTCTTTACAAAAACTGAAAATGGACCAAAGTGTTCCACAAAGAAATGCAGGTTCCTGGAACATTCTTAGTGAGTGATTAACCCACAGTGACTGTAAGCCAATTGGCAACTGCTCTGCATGTGGATAGGGGATGCCCTACACACATGTACGGGCAGAACACGCTAACTAGAGCTGGTGACCGTGTTACAGATGCCATGTCCCTGAACCTCAGGAGGTCTTCTTTCTGGGGCAGCAGCAGCTCTGACCTGCACTGCTATGTGGAGTGTTGGCAGAGGACATGTGAACGTCAGGGAAGGTGTAAAGGGTCCGGGGTTTGGGGAAGAGATGAGACAAGCGACCCTGGGGTGGGCATGGGGGCAGGAGTGGGAGAGGCTCAGTGCTACGTGCACTGTGGCTGTGGCTCCTCCCCTGGTGGGCCCAGGACAAGGGGGTTGGTTTCCAGCCAACATCCCCACAGGCACTATTTAGAAATATAAATAAGGCCGGGCACGGTGGCGCAAGCCTGTAATCCCAGCACTTTGGGAGGTCCGAGGCAGGCGGATCACCTGAGGTCAAGAGTTTGAGACCAGCCTGAACAACACAGTGAAACCCCTCTCTACTAAAAATCCAAAAATTAGCTGAGTGAGGTGACTCATGCCTGTAGTCCCAGCTACTTGGGAGGCTGAGGCACAAGAATCGCTTGAACCTGGGAAGTGAAGGTTGCATGAGCCAAGATTGCGCCACTGCACTCTAGCCTGGGCGACAGAGTGAGACACCGTCTCAAAAAATAAAAAATAAGAAAAAGCAATATAAATAAAAGAGCATGGATTACATGGAACTGTTTCTCCTGGAAGCACTTAAGTGAAGCAATATGCCACAACGAAGATATCACACACAAAAGACGGGGCTGGACAGGAACAGCAACCACAGGGACCCTCATCACGGCTTCTGACCCAGCAGACGTTGCATCTGTGGATGGCAGGTGGCACATGCCTGCATCTGGATACAAGAGTGAATTCTTGCTAAAACCCAGGGGTGCACAGTGTGTAGACAAGCCACTCGCATGTTCGAATACCAACAAGATTCAGCTCCAAAGAAACCCCGCATGGCAGCTAAGCCACGAGGCTGACCTGGGAAGCTCCAGTGACTCATCAAAGTTTGCTGGACAATTACAATGTAAATGTCACGGCCCATCAGTGCCCAGCACTGCTTCTGTCTCTGTAGTAGCCACGGACACTGCGGTGGCCTCAGAGCAGAAGGCACAGAATACCAGGGCAGCATCACAGGGCACCAACACCAAGGACCTGAGGCCGCCACCTTTAACCACGCCACAGTGCAGGAGAGGGCCCTGTGCATTCTGTCCTGGGAGGCGCCCACAGAAAGCCACCCAAAGGGCTGACGTTGGTGTTCGGGCACACCTCTGACGGGGCTCCTGTTTCTGGAGGGCAGGTATGGAGAACGCTTATCCCCAGGACTGGGTTTTGCACGTCATCTCTGCCCTGGGTGTCTGGGGACCAAAGTTCAAAGCAGTGCTTATTGGTGTGTGCAAGAAAAGAAATTTGTTTTGTTTTGTTTTTTGAGATGGAGTTTCACTCTTGTCACCCAGGCTGGAGTGCAATGGCACGATCTCAGCTCACTGCCACCTCCGCCTCTTGGGTTCAAGTGATTCTCCTTCCTCAGTCTCCTGAGTAGCTGGGATTACAGGCATCCGCCACCATGCCTGGCTAATTTTTGTAGTTTTAGTAGAGACGAGGTTTTGCCATGTTGGCCAGGCTGGTCTCGAACTCCTGACCTCAGGTGATCCGCCCGCCTCAGCCTCCCAAAGTTCTGGGATTACAGGTGTGAGTCACCGCGCCCGGCCAGAGAAAAGGACATTTTAAGTGCACGTGTGTTATCTTTAAGAACCATGATTTAAAAAGAACAGTAACGCCATATAAAAAGAGGTTTATTTCGATGTTAGAATCATCTAGTGATCGAACAAGATTGGACATGAACCCACCCAGGCCCAGGGCTGGGCTGCCGAGCAGCTGCCGCTGACATCTGTGTGGATTTGACATGCAACAGGGAGTAGCCACGTGCTCGCTCGCTGGCCACTGTGCTTCGAAACGTTTTTCCAGCGGACGGCTGTGATTGCAGTTTTCAGATGTGCTCTGGCCTCTAAGGACGTGGGGCCGAGGCGGTGTCCTCTGTATAAAAAGTGCTGTCCTGGGAGCTTCCCAACGGACATCTTGGGGCATCTGAGTGATTCCCAGGGAGGGCAGCTTGGCCTTCCTCAGGCTACCACTGCAGCCACCGCCGGCCATTCTCACCAGCAATCAACCAAAAAGCATCAGAGCCTCTGTGAACCTGGCTGTGATGGTAAGAACCAAATGTTTCCTAAGCTAAGACTTGTATGCAGAACACAGAAAACTGCAGTTAGGAACACCCTACAAAATTGAACAACAGTATTTTCCAAAAATATCTTTTACATCACTTTAAATAATTTACAAAAAGCTACAAAAATCATATTTACCAGGACACGTCTGTTAAATAAAAGTTTCATGTTGGTGTACATATATACAGGGCTATGTATAATAGACTGTTTCCCTTCCTTGCAGCCACGGAACCATCACACACACGCACGGCTACGCCGCTTTCCACGAATGCACGCAACCCAGGACGCGAACCCACAGCTCGAGGGCTTAGACCTTCACTACTGAGCTGCCGCCACTGTCCTCCGTGGAGGTGTCGCTGAAGTCACTGGCGTCACTGCCCAAGGCGTCCTGCTCCTGGTCATCCCTGTTGACCCTTCGTCGATACCTCAGGTCTAAAATGCTTTCCTCCGAGCCCGAGCTCCTCCTGTCATGCAAACTCAGCCCTGCCTGTGCCTTCCTGGTTGGCCAGGGGCCGCCGTCCTTCTTTGCCAGCAAGTGTGGGCTTCCAAAGACAGGGCTGGGTCCGGCCTGGGCCTCCCTGAAGGCCGAGAAGGAGGGGCCCTGCAGAGGCAGCCCCAGGTGGGGGCTGAAGAGGCCAGCCTGCCTGCCCCCCCAGGAGACACCCTTTCCAAAGTGGAAGAGCTGGGTGGACAGCAGCGGCGAGAAGCCCGCAAGGGGCAGGCTGGGCAGGCCCCGGGCGGGGCCCTCGGACCCCTTGTCTCTCTCGCTCCCGACGCCCCCCCTCCACACTGCATCTCTGCCTTCGGAGCGCAGCACCCACGGGCTGGGCAGCCGACTCTGGTGGGCGAAGTCGCTCCAGGGCGGTGTGCGGTCGGCCTGGGCTCCAGCGTCCCTCTCCGCTCCCGGGCTGGGGGTCAGGAAGCTCGGGCTCCCGCAGCCCATGTGAAAGGTTCCTCTGGCGCCTCCTGCCTCGGTGCCCGCTGTGGCACAGCTGGGCAGCTGACCAAAAGCACTTTTGGCAGCAGGCTCAGCCCCTCGTGGGCTCTGGTCTTTGTGAACGTAAACATTTCTCCTGCTCACTGAGAGCCCCTTGGCGGAGACACCGCCGCTGGTGCTCCTGGGCGGCACCGGATCCCCTCGGGCAGGAGCAGCAGGGAGCCCCTTCCCGCCCTGGCTGAACAGACCAGCTGTGCCCTGTGCTCCTGCGCTCTCTGTGCCTCGAAGCCCTTCGGCCAGATGTGGGACCCCCCTGGCCCTCTGGCTGCGTGTGCACACGCCAGGCGGTGGGGCAGGCTCCTTCCTGCACAGCACCTCTGGCCTGGCTGGGCCCCCTGTCCCAAGAGCGGTGGGGCCCTCTGCCTGAACTTCTGAACTGCTCACTGACTCCTTGGCCTTTTCCGCCAAAAACTTCCTAATCTCCAGTTCGATGCTGTCGTTGCTGTCCACTGAACTGCTGTCATCAGACAGGGAGCCGGGGCTGGGAGCTGGGCCCTGGGACTCCCTGGGGAATGGATTCCCTTCGGAGGCAGAGGCGGAGGCGGGTCTCCTCACCCGGAAGGCCAGGGCCGCGTCCTGGCTCGCGGCACCCTCCTGCCTCATCCTCTCTGCCGTGCTGCCAAAGACACTGGGGGGTTTCTTCCCAGGACCCTCGCCACTGTCTCTCTTGGACTTGGAGAGGCAGCTCTTCAGCACTGGCGGGCCCCTGTCTTTCCAGTCTCTCCGGAGCCCGCCCAGCTGCTCCAAGAAGTGCGTCTGGGCTGTGCTGAACCTGACCTTCTTCCTGCACGCAGCCCTGGGCTCCCTGCACCTCTTCTTGAGCTTTCGCTTGGACCTTAACAAGTCCTTGATGGCTGTGTCCAGGTCCTCGTCACTGTCCAGGGAGCTGCTTTTGTCTTCAGAGCTCTCTTTCTCGTCTAGGCGCCTTGCCTCGTCTGTCTTACCCTGGCCCTGTGACATGCGAGTGTCGCCAGGGCCCCTGGCGGTGCCCTCCCCTCCCAGGGCCTCACTGGCTTTGCCCTGGATGGGCAGGTCTCGCCTCTCATGGCCGGGCTCAGCTCTCCCCTGGCTGTGGTCGGCATCCTGGCTACCGTCTTTCACCACCTCCTGCATTTTCTTGGGCGTGGATGGCCTCACATGGCCACCACCTCTACGCTTCCTTTTGCAGCCCAGCAGTGGGTCTGGTGTTTTAGAGAGAGGGGTCTTGTGGCCGCCGGTCTGGCTGTTGAGGCCAGGCGGCAAAAGTGGACCCTGGGCAGCCTGCGGGCAGCTCTCACCTCTGGCCAGCAAACTCCCTGACTGCGCCTTTAGGGCCAAAAATGTCCGGATTTCCTGCTCGATGCTGTCATCGCTGTCCACGGAGCTACTGTCGCCGTCAGAGCGGGAAGGCACGTTCGGGGAGTAGAAGAGTGGGCTTGCGGACAGGGACCCGTCACTGCCCTCTACAGGGGCCGGCAGGATCGTCTTGGAGATGTCCAGGATTGCTTCTGCACACATCAGCTCAGCAGATGTGTCCGCCCGGCACGAGGACCGTTCCACAAACTCACTCCTGGAAGCAGGGCTCGCTGGAGGTGGAGCTTTGGTTTCCTTCAGGAGCTTGGGGGCATGGTCAGTGTCCAGGCCCCCTGGACCAGGGTCCATGGTCTTGGTGGCCACTAGCTTCTTCTTGCTGGGTGTTTTCCTGTGGGTCTCGGGCAAGGCACTTTTTGTGGCACTGCTTGTGCTGTGTGCGGGAGGGTCAGGCGCTCTCTCCTCTCGGAGTTGGACCCTCTGGGGCAGGTCCCCGTCGGCCTCCTTGCGTGTTTTCTGCAGCTGGTACAGCTGGATGGCCTCCTCAATGCCATCGTCGCTGCTGGAGTCGGACGCCTCGGACGCCTGTGCCGCACTCATGACTCGCTTTCCCCTCCTTGCAGCGCTGGCGCTCCTTTTGATCCCACCTTTATTCTGTGCTGCTTCTGAAGGGCGGCAGGGGGTTGCCGGCTTCGTGCTGCCCTCGTTCTCCTGCGTGGTTGTGACCTTGGACCTGAGGCTTCTGGGCTGGACGTTCATCTTCGCTAACCGGGGAGGTTTGCGGAAGGCAAACTCCTTCTGGACGCCCAGCAGGCCCTGCCGATGCACCACCTTTGTAGGCGGCTCTTGGTGGGATTTCAAGAGTGACTTGGCGGAATTTTCATTTGTGTCTGGTTTCTTCTCCACTGACCCATCACATTTTTGGGTCTCATGCTGTCTCTTCTCATTCAGAAACTGTTCTATTTCCGCCCTGATGCTCTGCTCGAAGGAGTCATCGCTGCTCACACTGACCGGGGAGGCGGAGCCCTGGTCCTTGCTGGATCCCACCTGGCTGCCGGGGCCACCACCTGATCCAGGTACAAGTTTTGGGGGACACAGGGCAGTCGGGGCACTGCCGTGAGCCGGTTCCGGCTTACATCTACTGCCTCCGCCTGCGGCCCTGGAAGGCTGGGCTGCACCTGGCTGGGCCCCGCCGGCCCCGGGCTGTGCGGCTCCACTCTTTGCCTTCAGGTACTCCTGGATGGCCTCCTCAATGTCCCTGTCCACGGAATCATCACTGTCTGAATCTAGCACCAACGGGCCAAAGTCTGTAGTTTCCTCCTCCCCCATGGGGTCAAAGTCAGCAACGAGACCACAGACAGCCAACGCGGGTGGCTCCTTGTGCACGGTGGGCTTGGCAGCCGGCCTGGCGTCGTGGCATCCCTCTGCCCTGTGGCCCCTCTGTGCGGCGCGCTCATCGCTGGTGCCCCGAGCAGCCCCGTCGCGCTGCAGAGTGCTGATAAGCATCTGCACCCGGGCGCTCACCGACGCGCTCTCCACGCCCTCGTCAGCCTCCGAGAAGCACCTGGGGAACCTACAGCTCCCTGGCGGGCCAAAGGCCTCCCATTTGGACTGGAGAGCAACCACTGGAGAAGCGTTCATGAGAAACATTCTAGCAGACGGGGAGGGGCGCGCAGAGGGGCGATGCTTTATTTCTCTACCGGCTTCACATCCTGGGCGGAAAGAAAGCACATGGGCATGATGCAGCTACAAACAGCGATAGCTGCCAACACCAAGCGAGGCCCCAGAGGAACAGCATGTCGGGCTCACAGAGTGGAGAGAGTTGGGTGGAGCCCAACGTCCAGCTAGCTGGGTGTCCTTGCACGACTTACTCATGCTCCTGGGGCCTCGGATTCCTCAGCTGGGAAAGGAACAATTTACCTGCTCCAGCCCGGGGCTGCTGGGAAGATTCAGTAAGAAAATGTTTCCAACCACCCTCCACGGTGCCGCCCGGGGCACGCACGGTCATCACCTCCCCGCTCTTCCCTTCTCACTCCGGGCTTCCACCTTCTCTGTAAGAGGGGAGAGGTTTTATTTACCTCCAAAGTTGGCAAGCGGTACCCATGAGACAACGTCTGCAAATGCTTCTTTGCAGCTTAAAAAGGATGACTAGAAACCCAGGATCAGCACGCCGTCATGCGTAGGTTCATTCTTGACCCAACCGACAAGCTCCTGGAACGGAAAGTTGTATGATGTGAGCCACTCAGAAATTATTTCCCCAAACATCTTGAAGGGCTGCTTTTACTAAACCCTCTCTATGTTAAATGTCAAATGTAAATTTGCCAGGTGGTCGCATGGGACTGCATTGTTATTCTTAGCTAACTAGCACAGAAGTCACCCTGAACACAGTGATGTCCCCCTTCTCATCCTGCGCTGCCAGATTTCAGACCAAAGGTGGCTGCCTCAGCACAAGTGCTGGGCTGAGCTTGGGACACTTTGAAGACCTGCTCACGAATGGCCTGGGGATTGCCACTGCAGGGAGGAAGCTCAGGTGGATGGCAGTCACTTAGAACAATACCAGGGATACTGCGCAGCTATTCATTCTTAACACATTGCTCTGATACCCACCTGCCTACCCCAAAATTGCAGTGCAAAGCGGTTCTTGTGCAAGCAAGCCTCCAAGGCTTATGGACACTGAACTCCCCTTGGCTCAGAGGCTGTGGCTGCCCTCAGGACCTCAGCAGTGGGCGAAAACTGGCCAGTATGTTTTGCCTCTGTTATGGATTCTTCTTTACCAGGAGCTTTCTCCGGTTAACCAGGCGCTTCCTTCCTGACAAGCACATAATTGGGTATTTACATGCCACCATCTTTTCACAAAAACGTGAGGCTGTGGCCAGGTGTGGTGGCTCACGCCTGTAATCCAGCACTTTGGAAGGCCGAGGCGGGTGGATCACCTGAGGTCAGGAGCTCAAGATCAGCCTGACCAATATAGTGAAACTCCATCTCTACTAAAAAAACACAAAAATTAGCCGGGCATGGTGGCGCATGCCTGTAATCCCAGCTACTTGGGAGGCTGAGGCAGGAGAATTGCTCGAACCCAGGAGGTAGAGTTTGCAGTGAGCTGAGATCATGCCACTGCACTCCAGTCTGGGCGACAGAATGAGACTCCATCTCAAAAAAAAAAAAAAAAAAAAGAAAGAAAGAAAAAGAAACAAAAGGTGAGCCTGGCCACCTACACACAGGTGAGCCCAAAAGGGGTAACCAGCAATTAACCAGGGGGTGAGACAGATTCAGAAGTAAGTCATTTGCTAGCACCAATTTGTGCCCTACAAGGGAAACTAAAATACAAGAATTACTTGAAATTACTTGAAATTCTGTGAGTCCAGGTTGACTGTGATGAAATGGCAGCCAGTGTTCCCACACGGCCCAGAGATCAGGTCCTCATCACTCCACTTACACACCGAGGCATTCTCTCTCTGCTTTTTCAATAGACTTTTGACTACCAGAATCAAAGAGAATCAGAGGCATCTAATTACAGGCTGAAGCTACAGTTGATAAATTTTTTTTTTTTGGAAAGAAATATCATTAACTTAAGGGCTCAAAATTAACTTTTGAAGGAACTTACTCTAAGACATTTAACCACAAGTACAAATATATTTAACTTAATGTATTAAGACAAATACATTTAACCACAAGTAATGTATAGCTATCCTGGACAGCAGATCTGATGCTGGCTGAAGTGATGGGGATGGGGCACGTATGTGACGTTATCTGCTAGTTCTCAAATTCTGGCCACCCACTGCAGCCCATGACATCCCCCATAAAGTCACCTTCTGGAGAGATTCCCCACTGACACAGAGCACTGGGGGACCAACAATGCGAGAGGAGCTCTTTCACTGGCTAGCAAACCCACGCCTGCCTTACTGTAGGTGTTATTCAAATTGCCTCTGCAAAATGACATAAATGACAAAACATTTGCATTAGCCTTGGGCTGAGGAGCGTCTAAATTAAGACTATTGACTCCTTAAACAGCAATACTACCTTAAGAATACTACCTTAAATACTACCTTAAGAAAACCGGCCCAAGTCAGTGTCTTTACACTAGATGACAAGGTCGGGGAGGGGAGTTTTCCTGGGGAAATAGTCTGTTCTCCACTAGCCACATTTACAGCTTCTGACTGGTTGCAGAGAAGGCCTGGACACCCAGTGAACAGTTTTCTAAGTTGTCAAATCACCTAGTTCAAGAATGGTATTAAAAAATCTGGCCAGGTGCAGTGGCTGACGCCTGTAATCCCAGCACTTTGGGAGGCTGAGGCAGGTGGATCACCTGAGGTCAGGAGTTTGAGACCAGCCTGGCCAATATGGTGAAACCCCTCCTCTGCTAAAAATACAAAAATTAGCTGGGCGTGGTGGCGTGTGCCCGTAATCCCAGCTACTGGGGAGGCTGAGACAGGAGAATTGCTTGAACCCAGGAGGCAGAGGTTGCAGTGAGCCGAGATCGCGCCACTGCACTCCAGCCTAGGAGACAGAACGAGACTCCATCTCAGAAAGAAAAAAAAAAATCGAGGGGGGTCGTCTCCCCAGGACAGCTTGTGGCTTTAAAACATTATGCGAGATGAATCATTCTTGAAAAGCCCCCTGGGTCGGGGATAGTGGCTCACACCTGTAATCCCAGCACTCTGGGAGGTGGAGGCAGGTGGATCACTTGAGGCCAGGAGTTCGAGACCAGCCTGGCCAACATGGCGAAACCCCATCTCTACTAAAAACACATAAATTAGCTGGGCGTGGGAGCCCACGTCTGTAGTTCCAGCTACTCCAGGGGCTGAGGCACGAGAATCGCTTGAACCAGGGAGGCGGAGATTACAGTGAGCCGAGATCAGCCATTGCACTCCAGCCTGGGCGACAAAGCGAGACTCTGGCTCTAAAAAAAAAAAAAAAAAAAAAACAAGAAAAGCCCCCTAATCAGTCCTTAGAGATAGGTGTGGGCCCAAGCCAGAGGTGCAGGCTTTGTCAAATTGCTGCCTCAGGATACGGTCTTGAGGGTGGCTGTGGGGACACCCAGCACCTGCACCCCAAGGCCACACGGTGTCAGATTTTAGGAAGCGGTGGAGAACACTCGGGTACCTTCTCGGTCCAGACATCAACCTTCTGGAGAGAACCAAAGCACCCACACTGGGCCCTCGCCATCCTAACAGTCTGCCCACCTGTGAGAAACGCCCCCAAATACTCTACATTTCTCGGTTGGCCGAAAAGCAGCTCAGCCAGCGGTCTTACCTCCCAGGTGGGGTTTCCCCCCAGGGTAGGGAGGCCAGGGTCTGCAGGCCAGGGAGAGGAGCCCCGGTGCAGGAGCGGGCGGGGCAGCAGGAGGACCCGCTCCAGCCACCCAGAAGTGGGCGTGGGCTAGAATTCAGCTCCCAGCCTTCCAGAAGCTGCAATTTTACAACCTCACTACAAGCGTCCCCCAGCAAAGCTGCACCGCCATTTCCTGTGCTTGGGAACTGAAGGCAAGGTGAGCCCCTCCCGGCTGCCCCGGCCCGACCTCCCCTGACTCCCAAGCTTGGGCTACTCACGGCCTGCGGGCTGGGCAGGGTCCCCCAAGGGAGCTCCCCTCCCCGAGGGCGCGCTCACCCTAGCCGCTGGGATCGGCGACCTGGTCCTCGGCCCGGCGGGAGTGAACGCCTCCCAGGGAAGAGGCCGGGCCTCCAAGCAGGTCTGCACCCCCGGAGTTATGTTTCTGGGATCCGAGGACTAGCGAGCTTGGGGCCCGGGAGAGCGGCCACCCTCCCGGAAGCTCCGCCTGGCGCAGGGCGTGAACCGCAGTCTCCAGGCCGGCCGGGCCGCGGCCATTCTCGGAGGGCAGCGGCCGCCCCGGGCCGGGCCAAAGCTCCCCACCGCGGGCCCTCACCTGCGCCTCACCTGGGGCTCCAGGAGCGCGGGGCGCGCGGGCCGAGAGTCGCACGGAGGCCAGAGACAGGATCCCCGCCCGGGGAACGGAGCAGCCCCGGCGCCGATCCCCGTCCGCCTGCCTCGGGGAGCCCCCGCCGCCCGCCCGCCGCGGCCTGCACGGCGCGCCGGCCCCGGCCTGGCTGGCCCTCCTGTCCCCGACCCCCCAGCTTCCCAGCCCCCGAGCCCCCCGGCCCCGGCCCTGCACCCGCTCACCTCCGCCCGTCCCCCGCCGCCCGCCGCGCGGACCCCGCCTGCGCCCGCGTCCCACGTCCCGGGGGAGGCGGCGGGCCGGGGGCGGGCCGGAGGCTGCAGGGCCAGCGCGCTCCGCCCTCGGCCGGGGCGCGGGGAGGGGGCGCAGGGGCGTCCGGCCGGGCCCCCCGCCTCCCCGCCTCCCCGCGCGCCGCCGCTGCCGCCGCCCCGCGCCCGGGCCGCGCCGTGGGAAGCGCGGGAGGGGAGGGGCGGGGCGGGGGGCGGGGCGACCCCCCCAAGCCGCCCCCTCCCCGCGACCTACCGGACGGTGGCGGCGGCGGCCGCACTCCGGAAGCCGTGCCCGTGGCTGGGCATCATGGGAATGGCACGGCCGAGTTCCGGGGGAGGCGCGCGGCCCGGCCGGACCCCCGCCCGCGAGAGCGCGCCCACCTGCCGCCGCGCCCGCGCCCCGGGGACGCCCCCGCCCCGCCCCGCCCGGTTCGGACGCGGCCCCCTCCGCGGGGTGCGGGGCGAAGGCGCTTGGGCCGGGCCGAGCCCCGTGCTGCCCGCCTCCCGTACCGCGGCCACCTCCGGGGGGCGCGCAGGGGGCGCGGGGTCGCCGGGAAGTTCTGGGCGCGGGGGGCGTGGCCGTGGGAAAGCGCTCGGAGCCGCGGGAAGGGAGCGTGCGGGGCCCCGGCGCCAACCGAGTTCCTCCCCGAAGTTCACGCGGGGCTCCGGGCTGAGACCGGCCCGCCCGCCCCTCCAGCCCCACAGCCTTGGGCCGGGGTCGGGGGCGGCCCCCGCGTGTCCCCGCGGCTGCCCCACCCGAGCTTGCGGCGGGGAGTGGACGCACGACCTGCCCGGGGCGGCGGCTCCTCGAGCACACCTGCCGCCAGGTTCGGGGGAGGGAACAGTTTCTAGGAACTGCCCCGGACCTTGAGGCCGCTGCTGTTTCTGCTTCTGCTGTGCACTGACCATGTGACCTTGAAAGTCTTCCCAGTTTTGTTTTATAAAAGGTCCAGGGTGTGTGCCCGAGGCTGGCGGTGGCCCGGGTGTGCTCAGCATCCCCGGGCGGCGGGGAACGGGCAGACCCGACTGGATCCTCCCTCAGCGCCCACTCGTGGAAGGGGCAGATGGTGCGCAGGGGCACCGCGCTGCTTCTGTAAGCCCCCTGGGCCCTGATCCACACGTGTCTGGGAGATGAATTTGTGGGTTCGGTTCCTGTCTAGAAAGTGTCAGAGATTTGATAGGATCAAAATCAGAGACTTGCCTTGGAGGGGTGCTTCTAGTCATGCCAGCCTGGGAAGCTGGAGGGCCAGTTTTGGGTCAGGAAACCCATTAAAGAATTGTTTTAATGCCTTCGTGAATTTTTTCAAAAAGCAATTTTTTTTTTCTCATGAAATAATACTCTTTCATTACCAAACTTTGGGGAGATGATCTAATTAATAAGGTGACTTCCCAGAGACATGGGCTGTTAAGGTTTTGGCATGCTGCTTCACAGTTTTTAAAACAGTGCTGTGGTGAACAGCTTTCATGATGCCTCCTTAGAGCGGCTCTGAGCATTTCCTGCGGGCAAATCCCTAGAAGAGGCCGGCGGGCCAAAGACTATGCTGCATTTTGCCAAAATGCCCTCCAGAAATGCGGGGCCAGCCTGCCGTCCACCCACTGGTGAGCGGGCATGCCCGCTTGCCTGTCCTCTTGCCAGCCCTGAGATATGTCATTGCGTTATGTCTTTGGCAGTCTGATAGGCGAAACAGCCCTTTTCATCACTTGAATCCTAATTTCTTTGACTGCTGGTGATGTTGAACATCTTTTCATTTTATTATTGGCCATTTGGAATATTGCCTGTCTGTGTTCTTTGCCCATTTTTTATTTTTCTGTTGGGCTGTGTGTCTTTTTCTTAGGGATTCTAAGAGCTTGTTACCGTAAGGAATTTAGCTCTTCTCTGTGCTGTATGCTACTCTGTACAAGAGCGTAAATGCAATGTATGGTCGGGCGCGGCGGCTCACCCCTGTAATCCCAGCACTTTGGGAGGCCAAGTTGGGCAGATCACCTGAAGTCAGGAGTTTGAGACCAGCCTGGCTAACATGATGAAACCTCGTCTCTACTAAAAAATACAAAAATTAACCGGGTGTGGTAGCGGGTGCCTGTAATCCCAGATAATCGGGAGGCTGAGGCAGGAGAATTGCTTGAACCCAGGAGGTGGAGGTTGCAGTGAACCGAGACGGTGCCACAGCACTCCAGCCTGGGTGACAGAGCGAGACTCTGTCTCAGAAAAAAAGTGTATTGTACAACAGTACAATAACACAGAATATTGTACAGTAGTACAATATACTCTTGTACATTGCATTTATTTTTCTGTCATTTTTCTTTTGACTTTGGATTTTGGTTTTTTGTTTGTTCAACCTTTTTTTTTTTTTTTTTTTTTTTTTGAGACAGGGTCTTACTCTGTGTACACCCAGGCTGGAGTGTAGTGGCGTGATCATGGCACTGCAGCCTCAACCTCCCCCGGCTCAGGTTATCCTCCCACCTCAGCCTCCCCAGTAGCTGGGACTACAGGTGCACGTCACCACGCCTGGCTAGTTTTTGTATGTTTTTGTAGAGATGGGGTTTTGCCATGTTCCCCAGGCTGGTCTTGAACTCCTGGCTTGAGTGATCCACCCTCCTTGGCTTCCCAAAGTGCTGGGATTACAGATGGGAGCTACTGTGTCCTGCCTTTTTATTTTTTTACTACACACAAGTTTGAAGTTCTTCTGTAGCTAAATCAATCAAGTTTTCTTTTGTGGTTTCTGGCTTTGGGGTAAGGCCTGGAATAGCTTTTACCACTCTAAGATTTCATAATCATTCACCAGTTTAATCCCTGCATTCCAAAGTAAGAGAACAGTGGAGGGCATGGAGGGGTGTGACCTGGGGCTCTTGGGGAATTCCTGGGCCAGAGTGTGTGGCACGTAATAATAGTTTCTCAAAACAGGGAACACTTGTACTCCTTTTTTGAAGCTACCGATGTTCAGAGATTGGTTGGTTGGTGCTTTTTTTTTTTTTTTTATTAAATTCTTAGGAGGCCTCAACAGTGCCTTGTGAGGCCTTCATTGGAGGAACAGGAGGGGCGTCTGTCATTGTCAGACTCTCCTGTTGTGAGAGGCTCTGGCCTTGGCCTTGGGACCCCCTAGTCAGGCTCCTCACTGTGCAGTCTGTGCCTCCGGGGATCAGCACGCAGGGTCACCTTCATTATCCGCCATGGAGGAAGTGAGGACTCCTGGCATCTTTCTGCCCAGCCCGGGGCTCTGCTGTCCATGGGTGGATGGGCGGTGGCAGCAGGGACAGGTGCAGTGGGCTGCACGTCTCACCTGAGGGGCTCTGGTGGGCTCTTGGGTCCCTATGTGGCTGTTGCTCCCCTCTGGGCCTCTGCTTGGCCTTCTGTGAAGGGCACAAAGAGTCCAGTGGGACCACATGAAGGTCACTCTCCATGTGGAGTGGAGAGACCGCCTGGGAGAGATGGCTGAGGGCCTGCTGGGGACCAAAGTCTGAGCTCATAAAGAAAAGCCAGCAGTTCCTCTGTTGCTCTTTTCCTTTACAGAATTAGTTACATTGTCATAATTAAAGAAAACTCAAGGGCTGGGCTCAGTGGCTCATGCCTGTAAACCCAGCACTTTGGGAGGCCGAGGAGGGCGGATTGCCTGAGATCAGGAGTTCAAGACCAGCCTGGCCAGCATGGCGAAACCCTGTCTCTACTTAAAAAAAAAAAAAAAAAAAAAAAAAAAATTAGCTGGGTGTGGTGGTGCACACCTGGAATCCCAGCTGTCAGGAGGCTGAGGCAGGAGAATCGCTTGAACCTGGGATGGGAGACTCTGTCTCAAAACAAAAACAAAGAAACTCATGTGAAAGAAGGCAACATTTCCCCCCAACACAAGGAAGCTCCACAGTCCCCTGGGAGGACCCAAGGATGCAGGCGCCCCAGACCCTGCTGGCAGGAGGACACAGTGTCTGTTGGGAGGTCATCCTGCTGTGTCTGTTAACTATAAATTGCAGGTCACATTTGAGTGTTGCTTAGCCCTTCGTCCTGAAGTTACTTGCAGTTTGTCCAGGCACGCGCCAACAAGGACTGCTCCAACCTTGTCAAAGCAGAACCCCCGTAAGTGACCAGATGGGGAGAGTGAAATGAACCCTGGAACCTCCTGCACCTCTGGGCCTCTGCTGGAAGGGAGGCGGGTCCGTGTGCCCCAGTGCAGAAGGAGTCCAGGGAGCATAAGAAAGTGGAAAACGCTTGCAGCAGAATGATGTAAAGTGTCACCCCGGTGCATTTTCAGAATCAGGGTGGGCTGGCGTGCCACCTGGCAGAACACGCACGAAGATGTCAGGACCCGTGTGAGCGGCCTGAGTGGAAGGCCAGCAAGGGGGAGGGGAGGTTTTGGTGTTGTCTTTTGGTGTTGTCTTCTTTTATACCATTTAAATTTTCAAAACGGTGAGCATACCAGTCTCACGCCTGTAATCCCAGCACTTTGGGAGATGGAGGCGGGTGGATCAGTTGAGGTCAGGAGTTCGAGACCAGCCTGGCCAACGTGGTGAAACCCCGTCTCTACTAAAAATACAAAAAAAAAAAAAAAAAAAAAAAAAAGATTAGCCAGACATGTTGGTGGGTGCCTGTAATCCCAGCTACTTTGGAGGCTGAGGCAGGAGAATTGCTTGAGCCCAGGAGGCAGAGGTTGCAGTGAGCCGAGGTTGCACCATTGTACTCCAGCCTGGGCAGCAAGAGCAAAACTCCATCTCAAAATAAATAAATGAATAATAAATAAAATAAAAAATAAAATGGTAGGCACTGCTCTCCTATGTATGTAAACCGACTGACATAGGCTGTTTAACAGAAGGACATGAATATTCATGACTGTGAGCACAGCCCTGCGCACGCTCGGCTGTCCGTGGAGACCCGCCACCAGGTGGGGCAGCTGGCACTCTCCATCCGGACCCGGAGCCCGCAGAAAGGGGGCCAGTCCCTTCCCACCCGGGTCCAGGGAGCCCACTGGATTCAATCTTTAGAAATTCTATTTCTGCAAAAGAATTTTCGAAACCATTTACCCCAGAAGTGACTCTGCATGGCTTTATTTGGGTTCATTTCTTGATCGTTATGTTCTTAGAATTTTCCTGGCGTGAATTTTACCCTGTTTATTACTTACAATGTCAGGGGACAACGTGACTTGATGATGATCTGTTTATGAGGGAGCGTTTTAAGCTGAAACGGAAAATAAGCCCCCGAGACAGAATTATTCAGGAGACCCCGCGTGCATCGTCAGTGGGAAATGAGGACATGTCACCTTGGGTTTATTCAAGAGCAGGGTGCCTCCAATTCAGGATCTGGGAGGAAAATGACTTTCTCGCTCTGATTCCCTGCAGAAAATAAATTGGGCGAGGGCCCTTATTCTTACTAGACACTGTTTCTACGTTTGCTCCTCTCCTCAAACAGGAGGGCCTGGAGGGGCCAGCAGGAGTGCGGCGGGACAGGTGACCCCCTCCTCAAAGGCAGGAAAACCTTGCAGAGTAAAAGGCAGAGGTGACAAAGGCCAGAGGAAGTGGGCATCTCTGACCCAGACGACCTCTTGGACAGGAGCCTGCCCAGGGCGGGGGAGCTGCATGGACTTGAGAGACCTATGTGTGAGGGTTTGGCCAGGGGCACCCCCAGGACAGGATGGGGCAGGGGGCAGCCAAGCGGTCACACGGCCACGATGGAGGCTTCGGCTGATTCTCGGGGGGCCCTGGAGCATGGCAGCCCCTCAGATGGCCCCTGTCAAGGAAATTGGCCGGACATTTACACCTCTAAACCCCCTGCACGGCCATTGGACGTGGGCTGCCCCTGGGGAACCTCAGCCCGGGACTGTCATTTGGGCTGGGCAGCCGGGGACCATGGAGTGCTCCTGCCCTGAAGGGGGCCCAGACAGCTGCCCTGTGTCACCCCAAGTTCCCCAGGACCCTCCTTCCTGGGGAAGCAGCAACTGGAATCTTTTACTTCAGAAACTCTGCTAGGAGCTCACTTTCTCCATCTCTTAGGCAAAGAGTTAGTTCACTTGTTAAGTCTCTCTGAGAAATGTTATCTCAACCATGTTCAGTGGAAGAGGCTGCTGAAGCCGTATCAGAAATGATAAGCTGATAAGACTTAGCTATACAACTCTGAAATAGAATGTTGGCAATCAAGGTTAAAACAATGGTGAATGTGACGAGGGGAACAGATTCTGGTAAAACCTCTCACGAGGAGGTTTCTGCACTCTTGTTAAATGAACGTGGTGCAGAGTAAAAATGAGAAAGGTCACGATTTTCTTGAGTCTCAAAAATTTCCCCTAGATCCATGGAAATGATTCTATTTCAGTTTTCCTTTGGCAGAAAGAAGAGGGACTCTACCGCACGTTCTGTGAGTCTTGGAAAGGCATTACAGAACGTTTGATATTTTTGTATAAAAACCTACTCATGATGTCCTGAATCACTTTATTCTGAGGTAGGGGAGGGTAAGGAGCCTCCGCAAGTCTTGATACAGATTTGTAGTTTCTGGCCGGGCACAGTGGCTCACACATGTAATCTCAGCACTTTGGAAGGCTGAGGCAGGCAGACTGCTTGGGCCCAGAAGTTTGAGACCAGCCTGGGCAACATAGCGAGACTCTGTCTCTAAAAAAAAGGAAAAAAAATATGTATACGTATATTTATATCTACGTTTGTAGACCCAGCTACTCGGGAGGCTGAGGTGGGAGGATCGCTTGAGCCCAGGAAATTGAGGCTGCAGTGAGCTGTGATTGTGCCACTGTGCTGTAGCCTGGGCAACAGAGCAAGACCCTGTCTGCAATATATATCTATAGTTGTTTTTGTATGTAGCAGTTTGGCACTGTACAGAAAAGTAGGGCTGCATGGAAGCTGTACCTTTCACCAGCCCAGGACCATCCAAGGCCAGAAGGCATTGAGGGCTGAGCATCGGGAAGAGGCAGGTGTCCCAGGCCCCTCTGTGCCCCAGAAGACTCTGCCTAGCTTCAACCTAAGGCAGCCTTCAAAACCACTCCTGCCACAGTGCAGCAGTATTTCCCGGGGAGAAACACCTGCCCACTTTTCTCTCAGCCTGGTGGTCATGAAGGGAGATGGTAAGGTCCGCTTTGACGGATCATGACACCCCGAGCTCATGTTAGAAAGGGAAGGGAGATGGCCTGGGGTCTATCTGTGGCCACACACAAAGTTGGACCTTAGGATGGGCTCCCTTTGCCACCTATGGCCTTCAGAAGGTCCCATCTGTGATGGTGGCTCCAGTGAGGAGGGAGTCCCCATTTCCAAGGGTCTCCCTTGCAGAGATGGCCAGGAACCGAGGGTGAGCACAAATTGGGGGTGGGCACAGCCTGACGAGGGCAGCTGCTTTGGGTTTTTTTCCTCCCTTGAATCAGAAGTTCAGATGCAGCGTTTCCCTGGGAATCTGGGCTTTTAATTTTTCTCTTTTCCTTTTTAAGTTTTTTATCAGCAGTGTTTTGTTTCACTGCCCCAAGTGGAACCGATGAGCGGGGTGCTACTGTGTGGTTGCCCCCACATCTGACTCACCTCAGTGCCCAGGATGGGAGCAAAGCACAGGTGAGCTGCCCCGCCAGGCCCCTGCGGAGGGGGTGCATGCATGGAGACAGCTGTGGGTGTGGAGGTAAAGCACTCCCATTCCAAGCCCATTGCCCAGAGGGGAGAGCTGGGGGACAGAGGTGAAAGCACTTCCAGACCAAGCCCGTTGCCCGGAGACCCCTTCTTGTTTCCGTGGCAGCAGCTGCTGACCTTTCCGACCTTTCCACCTGCGTTCTGAAACCAGCGTCTCTGGTTACAACCAAAGAGGTTGCTCAGTCACACTCCTGAAAGGCAAAAGGAGGTTGGCCAGTAAAAAAGATGTAAACCCTAGATGTAGTTCTTAGTGTGGAAGCCACAGGAGAACTTCCAATGTGGCCACGGGGATCGCCGAGGCTTTTATGCAGGTAACTGAGCTGGGTGACCAGCTGCCTGGTTAACAGTTGGGCAGAAGTGACCTATTGTTGTGCTCTGTGCTGTCTACTTACAGCTACCGCATAGCAACATGGTAGAGACTGTGACGTTTTGCTCGGCATCAGGTGAAGGCATTCGGGAGTAAGTTTCACAACAGAAGACAGGCTCAGAAGCAGATCATCCGAGTCGGGGGAGAGAGGCGGCGACTAGTCAGGCTCCCTCGAATCCCAGGCTGTGATTATTATCTGCAGCCTGTGTCACCCAGGATGAAAGGGGATGGAAAAGCCGTGCATACCCTTGGTGACAAAGCCACTCCTGCTCTTAAAGGCTGGAGCAGGACATCTGACACAATCCCAGGTCTCCATGGAGGCAGGGGCATGGCCGGCAGCTGTAGACCACAGCCTCCGGGCTCTGGCGTGGAGGAAGAAAAGGAAACCAGCACAGAATTTTTTTTTTTTTGAGACGGAGTCTGGCTCTGTCCCCAGGCTGGGGTGCAGTGGTGTGATCTTGGCTCACTGCAACCTCTGCCTCCAGGATTCAAGTGATTCTCCTACATCAGCCTCCTGAGTAGCTGGGATTACAGGTGCTGGCCACCACGCCAGGGTAATTTTTGTATTTTTAGTAGAGGCGGGGTTTCACCATGTTGGCCAAGCTGGTCTTGAACTCCTGACCTCATGATCAGCTCGCCTCAGCCTCCCAAAGTCTTGGGATTGCAGGCGTGACCCATCGCACCCGGCCAGCACAGAATATTTTTAATTGAAAAAGGAGGGGGCTGCTTTGTGAATTTTTTTTTTTTTTTTTGAGATAGAGTCTTGCTCTGTCCCCAGGCTGGAGTGCAGTGGTGCGATCTTGGCTCACTGCAACCTCTGCCTCCAGGATTCAAGCGATTCTCCTACATCAGCCTCCTGAGTAGCTGGGATTACAGGTGCTGGCCACCATGCAGGCTAATTTTTGTATTTTTAGTAGAGGCGGGGTTTCCCCATGTTGGCCAGGCTGGTTTCCTGACCTCAGGTGATCCTCCCTCCTCGGCCTCCCAAAGTGCTGGGATTACAGGTGTGAGCCACTGTGCCCAGCCCAACTTTGTGAAAATTCTAAAGGATCAAGAGCAGACTGGGAAAGTGGGACCTTGGTCTTTAAGGCTCAGCTTAGGGAGGTGACAGCTGTGTGCAGCCGTGTCCAGGAAGTGGTCCACGGTCAAGGGAGAACTCTGTAATCTGAGTGTGGAGAAAGGTATTGCACAGTCCCCAGACACCCCTAAACATTTCTTCAGAGCCATCTGAGAACCGGCCCTATCTGGGTCATTGCCATAGACAGAGGACACAGCTTGGGGTGCAGAGGACCCAGCCTGGCCCTGAGGCTGAACCATCTGAATAGATCCTGAACACTTGTGGAGACGGAGCTCTGCTGCCCCGAAACCCCGGGATGGACACAGGAAGACGAGCCCGTGCTTTGTACACCAAAGAAAATGACTGAGGAGTCTCAATCTATCGAGAGGTTTATTTTGCCTGGGTTGAGGACGTGCCCAGGGGAAAGTGTCGGCAAACCAGATCCGCAACTTCAGGAGAAGGATGGGCTCCGCGGGCTAGGCGGGTCCGAAGGAGCACAGTAGGACCTGCGGCCTGCACGATTTCCAAAGAGGGTTTGAGAACTTCCGTATTCAAAGAGGAAAGAGCAGACAGTAGGGAAAAATGGAAAGAAAAAAACGGGAGGGTGGATAAAAGAGGCCAGCGGTTGCATTCTTTTGAGGCGTTGATGAGCCTTCCCTGAATCCCCGTTTTACATGGGAAAGGTGGAAGAGGAACAGTAAACTGTGCATTCATCCTGTGCTCAGTGAACCTGCATCTTTATGGAAGAACAGTAGAGGAGGGAGTCAAAGATGCGTTTGTCTCCCGTGAGCGGAGGGAAGACTTCTAGTCCTGTCTTTGTCCCATACCTGTGCAGATAAGCTGTTAATTTACATTTTCAGGGTGAAATTCAGCAGAACTCTGTTTTAGGACAAAGTTCTTGGAAAAGAAAGAAAGAAAAAAGATGTGTTGCCTGTAATCCCAGCACTTTGGGAGGCCGAGGCAGGCAGATCACCTGTCAGGGGTTCGAGACCAGCCTGGCCAACATGGTGAAACCCCATCTCTACTAAAAATACAAAAATTAGCCAGGCGTGATGGCACGCGCCTGTAGTCCCAGCTACTTGGGAGGCTGAGGCAGGAGAATCACTTGAACCCGGGAGGTGGAGGCTGCAGTGAACCCAGACCCTGCCACTGCACTCCAGCCTGGGCAACAAGAGCGAAACCCCATCTCAAAAAAAAAAAAAAAAAGATCTTGGGGACCACAATGTATTTCCTTGTGAGCAAACAGTGAGGGGGGCCCCCTGGGGAGGGGAGTGGCCTTCTGTCTTTGCATCTGTCTATTTAGGAAGACACTGGGAGGTAGTTTTGGGTGACCCAGTTCCCAAGCTTAACTCTTCTTTTTGGCATAGTGAGTTTGGGGTCCTGAGATTTTTATTTTCCTTTTACCTCTTTAAGCTGGAGGAGAAGGAAACTTCTCAGGGATTATCCCAGCACATTATCTTATCTTCCTAGGCTTGAGATAAGACAGAACTGCCTTTGGGCTGCCTGTGTCCCTGGGAGTCCAGAGACCCTGGGTCATATGGCCGGGCAGATGGCAGAGAAAGCTCCATTCAAAATGTCCTGCTCCAAACCTGAGATTCTTATCCTGTCTTAGTAAAACTTGTAAAAATGTGATGGATACATTACAATCTCTGTAACCGCCCAAAGAGTTCACCTTGCCTGCTGTGTAGATAGCGCCATTTTATCAAGACAGAGGAATTGCAGTGGAGAAAGAATAATTCATGCAGAGCCGGCTGTGCAGGAGACCGGAGTTTTATCGTTACTCAAATCAGTCTCCCCGAGCACTGGGGGATGAGAGTTTTTAAGGACAGCGTGGTGGGTGGGGGGAAGCCAGTGAGCCGGGAGTGCTGACTGGTCGGAAATGAAATAGGGAGTCATAGCTGTCTTCTTGCGCTGAGTCAGTTCCTGGGTGGGGCCCACAAGATCAGATGAGCCAGTTTATCGATCTGGGTGGTGCCGGCTGATCCATCAAGTGCAGGATCTGCAAAATAGTTCAAGCACTGGTCTTAGGTTTTACAATCGTGATTTTATCTCCGGGAGCAGTTTGGGGAGAGTCAGAATCTTGCAGCCTCCAGCGACATGACACCTAACCGTAATTTCTAATCTTGTGGCTAATTTGTTAGTCCTACAAAGGCAGTCTAGTCCCCAGGCAAGAAGGGGTTTTGTTTTGGGAAAGGGCTGTTATTCTCTTTGTATCAAACTATAAACTATTAATATAAACTAAATTCCTCCCAAGGGGAGTTCAGCCTACACCCAGGAATGCACAAGGACAGCTTGGAGCTTAGAAGCAAGTGGAGTTGGTTCATCTCTTTCACTGGCTCATAATTTTGCAACGGCGGTTTCATCTCTACCCTGACAATACCTTTTAGTTTTCTTACCCACTGGGGTCGAGACTTAATTGAAGACCTCAGACGGACAGCATAACACGGAACCTGAGACCTTGATTTGCGGGGACAGGCTTAAAGTGTATTCTGGAGTTGGTGCCCCCACCCCAGGGGCCGGCTCAGAGGGTTCACTTTCCAGCCTAACGGCAGGGGAACCAGAGGCTGCCGACCTGGATCTCACCTTGATGGAGGTCTTGTCACCTTCCTCCTTGGCTGGAGAGACAGACTGTGGATGCTCTCCTGCTGGCCACCCAAAAACAACAAACAGACAAACAAATATGAATGAGGAAAACTTGAAGAGGCCCCACGTGCCAGAGGTGGGACAGCTTGAGATTTGGTGAGGATAATTGCAGTGGCTCAAAACCCATAAAGAAGTTTAAGTCCATGAGTTCACCGTAATCTGAAACAAAAACAAAAACAAAAACAAATTGATCATCTTTGGAGGCTAACAATCAATTCATTATCTAGAGACAGGTAAGTAAAAATTCAGCATTGCTCCTGCCCATATCGGGGAGTCTTTTTTTTTTTTAAGCAATCCAACTAATAAATGAAAGAAGATTGGGAGGCCAAGGCGGGCAGATCATAAGGTCAGGAGTTTGAGACCAGCCTGACCAATATGGTGAAGCCCCATCTGTACTAAAAGTACAAAAATTAGCCAGGCGTGGTGGCACATACCTGTAATCCCAGCTACTCCGGAGGCTGAGGCAGGAGAATTGCTTGAACCTGGGAGGTGGAGGTTGCAGTGAGCTGAGACAGAGTAAGACTGTGTCTCAAAAAAAATTAAAAAAAAAAAAAAGAATGGTAGAATTAGAATATCACCATTTGGCAACCCCTGGTGAATGAATGAGTGTAGGTAATGCAGCCACTGACCCCTCGAAAAGGGGGAGCATCCAGCTTCTGTGCCCTTGATAAAGAGCTGCAGGGGATGGCCAGGCGCGGTTGCTCACGCCTGTAATCCCAGCACTTTGGGAGGCCGAGGCGGGCAGATCATGAGGTCATGAGATCGAGACCATCCTGGCTAACACGGTGAAACCCCATCTCTACTAAAAATAAAAAAAATTAGCCAGGGGTGGTGGTGGGTGCCTGTAGTTCCAGCTACTAAGGGAGGCTGCTGAGGCAGGAGAATGGCATGAACCCGGGAGGCAGAGGTTGCAGTGAGCCGAGACCACGCCACTGCACTCCAGCCTGGGCGACAGAGCGAGACTCCGTCTCAAAAAAACAAAAAAAAAAGAGAGATGCAGGGCCTGGGTGTGATCGGGCCCCTGGCCCCAGCCCCTGGCTCCAGCTGCCTCCTTGCAGGAAACCCACTGGACAAGGGAGGAGGTGTTGATCTGTGAGGGGCAGCCAGCAACCACTCTCACTGTGGGGAACTTGGCAGAGGACAGCCCCAGGTATTCACCAGATCGACTGTAAGGAAAAGAAAGGGATGGCGTGGAAGCTGTAGGGGAAAGAGATTTAAAAGACACATCAGATAAAAAAGTGGCTCAGACTAAACTGTCATGTTTAAAGATAGAGATATTAAATAATTTGACCTAAATGAAAGTGTAGAGAAGCACAAGGGAGAGAAGATCCTGTCAGGACGGTGATGACTTTGGGGGCTGGGAGAGGGCTGTGGCCATGAGGGTGCTGTGGAGGGGGCCTGGAGTGGCTGGCAAAGCTCTTGGCTTGCGTGGTGGTGACAAAAAGTGTCTGCCCTATCAAAGTCCATGAAGCTTGGCTGGGCACGGTTGCTCATGCCTGTAATACCAGGCTTTGGGAGGCCAAAGTGGGAGGATCGCTTGAGCCCAGGAGTTTGAGACCAGCCTGAGCAACATAGTGAGACCTCATCTCTACAGAAGATTTAAAAATCAGCAGGGCATGGTGCTGTGCACCTGTAATCTCAGCTACTCTGGAGACTGAGACAGGAGGATCTCTTGAGCCCAGGAGGTCAAGGCTGCAGTGAGCTGTGATTGTTCCACTGCACTCCAGCCTGGGCAATAGAGCAAGACACTGTCTTAAAAAAAAAAAAAAAAAGGCCGGGCGCAGTGGTTCACACCTGTAATCCCAGCACTTTGGGAGGCTGAGGCGGGCGGATCACAAGGTCAGGAGATCGAGACCATCCTGGCCAACATGGTGAAACCCTGTCTGTACTAAAAATACAAAAATTAGCTGGGCGTGGTGGCGCGTGCCTGTAATCCCAGCTACTTGGGAGGCTTAGGCAGGAGAATCGCTTGAACCAGGGAGGCAGAGGTTGCAGTGAATGGAGATCGCGCCACTGCACTCTAGCCTGGCGACAAAGTGATACTCTGTCTCAAAAAAAAAAAAAAGAAAAAAAAAAAGATTTCATTAAGCTAAAAAAAAAAAAAAAAGTCTCTGATGGTTTCCTAGTATGGTTTGAATGGAGCCGGAAACCCCCATAGCCCACCCACCTACCTTCAAGAGCTCATCCCTCACATTCTCCCTCTTCTGCCTCCCCGGGGGGTGGGTGCATCCACTGCTTTCCCCACTGCAGGCGCTTTGCACGGATTTGACCTTCTAAAGGCAACGTTGCACCCACAGTTTGCAGGAGACCTGCCTCCATCTCCTTTCTCCCAGAGAGAAGCAGTCATATTTCCTGCAGTGGGTTATTTAGCACTTACTGCTGGGACCCCCCTAGGCCCTGAGATGAGGACCTGGGGACCAGGGACCCCAGGAGGCCCAGTGAGGGAAGGGTGTGAGACATCTGGGGAGGAAAGCCAGTGGAAGGGTGACGGCCATGGGCAGCTGGGCTCAGGCTCCTGGGGGCCGTGGGGAACGTGCCTCGGAACTTCCCTCTGAGGGCTGAGGGAGCCGGGATCGCCCATCGACTCCCATTCCTCAGTAGCTGATGTCCGCCCCTGGGCCGTGAGCCCCTGCCAGGTCCGGCAGCTCCGGCAGCAGGTGAATGTCCTCCCGCGGGACACGGGAAGCCAGGGGTAGAGACGAAACCGTCTGAGGTGACCTCTGGGGTACGGCAGCATCTCTCATTCCCTCCTGCCCTGCGTGGAGTCCATCCCGTCCTGTCGCTGATTCTTCAAGTGACAATTTCTGGGAGGGCTGGTGGCACACATGCCAGTTCCCACCACCACCACCGTGGCCTTGGCGCCACGGCCGACTCTCATTCTAGAGCCCGTCACCCCGTGCTCCTGCTGGTCTGGGTCACTTGCTGGCTGGGCTGTCTGATGTCATGGCTGAGGCTTCCACCCCAGGGACCTTCCCCCGGCCAGACGGTGGTTGCTGCAGTGACCTGTTTACTGTTTGCTTTGGGCAAAGCACCAAGGGTAGTGGAAAAGGTGGATAAAACGAATGAGAAGATGGAGGCTTTGACCCGGCAATGGAGCCCTCGGGAAAGGATGGACAGGCCGCATCGGAATCGCAGATTCGCTGGAGTGCACTTCGCATAAAAGCCCCTGGATACAGCTGAGGAAAGACTCAGGGACCAATGCTGAGATTGACTGAGAGAAATGATCCAAATGGAAGCACAGAGAAGGAGAAAGAGAGATAAACCAGCTAAACCAGCCTGGAGCTGGAAACGTGTGGGGTGAGGCCCACAGGCCGCAGGGGCCTGCGGGGTGCAGAGGGAGTGAAGAGATGTCAGAGAGGGGCCTACTGCCCCCACAGGGCCCCCTTGTTCCCCCCGAGTGGGTTCCCCAGTTTCCCACCCCCACTGCCTTCCCATTTCTTGGTTAACATTTTCTTTCTTTTTTTTTTTAGACAGAGGCTCACTAGTGGCACGATCTTGGCTGATTGCATCTTCCACCTCCTGGGTTCAAGAGATTCTTGTGCCTTAGCTTCCTGAGTAGCTAAGATTACAGGTGTGCACCACCACGCCCGGCTAATTTTTGTATTTTTAGTTGAGATGAGGTTTCACCATGTTGGCCAGGCTGGTCTCGAACTCCTGACCTCAAGTGATCTGCCCGCCCCGGCCTCCCAAAGTGCTGGGATTACAGGCGTGAGCTACTGTGGCCGGCCACATTTCCCTTCTGGTGCGCGTCCTCCTGTAGCTGTGGGATCAGGGGAGGTAGAGATGTCTTGTAACTGACTCAAGTTTGGCTGCTTGCCGCAGGAGAAGCGAGGTGTGGTGAAAGGAAAGCAACTTTTATTCAGATGCTAGCAGGTGGGAGAGTGGCCAGGCTCAAGGCTCTAAGGAACCATCTCAGCTTTTTGGACTGCGTGAAGGGCTTTAGGAAGGAGAACTCGGTGTGGGAGACATGTGGGAGTAGGGCAGTGGTGCAGGTGTCTTGAGTAATTGCCCATCCGGAGGTCTAGTTGGCATCATCTTGACCTTGGTCTGGTGGTGGTGGACTCATTGTTCATAACTCCCCTAGACAGGAGGATTCCACAGCTGGGTTCTATGCCTGGTTTATTTAAAAATGAGCCCCTGGCATTTCTAAGCAGGCACAGAATGAGATAAGTGAGCACTGTGGCTGGTGGGAAAGGGAGGGAAACAGGTTTAAAGTATGTTTCAAGGCTGCATTCTGAGACTAGGAGGGAAAGGAAGAAAAACTTTAAAATTCTTCTCAAGGCTGAGATATTTGACTACAGTCTCATGCCCAAAATGTTTCTATTCTACACTGAGACCTGATAGATAATTTGGCTGCATACCTGGAGTCCAGTGTGTGCACCTGCCCCTCCCATCCCATACTCGCAGCCAGTGGAAAAGTCTGCAAAAGGAAGCCAGCTGGGAGTGCCCACCAGAGTCAAAGTCTGGGGCAGGCTGGTGGACTCAAGAGGAGTCTTAAATATTGGAAATGTCATCACAAACCATCTGGGAAGCCCCCTCCTCTTAAAAAGGACATAAAGTCAAAGTGAACAGGTGTGCTCACTCCAAGCCCGTGCCCACAACCACAGTGCCCTTCACATTCAGAGTCATGGCCACTAGCCACAAAATTGTGACTTACAGTTCACAAAATTGGGACATATTTACATGTTGACTAAGTTGGGAAATAATTTGGATTTTCTTTAAAAGTAGTAAAAGTAAAGAAGAAAAAGTCAAAAAGGTCTGACATCTAAGAGGGTGAAATTTCCTTACTTTAGATCACAAGCAATCAGGCTGATCCCGCCTGAGCCCTGAGCTCCCTGGGACCCAGCAGCAGCTGTGCATTGGCACGTGGTGCCCTGTGTCTGATCAGCTGACTCCTCAGGCAAAACCTGCACCATTTTCACCAGAATTGCAGATGTCCTCAGTGTCATTACAAAGTTCCTAAGTCATGACCATTCTGTCCTGTGGAACCAGGCTGGACTAAGCTCCCATTTCTTTAAGCCATCCTGTCCCCTGCAGGGACTTCCAAGGTGGAGCTGATGAGCAATAGTTATGAGTCATTGGAGGAGACATCCCAGAGGCGCCAGCTCCCCTCTGCCCTAAACTGAAATTAAGACCTGGTGCTCTGGGTGGGGCCCCTGGAAGGGGATGTGCAACTCAGAGGGGACCTTCTCCACCTCCACCCAGGAGACCCCAGAGGGACCATGGCAGAGCCGGAGCCCTCTTTTTTTTTGTTCGTTTTTTATTTTATTATTATTATACTTTAAGTTTTAGCCCTCTTTTAAAAACCAAATGAAAATAAGCAAAAGAAGCCAATCGTCTCTGTGAAATGTCCAGAAGAGGGAACTCTGTAGAGACAGAGAGGATATTATTGGCTGCCGGAGGCTGGGAATGGGAAGGTGAGGGGCCTGGGGAGGTGATGGTTAAAAGATTCTTCTTTGTGGTGATGAAATTGTCTTAAAATGGACTGTGGTGATAGTTGTGCAACTTGGTGAATATATAAGTTATTGAATTGTACACTTTAAATGGGTGAATTGTATGGTGTGTGAAACATATCTCAATAAAGCTGTTATTTGAAAAATAAATAAGTAAATAAGTGAAGTCCCTGGGCTGGAGCCGGGGGGATGCGGTTGTTCACTCTAGCTGCACTTGCTGTAGGCCCTGGGCAAGACCTTTCTGCACCCTGGCCCTCAGTTTCTCCAATCTGGAACACGTGGGGTCGGCCAAGGTCTCCACAGGCCTTCTCCAGCAGTGTGTGACAGTGTGGAGTGCCTGCAGAGAAGGCACCTGGGTCTCTCTGAGGAGCAGAGAAGGGGACTGGGGCTGCAGGAATGTGGCTTCACTGTGGGCTTGGGTATCTGTGAGGTCCTGTCTGGGAGAAGCCTTCTCCTTCCCGCCACTCTCCACCTGGCTGGGACTCTTCCTTCATGGCTCATATGGAAATGACAGCCACAGAACGCTGCGTGCTCACCTGATGTTCACCTGAGTCGAGGCTCCTGAGTGTGGGATTGGCCCAGCACCTGGCAGAGAGTTAGAGTCAGACGACAGCAGATGCCAACAGAAAACAAAAGCGAACCCTGGAAACGGTTTGGAGCCGTCTAGGAGCCAGCCTTGGGAATGCAGAAAAAGGGAGGGCTCAGCCGTGCCCTCCCAGAGCTGCAGGTGAACAAGGAGTCAGTGCGGTGGGACTCGGCCACTGCAGCGCGGGCAGGTGCTCCAGTGAGGCGAGGCAGGGCTGGGGGATTTTACAAACCCATTATTTCAAAATAATTTCAGGCACACAGAAAGGGTGCAGACATAGTACAAATATTTCCCTTCTCTCCTTAACCCAGATTACCCAAATGTTCACATTCAATCACATTTATATCTGTTATTTTCATTCTTTCATTATTTTTTCACTAGTTTTAGATCCAATGATGAGTCTTGCCTGAAAACATTATTACTATGATACTTGCCAAATGGTTTTTCCAACACCATCTTTTCTCCTACAGTTATCAGTTGGCATTCTATGTAAATAAGACTTTCCTCTCTCCCTTTTTTTTGAGATGGAGTTTTGCTCTTGTTGCCCAGGCTGGAATGCAATGGTGTGATCTCGGTTCACTGCAACCTCCACCTCCTGGTTTCAAGCAATTCTCCTGCCTCAGCCTCCTGAGTAACTGGGATTATAGGCATGCGCCACCACGCCTGGCTAATTTTGTATTTTTAGTAGAGACGGGGTTTCTCCATGTTGATCAGGCTGGTCTCGAACTCCCGACCTCAGGTGATCCAACCGCCTCGGCCTTCCAAAGTGCTGGGATTACAGGCGTGAACCACTGCACCCGGCTAACCCTTCTTATGTGTGTGTGTATGTGTGTACGTAAGTGTGGACTCGTGGACTATTATTTATGGATTATAATTTATTTACTATCATTCTTTAGTTTGTTGTTCAAATTGTCCCTGATGTGGGAGAGTTTGCAGACGGGAGTGTCACAGTTAGATTTAGGTTTTGAGAGAATCCTGTAAACCACAGTGAGTGCCACTACTCACATACCAGAGTCGTTGAAATTGGAAACGTCAGCCATGCTGAGCGTCGAGGAAGCTGCGGAGCTGTGGCAATGCTCGTACACCGCTGGTGGAAATGGACAATCCTGGGGCAGGCAATCCCGAGAACAGTTTAGCAGTTTCTTATAAAGTTAAACATACACTCATCATGTGACCCAGGGATTCTACTCCTACATATTCACCTAAGAGCATTTAAAATAACACATCTTCACAAAACCTTCCACGCCGATGCTCAGAGGGGCTTTATTCATTAGAGCCCCAGACAGAAAACAACCCCGATGTCTATAAACTGCAGAATGGGTCCAAAAGACGGTCGTATTTCCATTCAGTGAAACAGCCTCAACTCAGAAGAGGAATTAAGTACAGACACACACAGCATGGGAGAATCTCAGAAACATGACCCTAGCTGAAAGGAGCAGAGAATAAACTGTGTGGTTCTATTTATACAAAATCCTATAACTTGCAAAACTCTAAGAACAGAAAGCAGATCAGTGGGTGTTCGGAACTGGGGCTGGGAGGGTAAGGAGGAGTTTGATTAAAAAGCAGCAGGTCAGAAGTTTTGAGGTGATGAAAATGCTCTAATCACGACTGTGGGGTGGCCACACACAGCGCACAATGCAAAGCACGTGGAGCTTTACTTCTGAACTGGTCAGTTTTACTCCGTGTGTAATTAGACCTTCATAACCTGACTCTGAGAAAGCAAAAACCATTTCTCAGGTTCTTGTGGGGATCGCAGACCACAGGGCAGAGTGGAAGCAGGTTGACAGCGTGGGGTCAGAGTTGGGATTTATTTCCGTGGAGAGTTGACCAGACTTGTTGAGTGGTTGGATGCGGGGTGGGAAAAGAAGGGTAAAGGGGGCCCCTGGGGTCTGGATCTGGCTCAGGGTAGGTGGTGGTCCCACTAGTGGAGAAGGAGGTGGGTTGTTTATTGCCACATCCAGGGGGGCACTGGGGACGTCACCCCACCTGTCTCCCTGCACCTGGACCACACCTGGAGGTGGCAGGCAGTGTCCTAAGCTGATCGCCAGGGAAGTCTTCAAGGCCCCCTGCCCCAGGGGTAGCACCAAGCCTTCTGCCGTCGGGGCTGGGGCAGGCCTAGGGGTCTCCTTTGGGCGTGGAGCCTTGAATGGGCACCTGGAGAAAGATGTTGGGGTCCCTCCTTCCCAGGGGCTCCCTTGGAGCTGGGAGGTCCTGCATTTTGGCCTCTAAGGAGAGAGGGAAAGACACCCAGGACAGAGCCCGGTTGTAGGGATGCAGGGCAAGGATGTTCCTGGGACTGGCCTGGGCTTCCCAGCCAGCCAGGTCTGAGTTCAAATCCCAGCCATGCTGCATACCTACAACTACCTGATCTTCGACAGAGCTGACAAAAACAAACAATGGGAGACATTGCTTGTTTTTATGTTTGTTGGCTGACATACATACATACATACATGTCTTAAGACATACATGCAGTCAACAAGCATATGAAAAAGAGTTCAATATCATTGATCATTAAAGAAATGCCAGTCAGCTGGGCGCAGTGGCTTATGCCTATAATCCCAGCACTTTGGGAGGCCGAGGTGGGAGGATCACCTGAGGTCGGGAGTTCGAGACCAGCCTGACCAACATGGAGAAACCCCGTCTCCACTAAAAATACAAAAGTAGCCCAGCGTGGTGGTGCATGCCTGTAATCCCAGCTACTCAGGAGGCTGAGGCAGGAGAATCGCTTGAACCTGGGAGGCAGAGGTTGTGGTGAGCTGAGATCATGCCATTGCACTCCAGCCTGGGCAACAGGAGAAAAAGTCTGTCTAAGAAAAAGAAAGAGAGAGAAAGAAAGAAAGAGAAAGAAGGGAGGGAGGGAAGGAGGGAGGGAGGGAAGGAAGGAAGGAAGGAAGGAAGGAAAAATGTCAGTCAAAACCATGATGAGATATCATTTCACACCAGTCAGAATGGCTCTTATTAAAAAATCAGAAAATGGGCTGGGCGCAGTGGCTCACTCCTGTAATCCCAGCACTGAGGCGGGCAGATCACTGGAGGTCAGGAGTTTGAGACTAGCCAGGCCAATGTGGCAAAACCGTGTCTCTGCTAAAAATACAAAAATTAGCTGGGTGTGGTGGTGTGCATGTGTAATCCCAGCTACTCAAGAGGCTGAGGCAGGAGAATCGCTCGAACCCGGGAGGCGGAGGTTGCAGTGAGCTGAGATCGGCCACTGCACTCTAGTCTGGGCGACAGAGCAAGATTCTGTCTCAAAAAAAAAAAAAAAAAAAGTCAGAAAATAACAGATGCTAGCAAGGTTGTGGAGAAAAAGGAACACTTATACACTATCTGTGGGAGTGTAAATTAGTTTAACCATTGTGGAAGACAGTGTGGTGATTCCTCAAAGACCTAAAGACGGAAATACTATTGAACCCAGCAATCCCGTTACTCGTTATCTACCCGAAGGAATAGAAATTGTTGTACCATAAAGACACATGCATGTGTGTATGTTCATTGCAGCACTATTCACAATAGCAAAGACATGGAATCAACCTAAATGCCCATCAGTGACAGACTGGATAAAGAAAATGTGGTACATATACACCATGGAATACTATGCAGCCATAAAAAATAATGAGACCGTGTCCTTTGCAGGAACATGGGTGGAGCTGGAAGACATTATCCTTAGCAAACTAATGCAGGAACAGAAAACCAAATACTGCATGTTCTCACTTATAAGGGGAACCTGAATGATGAGAACACATGGACGCATAGAGAGGAAGACACACACACTGGGGCCCATCAAAGGGTAGAGGGTGGGAGGAAGGAGAGGATCAAGAAAAATAATGAGGGGGTACTAGGCTTAATACCTGGATGATGAAATAATCTACAACAGTCCCCCATGACACAAGTTTACCTATGCAATAAACCTGCACGTGTACCCCTGAACTTCAAATAAAAGTGACATTAAAAAAAAGTCCTGGGCCGGGCGCGATGGCGCACGCCTGTAATCCCAGCACTTTGGGAGGCCGAGGTGGGCGGATCACGAGGTCAGGAGTTCGAGACCATCCTGGCTAACACAGTGAAACCTGGTCTCTACTAAAAATACAAAAAATTAGTCAGGCATGGTGGCGGGCAGCTCCCTGTAGTCCCAGCTACTCGGGAGGCTGAGGCAGGAGAATCGCTTGAACCCGAGAGGCGAAGGTTTCAGTGAGCCGAGATCACGCCATTGTACTCCAGCCTGGGAGACAGAGCAAGACTCTGCCTCAAAAAAGAAAGAAAAAAGAAAAAGAAAAAGAAAAAAAAGTCCTGGCCATGTCTTACAGTGGCTGAGGAACCCTGGGAAATTGCCTCAGTTTCCCTACAGGCACAGTGGAGGCCATGTCTCCACCACCGAGGTTATGGGGACCTCATAGACAGTAGACCTTCTATCAGTGGCATCCTTCACTCTCTGCCCTTCCCAGTCTCAGTGGCACTCATACGGCTCCTGTTGCAGTAGGGCCTGCCATCAGAGGGCTGGCTCTCCCCGAGCCTCTGCACCCCTCCGGGCCTTAGCTGAGCTGCTTCTTCCCGCCCCAACTGCTTCTTTGCCTCCTTTTCCTCCAGCCCCATGGTCCCCAAAGTTGTGACTGGGCACCTCCTGTCCTGCCTACCAGGGACCCTGGCTCCTCTACCTGCCACCCACCCCTCATCCCCAGTCACCAAACCCATCAGAAAAGCCTTCACCATGGCTTCTTCCTTTCCCTCCCCTGGTGTACCTCCCCCTGCCCCCAGCCCAGGTTGCCTCAAACAGGACCTCTGAGACCCTTCCCCATGAAGCCTGGTAGACCAGCCCACCTGGAGGGATGTTCCTTCTTGTTCTTTTGTGGTCCTTATCCACTGTAAACACTGGCTTTCCAGGGCTGCTGCAGTCTCTTGGATTGGGCCCTTCTTGCCCTGCTGGAACACGTGCTGAGAACCATCCAGGAATACCACGTCCAGGTACCTGTGCTCTTGGATGTATTTTCAGAGAGCAGCAGCCCTGGAATGGATGGTGGGAGGGGCCTGGGCCCTGCCAGCCATCCCACTATACAGATGGAGAAACAGAGGCACAGGGGGAAGACATCCAGCCAGGTCCCCAAGCCCGGCAGCTGTTTCTGTCTGCAGAGCATCAGGGTTTCCATCCTGTGGCTTCCTTCACAGCACCTGCCATGCCAGGCAGGCCCTGTCCAAGTCGGGAGGGTGGGTCAGCAAGACCAGCGCTGCCACTGAAGTTCGCTGTCCCGTGGGAGGCTGAACAAAGAAGCAGGAAGGGTTCCAGGAAAAAGACAGAGCCCAGTGGGGCAGGTGGCTTCTTGGCCCCAAACCAGAGGAGACTCCTCGCCAGCCTATGAACTAATTAATTGTTTTTTTTTGGTAAAGCACAGTGAGCGACCAGGACTCCAGGAGACAGATGGCGCTAAAAAGGCCTTTTCTGCCCAGTCACTTTCATTCCTAGGCCAGACAATACCCAGTGACAATCAGATATTACCGCACTGGCTTTTCAGCTTCAGATGACAGACTGTTTTCTTTAAACTGCTCTGAAAACCCCAAACCACGACCTTCTCTCCACCCATTTCTCTCCCACTACCACTACAGGCGAAGCCCGCAGGAGAGGCGCCGCGGGAGCAGCACAAGCAGGTGACCGCGGTCCTCTCTTCTCTGGTAGACATGGTGGAGTGGTAAGTGCACCGACATTTCTCACATCCTGGAGGAAGCTGTGAACATTCTGAGGACTACTGCAGGCTTCAGTGCCCCTGTTGGGATTTTCATGGATGATCCTGGGGAGGGCGGCTTCGCCTTTCTGAAACACCTTCTCCTGGTGGAGGTGGCCCAATCCCCCACCCTGTAACTCCATCTCTCCCCTCATCTCTCCCCTCCCCTCCATCCCTCCCCGACCTCCGTCCCTCCTCTCACCTCCATCCCTCCCCTCACCTCCATCCCTGCTTTCACCTCTGTCTCCATCCTTCAGCCAGTTGACCATCTGCACAGCCAGGCCTCTTGGTCCTGCCTTCTTGGTCCTGATTGTCCCAGCCCCAAGGACCCCAGGGGTTCCAGTGCTGACAGATAAGTAGACCTGAAGTCATGTTAGCGACGTGGGGAGGAGGAGAAGGGAGGACGAAGATGCATAAGAAGTGTTTTCCCCACATCACATTTTTATGCCTTACAATTGATTTCCTCAAAATCGCATTTTTATTCCTAAAAAATTCCACTTTTATTCCTTTGATACAAAATAACAATAGCAGCTTTAAATTCTCAGGCATGTGTTTATAAGTTGATTTAACGAGGGACAATTTACCAAGTGATGGGGCCGGGTTAAGAACGCGAGCTGGGAGCATCTCCTCTGAGGGGCGAGGGGAGGAAATGTGCGCCAGGCTCTGCAAGGATGGGGAGGAACCACCAGCTTCCTCCTTCCCACCCTCTGATCTCCTGCCAGGGCCCCCATGAGTGGATCCCAACTAGAGGTCAGAGGCCGGGGAGCTGGGAGGATGCAGAGTGGGAAAGGACGGACGTGGACTCCTCATCAGAGCCGGGAACTCCAGCGGGAGGGGAGCTGCTTCAGAGGGGCTGTGACTGGGGAGTACTTTGGGAAGAAGCGACATGTTCTTGTTTGTGTCTAGAAAGGCCAGCTGGCCGCCGTGGACTTTAAGTTTGTGGCGACGGGAACAACTACAAGACAGTTGGGAGGCTGGGGACCGTGGTCATTCGGGAGAAGTGGAGGTGTCCCAGTTGGGTATGGAGAGGGCGGGCAGGCAGGAGAGAGACCTGGGTGGAAGTGGACCGGGGGGCTCGCTGGTCTGGGAGCATGAAGGAGAAGCTGTCCACCCAGACTCAAATGACGGGGAGTTTGCTGTTTGAGGGAACCCGGGGGCTGGCTGTGCAGCACAGGGAGCAGAGGTTGGCAGGAGCTTTTATCCTAAGGTGGATCTTGCCGCCTCTCTGGGCAGCCTCCCAGGCCTCTGCTCCAGGTGACCAGCTTCTCTCGAGGGCCCACAGCCAGCATGGCAGAACACAGCTACCAGCCTTTGCTATACCCCAGATGCTTGGCTACAGGGACCTCCACAACAGCAGCTCTGTGTCTAATGCTTGAGCTCAGTTCCAAGGAGTCTGGCTAGGGTCACCTTTCTGAGCTGGGCTCCCAAGTCACAGCTGACACACCGACTTGTGGGTTTGTGTCCTTGGGTCAGGTATCTGCTGTAATCGGCTGTGCTCAGGGTTGTGGGATGGGCTGAGAATGACAAACCTCCAGGATGGCAGTGAGCTGTCCTAGTGGAGGTCCTCACCTTGATCACCCAGCCACTAGCCAACTCACCAACCGACCACAGATGCAGGAGAGCAGCTGAGACCAGCAGAAGAATGGCCCAGCTGAGCACAGCCCAAGCTGTTGACCGAGAGAATGATGACAAATGAAATGGCCGTTGCTTTAAGCCACTAGTTTTGGGGGTGTTTGTCATGCAGCAAAAGCTGACTGAAACAGAAATTGGAATCCAGAAGTGGGGTGCTGCTGTACAAAAACCTAAACCATGTGCCATAGGTTTGGGACCAAACAGTGGGCAGAAAATGGAAAAGTGGCAAGGAAACTATTAGCAAGGGCTGAGAAAATGGAAAACTGTTAGTGGAGTCTGGAAAGGTGTAAAAAATGCTATAGCTAGTGGAAAAATGGTGTTACATGGTAGCCCAACATCTGGCCAAATGTTATCTGCTGTAACTTACAAGATAGAAAATGCACCTGACAAACTTGTGGGATCCCACCAAGAAGATTTCTCAGTAGAATGTTGAAATTGACAGGTAGTTTCATTTCACTGTGTGAGATCCAGAGAGAGAGAGAGAGAGGTGAGTTGAAATGACAACCATCCAGTTTGCAAGAGAAATCTAGAGGAAGTAGAGAGGAGCCCAGATTGCTGGACTGGAATAAAACTGTTTCAAAGAAGTGGTCACCGGGTAAAGATCAAATCAAACGTGTAGCTTAAGTCCTTTGTTAAAACCTCAGAAAGACTTCAGGCAGTGGCCAGTACAGCCTCCCAGGGAAACAAACAAACTTCTAAGAATCTTAAGGGTGTTGTCCCATAGCACCGTCACATCCCACCCAAGTCGAAGAAAGGACTGTCTAAAAAAGATCTGTGGGCATGACGCTGTTGGATGAAGAGGACTTGCCTCGCATTCATAAGTAATTCACAGAGTTTTAAAGGGAATTCTATTGGTGAAAGCCCCACAGTGCAAACGGAGATAGTTCAAGTTGCACAAGGGCTTCTGGGTGCCTCACTTTCACTGTGGAAGAACTAGAGTGAGAAAGCAAATCAGCTGCCCACAGGGGCCTTTCCTTATGGAAATGAAGGACTCCTCTGAGGGCAGAGCTCAGAGAACAGTGGGCTGCAGCCCTGTCCTACTTATAAATCACGTGTCGGCTGGGCATGGTGGCTCATGCTTGTAATCCCAGCACTTTGGGAGGCTGAGGCTGGTGGATCACAAGGTCAGGAGATCGAGACCATCCTGGCTAACATGGTGAAACCCCGTCTTTACTAAAAATACAAAAAAATTAGCCGGGCGTGGTGGTGTGCACCTGTAGTCCCAGCTACTCGGGAGCCTGAGGCAGGAGAATGGCATGAACCCGGGAGGCAGAGCTTGCAGTGAGCCAAAATTGCACCACTGCACTCCAGCCTGGGAGACAGAGTGAGACTCTGTCTCAAAAAAAAAAATATCACTTGTCTTGTTTTTTCCATTCCCTTGTCTCACCTTCTCCATTCTCACACTTGTGCTTCCTGGAATCATCCTCAAATACATTTCTCCCATTCCAGTCCTAGTCTTAGGTCTAATTTTGGAAAAACCAACCTATGACTCTCGGCAACCCATTTTGTCTCTGACTATTTATTTATTTATTTGAGACAAAGTCTTGCTCTGTTGCCCAGTCTGGAGTGCAGTGGCATGATCTCCATTCACTGCAACCTCTGCCTCCCGGGTTCAAGTGATTTCCAGCTAATTTTTGTATTGTTAGTAGAGACAGGGTTTCACAGTATTGGCCAGGCTGGTCTCAAACTCCTGACCTTAAGTGATCCGTCCACCTTGGCCTCCCAAAGCACTAGGATTACAGTTGTCCCTGCCTTTAGTGGAAAATTCTCTAGTGTTTTCCATTAAGCATGATGCTGGGGTTTGGACAGAGATAGATATGAAGTATCCAACTATTCTTTTTATCCACGTTTTTGTTTTGTTCTGGTTTTAAGGACTGGTTGTTGAATTTTGTCAAATCCCATTTTATGAACATCACAAGTTATCCGTTCTTGATTGACAATTATGAATAAGGCAGCTGTGAACATTCTCATGCCTGTCTCCCAGTAAACATGTGCACACATGTCTTTTGGGTATATACATAGGAGTGTATATTATATATAGGAGTATATATAGGAGTAGAATTAGGGGGTCATAGGGTGGGCGTTTCTTCACTGTCGTTAGAAGGCACTGCGAGTTTTCCAAAGAGATTGTGCTGTTCACGCTCCTACCGGCAGGGCATGGGTGTCCAAGCTGTCCTGTATTTTTGCCAAGGTTTATCATTGTTAGTCTTTTTGTTTTCAGCTGGTCTGATGGATGTGAGGTGTTATTTCATTATAGCTTTAATTTTCACTTCTGTGATTACCAAAGAAGCATTTTTTAATGTGGTTGTTTCTCATTTAAATATACTCTTAAAAAAACAAACAAACAACAACAAAAACAACAACAACAACAAAAAACAAGGAGAACACCAAACATACTTTATTAGCACAAAAAAGCAGCTGTAACAAGGCACAGCAAGAAGAAACATACATTCACAGTCCAAGGGTTAGTGTTGCATACAAATACAGCTTTTCTGGCTGGGCCCGGTGGCTCATGCCTGTAATCCCAGCACTTTGGGAGGCCGAGGCAGGCGGATCACAAGATCAGGAGTTCGAGACCAGCCTGGCCAACATGGTGAAACCCTGTCTCTACTAAAAATACAAAAATTAGCTGGGCGTGGTGGCATGCACCTATAATCCCAGCTACTCAGGAGGCTGAGGCAGGAGAATTGCTTGAACCCAGGAGGCAAAGGTTGCAGTGAGCCGAGATTGCACCACTGCATTCCAGCCTGGGCAACAGAGCGAGACTCTGTCTCGAATGTATATATTCCCTGTAGCCTTGGCGATAGCCATGGGAGTGTAAAATGACATTCTGCAGCAGCATGGAAGGAAACCAGGAAGCAGTCCGCAGTGGCACAGAGCACATTAACAAAAAGATGCAAGGACGGATTAGGCTGCTTTAGTGCAAAATGTCTAGGACAGAACTGTACACATTCAGTTCAGATTCTAAGAAGCAGACACTAGAACCTGATGTAACTTCCAAAAGAGCCCACTCAAATAGTATTACATAGTATTCCAGGTGACAAAAAGTTGCTAAGTAAAGTCGTTTACAGATACAATGGTTGTACAGCACCTTTTAAATTTGCAATTTAGGTTTCAGATTTTCCATTGAGAATGAACTGCCCTGAAATTCGATACATTATACTTAAGCAGTTCAGCTATGAGAATTTTTTTTTTTTTTTTTTTTTGAGACGGAGTCTCACTTTGTCGCCCAGGCTGGAGTGCAGTGGTGCGTTCTCAGCTCACTGCGAGCTCCGCCTCCCAGGTTCACACCATTCTCCTGCCTCAGCCTCCCGAGTAGCTGGGACTACAGGCGCCCACCACCACGCCTGGCTAATTTTTTTGTATTTTTAGTAGAGACAGGGTTTCACTGTGTTAGCCAGGATGGTCTTGATCCCCTGACCTCATGATCCGCCCACCTTGGCCTCCCAAAGTGCTGGGATTACAGGCATGAGCCACTGTGCCCGGCCTCAGCTATAAGAATTTACAACAAAGAGGTAACTACTGCTATCCAAATTATTAATTACAGTTTAACAATAAACTCAACATCAGCAACCATTGCAGTTATTATTGTCTGTCTTGATGGGGCATCTTCTAGTCTCGTGTTCTTCATGGTTCGTGAAATCGTCATGGGCATAGGGAAAGATCCAACTTTCATGAAACAATGATTAGACTGCACATCAACTTTAAAAAATTACATGCCAGAGTATATTGCAGAGGCCGGACACGGTGGCTCACCCTTGTAATCCCAGCACTTTGGGAGGCCGAGGCACTTGAGGTCAGGAGTTCGAGACCCCCCTGGCCAACATGGTGAAACCCCGTTTCTACTAAAAGTACAAAAATTAGCCCAGTGTGGCGGCAGGCACCTGTAATCCCAGCTACTTGGGAGGCTGAGGCATGAGGATTGCTTGAACCCAGAAAGTGAAGGCTGCGGTGAGCTGAGATCATGCTCCTGCACTCCAGCCTGGGTGACAGAATGAGATTCCATCTCAAAAAAAAAAAAAAAAAAAGAAAAAAAGAAAAAAAGACTATATTGCAGAAGCGATTCCACATACCTGTTTTAAGTTAAAACACTCATTAAAAATATTAATACCTAGGACCTTTAGACGAAATTCTACTACTAACTTTATAAGTATGAAATTTTAAGAATGACTATTTAGAAAAGCTGGTTTACCTAACAGTAGCTTTTGGAGAAGAGAAAGAATCTGACTATAAAATACATCAACACTTAAGTGAACTGCACTATGCCCTCGTGGCCAGAAAACTGCATTTCTTTTCCTAAAAGGAAGGCAGTCTTTCATTTTTTTTTTTTTGACTTATAAAGCTTGACTTATAGTAACTTCAAACGTCAGTACTTTTGGAAGATGATAGAAAAACTCTTAGAAAAAATAATTTTAGGCATTAGTCAGACAGTTGCAATACTCATCCAATATTAATTATTTGTTCTTCAGTAAGAAATTGAATTCGTCAGAGCAGATGCCCCTGACCTGCCTCACTCAATGACTACAGCCATTACAAACCCATCTGTTAGCTACATCGGCCACATGTTTTGGTAGGCTTACTGAACACCTGGAGCGGTGTCTCCTGTTGCTCCACCAGGCACCACGTTCATCTGGATAAATAACAGCAGGTCGCACCTAACAGATACCAGCACTAAGGTCAAAGATGGCATGAAAAAACCCAGCAGTGATGTGTGTGCTTGTTCTGGGGCACTGTCTGATGCACACAAAAGTGAACTGAGTTAACACCCTTTGGGGACAGGACAGTTTGCTTTGCCCTGACTGGTTCTCTTTCTAGTTAGCAAAACCTAACTTTTTGTTTATAATGATACCCCTTTTTTTTTTCTCAAGACGGAGTCTCGCTCTGTGACCCGGGCTGGAGTGCAGTGGCGCCATCTCGGCCCACTGCAACCTCCTTCTCCCAGGTTCAAGCAATTCTCCTGCCTCGGCCTCCTGAGTAACTGGGGTTACAGGCCCGCACCACCACACCCAGTTAATTTTTTGTATTTTTAGTAGAGACGGGGTTTACCATGTTGGTCAGGCTTGTCTCGAACTCCTGACCTCGTGATCCACCCCCCCTTGGCCTCCCAAAGTGCTGGGATTACAGGCGTGAACCACCGTGCCTGGCCTATAATGATAGTCCTTTAAAAAATTCTGCCACGTTGATGATAAAGGGAGCCCACTGATTGCATCATACGCAGTGCACCTGCAGACTCCTGCAGACAGATGCCGCAGGCTGAAAGGAAAGGTCCTGTTTAGAGATACAGTAAGCAGTGGTTCAAAAAACATGAATGAGGCCAGACGCAGTTGCTCACGCCTGTCATCCCAGCACTTTGAGGGGCTGAGGCAGGTGGATCGCCTGAGGTCAGGAGCTTGAGACCAGCCTGGCCAACATGGTGAAACCCCGTCTCTACTAAAAAAAAAAAAAAAAAAAAAAAAAAAAATTAACTGGGCATGGTGGCACACGCCTGTTGGCAGGCTGAGGCAGGAGAATCACTTGAACCTGGGAGGTGGAGGTTGCACTGAGCAGAGATCATGCTATTGCACTCCAGCCTGAGTGACAGAGTGAGACTCTGTCACAAACAAAAACAAGCAGGAACTGGGATTTTGATCATGTTCTAAAAGATCTGTTACAGGAGGCAGAGGTTGCAGTGAGCCAAGATCGCGCCACTGCACTCCAGCCTAGGTGACAGAGGAAGACTCCCTCTCAAAAACAAAAACGATAACAAAAAGAAACAACAACAACAACAAAAAAATAAAAATAAAAATAAAAGACCTGTTACAGCGGAGGAGTGAAATACACATGGGCCATGGCCATCAAAACACACGCTGTGATCCCACTGCTCAATCTGTGCATAAAGGGACCGGGTGCAGCGGCGGAAGCTCACAGAGAGGAGGTGTCCTCTTGCACAGAGTCCCTGAGCAAAAAAGGGCCTTCGAGTTTCCTTTCCAGAAGGGCTTCTGCTTCCTAACAGTCCCTCACTCCCCCGTCACAGCGATTCCCTGTAATCTGAAGCAAAGCGGGCATGAGGCAGTGTGTGCAATCAGTCTGTGTGTGGACTTTCCAAGCTCCCCGTCTGCTAACATGGGCAAGGCTGTCTCCAGATACTGATGCTACTTCTGCCTCCGTGACTGCAAACACAGGGCGCTTGGATTCTCTTCTGAGTCACAGTCAGCTTGTGGAATTGCAGAACTGTCCCCACTTATTTCAGCAACTCCAAGAGCTAACCTTGGCCCCAGTTTCTTTAAGGGATTAACCTGTGCAGTAGCTTCAAATGTATTTATTTGTACATTGGGAGGGGGATCTATCCCTTCTTCAATACCAAGCCATCTTCTCCCTCTAAGCCTATCTTCTTTGTCTTCTGTAGAAACCAAAGATGGATCAAATGTGTCAGAAATGTTGAATGTGGGCTCACAGGAGCTGTATGCTGTTTAGTCAGATGCCATTTTGGGGCTAAACCTGAGCTCACTGCAACCTCTGCTTCTGGGCTCAAGCTATCCTCCTGCCTCAACCTCCCAAGTAGCTAGGACTACAGGTATGCACCCACCATGCCCGGCTAATTTTTTTTTCCTTTTTTTGAGACAGAGTTTCACTCTTGTTGCCCAGGCTGGAGTGCAATGATGTGATCTCGGCTCACTGCAACCTCCGCCTCCTGGGTTCAAGCGATTCTTCTGCCTCAGCCTCCTGAGTAGCTGGGATTATAGGCATGTGCCACCACACCCAGCTAATTTTGTATTTTTAGTAGAGACAGGGCTTCTCCATGTTGGTCAGGCTGGTTTTGACCTCCCGACCTCAGGTAATCCACCCGCCTCAGCCTCCCAAAGTGCTGGGTTTACAGGTGTGAGCCACCACACCTGGCCTAATTTTTGTATTTTTGCAGACGGCATCTCACTATGTTGCTCAGGCTGGTCATGAACTCCTGAGCTCAAGTGATCCCCCCACCTGGCCTTGCGAAGTGCTGGGATTACATGTGTGAGCCACCACGTCGGGATTACAGGTGTGAGCCACCGCGCCGGGATTATGGGCATGAGCCACTGCGCCGGCCTCTAGTAAACATTTTATCAGTATCCAGTGAATTCTGGGTCTTTGTGGAACAGGAATGTTTGTTCCTCCCACCTGTGGACCATGTGGAGAGTAGGAATCTCTTCATGAAGTCTTGTTCCTGGGGTAACACAAGAATCATTGTCCTCTTTCAGTGCTTGTTTCAATAATCTGAGAGATTTTGGTGGCACCATTTTGGTGTCTCCTTGAAGAACTCTTGGAAGGGCTTAATCCCAGTTGTAAGGGAAAATGTTTTTTCTCTTAAGGGACTGCTTTGTGGCTGAGCTGAGTCTCCCTGTGTGGATGCTTTTCTCTTTGACAGACAAACCGCCCTTGGCTTTCATGTCTATATTTTCCCTATGGCTTCCTCCCTTGTGACTGAAGCGATTCTGACACCTGTATTTGAAGTCGTTCCATACTTTCCCCACTCTTTCCATTGGCTATAAAATCATCTGGGGTGTGCAGAGCAGCCTTATGCAGGGTACCTGCGGCCAGGCAGGACAGGCCCGGGCGGCACAGTTCCCCGACAGGTGGAGGATGGCCCGGACGGCACAGTTCCCCGACAGGTGGAGGATGCCTGCTCTCTGGTGTGTTCTGTCCCCTCCGACTGCACAGCCCACCCCCTGTCCCCCTGCCACGGCCAGCCCTTCCTCTTCACCTGTTTCCCCCGTCTCCCCCCACCCCAGCCAGCCCTTCCTCTTCACCTGTTTCCCCTCCCCCTCCCCCCACCCCTGCCAGCCCTTCCTCTTCACCTGTTTCCCCCCTCTCCCCTGATCCCGGCCAGCCCTTCCTCTTCACCTGTTTCCCCCATCTCCCCCCACCCCAGCCAGCCCTTCCTCTTCACCTGTTTCCCCCCTACTCCCCCCACCCCTGCCAGCCCTTCCTCTTCACCTGTTTCCCCTCCCCCTCCCCCCACCCCTGCCAGCCCTTCCTCTTCACCTGTTTTCCCCCTCTCCCCCCACCCCAGCCAGCCCTTCCTCTTCACCTGTTTCCCCTCCCCCTCCCCCCACCCCTGCCAGCCCTTCCTCTTCACCTGTTTCCCCCCTCTCCCCTGATCCCGGCCAGCCCTTCCTCTTCACCTGTTTCCCCCATCTCCCCCCACCCCAGCCAGCCCTTCCTCTTCACCTGTTTCCCCCCTACTCCCCCCACCCCTGCCAGCCCTTCCTCTTCACCTGTTTCCCCTCCCCCTCCCCCCACCCCTGCCAGCCCTTCCTCTTCACCTGTTTTCCCCCTCTCCCCCCACCCCTGCCAGCCCTTCCTCTTCACCTGTTTCCCCTCTCCTCCCCAGACCCCTGCCAGCCCTTCCTCTTCACCTGTTTCCCCTCCCTGCACCCCAGACAGCCCTTCCTCTTCACCTGTTTCCCCTCCCTGCACCCCAGACAGCCCTTCCTCTTCACCTGTTTCTCCCCCTCCCCCCACCCCAGCCAGCCCTTCCTCTTTACCTGTTTCCCCTCCCCTCCCCCCACCCCAGACAGCCCTTCCTATTCACCTGTTTCCCCGCCTCCCCCGTCTGGAATGGCTAAATACACTCTTTGGTGAAGTGCTGGGTCAGGCCTCTTGTCTATTTTTCCTATTGTGTTAATGATCATTTTTCTTGCTGCTTCATAAAATTTCTTTAAATAATAAAATGGAAATGACTGAAAATGGCTATTTTTGGTTACATATATTACAAATATTTTATTCCACTTTCTAACTTGCCTTTTCCTTTTCTTCCTGGAATCTTTTGATGAATAGAATCTCTTATCTTCTTCCCATTTTGAAAGCTGTGGTAAAATAGGCTGGGCATGGTGGCTCGTGCCTGTAATCCCAGCACTTTGAGAGGCCGAGGTGGGCTAATCATTTGAGGTCAGGAGTTCGAGACCAGCCTGGCCAACATGGCGAAACCCCATCTCTACTAAAAATACAAAAATTAGCCCGGCGTGGTGACCCACGCCTGTAATCCCAGCAACCCAGGAGGCTGAGGCAGGATAAATGCTTGAACCCAGGAGGTGGAGGTTGCAGTGAGCTGAGATCGCGCCACTGCACTCCGGTCTGGATGACAAAGCAAGACTCCTTCTCAAACAAACAAACAAAAAATTGTGGTAAAACAGACATAACATAAAATTTACCATCTTAACCCTTTTTAAGTGTAAAGCTTAGTTGCATTAAGTAAATTTATAATACTGTGCGGCCATTGCCACCAAGCATCTTCAGAACTCTTTCCACCTTGTAAAGCTGAAGCTGTACACTCATTCAACAACCTCCCACGATCCCCTTCCAGCTCCTGCAACCACCTTTCCACTCTGTCACCATGAATTGGACTGCTCTAGGCCCCTCACGTAAGTAGAATCCTAAAGCATCTGCCTTTATGTGACTGGTTTGTGTCGCTTAGCACAGTGTCCTTAAGATCCGTCCGCCCTGTAGCATGTGTCAGAATTGCGTTCCTTTTTTTTTTTTTTTTTTGACGGAGTCTTGCTCTGTCGCCCAGGCTAGAGTGCAGTGGCGTGATCTCGGCTCACTGCAAGCTCCACCTCCTGGGTTCACCCCATTCTCCTGCCTCAGCCTCCGGAGTAGCTGGGACTACAGGCGCCCGCCACCACGCCCGGCGAATTTGTTGTATTTTTAGTAGAGATGGGGTTTCACCGTGTTAGCCAGGATGGTCTTGATCTCCTGACCTCGTGATCCACCCATCTTGGCCTCCCAAAGTGCTGGGATTACAGGCATGAGCCACTGCACCCAGCTAGAATTGTGTTCCTTTTTAAGGCTGAATAATATTCCGTGGTTCGTATATACCACATTTTGCTTGTCCGTTCACCTGTGGGTGGACACTTGGGTTGCTTCTGTTTCAGTGATTGTGAATAATGCTGTTAGGAACACGGGTATGAAAATATTTCTTAGAGACCCTGCTTTCAATTCTTTTGCGTATATGCCCAGAAGAATTCCTGGACCATTTGGTTATTCTTTTTTTGCTTTTGTGAGGAAATGTCATAGTATTTCCCCAAGCAGCTGTACCATTTTATATTCTCATCAACAGTACGCAAATGAGTTTTTGTTTGTTTGTTTTGAGACAGGGTCTGGCTCTGTCCCCCAGGCTGGAGTGCAGTGGGGCCACCTCCACCTCCAAGGCTCAAGCGATCCTCCCACCTCAGTCTCCCGAGTAGCTGGGACCACAGGCACACACCACCATGCCTGGCTAATTTTCGTATTTTTTTTGTAGAGATAGAGTCTTGCTATGTTGCCCAGGCTGGTCTCAAACTCTTGGGCTCAAGTGATTTCCCGTCTTGACCTCCCAAAGTTCTAGAATTACCGGTGTCAGCCACCGTGTACGGCCCTGCAAATGTTTCAATTTCTTTACAGCTTCACCAACACTTTTTTTTTTTAGCAGTAGCCATCCTAATGGGTGTGAGGTGGTGAGGCGAGAAGCCATTTCTCTTACTGTCTCCTGTCTCTGAAAAAGAGGAGGAAGTAAAAGTTGAAAAACAACAGGAATGAAGTCAGTGGCAAGACCAGCTTGTGCCACTGATGACCCGGCCTGAGGTTAAAAGATTAAGCCCCGCCCCCCCCACTCTAACCACAGGTGCTCTCAATCCATCACGACCCTTTCACGTGGAACCACTTAGCCCTTAAAAGGGCCAGGAACTCTGTCTTCGGGGAGCTGGGCTCTTAAGACACCAGTCGGCCAATGCTCCCGGCCGAATGAAAAAACCTCTTCCTTCTTTAATCCGGTGTCTGAGGAGTTTTGTCTGCCGCTGGTCCTGTTACATTTCTTGGTTCCCTGACTGGGAAACGAGGTGATTAACGGACCGTTGAGGCAGCCCTTTAGGCCGCTTAGGCCTGCCCTGTGGAGCATCCCTGCGGGGGACTCCGACCAGCTCCAGCAACGCGGATCCTGAGAGCGCTCCCACGTAGGAAATTGCCCCGGTGGAACGCCTCGTCAGAGCAGCGCGTGGCAGGCCCCGGTGGAGGTTCAACGCAATGGCTGAACACCGGGAAGGAACTGGCACTGAACATCTGGTCTGGACATCTGAAACTTGGTAAGACTGGTCTTTGGAACTTGCCCACTCCATTTGAGTGGAAGTGTGGCTTGATCACCCATGGTGTGCCTGTACCGGCACTTTGGTTCTTGTTTTTGACTTGACTTGGATTGCTTGATACTTTGGTTTTGGTTTTGACCTGGCTTGGATTTCTGGATACTCCAGTTTTGGTTTTGATTCTGGTCTGGTGTAAACTGAGAAAGTGTGTGTGTGCCTTTTTTACCTGTTCTTTGTTCTGTGGTGTGCGTGTGGTGTGAGCGTGGTGTTTTGTCTCGAGGAAACGGGTCAGACACAAAGTAAGCCCACTCCGCTAGGAACTATGTTGAAAAATTTCAAGGAAGGATTTAATGGAGACTATGGGGTTACTATGACACCAGGGAAACTTAGAACTTTGTGTGAAATAGATTGGCCAACATTAGAAGTGGGTTGGCCATCAGAAGGAAGCCTGGACAGTTCCCTTGTTTCTAAGGTGTGGCACAAGGTAACCGGTAAAGGATACCTAGACCAGTTCCCATACATAGACACTTGGTTACAGCTGGTGCTAGACCCCCCACAGTGGCTAAGAGGGCAGGCAGCAGCAATGCTAGTAGCAAAGGGACAGATAGCCAAGGAAGGATCCCGCTCCACCCGCCCAGGGAAATCAACTCCTGAAGTTCTGTTTGACCCAACATCAGAAGATCCATTGCAGGAGATGGCACCAGTGATCCCAGTGGTGCCCTCCCCTTACCAGGGAGAGAGGCTCCCCAGTCTTGAGCCCACAGTGCTTGCACCTCTGCAAGACAAGCATATCCCTAGGCCACCCAGAATAGACAAGAGAGGAGGTGAAGCCTCGGGAGAAACCCCTCCCTTGGCAGCTCGTTTAAGACCCAAAACTGGGATACAAATGCACCTGAGAGAGCAGCAGTATACTGGGAGAGATGAGGATGGTCACATGGTGGAGAGGCGTGTTTTTGTGTACCAGCCCTTCACCTCTGCCGACCTTCTCAACTGGAAAAACAATACCCCGTCCTATACCGAAAAGCCACAAGCTCAAATTGATTTGCTCCCAACTATTATGCAGACCCATAACCCCACTTGGGCTGATTGCCACCAGCTGCTCATGTTCCTCTTTAATGCAGATGTAAGGTGGAGAGTGCTCCAAGCAGCAACTAAGTGGCTAGAGGAACATGCACCAGCTGATTATCAAAACCCCCAAGAGTATGTAAGGACCCAGTTACCAGGAACCGACCCCCAGTGGGGCCCAAATGAAAGAGAGGATATGCAAAGGCTAAAGGGAGACAGGGAAGCTGTCTTGGAAGGGTTAAAGAGGGGAGCTCAGAAGACCACAAACGTTAACAAGGTCTCTGAGGTCATTCAGGGAAAAGAAGAAAGTCCAGCACAATTCTCTGAGAGACTGTGTGAGGCCTATCGCATGTATACTCCCTTTGATCCCGATAGCCGTGAAAATCAGCGCATGATTCAAATGGCTTTAGTTAAAGCGCAGAAGACATTAGAAGAAAACTGCAGAAACAGACTGGGTTTGCAGGGATGAACACATCAGTTACTAGAAATAGCTAACCAGGTGTTTGTAAACAGGGATGCAGTAAGCCGTAAGGAAAACCGCAAAGAGAATGAACGTCAGGCCTGGCGAAAGGCCGACCTGTTAGCTGCAGCAATCAGAGGGGTCCCCCCAAAGAGGCCAGGGAAGGGGGCCCTGGGAAAAAACTCAACTTGGTTGTCAGAGCTTGCAGAGTAACCAGTGTGCTTATTGTAAAGAAATAGGATATTGGAAGAACAAATGCCCTCAGCTAAAAAGAAAACAAGGTGACTCAGAGCAGGAGGCCCCAGACGAGGAGGAAGGGGCCCTGCTCAACCTGGCAGAAGGGTTATTGGACTCAGGGGGACCGGGCTCAAGTGCCCCGAAAGAGCCTATGGTCAGCATGACAGTCGGGGGTAAAGACATTGATATTCTTGTAGATACCGTTGCTGAACATTCGGTAGTAACCGCCCCAGTTGCCCCCTTATCCAAAAAGACTATTGACATCATCGGAGCCATGGGGGTTTCAGCAAAGCAAGCTTTCTGCTTGCCTCGGACTTGTGCTGTAGGAGGACATACAGTGATTCGTCAGTTTCTGTACATGCCTGACTGTCCCTTGCCCTTGTTGGGAAGGGACTTGCTTAGCAAGCTGAGAGCCACTGTCTCTTTTACAGAGCATGGCTCTTTGCTGCTAAAGTTACCCGGAACGGGAGTCGTTATGACCCTTATGGTCCCCTGAGAGGAGGAATAGAGACTTTTCTTAACTGAGCCGGGCCAAGAGATAAGACCAGCTTTGGCTAAGCGGTGGCCAAGAGTGTGGGCGGAAGACAACCCTCCAGGATTGGCAGTCAACCAAGCCCCTGAATATGGAAGTTAAGCCTGGGGCCCAGCCGGTTAGGCAAAAACAGTCCCCAGTCCCCAGAGAAGCTCTTAAAGGTATCCAGGTTCGCCTCAAACACCTAAGAACTTTTGGAATTATAGTTCCTTGTCAGTCTCCATGGAACACTCCCCTCCTGCCTGTTCCCAAGCCAGGGACCAAGGACTACAGGCCGGTACGGGATTTGTGCTTGGTTAATCAAGCTACAGTGACTTTCCATCCAACAGTACCTAACCCGTCCACATTGTTGGGGTTGCTGCCAGCTGAGGACAGCTGGTTCACCTGCTTGGACCTAAAAGACGCTTTCTTTAGTATCAGATTAGCCCTTGAGAGCCAGAAGCTGTTTGCCTTTCAGTGGGAAGATCCGCAGTGAGGTGTCACTACTCAGTACACTTGGACCCGGCTTCCCCAAGGGTTTAAGAACTCCCCCACCATCTTCGGGGAGGCGTTGGCTCGAGACCTCCAGAAGTTTCCCACCAGAGACCTAGGCTGCGTATTGCTCCAGTATGTTGATGACCTTTTGCTGGGACACCCCATGGCAGTTGGGTGCGCCAAGGGAACGGCTGCCCTACTCCGGCACCTGGAGGACCGTGGGTATAAGGTGTCCAAGAAAAAAGCTCAGATCTGCTGACAGCAGATATGTTACTGGGATTTACTGTCCGACAGGGGGAGCGCAGCCTGGGATCAGAAAGAAAGCAGGTTATTTGCCATCTAGCGGAGCTTAAGAGCAGAAGGCAGGTGAGAGAATTCTTAGGACCTGTGGGGTTTTGTAGACTGTGGATCCCAAACTTTGCAGTATTAGCCAAGCATTTGTATGAGGTCACAAAGGGGGCGGGGACCGGGAACCTTTTGAATGGGGATCCCAACAACAGCAAGCCTGACTTAAAGAAAAAACGTACGTCAGCCCCAGCCCTGGGGCTGCCCGATCTGACAAAACCTTTTACATTGTATGTGTCAGAGAGAGAAAAGGTGGCACGTGGAGTTTTAACCCAAACTGTGGGGCCCTGGCCGAGGCCGGTGGCCTACCTCTCTAAACAACTAGATGGGGTTCCTAAAGGATGGCCCCCGTGTTTGAGGGCCTTGGCAGCAACTGCCCTGCTAGTACAAGAAGCAAATAAGCTGACTCTTGGGCAACACCTGAACATAAAGGCCTCCCGTGCTGTGGTGACTTTAATGAATACTAAAGGACATCATTGGCTAACGAATGCCACACTCACCAAGTACCAAAGTTTTCTCTGTGAAAATCCCCGTATAACCACTGAAGTTTGTAACATCTTGAACCCTGCCACTTTGCTCCCGGTGTTGTACCCGAGTGAATTAGAAAAACGCCACACTTTGAGACGAGTTAAGAGTCCTAACGCCACACTTTGAGACGAGTTAAGAGTCCTTTATTAGCTGGTGACCGAGAGAAAGCTAACGCTCAAAATTCTCTCGGCCCCGAGGAAGGGACTTGATTAATTTTTATACCCTGGTTTAGGAAGGGGAGTAGGGGGGTCTGGTTAAAACAATTTTACAGAAGTTAAGTAGTCAAAAAGTTAAAAGGATAAATGGTTACAGGAAAGTAAACAGTTCCAGGTGCAGGGGCTTTAAGACTATTACAAGGTGATAGATGCGGGGCTTTGGGCATTATCAATCAGATGAATTCTGGGGGACTGCGGATATAGCTTGCCACAGTATCTTATCAGTTAATTGCATTCTTGGATGTGCTGGGAGTCAGCTTGCACAAGTTAAGTCCTTGAGGAAGGGGCTGCCAATGAAAGAGCCAAGATGGAGTCTGTCTGGTTCTCTTAGCTAAGGGAGAGTCCATTCAGGTGGCAACAATGCTGCGTGATTAAAGGAAAAGGGGGAGTCTAAAAACAGGGTTAGTAAAAACGAGTTTGGGCGTTACACCGGTATCAGAGAGCCCTGTCGAGCATGATTGTGTAGAAGTGTTAGATTCAATTGACTCTAGCAGACCTGACCTCCGGGACTGGCCTTGGGCATCAGTAGACTGGGAACTATACGTGGACGGGAGCAGCTTCATCAACCCACAAGGAGAGAGATGTGCAGGGTATGCAGTGGTAACCCTGGACACCGTTGTTGAAGCCAGATCATTGCCCCAGGGCACTTCAGCCCAGAAAGCTGAACTCATTGCTTTCATTCGGGCCTTAGAGCTCAGGGAGGGTGAGACTGTCAACATTTACAGTGATTCTCGGTATGCCTTTTTAACCCTTCAAGTGCATGGTGCATTATATAAAGAAAAGGGCCTATTGAACTCTGGGGGAAAAGACATAAAATATCAACAAGAAATCTTGCAATGATTAGAAACAATATGGAAACCCCACAAGGTGGCAGTTATGCATTGCAGAGGACACCAGCGAGCTTCCACCTTGGTGGGTTTGGGGAATCCCCGCAGTGACTCAGAGGCTCAAAAAGCAGCATCTGCCCCCTTCTGGGCATCAGTCACAGCGCCTCTGCTCCCTCAAGCACCTGATCTTGTACCTACTTCTTCTAAAGATGAAAAGGACTTTCTCCAGGTAGAGGGAGGACAAGTGATGGAGGAAGGATGGATTCGGTTACCAGATGGGAGAGTAGCTGCACCACAGCTGCGAGGAGCTGCAGTTGTACTGGCTGTGCAGGAAACCACCCATCGAGGTCAGGAGTCACTGGAAAAGTTGTTAGGCCGGTATTTCTACATCTCGCATTTGTCAGCCCTTGCCAAAACGGTGATGCAGCAGTGTGTTACCTGCCAACAGCATCATGCGAGGCGAGGTCCAGCCATTCCACCCGGCATACAAACTTACGGAGCAGCCCCCTTTGATAGATCTCCAGGTGGACTTCACAGAAATGCCAAAGTGTGGAGGTAACAAGTATTTACTAGTTCTCGTGTGTACCCACTCTGGGTGGGTGGAGGCTTATCCAACACGAACTGAGAAACCTCGTGAAGTAACCCGTGTGCTTCTTCAAGATCTGATTCCTAGATTTGGACTGCCCTTATGGATCGGCTCAGATAACGGGCCTGCGTTTGTGGCTGACTTGGTACAGAAGATGGCAAAGGTATTGGGGATCACATGGAAACTGCATGCCGCCTACCGGCCTCAGAGTTCCGGAAAGGTGGAGCGGATGAATCGGACTATCAAAAATAGTTTAGGGAAAGTACGTCAAGAAACAGGATTAAAATGGATACAGGCTCTCCCTATGGTATTATTTAAAATTAGGTGTACCTCTTCTAAAAGAACAGGATATTCCCCTTATGAAATATTAATCATGGACCCTCTCCCTTATCGTGGGGACTTCCAGGAGAGTTAGGTGAGACTGAGTTACAGCGACAGCTACATGCTTTAGGAAAAATTACACAAACAATCTCAGCCTGGGTAAATAAGAGATGCCCTGTTAGCTTATTCTCCCCAGTTCACCCTTTCTCCCCAGGAGATCGAGTATGGATCAAGGACTGGAACGTAGCCTCTTTGTGCCCACGGTGGAAAGGACCCCAGACTGTCATCCTGACCACTCCCACCGCTGTGAAGGTAGAGGGAATCCCAGCCTGGATCCACCGCAGCCGTGTAAAACCTGCAGCGCCTGAAACCTGGGAGGCAAGACCAAGCCTGGACAACCCTTGCAGAGTGACCCTGAAGAAGACGACAAGCCCTGCTCCAGTCACACCCGGAAGCTGACTGGTCCACGCATGGCTGAAGCATGAGGAAGCTCATCGTGGAACTCATTTTTCATAAATTTTGGACTTGTACAGTAAGGACTTCAACTGACCTTCCTCAGACTGAGGTAGGGCAAAAAGTTAAAACAGTCTTTGTTTAAAAGGGACTTGTGTGTATAATGCCACCCAGTACAAGGTATGCAGCCCAGGAAGTGACCAGACTGATGTGTGCTATAACCCATTAGAACTACTTAATCCCCATTGGAAAAGAGGAGAGTATGTAACTCTAGGAGTCAATGGAACTGGACTGGCAGGAAGATCTGGGTAATGTAGATGAGAGTGAGAACTTCCACTAGTGAGTGAGGTTCTCAAAGAGGGGAATGAGGAGATAAGCCATTTCTCTTACTGTCTCCTGTCTCTGAAGAGGAGGAGGAAGAAAAAGTTGTAAAACAGCAGGAATGAAGTCAGTGCCAAGACCAGCCAGTGCCACTGATGACCCAGCCTGAGGTTAAAAGATTAACCATCCCCCCCACACCGCCCCCTCCGCCCGCCCACTCTAACCACATGTGCTTTCAATCCATCACGACCTTTTCGCATGGAACCCCTTAGAGTTATAAGCCTTTAAAAGGGCCAGGAACTCTGTCTTTGGGGAGCTCTGCTCTTAAGACGCGAGTCTGTCAATGCTCCCGGCCAAATAAAAAAACCTCTTCCTTCTTTAATCCAGCATCCGAGGAGTTTTGTCTGCAGCTCGTCCTGTTACAGTGGTATGTAATTGTAGTTTTGATACACTTTTCCCTAATGACTAGTGCTGTTGAGTGCCTTTTCATGCACTTATTGTCCACTTGTATATCTTCTTTGGAATAATATCTGTTCAAGTCCTTCCCATTTTTTACTTGTGGTTTTTTTTGTTTGTTTTGTGTTTTGAGATGGAGTCTCATTCTGTCACCAGGCTGGAGTACAGTGGTGCAATCTCGGCTCACTGCAACCTCCACCTCTTGGGTTCAAGCGATTCTCCTGCCTCAGCCTCCCTAGTAGTAGCTGGGATTACAGGTGCCCACCACCACGTCCAGCTAATCTTTGTATTTTTAGTAGAGATGGGGTTTCACCATGTTGCCCAGGCTTGTCTGGAATTCCTGACCTCAGGTGATCCGCCCGCCTCAGCCTCCCAAAGTTCTGAGATTACAGGTGTAAGCCACTACAATTGTGTTTTTTTTTGTTGTTGTTAAATCTTAGGAGTTCCCTATATATTCTAGATATTAATCCCTTATTAGATACATGATTTTCAAATATTTTCATCCATTCTGTAGGTTGCCTTTTAATTTTGTTGGTAGTGACTTTTGATGCATAAAAATTTTAAATTTTCATGAAGTCTAAGTGGTCTATTTTTTCTTCTGTTGCCTGTGTCTTTACTGTCATCCAAGAAATCATCACCAAATCCAATGTTTTGAAGCATTTGCTCTGTGTTTTATAGTTTTAGGTCTTACATTTAGGTCTTTGGTCCATTTTGAGTTAATTTTTCTATATGGTGTAAGGAAAGGGCCCAACTTTATTCTTTTGCATGTGATTATCTGGTTTTCCCAGCACCATTTGTTGAAAAGATCATTGTTTCCACATTGAATGGTCTTGGCACTCTCTCAGAAATCATTTGACCATGTATGCAAGTGTTTATTTCTGGGTTCTCTATTCCATTCCTTTGGTCTATATGTCTTTATGCCAGTACCGCACTCTTTTGATGACTGCAACTCTGTAGTGAGTTTTGAAATCAGAAAGTGTGGGTCCTTCAGCTTTGTTTGTCTTTTTGAAGATTGTTTTGGCTATTTGGGGTCCCTTGAGATTCCATATGAATTTTAGAATGAGTTTTCCTCTTTCGGCCAAAAACATCATTGGGATTTTGATAGGAATTGCATTGAATCTATAGATCACTTAGGGTAGTATTGACATCTTAACAATATTACAACTTCCAATCTGTTAACACAGGGTGTGTTTTTGTTTGTTTATGTTTTCTTATTTCTTTCAACAATTTTTTTTTTTTAATTTTCTTTGTACAAGGCTTTCACCTTCTTGGTTAATTCCTAAAAATTTCATTCTTTCTGATGCTATTGTGGATGGAATTGTTTTCATAATTTCCTTTTCTGGTTGTTCTTTGTTAGTGTACATAAATGAAACTGATTTTTATGTGCTGACTTTGTATCCTGAAATTTTGCTGAATTCATGTATACTGTGTGTATGTGGAATCCTTGGAGTTTTCTTTCTTTCTTTTTTTTTTTTTTTTGAGATGGAGTCTCGCTCTGTCGCCCAGGCTGGAGTGTAGTGGTGAGATCTTGGCTCACTGCAGCCTCCACCTCCCGGGTTCAAGCAATTTTCTGGCCTCAGCCTTCCGAGTAGCTGGGATTACAGGCATGAGCCACCACACTGGCCCATCCTTGGAGTTTTCTACATACATTATATCGGCTGTGAACAGAGATAGTTTAGTTACTTCTTCCTTTTCAATTTGGATAGGATACGTTTTATTTCTTCTTCTAGCCTAATTGCTCTGGCTGGAGCTTCCAGAACTATGTTGAATGGGAGTGGCAAAAGCAGGCATCCTTGTCTCGTTCCTGATCTTAGAGGAGCTAAAACTTTTAGTCTTTCACCATTGAGTGTACTGTTCACCGTGGGATTTTCATATATGGCTTTTATTATGTGAGGTAATTTTCTGCTCTTGCTAGTTTGTGAGAGGGTTTTTTGTTTGTTTTTTTCACAAAAATGTGTTGGATTTTGTCAAATGCTTTTTTATTTTTTTCATCTATTGAGAGGATCATGTGGTTTCTCCCTTCATTTTGTTGATATGGTTTATACATTGGATCAGTTCTTTTTTTTTTTTTTTTTGAGATGGAGTCTTCCTCTGTCATCCAGGCTGCAGTGCAGTGGCGTGATCTTGGCTCACTGCAATCTCCACCTCCCGGGTTCACGCCATTCTCCTGCCTCAGCCTCCTGAGTAGCTGGGATTACAGGTGCCCACCACCATGCCCGGCTAAGTTTTGTATTTTTAGTAGAGACAGGGTTTCACTGTGTTAACCAGGATGGTCTCGATCTCCTGACCTCGTGATCCACCCGCCTCAGCCTCCCAAAGTGCTGGGATTACAGATGTGAGCCACCGTGCCTGGCCCATGGATCGGTTTTTTATGTGTTGGACTGTCCTGGGGAAGCTCCTAGTTTTAACGTGGTTAAACATTTCAATATTTTTTCTTGGTGGTTAACATTTTTTTTCCTTTGCCTGCTCTGAGGTTATAAGGTTGTTTCCTTACATTACTTTTAAAAATTGTTATTGTTTTCTTCTCCTGTTTAGCTTTATAGTCCATGTGGGACTAGCTTTTGTGCATAAGGTGAAGTAGGTATTATGTATGTTTTAAAAATTATGAATGTCTGGCCGGTCGCGGTGGCTCAGGCCTGTAATCCCAGCACTTTGGGAGTCTGAGGTGGGTGGATCATCTGAGGTCAGGAGTTCGAGACCAGCCTGGCCAATATGGTGAAACCCCATCTCTACTAAAAGTACCAAAATTAGCTGGGTGTGGTGGTGGGCGCCTGACATCCCAGCTACTCAGGAGGCTGAGGCAGAATTGCTTAGAACCCGGGAGGTGGAGGTTTCAGTGAGCTGAGATCTTGCCACTGCACTCCAGCGTGGGCAACAAGAAGGAAACTCTGCCTCAAAAAAAAAAAAAAAAATTTAATTGTCCCAGAACCATGAATTGAGGAAACCATTCATTCCTCAGTGACCTGCAGTAGCACTTTTGTTATAAATCAAGTGTCCATTTATGCAAAGATCTGGTTCTGGCTTCCATACTCTGTTTTCAAATCACACTGTTTCAGTTACTCAATCACTAGCTCCATTATCCATTCAGAAGTTGATGGGCATACTAATTTGGAGCAATTATGTAGTCATTTGGGTCTGGCTTCTTTCACTTAGCATAGTACATTAAAAAGTCATCCACGTGTCTGCATTTATCAGAAGTTTGTACCTTTGAATGGTTGGCTTGTGTTCCGTCGGATGTACAATAGTTGGTTTATCCACTCACCAGCTGATGGATATTTGGATTGTTTCCAGGTTTTGGCTGTTACAAACCACGCTGCCAAAAATGGTGTCTTTCTATGGACAGGTATTTCCTTTACTCTTGGGTAAACACCAAGGGGTGAAAGCCCTGGCTCATGTGGTAACTTTACGTGAAATTGCCAAATTGTTTTCCAAAGCAGCGGTACCATTTTGCATTCCTACCAGGAATGAACGAGAGTTTCAGTTTCTCCATATCCTCATCTGCTCTCCACATTGTCAGGGTGTGTGTTAATTTTAGTTATTTAAAGTGGTATGTGGTGATATCTCATATGGTTTTAATTTACATTCCCCTAATGACAAGTGATGTTCATTATCATTTGGGTGTTCATATGTCATCTGTGTATCTTCTTTCTTTTTTTTTTTTTTGAGACGGAGTCTCACTCTGTCTCCCAGGCTGAAGTGCAGTGGTGTGATCTCGGCTCACTGCAAGCTCCGCCTCCTGGGTTCATGCCATTCTCCTTCCTCAGCCTCCCTAGTAGCTGGGACTACAGGCGCCCGCCACCACGCCTGGCTAATTTTTTTCTTTTGGATATTTAGTACTAAGAGACAGGGTTTCACCATGTTAGCCAGGATGGTCTCGATCTCCTGACCTTGTGATCCACCCACCTCAGCCTCCCAAAGTGCTGGGATTACAGGCGTGAGCCACCCTGCCTGGCCATCTGTGTATCTTCTTTAGTGAAGTGTCTATTCATATTTTTCTCCCAATTTTAAAATTAGAAAAAAATTTGTTTTCTTACTCTGGAATTCTTTCATATTCTGGATTCATGCCTTTTATCAGATATGTGTGTTGCAAACTTTTTTTTCTCAGTCTGTGGCTTATCTTTTCATTTTCTTAATAGTGGTGCTAGCACAGCAGACATTTTTAATTTTCAATAAAGTATACTTTATAGTGTTTTTCTTTTCTGATTCATGCTTTTGAGTCGTACCTAAGAAATCTTTGCCTGACCCAAGGCCATTAATATGGTTTGGCTGTGTCCCCACCCAAATCTCATCTTGAATTGTAGCTGCCATAATTCCCACATGTTGTGGGAGGGACCTGGTGGGAGATAATTGAATCATGGGAGCAGTTTCCCCCATAGTGTTCTCGTGATAGAGAATAAGTCTCATGAGATCTGGTGATTTTATAAGGGGCTTCCCCTTTTGCTTGGTTCTCGTTCTCTCTTGCCTGCTGCCATGAAAGATGTGACTTTTGCCTTCTGCCATGATTGTGAGGCCTCCCCAGCCACGTGGAACTGTGAGTCCATTAAACCTCTTTTTCTTTATAAATTACCCAGTCTTGGGCCAGGTATGGTGGCTCACGCCGGTAATCCCAGCACTTTGGGAGGCCGAGGCGGGCGGATCACCTGTGGTCGGGAGTTTGCAACCAGCCTGACCAACATGGAGAGACCCTGTCTCTACTAAAAATACAAAATTAGCTGGGTGTGGTGGCACATGTCTGTAATCCCAGCTACTTGGGAGGCTGAGGCAGGAGAATCGCCTGAACCCGGGAGGCGGACGTTGTCGTGAGATCGTGCCATTGCACTCCAGCCTGGGCAACAAGAGCAAAACTCTGTCTTAAAAAAAAAAAAATTACCCAGTCTTGGGTATGTCTTTATCTTTATCAGCAGCATGAAAACGGACTAATACAGCCATTAAGATTTTCTCCTATGCTTTCCTTGGTGGTTAACATTTTTTTCCTTTGCCTGACTTTACTGCATTAACTAGGAAGTACAGTGTTAATCAGAAATGATGGCAGCAGACTTTCATGTCTCATTTCTGTTCTCCAGAATTTCACCAAGTGAGGTGTTTGCTGTATTACTTATTTCTAGTTCCATCTTATTCCTAGTTTGTAGTTTGTAGGTTGCTACAAACTCTTAAAAATCATGAATAGATTCTGAATTTTATAGAATACATGTTGAATTTCTTCACGATTAAGATGTTCAAATGATTTTTTCATCTTTAAAGATATTTACATTTATTTATTTTTTAAAATTTCAGCATATTGTACCTGTAAACATCTTTATTTTTTCATTGTTGTGAGTGACACTGATGTATCTTCAAATGTCAACAACTTGAAATTCCTGGAATACATTTGATTGTCATATTATTCCTTGTATGTATTACTTACTGGGCTGGACTTAAATAGTTAAATAGTTACAGGAATACTTAGGAACTGTATTCGCATCCATTTTGGTAAGTTATATTTTTGTTTTCTTTCTTTCTTTTTTTTTTTTTAATTGAGACATTATCTCACTCTGTCGCCCAGGCTGGAGTGCAGTGGCATGATCTCGGCTCACTTCAGCCTCCGCCTTCTGGGTTCAAGCGATTCTCCTGCCTCAGCCTCCTGAGTAACTGGGAGTACAGGCCCGCACCACCACGCCCGGCTAACTTTTTGTATTTTTAGTAGAGACAGGGTTTCATCATGTTTGCCAGACTGGTCTCGATCTCCTGACCTTGTGATCTGCCCACCTCAGCCTCCCAAAGTGCTGGGATTACAGGCGTGAGCCACTGCGCCTGGCCCGGTAAGTTGTATTTTTCTTAGAATTTGTCTGTTAAATGTTATTTTCAAACATATTGGCATGGAGCTGCACTCCACACCATTTTCACAGCTGCCGTGTGTGTGTAGGGTCTGTGGTCTTGCCACTTTTATTGCCGTTATTGGCTATTTGTGCATTGTGCCTCTCTCTCTTAAACAGCTTTATTAAGGAATAATTTATATCCCATAAAATTCATCTGTTGCAAGTATATGACTCAATTCAGTGGGTTTTTTTGTTTGTTTGTTTTTGAGATGGAGTCTCACTCTGTCTCCCAGGCTGGAATGCAGTGGTGCAATCTTGGCTCACTGCAATCTCTGCCTCCTGAGGTCAAGCGATTCTCCTGCCTCAGCCTCCCATGTAGCTTGGACTACAGGCATGCACCACCATGCTTGGCTAATTTTGTATTTTTAGTAGGGACGGGGCTTCACCATGTTGCCCAGGCTGGTCTCGAACTCCTCACCTCAGGTGATCCACCCACCTCGGCCTCCCAAAGTGCTGGGATTACAGGCATAAATCACTGTATCCAACCGATACATTGATTATTTTATCAATTTGAAGTGTTTCTCTTTATTGCCAGTCATGCTTTTTGCTTTAAAGTTTATTTTTCTAATATTAACATAGCCAGCTTTCATTTGGTTAGTGTTTGGATGCTATCTGTTCCCATTCTGTTACTTTCCATTTCTCAGTACACTTATGCTTATATTTTTTCTGTACGGAGTATATAGTTTTCCCATCCTGCAATCAACCTGATAATTCTAGATTGGCTATTATATTCTTTTTTTGTATTTTGAGATGGAGTTTTGCTCTTTCAGCCAGACTGGAGTGAAGTGGCGCGGTCTCGGCTCATTGCAACCTCTGCCTCCTGGGTTCAAGCAATTCTCCTGCCTCAGCCTCCCAAGTAACTGGGATTACAGGCTCCCACCACCATGCCTGGGTAATTTTTGTGTTTTTACTAGAGATGGAGTTTCATCATGTTGACCAGGCTGGTCTCGAACTCCTGACCTCAGATGATTCACCCATCTCAGCCTCTTAAAGTGCTAGGATTATAGGCGTGAGCCACTGTGACTGGCCGATTGGCTATTATATTCTTTTAGCCCTTCCAATATATCATTTCATTGTATTCTGGCTTCTTTGTTTCTTGTCAGAACTCAGCAATATTCTGAGGTTTGTAGATAAACTATTGTTTATTTCTTTGGCTGCTTAAGATTTTTTTATTGTAGAGTTTTTTAAAAGAGGTTACCCTATAGAAAATTCTAGTTATAGATTTATTTTTTATTCTCCTTCAGATTTATGAGTCTTCTTGAATCTATGAACTAGTAACTTTCATCAGTTTTGCAAATTTCTCAACTATGATCTCTTCAAATATTGCTACCCCACTCTCTCTCTCCTCTTCTTCTGGGACCCCAGTGAAATGTGCATTAGATTTTCTCACTTTGTCCTCCATGAATTTTACATTCTCTTCCATAGTTTCCATTTTTTCTTTTTATACATTCACTGTTCATTTATATTTGCCTACCTATTTCCATTTTTATTTTTCTTTATTCTTTCCTCCTCCATTTGAGATCATGTTTAGCTTTGTTATTTAGGAAGGTTAGGATTTTTGTGTTTAGTGTTGCCGTTATCATATATATTACATTTAGTCCTTTTTTTCTTTACAGGATATGTACTAGTAGGAAACCGTGAGCAATGATAAAATTAGCATAATTGCTCTTCCTCTCCTTTAACATCTAATTTTAGTTGCTTTTTTCTCCCATGTCCTGATAGACCAGTGACTGTTTTCAATCTTTTCAAGTAACTTTCTTAGGTGTAGTTCTTGTGTACAGCAGTCAGATTTTGCTTTTTGATATAATCTGAATATCAGTTTCTTTTAGTAGACGAGTTAAGCACATTTTACAGTTTTTAGCTTTTTTATTTAAAAATATGTAATTGACAAAAATGTATATATTTAAGGTGTGCAACATGATTTGACATACGTGTAATGATTGTCATAATGAAGTTAATTAATACTTCCATCACCACCCATTCTGTAATTAGATCCCCAGAATGTGTTCCTCTTATATCTGAAAGTTTGGACCCCTTCATGAATACTACCCTAGTTCCTCTAACCCCCCAGGCCCCACAATCACCGTTCTACTCTCAATTTCTATGAGTTTGACTTTCTGAGATTTCATGTACAAGGGATAATCATACAGTATTTGCCTTTCTGTGACTTATCTCACTTAGCATAATGTTTTTCAGGAAGCTCATTTACATTTAGTGATATGACAGATATTTTTTCTAGGTTTTTCACATTCTTTTATATTTTGTTTTCTCTTAGTTGTTTAAAAATGTCTTCCACAATGTGATGTCTTTGTTTTGCCTTTTTTAAAAAAATGTTCAATTATTCTCCTATTTAGGAGGGTTTATGGTTTTGTACTAGTGTTCAACTTTATTAATACAACCTAACATAATAACCTTTATTATAATAAAATATAAAAAATTTAAATAAACGTATATTTTTATGCCTTCTATTTCTTTAGACAGTATTAGTAGCTTACTGGGATCAAGAATAAAATTAGCATATTTCCTCCTCTTTTCTTTTCTTTTTTTTCTTTTTTTTTTTTTTTTGAGACAGAGTCTTGCTCTGTCGCCCAGGCTGGAGTGCACTGGCACCATCTCGGCTCACTACAAGCTCCGCCTCCCGGGTTCATGCCATTCTCCTGCCTCAGCCTCCCCAGCAGCTGGGACCACAGGTGCCCACCACCACGCCTGGCTAATTTTTTGTATTTTTAGTAGAGACGGGTTTTCACCATGTTAGCCAGGATGGTCTCAATCTCCTGACCTGGTGATCCATCTGCCTCGTCTCCCAAAGTGCTGGGATTACAGGCATGAGCCACCACACCTGGCCTCCTTCTCTTTTCTTTTACCACCTGACTTTAGTCAACAGCATCAAACTTCTTAGTATTTGAATTGTTAAATTGTCTTATACTGTTATTATCAGATATTTTGGAAGAACATTCATTGATTCCAAGTTTCTGTGATGAGGCAGCAACTTACTCTACCTTCCCCTATCTTTCCCTATTTTCCTCCAAATTTCCACACGCTCATGGCCTATAACATTTACTTCATTTTTGCCAGTGAGTTCTGCAATTAATATCTTCAATGCTCATCATCAATATTTTTTCAAGTTTCCCAGGCATCTCTTGGTAGTTTGCAATTTATCTTTCAGTTGTTTCTTCAAGAAGGGCCCATGGAAGCCACATTCCCAGAGTTCTCAAAAGTATTTTGTCTCTAAATTCATGCTCAAAACTGTTTATTTCCAGCTTTTAGAGTTTAAGAAAGTTGACTGCATAAGCATCACAGAGCCACAGTTCTTTCCTGAGGCTGTTTCTCTCTGTTGGTAGCTGTGCAGGATCTAAGGCTAGCCTATTTTTTCTTTTTTATATTAAGAGACTTGGGCCGGGCATGGTGGCTCACGCCTGTAATGCCAGCACTTTGGGAGGCTGAGGTGGGTGGATAACCTGAGGTCAGGAGTTCGAGACCAGCCTGGCCAACATGGTGAAACCCTGTCTATACTAAAAATATAAAAATTAGCCTGGTGTGGTGGCACATGCCTGTAATCCCAGCTACTCGGGAGGCTGAGGCCAGAGAATTGCTTCAATCTGTGAGGCGGAGGTTGTAGTGAGCCGAGATTGCGCCATTTAAAAAAAAAAAAAAAAAAAGGACTCCATCATTTTGCCTGATTGTCTCCAAAGATTCTTTTTTTAAATCGTTCTTTAATTAGATCTTTAAAATGTGTCCGCTCCATTGTCTCGTTTTTCTTTCTTATGGACTCCTGTAACGCAGGCATTGGATCTTCTTTGTCTCACATGTCTGTATCTTACTTTTTTATCCTTTTAGTAGCTGTCACTAATCTTATTTAATTTTTTCCCTAATTTCTGTCCTCATATAAGCCTCTCTGTATTTTCTTCAGGATTCCGTCTCTTGTTTTTCATCTTTATTTCTGTGATGTTCATTTATTTTTCAATTTTTCCCTGAATTTTGCCAGCTCACATTTTCTCCCTTGCCATTTTTCCCCTGAGGTTTTGTGTTTCTGTTTTATGGTCTTTATCATAGAGTTAAATGCTTTTTCAACACTTTAAAAATGATTTTTCACACTTTTTTTAAAAATTTTTATTTTTTGAGATAGAGTCTCACTCTTTCGCCCAGGCTGGTGGGCAGTGGCATAATCTCGGCTCACTGTAACTTCTGCCTCCCAGGTTCAAGTGATTCTCCTGCATCAGCCTCCCAAGTAGCTGGAACTACAGGTGACTGCTATCACGCCCAGCTAGAGTTTCACACTTTAAACTATCAGGTCATGGCCGGGCACAGTGGCTCACGCTTGTAATCCCAGCACTTTGGGAAGCCAAGGCGGGCGGATCATGAGGTCAGGAGATCGAGACCATCCCAGCTAACACGGTGAAACCCTGTCTCTACTAAAAATACAAAAAAAAAAAAAAAAAAAATCAGCCGGGTGTGGTGGGGGGCACTTGTAGTTCCAGCTACTTGGGAGGCTGAGGCAGGAGAATGGCTATGCTCTATCTTATGCTAAACAAGGGGTGGATTATTCCAGAGTTTTCTGGGAAAGGGGTGGCCAATTCCCAGAACTGAGGGTTCCTCCCCATTTTAGACCACATAGAGTAACTTCCTAATGTTGCCATGGCATTTGTAAACTGTCATGGTGTGGGTGGGAGTGTCTTTCAGCATGCTAATGCATTATAATTAGCGTAGAGTGAGCAATGAGGACGAACAGAGGCCACTCTCATCGCTGTCTTGGTTTTGCTGGGTTTTGGCCGGCTTCTTTATTGCATCTCATTTTATCAGTAAGGTGTTTGTGACCTGTATCTTGTGCTGACCTCCCATCCCATCCTGTGACTAAGAACGCCTAACCTCCTGGGAATGCAGCCCAGTAGGTCTGAGCTCTGTTTTACCCAGCCCCTATTCAAGATGGAGTTGCTCTGGTTCAAACACCTCTGACACGTAGTATCCACTATAAATAGAGTTAAAAATTTCCCTTTATTGTTTTATTAATATCTGATTTCTAGGTGATACAAATTCTGATTTACAAAGCCATATTCATAGCAGAAGGCCCACACTCATGCTTTTCAGGTAAATATTAAAGGCTTTTTTTTTTTTTTTTTTTTTAAATGATCCTTTAGGTGATTGTTCAGGTTTTTTTTGAGATGGAGTCTCGCTCTTGTCGCCCAGGCTGGAGTGCAATGGTGTGATCTCAGCTCACTGCAACTTTCTCCTCCAGGATTCAAGTGATTCTCCTGCCTCAGCCTCCTGAGTAGCTGGGATCACAGGCGCGCACCACCATGCCCAGTGAATTTTTGTATTTTTAGTAGAGACAGGGTTTCTCCATGTTGGCCAGGCTGGTCTCGAACTACTGACCTCAAGTGATCTGCCCACCTTGGCCTCCCAAAGTGCTGGGATTACAGGCATGAGCCACCATGCTGGGCCCAGGTTTATTTATTTATTTATTTTTTTAGCTAAAGCCAACGGTCATTTCTCCTGAAAGAAATTTTAGGGGTCATCTTGGTTTTAGGATTGTCTGTTGTAGCATTTTAACTTTTAAAAAAGTACATATTTTGGGTGGCAGAAGTGGGGAGATGTTGGCCAAAGGTACCAAGTTTCAGTTCTAAGTTGAGCACGTGCCAGGGAGCTAACCGATGGGGCCATGGTTACTGGCAAAGTGTTGTATACTTGTGTGAACCCCAAAGTATCTGAGACAGAGCTCAATCAATGTAGAAAGTTTATTTCACCAAGGTGAAGGACACACTTGTGACACAGACTCAGGAGGTCCTGAAGACATGTGCCCAACGTCGTTGGGGTACCAGCTTGCTTTTATACACGTTAGGGGTCAATACATGTAAGATTTACATTGGTTTCATCTAGAAGGGTGGGACAGGCCGGGCGTGGTGGCTCACGCCTGTAATCCCAGCACTTTGGGAGGCCGAGGTGGGTGGATCTCCTGAGGTCAGGAGTTCGAGACCAGCCTGGCCAACATGGTGAAACCCCGTCTGTACTAAAAATATAAAAATTAGCCGGGCCTGATGGCGCGCGCCTGTAATCCCAGCTACTCGGGAGGCTGAGACAGGAGAATCGCTTGAACAGGGAGGCGGAGGTTGCACAAGCCGAGATCACGCCATTGCACTCCAGCCTGGGTGACAGAGTGAGACTGTCTCAAAAACAAAAAACAAAAAAACATAGAAGGGTGGGACAACTTGAAGTGGGAGGCTGGGGGGCGGGGGGTGGGGGATGGCTTCCAGGTCATAGGAAGATTTAAAAGTTTTCTGATTGGCGATAGAAAATGAAAATGTCTGGGTTATGATAAGGGGTTGTAGAGACCAAGGTTTTATCATGCAGATGAAGCCTCCAAGTAGCTTCAGAGAGAATAGATTATAAGTGCTTCTTATCAGACTTACGGTCTGTGCTGATGTTGATGCTGGAGGGTAGCATGGGGCGTGTTCGACCCTTCCATTGCGGCTGGAGTGAGTTTTTCAGGTTGGCTCTGGAATGCCCTTGGCAGAGCGGAGGAACTCATTCAGATGGGTGGGGTTAGGGTTAGAATTTTATTTTTGGTTTACACTTGAAATGTTCTAAGAGAGTAGTTCTTAAATATCCTCAACCCTCTTAATACCCTCCGCCCCCCCTGCACACATGAATGGTAACTAGGTGTAGCGATGGATGTATTCATTTCATTGTGGTCATCATTTCACAGTGTATACTGGATCAAATCATCACATTGCACACCTTGAATATATACACTTTTTTTTTTTTTTTTGGTGAGACAGGGTCTTGCTCTGTCACTCAGGCTGGAGTGAAGTGGCGCAATCTCGGCTCACTGCAACCTCCGTCTCCTGGGTTCAAGCGATTCTCCTGTCTCAGCCTCCCGAGTAGCTGGGATTACAAACGTCCGCCACCACACCCAGCTAATTTTTGTATTTTTAGTAGAGATGGGGTTTCATCATGTTGGCCAGGCTGGTTGCAAACTCCTGACCTCAGGTGATCAGCCCACCTTGGCCTCCCAAAGTGCTAGGATTACAGGCTTAAGCCATCATGTCCCGCTGAATATATACATGTTTTTACTTCTCAACTATCCCTCAATAAAGCTGGAGGGAAAAAAAGTGCATATAGTGATGATTTATTAAGTTCAAATAATTTAAACAAGTTCTTTGGTGGAATAAACTGACTGTAATCGCTCAATGGGTTCATTTTGCCTGCTGCCCAGATAGAGCCGATTTATCACGACAGCGGGATTGCAATAGAGAAAGAGTTTAATGCGTGTAGAGCCAGCCGAATGGGAGACCGGAGTTTTACTATTACTCAAATCAGCCTCCCTTAAAATTTGGAGGCTAGCGTTTTTCAAGGAGAATTTGGTGGGCCAGGGAATGGGTGCCACTGATTGGCTGGGGATACAGTCACAGGGTATGGAAAACAGTCCTTTGGCGCTGAGTTCACTTCTGGGTGAAGACACAGGACCAGCTGAGTCAAGAGCTAGGACTCTTGACTCAAGGTCAGAGTGGGACTGTCAGTGGACAGAGATGGGAAAGCATGAAAAGACATCTCAAAAGGCCAATCTTAAGTTCCCCAATGATGTTATGTGCAGGAGTAATTGGGGAAGTCGCAAATCTTACGAGTTCTGGGACAATGGCTGATAATCATTTATGTCTACACCTTAGCAGAATGCGGGCCCCTCTCATCCTCCTAAGCTGGTGGTCTTTCTTTAGCTTCACAAGGGCAGTTGAGTTTGGGGGAGGGGCTGTTATCATTTAAACTATGAGCTAAATGTCTCCCAAAGTTAGCATGGACCATACCCAAGAATGACTAAGGGCAGTTTGGAGGTTACACTGTTATAAGTTTTGCAAAGATGTGTGGTTTTTTTTTTTTTTTTTGAGACGGAGTCTGGCTCTTTCACCCAGGCTGGGGTGCAGTAGTGCGATCTTGGCTCACTGCAACTTCCGCCTCCCCTGTTCAAGGGATTCTCGTGCCTCAGCCTCCCAAGTACTTGGGATTACAGGCGCGTGCCATCATGCCCAGCTGATTTTTTTTGTATTTTTAATAGAGATGGGATTTTGCCATGTTGGTTAGGCTTGTCTTGAACTCCTGACCTCAAGTGATCTGCCCACCTCGGCCTCCCAAAGTGCTGGGATTACAGGTGTTGAGCCACTGTGCCTGGCCTGCAAAGGTGGTTTTAATAGGATGAATTTCACCAGATTTTCCTTTGAAAGAAAAAGAACTGGGCACTTTACTCTTTCATTGTCTGCGGCTTGGTATGACACTTGTTTGTATAACAGCCTTGCATGGAAAATAATCATTTTTCCTTTCTGCTCCTTCATAGGAGGAAAGGCTGCGAGGGTCATTTACCCTCCGAGAAGCCTGGGTCCTGGCTCTGGGCTGGGTGGGTGTGAGCCGACTCCTCCAGGCCAGAGCTGGGCACCAGCCCTTAGGGACAGGAAGAACTCACAGAAATAAGAAATGCCAAGCTGGGCAGCATTTCAGAGAGGAAGCCCCGCTCCCAGGCAGCCTCCAGGGCCTTCTCTTTTTGAATCAATTAGGGAAGTTGTTTGTCGTTTCTGCGACTGTGTGGTGGGAACGTCCCTTCCCTGTGAGATCCCAGATGAAAGGCTTCCCTTATAATTTCCCTCAGAAAATTCACTCCAACCGTGTTTAGTGGAAGAGGCCGCTGAGAACGTGTCAGGAATGACAAAGCCTAGTCAAAGACAGAAAGCTGCAATAGCATTTCTAATAACTGTGGAGAGCGTGAGGCATGAATGGGGAGGGGAGGAAGACTGTCAAGATTCGCCATTAGGAAATTTCCTGGTAAAACTGTCGTCTTCCACGGGGCTTTTCCCTGAAGAAAACGCTCCTGGTCAAGTGATTTGCGAAGACCTCTCCCACAGCCTATGCATGAGACCGTTCGTTTCTCTAAGCAGGCTCAGCAGACAGCCAACCCCTAGGAAACTGAGTCCCTCTAAATCAGTGGCTCTCGACGAGCTGACCTTGCCCCCAGGGCACAGGTGGCAATGGCTGGGGATATCTGTGGTTGTCACCCTGAGGGGCTGTTGGCATCTGGTGGGTGGGTGCCAGTCATGCGGATAAATGTCTTACTACTAGAAAGGGGTCCTGATCCAGACCCCGATAAATGGTTCTTGGACCTCATGAAAGAAAGAATTTGGGGAGAGTCCATAGAGTAAAGTGAAAGCAAGTTTATTAAGAAAGTAAAGGAATAGGCTGGGTGCAGTGGCTCACACCTGTAATCCCAGCACTTTGGGAGGCCGAGGCGGGCAGATCACCTGAGATCAGGAGTTTGAGACCAGCCTGGTCAACATGGAGAAACCCTGTCTCTACTAAAAATACAAAATTAGCCGGGCATGGTGGCACGTGCCTGTAATCCTAGCTACTCGGGAGGCTGAGGCAGGAGAATCACTTGAACCCAGGAGTCGGAGGGTGCAGTGGGATCACACCACTGTACTCCAGCCTGGGCGACAGAGCAAGACTCTGTCAAAAAAAAAAAAGGGAAAGTTAAAGGAATAAAAGAATGGCCACTCCATAGCAGAACAGCAGCATGGAATGCTGGTTGGCTATTTGATGGTATTTCTTGATTCTATGATAAACAAGAGGTGAGTTATTCATGAGTTTTCCAGGAAAGGGGTGGAGATTTCCCTGAACTGAGGGTTCCTGCCCTTATCAGACCATATAGGGTAACTTCCCGACGTTGCCATGGCATCTGTAAACTGTCATGGCCTGGGTGGGAGTGTCTGCTATCGTGCTAATGTATTATAGTTAGCATATAACGAGCAGTGAGGACCACCAGGGGGCACTTTCATCGCCATCTTGGTTTTGGTGGGTGTTGGTCGGCTTCTCTACTGCATCCTGTTGTATCAGCAGGGTCTTTGTGACCTGTATCTTGTGCCGATCTCCTATCTCATCCCGTGACTAAGAATGCCTAGCCTCCTGGGGCCGGGTGCGGTGGCTCACGCCTGTAATCCCAGCACTTTGGGAGGCCGAGGCAGGCGGATCACGAGGTCAGGAGATTGAGACCATCCTGGCTAACACTGTAAAACCCCGCCTCTACTAAAAATACACACACACACACACACACACACACACACACACACAAAATAGCCAGGCGTGGTGGCAGGTGCCTGTAGTCCCAGCTACTCAGGAGGCTGAGGCAGGAGAATGGCGTGAACCCAGGAGGCAGAGGTTGCAGTCAGCCGAGATTGCGCCACTGCACTCCAGCCTGGGCTGAGACTCCATCTCAGAAAAAAAAAAAAAAAGAAAGCCTAGCCTCCCGGGAGTGCAGCCCAGCAGGTCTCAGCCTTATTTTACCCAGCCCCTGTTCAAGATGGAGGAGTCACTCTGGTTCAAATGCCTCTGACGGTCCTACAGGGCTCAGACAGCCCCCAGGACAAATTACCCAGCACCAATGTCAGCAGTGCTGCCAGTGGGAGACCTTGCTTCAAATTAATCTTTCAGGACCAGGGAAATGGGAATCTGAGTTTTGGGAGGGGGAAAAAATAGGTTTTCTATGTTGTGTAAAAATATGTTTATTATCAAGGGAAGACCTCCCACCGAGACCCACTGAGATTAGTACAGCCTGTAATTCAGGCCTTTTCTGTGGTGATTGATTTAAGACAAGCAGAGAATTAATTGGTTTAAACGTTCTGACCTGAAAGTGAGTCTCAGTTGGTGGATGCATGTGTCTGGCACATAGAAGATGCTCAATAAACATTTGTGGAATAAATACAGGAGGGAATGCTGGCTTCGGGGAGAGAGTGGGGGGCTTAGCAGCAATGTCCAGCTGAGTTACAGCATCTTTTTCTTTTCCCAGCTAGAGACGGCTTGGCGCTTGAGGTTTTATGTTGTTTTCAGCCAGGGTGCCCCAGAAAGCCCGAGGATCAGCCTGGGGGGCCCAGCCAGAGCAAGCCGAGGATGAGGGGGTACCCAATAACTGCACCAAGAAATAAAGGAAACGAATCTCCCAAATTTCACATCCTCCCAAGACACTTCCCAGCTTCAAAGCAATAATTAAAAATGTTCTTTGGAGTAGCAATTTTTACATTTCATTGCAAATATTTTCCCTTATTCGACATCTTTTTAAGAAACCCACCTGCTGGACAGGTGCGGTGGCTCAGGCCTGTAATCCCAGCACTTTGGGAGGCCAAGGCGGGTGGATCACGAGGTCAAGAGATCGAGACCATCCTGGCCAACATGGTGAAACCCCGTCTCTACTAAAAATACAAAAAATTAGCCAGGCGTGGTGGCAGGCGCCTGTAGTCCCAGCTACTCGAGAGGCTGAGGCAGGAGAATCACTTGAACCTGGGAGGTGGAGGTTGCAGTGAGCAGAGACTGTGCCACTGCACTCCAGCCTGGGTGACAGAGAGAGACTCTGTCTCGAAAAAAAAAAACAAAAAAAAAACAAAACAAAACCCACCTGCCTTCCTCACAGAATGTGTCTTAGAAGGTGACGGAGGAGTTGTCAGCCCATCTGCCTGGGTTGTCAAACTCCTTGATGCCCAGTAGGGAGCCGGGGCTGAGGTGGGGAGAGGAGAGAGGAAGGCAGCCGGGCTGGAAGTGTGGAAGGTCACAAGCCAGGTGTGTGTGGGGTGTGCATGCATGTGTATGTGCATGCATGTTGTGCATGCATGGGCGTGTGCACGTGTGCTCACTGGTGTGTGTCTCTGTGCACCAGGGAGGTTTCCTTTGGAAGCATGTTCTTGCCCTGGACAGCCCCTCCTTGCCTGAATTAGATTTGAGTTGTGCTGCCTGCTGGGGAAGGGAGGGATGGAGAGCGTGGCTCCCCAGGCTGGGTCTTGGTCTTGCTGTGCAGTGGAGGGTGGTGAGGGCTGGGGGGTTCTGTAACCTGCTCCCCAACACCTTGGCTTGGAGTGACCCCAAGGGCACCAGAGTCTCCAGGAGGGTGTGATGAGCTCAGAAGGAGGGAGAGGGCAGTGGTGGGTGGTCCTTGCTGTGTTTTCAGCCCATCCCCCACAGGGGTGGTGTGTGACCCCTCCCGGGATTGGCAGGCTAGGACCAGGCCCCTCACGGGGACAGCTCTGAGGGCTTGCTCATCTTAGGCAGGAAGGAATGGAAGGTGTGGTGCCCCTGGGTGTCTGATGATCTCACCTTGCCAGCAATCTGATGCCCGGTCTGGGCAATGGATTTTCTTTCTTTCTTTTTCTTTTCTTTCCCTTTTTTTTTTTTTTTTGAGATGGAGTTTCACTCCTGTCACCCAGGCTGGAGTGCAATGGCCTGATCTCAGCTCACTGCAACCTCTGTCTCCTGGGTTCAAGCAATTCTCCTGCCCCAGCCTCCCGAGTAGCTGGGATTACAGGCTCGTGCCACCACATCCAGCCAATTTTTTAATTTTTAGTAGAGACGGGGTTTCACCGTGTTGGCCAGGCTGGTCTCAAACTCCTGACCTCCAGTGATTCACCCACATCGGCCTCCCAAAGTGCTGGGATTACAGGCGTGAGCCTCTACATCCGGCCAGCAATGGATTTTTTATCCTACCTCCCATATTGTTATTTTCCAGCTGACATTTGGAAACTAAAAGTCTCCCTGTGGTCCTTGCAGAATATTCCATGCATTTTTGTGCTCTGGATCAAAGGAAGGTCGCTTCATACACAGGGAAACGCAATGAGAGACGAGCCAGGACAGGTGGCATCTTGACCTCATGTTTAGAGGCCTGGCCACCGTGGAAATTTCCAGAAACAAACACCTTGGGGACCCTGGATCCACTGGCGGCCATTTCTCTTGAGAGAGGCTGGCGGTGCAGGTCAAGGAAGGAGGGAACGTGAGTGTCTTGCTTGCTGGGGTGTTTGAGTCACGGTGAGCCCTCTAAGAAATAGGGCTGAATTAGGCGGGAGGCAGGAGCAGCCTTGGGGGCCCCCCCTGAACAGCAGGGCCTGACCTCATTCCCAGAAGCAAGATCTCAGCCAAGGCTCATGGTCTGGCTGGGGCGGGTGCTGCCATGGAGAGCTGTTGGGTTCTGATGGGTCCAGGGCCACCAAGGCCTTCACCTGCCTCAGCTCCTCCCCTCAGCCCCGAAGCAGGACAGCGCCAGGCAGCCCTTCAAGTCCAAGCCAAGAGCTTATTTCTTTCCTTTGCTTTCCTCACTACCCCCCACCCACCAACACACTCAATCACCTGAAACTCCAGGCTTAGGCAGCTGCTCTTCAGAAATCTGAGACCCACCTCCCTTCCATTCCATTCTGGAGAGAGCAGGAGACACCTCAGAGAGGCTCAAACCACAGCCCAGGAGGAAGCCTTTCCAACAGCGTCCTTCCCAACACGGCTGGTCTGGGTGGCCCCTGAGAGGGTCTGCGGTGAACTGTGTGCATCTGTGTGTCCTCTAGCCCCGCAGGGGTTATGCATTCGAATCATCGACATTCAGTTTGCAGTTCTTCCTGGAGGCACATGCCGAGATCCCATTGCTGGGCTTGGTCTGAGACCAGCTTTGGCCAATGTCAAGGGGATGCCAGGACAAAAGCCCATCTGAGCAGAGGCTACCAGAGGCCAGTGTTAAAGAAAAAAGACTTCATGACACTTGTTTAAGCTTGGTAAGGAAGACTTTGCCACCAGCATGTCTCCAGTAGGGACTGGAATGGTCCAGGAATTCCTGCTGCTCCAGGAATGAGCAAACAAGTGGCTGATCTGCAGCCCACCTGAGCCCACCTGAGATGCCAGCACTGGGGCACGTTCTGGGCGTGTTTGTTACTGCAACAAAGCTGATTAATGCAGCCTCTGCTGTTGATTAACTTGGTCATGCAGGGAGAGAAACTGAGTGCTCCCAGCATATTGATTATAAGATGGGTGCTTTTGGAGTAGAAAGGGGCTTTGGAAAAACACTGAATTTAAGTAGAGTCCCTGCTGCATGGAAGACGGTCACCTGGCTTGCCCTTCCTGAGCACCTAAAAGCTCATCTTTGTGCTGGTGAACATAAAAATGACAAAAGCGCTGAAGTTGTCAACTAATTTTCAAAACAAAACCTCTAACTATAGTTCAGTGATACAGTGAGATGCGTTGGATTTGATGTTGTTTAAGCACGCTGTGGCCTGCCAGTGGGGGAATTTTCAGGGAATTCTTACCATTGCAGCTCACGAGGAAATAAAATGATGACCACAAGCTTCACTATGTAAAGATAGAGTGCTTCCTGTATGTGTGTATGCATGTGTGTACACGTATGACACACGCTGAAGAGAGGAAGAGGTTCCATGGGGGTGTTGTTGACCTGAGGGGCTGTTAGCCTGGTGGCCTGCAGCCACATCCTCCCTCCTGCTGGCCAAATGGACGAGGTTCATTTGCAGGAGAAAATGAGGCCAACGGAGAGAGAGCCAAGAAACTGAGAGAGAGTGTCTTGGTCTGTTTATGCTGCTAACAAAATCCCTTAGACTGGGTAATTTATAAACAGCACAAATACATTGCTTACAATTCTGGAGGTTGGAAGTTCAAGATCACAGCACCAGCAGGTCTGGCGACTGATGAGAATGCTCTCTGCTTCCAAGATGGTGTCTGGTTGCTACGTTCTGGCCTCACTTAGTGGAAGGGGCGGGAGGGCAAAAGTGGCCTAGCTAGTTTCCTCCAGCCCTTTTATAAGGGCACTAATCCCATCCGTGAGGGAGGCCCTCATGACTCAGTCACCTGCCCAAGGCCCCATCTCTTAATCCATTACATTTCAGTATATGAATTCTGGAGCGATATGTTTATTCAAATGATAGCAGAGAGAGAGAGAGAGGAAGAGAGAGAGAAGGAAAGTGGCAGAAACATCTGATAAACCCACAATTGCAGCTCATGAGGAAATAAAATGACCACAAGTTTCACCATATAGCAATAGAATGCTTCCCGTGTATGTATGTGTGTGTGCACATATGTGTGTGCCTGTGCATGCATGTGTGCGTGCATGTGTCTCTGGAGCCAGCCCGAGGTACCACCCTGCCGGTAGCTTCCTTTCTGCTGGTAGCTAGCGTGGGTCCCATCTCTGCCCCTTACCACTGAAAGAGTTCTGAGCAATACGAGAGCTTGCAAACTGGCTCCGTGCTTTCTGATAATACGGCTGGCTTTCAGCAAGTCTTTACACGGCCAAGCTCACAGGTCATTAAAGTAAACTTGCACTCAGTAGTTTGCAAAATATGAGTTTTTAGGCAGAAAACAGCATCCATGTCAGGCTGTTCAAATTGTAAGCTTTTGGACAGCCATCAGTCAAATAAAGTCAAATATTGGCTTCTGTGTAACAAACCACCCCAAGCTGAATTGGGTAAGATGAAGCAGCCACTATTTCATTATGCTGGCGGAGCTGGAGGTCAGGAATTCACGCAGGACGCAATGGAGTGGCTTTGATTCTGTTCCATGTTGTCTGGGGTCAAATGGGACGGTGCCAACACTAAGGGGACTTGAAGCTGGACCATCACATATGTGCGCTGAGCCGGGCTCAGTGGTGACTGTCCACCAAAGCACGAGCTCGTGGCCTCCTGTGTGGCTTGGGTTTCTCCCAGCATGATGACCAGGCTCGGAAAGGGAGCTTCTTGAGTCGGAGTGTCAGGTGAGGCCACTGGCCTGTGCTGTCCAGTCTCCAAACACACCTGGCCTCACTGCCACTGCCTGCCATTGAAAGCAGTCACAGCTGGTCCAGGTTTGGCAGTGGGGGTAAGGGGTAGAGACCCCACCTCTCAATGGGAAGAGGGTCAGTGTGGGTAAGGGGTAGAGACCCCACCTCTCAATGGGAAGAGGGTCAGTGTGGGTAAGGGGTAGAGACCCCACCTCTCAATGGGAAGAGGGTCAGTGTGGGTAAGGGGTAGAGACCCCACCTCTCAATGGGAAGAGGGTCAGTGTGGGTAAGGGGTGGAGACCCCACCTCTCAATGGGAAGAGGGTCAGTGTGGGTAAGGGGTGGAGACCCCACCTCTCGATGGGAAGAGGGTCAGTGTGGGTAGGGGGTACAGACCCCACGTCTTGATGGGAAGAGGGGCAGTGGGGGTGGGGGGTAGAGACCCCACGTCTTGATGGGAAGAGGGGCAAGGACTTGGGGCCATGTTATCGTTTTTAGAGGTGAGGTCTCGCTGTGTTGCCCAGGCTGAATTTGTTTTTGTTTGTTTTTGAGATGCAGTCTCACTCTGTCGCCCAGGCTGGAGTGCAGTGGTGCGATCTCGACTCACTGCAACATCTGCCTCCCAGGTTCAAGCAATTCTCTTGCCTTAGCCTCCTGTGTAGCTGGGATTACAGGTGTGTGCCCCCACGCCCAGCTAGCTTTTTGTATTTTTAGTAGAGATGGGGTTTCACCATGTTGCCCAGGCTGGTCTCGAACTCCTGACCTTAGGTGATCTGCCTGCCTTGGCCTCCCAAAGTGCTGGGATTACAGGCATGAGCCACCGCCCCTGGCTTCGCACACCTTTTTCCTTTGTGTCTGGGGGGCGAGAGGGATCAGCTGTGGACACTAGGATGGGTGTTGGGATTCAAAGACCCCCAAGTAACCTGGAGCTCCCCTAAAAGCCACCACAAGCTTCACAGCTGGGTCCTTGCTAGACAGAGCCCTGCAAGGGATGGAAGCACTGTTTTAAAAAATTGGGGTAAAGTCCACATAACATAAAATTAACTGTTTTTACAGACCACTTTATTGAGGTAGAACCGATGTCTGAGAACCGCACGTATTTAAAGTGGATGATTGGATGAATCATTTTCAGGTGCACAGCTTGGGGGTGTTTAGACATTCATGGTGTTGCGTAACCACGACCTCCAGCTAGTTTCAGGACGTTTTCAGGCCTCCAGGCCGAAGCCCCGTCCCTATGAGGCAGTGGCTCCCCACTCCTGGCCCCCACAGCCCCGGGAAGCTCTGTTCCCTCTGTCTCCGTGGATTTGTTCACTCCTCACATGTCGTGGAAAAGGAATCACACCACGTGTGTCCTCTTGTAACCGGCCTCTTCCACTTAGCGTAATGTTTTCATGGCCCAGAATTTCCTTTCTTTTCTGGCTGAGTAATATCCCACTGTATGGATGGACCACACGCTGTGACCACATTGCTCTGTGGATGGACATTTGCAGGGGCATTGTGAACAATGCTGCCAGGAACATGTGTGTGCAGGTTTTTGCTGGAATGCCTGTTTTCAGTTCTTTGGGGAAAGCACTTTTCATTTTTTAATGAGAAACCACTGGTCAGCGTAGGGGATGGCTATGAAGGGGGACGTCTCTGCCTTGTTTAAAAGAGAAAGAGGAACAGAATCCTCACCACAACCCCCGGCGCACTTTTTTGAGGAAAGACTAGAACCTTTTGCAAAATCTCCAAAGGAATCAGTTTTGTGTGGATGGACGTGCCGGAAGGAACCAATGATTCCCGTCCATCTTCCAACCCATGGGGCAGGGCCTCAGCTGGGTGTGGACAGAGGCTGCCCATGGCTCCTGTTGGCCCCTGGGTGACCGCAGGCCCCTCTATGGGGAGTCGTGGGGATAAAGCATCCGTGAGCTTAGAGGCCCTGCAAGGGCCTCTTCAAGGACCCTTCTTCTGGAAGCAGAAGGCCCTCCGTGGGGAGGGGTCACTGTCATCCCCGAATCCGGCTGGACCCTGTGGGCTGGAGGTGGCCACGCCGGGTGGCCCTGTGGCCTGTCCCCTAAGAGAGGCAGTGAAGCCTGCTGTGCAACGCAGGGGCCTCTCGGATCAGGCAGGCAGTCCCGGTGCAGCGTGGGAGCCGGGCCGCAGACCTCCCGACCTGCGTGGGGTTGGAGGCTGCCGGGCAGCTCTAGCGGGGGTTCTGGGGAACCAGCCACCTCTCCAGCGACTGCACCACCAGGTCTGCGCCAGTGGCTTCATGTATTTAGGTCCCTGTGCTGTGGAGTGAATTATGTCCCCGGGTTCAGACCTTGGCTCCCAGACCCTGTGTGGCTATTTGGAGACAGGGCCTTTGGAGGTGATGCAGCTCAGTGAGGTTGTAAGGGTGGGCCCCGATCTGACAGCGTTAATGACCTTCTCGGAAGAGGAGGGGAGGCCAGAGCTCTCCCCCTGCGCATCCCGGGAAAGGCTGCGTGAGGACGCAGTGGGGCAGCCGTGAGTCTGCAATCGTGGGTCTCACCAGACCTGGAACCAGCTGGCCCCTTCATCTAGGACCTCCCGGCCTCCAGAACGGTCAGAACTGAATGTTTAAGGCCCTGGTCTGTGGCGTTTTGTTGTGGCAGTCTGCGCTGACTGAGAAAGAATCTTCCAGAAAGAACCTCGGGCAGCTGAGTCAGTCAAATTACCTCAGTTTCCCCACAGCCGAGAAGGACCCCACCCCACCATTCAGAGCTGCTTTTAGCATCTGACACTTTGTGCCCCGCGGATATTCCTGCATTACTTCGGATCTGAACACCAGGTGTATTACGTGTTTTCATCTTGGTGCCTGGGTTTTCCGGCGTCCACCTGGCTCCTTCCTGCAGAAATGCCGGCTCCGCCCGCTGGGTGCCAGGGTCCCTCCACCGAACGCGCTGGGCGCAGGGCCGCGAGCGTCCAGCAGGGGGCGAGCGCGCGCTTCCCGGAGCGGCGGGGAGCCGGTGGGTCAGGCTGAGACGCGCGGAGAATCAGCCGCAAACCCCTCGCCCGGCCCGGGAGGCTGCGCTGGGCTCGCGAAGGCCTGGAAGCTTCCCCGTTCTTTCTTTTTTTAATTTTATTATTATTATACTTCAAGTTCTAGGGTACATGTGTACAACGTGCAGGTTTGTTACATATGTATACATGTGCCATGCTGGTGTGCTGCACCCATTAACTCGTCATTTAGCATTAGGTATATCTCCTAATGTTATCCCTCCCCTCTCCCCCCACCCCACAACAGGCCCCGGAGTGTGATGTTCCCCTCCCTGTGTCCATGTGTTCTCATTGTTCAATTCCCACCAATGAGTGAGAACATCTGCGCTGACCTATGGCTTCTTTTTGGAAAAAAGTGCATTCAGAGGCCAGGCACGGTGCCTCACGCCTGTAATCCCAGCACTTTGGGAGGCCGAGGTGAGTGCATCACTTGAGGTCAGGAGTTCGAGACCATGCTGGCCAACATGATGAAAACCCGTCTCTACTAAAAATACAAAAATTAGTCGGGCGTGGTGGCGGGCACCTGTAATCCCAGCTACTCGAGAGGATGAGGCAGGAGACTCGCCTGAACCCAGGAGGCAGAGGTTGCAGTGAGCTGAGATTGTGCCATTGCACTCCAGCCTGGGGGACAGAGCAAGACTCCATCTCAAAAAAAAAAAAAAAAAAGTTCTGTCAGGCCAGACGCGGTGGCTCACACCTGTAATCCCAGCGCTTTGGGAGGCCAAGGAGGGAGGGTCACTTGTGTCCAGGAGTTTGAGACCAGCCTGGGCAACATAGTGAGATCCACATCTCAATAAATAAATAAATTAAATAAATAAATAAATAAATAAATAAATAAATAGGCAAGCCGGGTGTGATGGCGAAGACCTGCAGTCCCAGCTACTTGGGAGGCTGAGGTGGGAAGATCACCCGAGCTTGGGAAGTGGAGGCTGCAGTGAGCTGTGAGTGTGCCACTGCACCCCAGCCTGGGTGACAGAATGAGACCCTGTCAAAAAAAAAAAGTGCTTTCACAGTTTTCTTATTTTTATCGATCCACCCTGTGTGGGAGGGGTATTGCCACTGGAAATGGGGCTGGTCTGCCCTGGGATGTGGTGTTCTGGTATAAAGACCAGGTCCTATTTTGAAGACTTAGTAGAAAAACAAATGCAAAAAAATCTCATTAATAATTCTTTATATTTGAGTATATTGGGTTTAACAAAAATACATTACCAGGATGAATTTCCGCTGCTTTTTTTTTTTTTTTGCCTCCTTAAATGTGGCTGAGCTGTGTTTCCGCTGGACAGCCCCAGGCCCCGGAACGCAGATTCGCAGAGGTGGTGTTTCACCGCCTGGTGGAGCTGAGAGGGTTTCCTGGATCGTGCCGGGAGGGCTCAGCACTCGTTGGCGTTTCCCGTTGGTGCTCCCAGGGCTCAGCTGGCTTGGGGTCCCACAGTATTTCCCTGATTCCCTGACTCCCACCTGACCTCCCACATGGGTGTCTTGGGGAAGGAAGGAACGCACCAACCCCTGGTGACCAGAGGCCGACTCTGGAACTGCTCCTTGAAATCGGTGCACCGGGCAGCCCCTCCTCCAGGTTTCAGTTTGGTTTTCAGGTGGGGGTCACCAGGGCCGTCTGTCCATGGAGGCCACAGGCGGCTGCAGGCAGGGCCTGCCGCAGCTGCAGCCCGGGCTGTGGTGCACCCAGTGAGCTTGGCTCTGGACTTACAAGCTTCCTGAGGTTCGCCCTGCCCTGGGTAGGCTTTCAGTCTAGGAGAAGACCCAGGTGAGGAACAGAGAGACATTAATACTGATAATAAGAATAATTTTAGCTAAAATCTGTTGCCCACCTAAGATGTGCCAGACCTGGGCTCAGCCTTCACCACATCATCCCTTTCAGTCCTCGGTCACCTCAGAAGCTAGATTTCGAGACCCTTGGGACCTGCTGCTCTCCAGGGGAGGGAAGGGAGACCCTGGGCTCTGAAGGGCCTGCCTCTTCCTGGATCCACAGGGTTTTCCAGAGCTGCTGCAGCGAGGAGGGCAATGCCTGGGGCTTTGTGGGTGCCACTCGGGGAGCCTGGGTTTCTTAGGGAACAGCTGGAGTTGGGGTCTCACTGGGGGCTGTGAGTCAGCTCGGGCGGCCACACCAAAATAACCCCAGGCTGGGGCTCAAACAACACACATTTATTCTTGCAGTCCTGGAGGCTGGAAGTCCCGAATCAAGGTGCTGGTGGGCAGGGCTGGTTTCTCTGGAGTCTCCTCACCTTGGCTTGCGGAGGCTGTCTTCCTCCTGTGTCCTCACAAGATCATTCCTCTGAGTGTCTGTGTCTTCATCTCTTCTTGTTATGAGCTCCCCAGTCCTGTGGGATTAGGGCCCACCCAAAATCACCTCATTGTACCTTAATGACCTCTGTAAAAATCCTGTCCCCAAACGCAGCCACATTCTGAGCTGCTGGGGGACAGGGTGCCAACCTAGATTCAGCCCAGAACCAGAAGTGTGGTCCCAGGAGAGTGAGAGTGAGGGGGAAGGGAGTGAAGCAGCGGGGTGGGGAGGCCAGTGTGTGTGTGGGATAGAGGTGGTGGCTCAGCAGGCGTCCCCACACGGCCTGGAACCCCTGGAACCATCCGTCCCAGAGAGGCGGGGCAGTCTGCCCTCTGCTCGGTCCTGTGTCCTGTGGGTCAGAACTCACCCCGCGGGAATTGACTCCCTGCTTTGGCAGCTCCCTGGGAAGCCAAGCCTCGTGCCCTGCAGTGTGGGAGTTGGTCAGTCAGTCTGGAAGGGGCAGAGACTTACTTATGGGTGGTGGGCCTCGGGGTGGCCGCTCAGCCTAAACAGCCGGGGCAGGGCTGGACGGCCATGGGGTCTGAGGGTGGGTGTCTGTGCTTGGCTCAGTCCTGGGCCTCCTGCCCTGCTCAGAACCATGCGACTGTGGCTGTGCCAGCCACTCTGTCTGTCAGCCCCGGCCTGTGCCTGTGCGCCCTGCTCCCATCATATGTGGGAGACATAGACCCTCGGCATCCCTCTGTCAGGGCCCTTCCCGCCACAGGTCAGGAAGTGGGCCTGGGAGGAAGCAAGAGCCGGACGCCTGCCCCTCGGGCTCAGTGGTGAGGAGCTCACACACTCCACCATTTGAACAAACCCTGCGAAGCTCTTCCCAGGTGTCTCCATGAACCCACCCGTTCCACCCGCAGTCCCACGAGCAATGGCGATGGCAGCTGGAATCCCCTTGGGGGCACGAGAGCCCTCGGCAGGCACTGGGCCTCATGCAGGGAGCAGGTGTGGATGTCAAGGGGGCAAGGGAAGCCCTTTCATCTCCCTGCGGATGGACCAGACTCTCAAGCCACCATGTCCATGGATGGTGGAAAACGTCATCTTGCCTATTCATGATGATTCAGTCACTTTAGGACGTTTCTTGGCCCACTTTTGGGAGACATGGATTCTTCCCCTGTCCCCCTTCCCCCTTCTCCTGGGGTGGGCAGATCCTGGGGGCCCTGGGGACTTCAGGTCTTGACATAGTGGCAGGTCAGTCCTCAGTCCTCAGGGCCTCTGCTGAGATGTTATTCATCCGTTGCCCCATATGCTGGAGAAGGCAGAGGGCCCCGGGGCAGCAGCCCCACTCGGGTCACTTTGTGTCTTCATCTTCCTCCCAGCCCTGGGCCCCTTCACACCTGCTGGCCCACCGCCAGCTTCCTTTGCACCCTTCCCAGGATGTTCTTCTGGCTGGTTTAGGTGGCATAGCACAATGTCTGGGGCTGCAGAGCTGGGCCTTGAATATCAGTTCTATGACTTATCAGCTGTGTGACTTTGACTACGTTGCTCAACCTCTCTGGGTCCCAGTTTCCTCAGATGGAGAATGGTGTAATGAATGAACACCTGTAAAAGTGCTGGTGCCTGTGAACTATCACCCTTCCTCTTCCCTGTGTTGCACAGGACGTACGGGACTCGGCAGTGGTGGTGGAGAAAGCCACCAGACCCAGGCATTCACTCAGCTCAGCTTCTGGTGGCAGACACGGGTGGCACCTACACTCAGTCACCACAACCCCTCTTCCTTGGTAACAAACTTGGGGTGTGAGTGGATCTTCATTCCCAGGGTTAGTGACCCCCAAGCGGATGAATCCAGCGCACCTTGGAGTCTTACCTTCCCAGCTTGGAGCTGGTTTAGGCACGGCATGTGAGGCGGTTCTGCGGGAGGGGTCTGAAGCCAGTTGATAACAGCAGCTTCTAGGGAAGGCTTTCTTGTTTTTCAAAGAGATTCCAGGAAGAGTCTCTCCTTCTTTTGCTGGGCATTGCTGGGTCTGGGTGGGATTCCTGGGGCTGTGGCAGTTGTTTTGTAGCCTTGAGGAGCATCAGCCTGAACCCCAGAATGGCCAGGAGGACAGAGGTGGAAGTGGCCAGGCAGCCAATTGCACTGGCTGGGGCCTTTCATGATTCTCGGAAGCAAATATTCCTTTTGCTTTCAGTGGGGTTTTTTTGCAATGAGTGGGGGTTTTCGCAATGCATTGGAAGGGCCTCTCCCTGACACTGTTCTCCTGCTGGGGCATTGGACACCTTGCTCTATGTGAACTTCTCCTGAGCCACCTGCTCTTAGCCCAGAGGACGAGGTCCAAGCTCCTTCAGTGCTCAGCGCACTCACTTGACTCTGGAGCATCTCAGGATCTCCCCAGCCCACTCCCTGCCATGATGCTCATGGTCTGTAGGATTCTTGCTTTTCTCTCTTAGTGTCCCATCCTCTACTGAACTGCTGGGTGAGGGTGGGTAAGATTTTAAAAATAAAATACATAATCTCTAACTATAAAAGGGAGATGTTTCAACGTGAAGATATTGAAATTAAGAAGTTCTATTCACTGGAGACAAATTCAAAAGAACAAAAAGACAAGCTATGAACTGAGAGAAAGTATTCTCATCATAAATATTAATAATTGACAAAGGATTAGTAGCCTGCATATATAAAGAGCATTTGCAGATCAGTGAGAAAATGACATACAACCCAGTAGCAAATGGCGAAATAAATGAGCAGGCATCTCACATAAGAGAGAAGCTGGATGCCTGATAGCACCCCAGAGGGGCTCAGCCTTGGCAGGGATCAGGAAGCCAAATGAGGAGACCCCACTGTGGGTCTCCAGGTGCAGGGCAACTCCATCTTAGATCCGACAGTCACACTGAGTGATGGATGGGAGTGGAGTCTTTAGGACTTCCTGTTCTGTATGAAGGGTAAATTTGAGCAGTTGCTTTGGAAAAATTTGGGCTCATTTGTAAAGTTCACCTGGGTCTCCAGGTGCAGGGCAACTTCATCTTAGATCCCACAGTCACACTGAGTGATGGATGGGACTGGGGTCTTTAGGACCTCCTGTTATATATGAAGGGTAAATTTGAGCAGTTGTTTTGGAAAAAATTAGGCTCATTTGTAAAGTTCAACATCCACAGGCTCCAAAGCCCAACGTACCCCAGGACACAGATTGTGCAAATGCCAGAGATGCCCCAAAGTACGCCGGTAGAAGGTGGGCAGGTGTATTCACGCTGCAGAGTAGTACACAGCATGGATGTGCTGTGGGCACAGATGCTCTGGAGTTCAAGTCTGTGACAGCAGAAAAGTCAAGCTCCAAATGCAACATACAGCAGGATCAGTAGAAAAACAACTGAAATGAAACAATGTGGGACTTAAGTACACATTTAAATGCAATAAAATGAAAGTCAAAGGAATCCAATAAGCATGGAATTCAGGCTTGTGTTTGCTCTGGGGTGGTGGGGAAGGCAGGAGGATGGGATAGGAGAGAATGCACAGTTAATGCTTTCATTCTTGGGTTTGGGGCATAGGGGTATTCATTTTATTATTATTATTAATTACTATTTGAGACAGGGTCTTGCTCTGTTGCCCAGGATGGAGTACAGTGGTGCAATCACTGCTCACTGTAGCCTTGACCTCCTGGGCTCAAAAGATTCTCCCACTTCAGCCTCCCAACTAGCTGGGACAACAGACGTGCACCACCACTTCTGGCTAATTTTTATTTTTCCATTTTTTTTTGTAGAGATGGGGTCTTGCTATGTTGCCCAGGTTGGTCTTGAACTCCTGGGCTCAAGGGATCCTCCCTCCTTGGCTTCCCAAAGTGTTGGGATTACAGGGCTTGAGCCAGTGTGCCTGGCCCATTTTATTAATGATACACAAATGAGTGCACAGACAAATTCATAAGTATAATCAAGCGGCCATGTGTGAAGGAGTGATGCGGGTGTGTCGTGGGCCCTGGGGTCTGCTTCATCTGCTTCAGAGCCCCTAAGTCCAGATAGCAAATGGAGACCCCTGACTCCATCCCTGGCAAACCTAACACCTGCTTAGAGAGAAGAATTCGGCACAGGGCAATATAGAAGGAAATAGCAACCGTCCCACTGCCTGGTTGCCCCGTGATGTCTTTCTTTCCCAGGATGTAACTCAGGGCCCACAGCTGTGTATGCCAGGTGCGGGGACAGGGCTGGCTGTGGCCACACGTGAGCTGGTGATCCCTACCTGCTTCCTCCAGCTCCAGGCGTTTTCTAAGCACCAGCTTATGCGACAGGAATGACCATGCAGGAAACTTTGGGTGAAGTTCAAGTTTAAAATGGTTTTCATGGAATTTCTCAGGCCCCATTCAGTCTAAGAGACAATCATTCCCAGTTTCTCCCTCCTGGCACTAGCTTGATGGAAGGCTGCCAGCCGCTGGTGTTATGGAAAGTCCACTTTGTAGGGCCTCTGGTTTTGACCTGTTTGTGGACAGGGTGCAAGCAGCTTCGTTGGTTTAACGATTTCCTGACCCAAAGAGGCTGCCCGAGAAAGTAGATGCTGAGTTGGAAGTGTCAGAACTTGGTTCTTTCCTGGGCTGAACGTGGGGCGGGGGTGCGGGGAGGGAACAAGGATGTCACAGGACATCTCAGCACGCAAAGGTCAGGTCTGTGACTGGCTTGGAGGCAGATTTTGGCAGAATTTCCTGGATGTGCCCCTTGGAATACTCATTCTGTGGGATGATAATACATGTGACATGAGGAAAAAGAATTCCAGTCAAGTAATGTCGGGAATGCTGATTTCTTTTCTTTCTTTCTTTTTTTTTTTTTTGAGATGGAGTCTTTCTCTGTCGCCAGGCTGGAGTTCAGTGGCGCGATCTCAGCTCACTGCAACCTCCGCCTCCCGGGTTCAAGCGATTCTCCTGCCTCAGGTTCCCGAGTAGCTGGGATTACAGGCATCTGCCACCATGCCCGGCTAATTTTTTGTATTTTAGTAGAGACAGGGTTTCACCATGTTGGCCAGGATGGTCTCGATCTCCCGACTTCAGGTGATCCGCCCGCCTCAGCCTCCCAAAGTGCTGAGATGACAGGCGTGAGCCACTGTGCCCGGCCCGGAACTCCGATTTCAGATGACGTTTATCATCCTTCTCGGAGAGAGGCTTCCCACGCACTGTGCCTTCCTGAGCACTGGGAGATGCTGAGAGGGGCTGAGCATGGGGTGGTCCTCAGATTCATCTGGACTGGGGGATATTCTGTGGGCAGACCCCTGAAGGGGCCCTTCCGGAAATGCCACCTGGTGTCCCACCCACCCTTCATCTCTGGGAGATGTTTGTCCGTCATGGCAGGTCCCCACTCCTGGCGTGTGGTGGATGAGCTCGTCTTCCTGGGGGACAAGGGGTAGGAGGAGTGGCAAGTGTTCCCAGAGGCGGGTCCTAGCGTGCTTCCTGCGCGGCGCCCCTCCCGTCCATCAGCTGATCACTGTCGTTTGAATCCCTGCTGCCACCGCCCTCTTCCACAGGTTTTTGAGAAGTTACCAGGAGTCAGAGGTCACATCTCAGCCCTCGCTGGCCTGAGTTTGAGATGGGGACTCTCACAGGTCCAGGCCTGGGCTTAGGCTGGGGCCAGGCCGGGAGAAGTGGAATCCAAGGCCACACAGCATGGATTTTGGAGTCGGACAGGACCAACCCCTGCAGAAGGGAAGCTCTTGAGGACACAAATCCCCAGGGAGTGGAGGGTGTTGGCTCCTCCTGGATCTTGAGCCTGCTGGCCTTTGGATTCGGGCTGCAAATACACATCAGCCTGCCTGGGCCTCCTGCCTGGGCCTCCTGCCTGGGCCTCCTGCCTGCTGGCTACAAACCTTGGGACCGGCCAGCCGCCGTGATCACAGGAGCCAGCTCCCTCTCGGAAGCCTCTTTCTCTGTGTGTCCACATCCTTCTGGTTGTGTTTTTCTGGGGAGACTGACGCACGCGGTAAGGAAATCTCGTTGTCCCCCAGAGGGGTCTGACTCTGCCCTGGTATAAGTCTCAGGCCACAGGCCATTCCTGGCCACAAGTCCTGCCACCTCCAAAGGCCACCATCCCAGAGGCTGCTGGGCAGTGTCCTGACCCATAGGCAGCTGGATGGATTCCAGGGGCTGGCCCAGAAGTCCAGAGGCCACCAGCCCTTGCCAGGATTCACACAGGTACCCAAGGTTGGCCTTTGCCCAGGTTGGGCCAATGTCCAGTTTTTCCAGTTCTCTGGTACCCAGAAAAGCCATATCCAGCTGTCGGCTACAGCTGCTCCATGCAGCCCCCAGGGAGCCCCCACTCCATAACCAACTGCCTTGCTAACTGATAAAGGCAGAAACAAATCCAATTCCACACTTGGCCAAACGCCAGGTGTGTCTCTGTCCAAGCTCCAGGAGCCCCAGACCACAGGGCTCTCCAACGCAGCAGCCTCAAAGCCAATGTCAATCCCCACCCGCCCAGGAGCTGGTCCACACCGAGCAGGCTGACCCTCCCTCAGGGCAGGAGGAGAGGGGTGGGGCCGTCTCCTCCCTACCCCAGGTGGCACCTTGGGCCCACGTTGGCCACACCTTCCTATAACTTCTTCCCTAGCTCCAGGCCAGACCCCGCCCTTGACCAGCCCTCTTTCCACGACGAATCCCAGGATGGCTGTGTCTCAGAAGCTGCTGGAAGGAGACTGAAGATACGCACCAAGAACCAGAGAGCCTGGGGATGAGGCATCTCATGCTGGCCTGAAGTTGAGGTCTCTTCTTCAGGGACTGGTCAGGGTCGCAGTCCTCCCAGAGTGGGGCCCCCGAGTTGGGGGCCTGCTAGTGCCTGTGGGCGAGGGTTGGGAGGTGAGTGTGGGACCCTGGTGTCCCCACGTGCTGCAGGCAGATTCTTGCTACAGCCACCTCCAGGGGTGCTCCTGGCAGCCTCACTTCTGTCTCAGTTCCCTGGGTCCAGCCAAGAGTGTGCTGGGGTCCCTGGCCGTGGCAGGCAGTGGGGCGTGGCTGGGAGGCCAGGGCTGTCCTGTCATCAAGACCAAGTGCTGCAGGCCTGGGGCTGAGCCGGCCTGGACAGCGGTCTGCAGAAGAGCCCCTGGTAGGAGCGACAGGTGAAGTAGCCGGTGGGCATCTCTGTCTCCCCAGTGACATCATCACTGTTTGTCTCCGTGAGGGCAGCAGCCAGCTCCCTAGAGCCACCCAGGCAGCACGTGGCCGGGAGGGGAAGGAGGGGCCGGGCACAGAAAACATGGCTCGAAGAAGCCAGCAGCAAGAGCCCAGGGGCACCCGACCCTTGGAGGCCCCAAGGCCAGATTTGCTGCCATGGCTGCCGCAGGCTCCGGGTGTGAGTTCCGCAGCCTCAGTCCCTCTGCAGCGGCTTCTGTGTGCCAGGCCACTGTGTCTAATCTCGGAGGCGATGAGGGGACTAAGGGAGGAATGGGGCCAAAAGCACCCAGTCGTTGGCCTGGGAATGAGCGAGCACGGATCCAGGGGAAATTTGATTATTAATAATAGAGATGATGTGTCTCCACCCTGGCCCCAGGGCCCTCGGTGGCCGGTGTTGAGGGCTGATGGAGGCTGGAGGAGGCACGGAGGGTGGGAGAGGGTGGGCCTGATGCCTGGCTGCTCCCCTTCCAGAGAGCACAGCCGGCTCCAGGGCCCAGGAGTGTCCCTGTTCCATTTCCTTAAAGGCAAACACAGAGTCAGAAACACGGGCATTCTCATTTGAGTGGGAGACAGAGGTCGATTAGGGATGCTGCTGTGAGCCCAGGAGTTACCATGTGCAACCTGCAACGTGCAACAGGCAATGCGCAACCAGAGGCACTCCCCATGGCGAGGGAGCGCCTGGCTCAGAGGACGTGCTCGGACCCACCGTGTGGCACAGAGGGTGTAGCAGCAGCAGGTGCACCAGCCACAGGAGGAGACTGGCAAGGCGTGGTATCCTCCCATCCCCAGTCCACATGCTAGGCTCTGGGGACCGTGGAGAACAAGACAGACATGAACCCTGCCACACAGTTTACCGTCTAACTGCAGGCAGGGTGGGCAAAGGGAACTTAAGGCAACCCCGAGAAGACATCAGGCAGAGAATTCCAGGAGGGAAGGGGGAGCTGGCCATGCCAGCTGGGCACATGCTCCCGGGGAGGGCACTGTCATGACCACAGGGATCAGCCACGTGAAGATCTGGGGCCAGCGGCCCAGGCCGAGGCCATGGCAGTGCAAAAGTCCTGGGGTGAGACCAGGCAGAGCTGGGGGTGAGGCGGATCATGGTTAGGGGTCATCAGAGGGGGGCACTTTGCACCCTTGGGCTCAGTGTGGAGCAGGTGCAGCATCACTTTTTGTTTTTGAGGTGGGGTTTTGCTCTTGTTGCCCAGGCTGGAGTGCAAGGGCACCATCTCAGCTCACTGCAGCCTCCGCCTCACAGGTTTAAGCGATTCTCCTGCCTCAGCCTCCTGAGTAGCTGGGATTACAGGCATGTGCCACCACACTCGGCTAATTTTTTTGATTTTTTAGTAGAGATGGCGTTTCACCATGTTGGCCAGGCTGGTCTCCATCTCCTGACCTCAGGTGATCTGCCCGCCTCAGCCTCCCAAAGTGCTGGGATTACAGGCGTGAGCTACTGCGCCTGGTCTCATCACTTTTATTAGTGAACCCTTTTGAGTTGCTGGCTCGGGTCTTCTCCTTCCTCTGGCCAAGGCCAGGTGGACACCCATGTGGAGTGTGATGGCTCAGGGTGTGGACCCTGGGACCGAACTCTCTGGGCTCAAATCCTGGCCCTGCCACTTACAGGCTGTGTGACCTAGGGAGAGTTTCTCCACTCTCTCTGTTTCCTTGTCTGCAGAATGGGGTAGCGGCGGTTCCCACCCCATAGGGTCATCGCAAAGGATGAAGCACGTTGGCACTGGAAGAGTTTAGTGCAGCGCCAGGCATGGAATCAGTGGCATCAGCGTCAGTCTACGAAACCCCAAAAACATCCTGTGTCCAAGGGCAGCTGAGCCACCCTCCGCTGCTGCCGCCCTGGGCTGCCGGGACCACTGGCTCATTGGCCGCACAGCTACCTGCTTTCCTCTCTCTGTCTTCCCGACACAGCCCGAGGGTCCCACTCTTTCTGCAGAGAAGGGCATTTCTTCTGGAACATGTGTCTCAGCCCCGACTCACCCCCTTCCAGTTTCCATCCCTCAGTGAGTCAAAAGTGACCCCATGATTGTCTGATGCACAGTAAGGCAGAATTGTGCGTCTCCTTTACTGTGAAAAATAAGGAAATTAAGGTCGGGCGCGGTGGCTCACACCTGTAATCCCAGCACTTTGGGAGGCTGAGGTGGGTGGATCACTTGAGGTCAGGAGTTCGAGACCAGCCTGGCCAACATGGCAAAACCCCGTCTCTACTAAAAATACAAAAATTAGCCAGGTGTGGTGGCGGGCGCCTGTAATCCCAGCTACTCGGAGGCTGAACCTGGGAGAATTGCTTGAACCTGGGAGGTGGAGGTTGCAGTGAGCCGAGAATGCACCACTGCACTCCAGCCAGGGCAAGAGAGAAAGACTCTGTCTCAAAAAAAAAAAAAAAAAAAAAAAAAAAAAAGGAAATTAGACAAAGTCCATTGGAACCACCCCCTGCCATTGGCATCCACTGAGCGACCCCACTTGTCGCCTGTAATCAGACTCACATCCATATCCTCAGTCTTGCTGGGCCTGCCTCAGTCGCTGGTGGAGCAGTTGGACCTTTTCCTAACATTTCTCAGCAAAACTGCCGGCCTCCCTTTGCATCCACAAGGCAGGCATCTGTGGGCTGCCTCTTCGTCATCTGTGGGCTGCCTCTCGCCAAGCAGGATTCACAGCAGTATTTTTACGAGAAAGCTTATTTATCCACTGCCCCACCCCGGACCCCACGAGAGGCACTTTCTGTAACTCATTCTTTCCTTCCAAAAGTACCTGTCCAGTGTTGGGTGGCAGGTCCAGGCAGGCAGCAGAGAACATGGGAGAAAGAGTCCCCACCCTCGGAGGCTTCTTTCACGTCCACGCTGGGAGAGAATGACAAATGCAGGAAGGGCAGGAGCAGGATTGGGAGGGAAACTGAGGCAGGCTGGGGATGGGGTGCCAGGTTGGGTTGGGGGTTATTTTACACGGATGATGGAGCCGCTCTGCTGGGTGATGTTCCTGCAGGAAGGAGGAAATGAGCCAGGCGGATGCAGGGAGGGGGCTCTTCTGGACTCAGAGGAGCATCCTGAGGCTTCACCATGAAAGTCAGAGTTGTGAGTGGGTGGATGGGAACTCGGACATGAGGATGGATGGGGGAAGGCTGGAGGAGCAGGACCCGGGGAGCTGGCATCGAGGGCTCTTTCCTGGGGGTCTTTCTTCTGCACCAGCTCGATGCCCTGGGGAGCAGAGCTTGTCTCACCCCACCCTCTTTTCCATCCCTGTCTGCAGGCACCTGGGGCCCCTTCCTCCCTCTCAGACCCCACCCACCCTATCTTCTTCCCTTCCTCAGCTGCTCAGCCTCCTGCTCTGTCACGTCCAGGCAATGACAGGGAAGATCCCACCCCTCCTCTGACCCCCCCACTTCCCTCCATGGGCTTCCAGAGCACCCCCTTCCCAGCCCACAGTGGTGCAGGCCATCCTTGCTTTGGGGCCCCAGCCTGCTGGCTGCAAGTCCTTCCAGCCCCATCATCTGGACCCAGCTCTGGCAAGGCCCCCACCGGCCATATGCTCCTGAGCAGGCCAGTGTGCCCAGCTCTGTGCCCGACCATGCTGCTGGGGACAAGGACACACATCATGCCTGCATAGACCTGTGCCTTGCTCCTGGTGGCTTCCTGGTCTGTGGTGGGGGGACATGCCCGCACTGTCCGCTCTACCCTGCATGCACAGCCGTGTGATATCTGTGCCTCCTGCTGCAGCTTGGGGCCCCCCTCAGGGTGCCCTGGGCATCTGCACGCCAAGCCTGGACACAGGCACTGCTAGCATACGCTGCATGACTGAGCTGGGAGCTGGGCAAGGCACGGGGCCCACACAGGCCCAAGGCCAACCTCAGTCCCCCTGGCCATCGCCTTGGGCTCAAGGGCAGGTGCTGGCACTTTGAGGCTGTGCAGGCCCCTCCTGGTCTCCCATGGCTCTGCCAGGCTCGCTGTTCTCCCAGACCCACCCTCAGACCCTAGCATCTTGCCCCGCCCCTGCAGAGCCACCCGAGTGGCTCCCACACACAGCGGGACCAAAACTCCCATCTTCCTCTGGAAATCTCTCCTCCCAGAGCCCCTACGCTGGCCTGGGGGCGCTGCTGCCCCTCACGTCCACAGCTGGTGGCCCGGCTGCTCCCTCTGTATGCCTCATCTCCTCTTTCCACCCTCGTTGCTCAATGTTGCCCCCAACTCTAGCCTGGACCCTGAAATGGTCCCCTTCCGGCTCCCTCAGGCAGTAGGTGCTCTCCCTAACTCCTCACTCTGACCACATCCGTCTCCACCAGAGCCCACAGCTCCCCGGGCCCAGGACCCCCAGTGTGGTCCCCGCTCACCCGGCCTGGATGGCTCCTGCCTACCCAGAGCTGCCTAGTGTGGCTTCCCTACCCGGCCCCACCCTATGGCCTTGCTGTGGACAGGATGTACCCTTCCTCAGGGCTCCCCGAGATCCCCACGCATTCCTCTGCCTGGGTGGCCGCTGGGGGCTCTGAGCAACGTCCTGCACCTCCTTCCTGCCTGGCAGGGTGCCTGGCACAAGGTCGGCCTCAGTGAAATGTGGGCTGAGTGAGTTCGTAAAGATGACCCTGGGTGCCCCGGGTCCTAAGTTGTGAGAGTCATGGCTGCTGTAGACGGGAGCCTTTGGGGCTGTCCCTCCATGCAGGCGTCCCCCACCTACAGCTCCTCTCCCAGCAGCTGCACCTGGCCTCCGTGGGCTTCCCTTCTCTCGACATCCACTCTCCTGCCTTTGAGGACTGGCTCCAGGACCCCATCCTCGGTGGTGGGGGCGCATTCCATGACAGACGAGACAGCCTGGCCTGTCCGGGATGGGGTGCAGGGATCTTGTCTTTGACCCTGGCTCGTCTGCTTTGCCAGCGCCCAGGATTTCCCACTGTGGCCCCACTGTAATCATGGAGCTACTTGTACACATCCTGGGTTGCCTGTCCCCCGGCACAGCCTGGCCCCAGGGGACCATCTGCCTTGTCCATCTGACTACAGCCCCCAGCCCAGGACAGTTGGTTGCAGGTGCACAAAAATATTTCTTGAACAAACAAAACCCCTCTACGGCTCCTGGTGTGGTCTGCCGTGCTGTGCCTCAGTATCCCTATCTGAATGTGGATGATAATGTATTTGCTGTGAGAATCACACGAGATAATCCACGTGAAGAGTGTAATCCAGCGCCTGGCCTGCAGCATTCCACAGATGGGTGTGGGCCAGGTGTCACACGAGATAATCCGCGTGAAGAGTGTAACCCAGCGCCTGGCCTGCAGCATTCCACGGACGGGTGTGGGCCAGGTGTCACACGAGATAATCCGTGTGAAGAGTGTGACCCAGCGCCTGGCCTGCAGCATTCCACGGACGGGTGTGGGCCAGGTGTCACATGAGATAATCCGCATGAAGAGTGTAACCCAGCGCATGGCCTGCAGCATTCAACAGGCGGGTGGGGGCCAGGTGTCACACGAGATGATCCATGTGAAGAGTGTAACCCAGCGCCTGGCTTGGAGCATTCCACAGGCGGGTGTGGGCCAGGTGTCACACGAGATAATCCGCGTGAAGAGTGTAACCGAGCGCCTGGCCTGCAGCATTCCACGGACGGGTGTGGGCCAGGTGTCACACGAGATAATCCGCGTGAAGAGTGTGACCCAGCGCCTGGCCTGCAGCATTCCACGGGCAGGTGTGGACGAGGTGTTGTTACTCCACCACAACCACAATCACAAGTTGCGTCGTGGGCCACCACTCACATTGCCAACTGTGCCAGGTCCTCGCTGGGTTGTGGGCTCCACCAGGCCCAGAGGAGGCTCCCAGGTGAGGCACTCTGAGGGAGCAGGGAGCTTCTTTCATGCAGGGGCATCATTGCAGCGGACCGAGTGAGGACGATCCTCTCTGGGAGGGGCTGGGAGCAGGGCTCTGGCTCAGGGCACAGGCTTGGGATGGGCACGGCCTCTGCCCTGTGTACCTGCCCTGTCCCTGCGCCAGCAGTGTGCCACTTCCTGCAGACTGCCTTGGCACTGGGCGCACTGGGAGAGGCCACGCTGCACTTCCCCGCTGGGCTGCTCTCCTCCCGAAAGGAAGACAAATGAATTTTAATTTGTTCCAACTTGACACAGAAATCCCCCCGGAGAAACTGGGTCACGAAGCACAGAAATCATCTGCTGGCTGCATCTCACGGTCCTTTCCCACAAACAGGCCCTGGTTCTTCCTGAGCACACGGGGGTCCTGGGGGTGGTCCCTGTGGACCCCAGGCTGGTGCTCAGAGTTCCAGAAGTGGATGGGCCTTGGGGAGATGCGTGGCAGCCCAGGAACAGAATTCTGCACCCTCGGAGCTCTAAGGGGCCTTGGGGAGGCTGGTCTGCACTCCACCTGCTGTGAGAAGGTGAGGATGCAGTCCAGAGAGGGGAAGGGACTTGCCTAGGGTCACACAGTGCATCCAAGCTGAGACAGGTGCGAAGCCCTTCTGACTCCTAGTGCGGTGAGCGTTGGGAGGGGTGGTTTGTGCCTCCCAGCCTCAGTCCTGCAGACACTGTCTATGTCTCACTCTCTGCCAGGTGCTGACACCCCTCTGGTGGCGCCCTGTCCTGTAAAATGTGATGACCACACCTGCTTTCCAGGTGTGCGAATGTTAAGGCAGCTGTCCCCAACATTTATGGCACCAGGGATGGGTTTCATGGAAGACAATTTTTCCATGGACAGGGTGAGGGTGATTTCGGGATGAGCTTGTTTCACCTCAGATCATCAGGCATTAGATTTTCATCAGGAACGCACAGCCTACATCCCTTGCATGCATGGTTCACAATAGGGTTCTTGCTCCCACGAGAATCTAATGCTGCTGTGGATCTGACAGGAGTGGAGCTCAGGCAGTCATGCTCGCTCAGCCGCCACTCACCTCCTGCTGTGTGGGCTGGTTCCTAACAGCCCATGGAGCAGTACCTGTCTGTGGCCTGGGGTTTGGGGACCCCTGTGTTAGGGGAGTCCGTGTGTCCCAGGTGTCCACAGGCTTCTGGGGGTGGGCTCAGAGTGCTGGCAGGTCCTCAACGTTCTCTCCCACCTCCCCGATCCTCTCCCACCTCCCAGATCCCAGGCACATTCAGGGTCTGAGACTGGGAGTGTCCAATTTCATCAGGTGGACACTCAAGTTCCCCCAGGTCAGTGTGTTAAGCCTCAGCAGGTAACCCCAAGGTCACTGCGTTTGTGAAAGGGAGCTTGCCCAGCTGCCTGCAGCAGGCCCGAGTCTGGGGTCGGCTCAGCCACTCTGGGCTGTGCACTCTTGGCCAAGGCAGTTTCCTTATCTCATTGAGCCTCAGTTTCTCCATCCATTTAATTGAGGAGATGGAGGCCTAACAGCCTTGTGTGGGGCTCAATGAGCAGGGTTTGTGGGGGCATGTGATGTGTCCTGGAGCCTGCCAACTCCAGGTGGCCAGGGCTATGGTGATGGCCAAGCCTGCCAAAGGTGGCTCTGAGCAGCCCTGAGATGGACATTTTTGGAATTAATGGCATTTGGGTCCTTGAGTTTTACTTGGTGAAGGGAGAGGACAAGTGGAGGCCTCAGAGGGTCAAGTGAGTCACACCAGGCAGGAACACCACCCTGCTCTGGGCTCAGGGGGTTTTTCAACCCTGGAGATTTTCTGCAGGCAGGGTTGCCCCAGGGCTCTGGCCAAATTAGGAGACACTTTATGGGGAAGGTGACAGGGCCAGGGCTGGAAGCAGCTCAAGCCAGAATTTCTATCTCTGATGAGATTTCCCTGGTCAGCATCTTAATGAAGACAGGGCTGCTGGGGCTCCAGGGCTGTGCACGCAGGCTTAATTACTCCTGGCTCTTGGCTCTGCTTGGCGCATGTCTTGCTTCTCTGGGCTTGTTGTCCTTAGGCCTCCCGTCTTGGCTCCAGGCCCAGACCCTGCCTCTGTGTACCTCTTGCTCCTCTGCACAGTACACAGTCCCTCTGCTTATGTTCTGAGCAACCATCCACCTGTCCATTCACCCCTTCTCCATCCCATCCATCCACACACCCATCCATGCATCCATCCATTCACCTGTGCATGCGTACACGCATCCACCCACCTTTCTATCCATCCATCCACCACCCATCCATGCATCAATCTAAGCATCCATTAACTTGTGCATGCAAACATGCATCCACCCACCTTTCTGTCTGTCCTTCCACTGCTCATCCATCTACCCTTTCACCCACTCATCCATCCACCCTTCCATCCACCCATCCACCATTCATCCACCATCCATCCATCCATCCATCCACCACCCATCCACCCCCTCATTCACCCACCCTTCCATCCATCCAAGCATCCATTCACTTCTGCATGCATACATGCATCCACTCACCTTTCTATCCATCCATCCACTCATCCATCCACCCTTCCATCCACCACCCATCCATCCACCCACCCTTCCATCCATCCATCCATCCATCCATCCATCCATCCATCCATCCACCCATCCATCTAAGCATCCATTCACTTGTGCATGCATACATGCATCCACCCACCTTTCTATCCATCCATCCATCCATCCACCCACCCATCCACAATTGCATCCCCTCCTTCTGCACATGTTTCCCTGGAATAACTCAAACACACCAGTCTAGAGCTGGGGGCTGGGAGGAAAAGATTCAAAGGGAAAGAGCCAGGTCTAGTTTCTGCCCTCACAGAGCCACAGTCTGCTGGGGTGAAAGACAAGCAAAGTGGCTGCATCCGTCCACATGGAGAAGGGTTGGCTGACAGCAGCACTGAGTGCTAAGAGGGTCAAGGAGGTTGTGTCATGTGGAGGGGTGGGGCTTCCTGGAGGACAGACAGCAAAGCCAAGATATTGGAGGCCTTGTCTCCTGGGTGAAACTAGCTCTGCCCATGGTGTCTTTTGATACGGGAGGAGGAGACAGCACAAATGTCCTTGTTGACCGCCCATATGGGGGTGGTGCTGCCAGCCTGCCCACGAGCCATCTGCCTGGTTCCTTCCCTTCCCTGAACACGCTGGAGCCTGTGGGCTGTCATGCTCCCTGCACAGTGGGCAGATGCACATGTGGGCCTTGGGCTCCTGCCCCACAAGGCGCCCAGCAGGCTGGTATCCTGATGAAGGGGTGGCCTGGTGAGGTCAGTGGGACCTGGGACGCTCCTCCTAGGGGCACAGCACCTTACAGTTCGGGAGGTGCTTCTCCAGTGTTTTGTTCAGTTCCTGTGACCGTCCATCCTGGGACGGGCAAGGCAGGGCCCCTTGCTGCCTCCTGGAAGTGAAGACTGGGGCCTAGGTTTCAGTGAGTGTACATGGCAGAGCCTGCAGGGGCAGGGCTGGGACGGGGCCTCAAGTTCTGTGTGCTTCAACCCCTCCTCCGAGGGAGCAGGGACGGTGCAGTGGGAGGGCACAGGGCTCCGGAGTTGAAAGCACTGGTGTCCTGTGGGGGTGCTTTCCACCCACACTGGGCTGGGATTAAGCACATGGGGTGTGGGCCTGGGCAGAACGGTGGAAGGCAGTGCCCTGGAGGCAGCGATGGTGTCTCCTGCCAGGCTGTTTACTTTGGCAAACAGTGCTCGTGTGTGTGTGTGTGTGTGTGTGTGTGTGTGTGTGTGTGTGTGTGTGTGTTAAGATACATGTCATCCCTCCCGGCTTTGGGAAGGCATTCAACAGAGCACCTGCTAACAAGCTGGAGGCTCAGTTGTTCTCTGTACACACTCTTGAGGTCCCACCGTGGGCCGGGCCCTGTGCCTGTGGGGAGTCAGCCTTGGGTGTCTCCTCGGAGGCACTCTTGCCCTTTGGGGCTGGACCATCATTGTTTGTGAGGGGCCGGCCCGTGCATTGTTGGGGGTTGAAGAGCATCCCCGGCCTCTGCCCACTTGAGGCAGCAGCTCCCCCTCCTCTGTGACAGCCCAAGTGTCCCAGGCATTGGGGGTAGAGGTAGGTGCCCCTCTATAGCTATGAGCACAGCAGACCCTCTGCTGACCTACTGCTGCTCACAGTGGGTGGGTGACAGAGAAGAAATGGGACAGTTGCACTGCAGGGTGGTCCCCACAAAGACGGGGGAGCCCCGGAGGCTGTGGGGTGCCCTTGGAGTGCAGGCAAGTCATGGGGGTAGGCGGCTTCTCAGCTGAAATCAGAGACTCCACAGGAGGCATTCAGATGGAGACGGGGGACAGGCATCCTAAGGGCTTGAGGCAGGCAAGGTGGGCACAGTCTCGGGGGCCAGGTTGGGTGTGGGGGCTGGAAGGGGGCCCAGCCAGTCCCAGAGCAGTGGGCAGGAGGGGCCATGGGAGGCCCCTTTGTGGTCTGGCCCCTTTTCTGGCTGATGAGGGGTTGGGTGGGAAGGGGGACCAGGAGACAGGGTCTCGGGCATCTGGGAGGAGAAGGGGACTTTGCCGAGCTGGGGAGTCAGGCAGGACAGGCCATGCCCAGGGCACCTGGTGACTCCTGACTCAAGCTATCTCACTTCTTTTCCTCGCTTCTCCTGACCGCTGGAGGTCTGTGCTCTTAGAAGCTCCTGCTCTGGCCTCTGGCAGGATGAGAGCAGAGCAGTTGGGAGCTTCCGTGGAGGGCAGCCTGACCTGGCAGATCACTGAAGGTGATAATTAGAGGCTCAGGCTCACAGCTGCATTAGAAAAGCTAGGAAGCACAAAGGGCCTCGGCAGGGAAGGCCATTAGTCACCGGCCTAACTGCCCTGGCCGGGTCTGGTTGACCTGGGCGAGGACCTGGCTATGCCCATGTGGCTCCAACTTGTGGATGCTGCCTCTGTGGGTGGGCGGCGGGACAGGCTCACCCCACTGGTGCTGGGGCAGTGGGGCCAGCCAGGCCTCACCAGCACATGGACACCTCCCTCCTCCCTACTGAAGAGCTCGTGGGGTGGAGGGCGGCATCCCGCTCTCCCCCTTCCTTGTGGAGGGACGTGAAGGGAGGCTGTGTTGGCCACAGGTCCTCCCTGTGGCCCACTCCTGGCCCCTCCACTGGCCAGGCTCCTCTTGTTCCCAGGCTGGAACTCCTGGCCCGTGTGGTCTTGCTGTTCCAGGATGGAATCGTCCCATTTCTAAGGGGTACCTGAGAGGAGATAGGGCAGGGCCAGAGAACTGGCCATGAACAGTGGGACCCTGTGGGACAATGGAAAATCAACACCCTCCAATGCGTTGGGGACAAGATTTCCCAACACATGCACCCCCAGCCTTCCCTCCCAGGATGGCCCTCTGTGGGGAGTTTTGGGCTTGGTAGTCTGGCTGCTGGTGGGTGAGGGGGTGTGGGGAGAGGGCAGGAGAGGTGGGGAGGAGGCAGGATGCCAGAGGCTGGCGTGGGGCTGGTCTCTCGGACTCGTGTCACGAAGCACCTGGATGTAGGCACAGAGGCCACAAAACCACACAAGGCCGAATGCCCAAGGGGCTGAGAGAGCGGGCGGCGGGGACTCAGGCTCGGGGAGGGAGATTTTGGTGGCTTCAGAGGGCAGGGGACTCTGGAACGTATGTGGGGTGTGCAAGAAGAAACAGAAAAGTCCAAGCACTTTGTGGAGTCTCTGTGCTCCACGAATCAAGTAGATTCGTGTTTTTAAAGAAGCCTAGATAAAGACCAGGATTTCTTTGATGAGTGCATTTCGGCGGTTGGACTGTAGGTCTTTGAACTGGACTGTGGCAGACCGTGGGGTAGACTCAGGTTGCATAAAGAAGTCCTGGGGAAACGAGAGCACAGGCATCCCGGGGTCTGCCCGGCGCCCCGAGGCAGGAGTGCCTGCTTTGGGAAGCCTCGCGCAGCCGCCTGGAGGAGCGGAGCTGGCGCAGGTGTCCGTGGCGATGCTCTTTGTTGTGTGGAGTGGGCGTCGCGTGGATGTCTGTCTCTTGGGGTACGATGTTGTGTACAGTGCCAGTGGCACATACAGAAGTGGGGCTCAGACACCCATGTGGCCTGAGGCTTCCCGGGAACTCAGAATCAGGGTTGAGCCACTTTGACGGGGTTCTTTGAGGGGCAGGGGTCCCCCTACCTCTGGATCACACCACACTGGGCAGAGCACTTCATGGCGTCCAGGAGGAAGTTACCTGTTCAAGCTACAGTGCTGGAGAGTTGGTTAGTCCAGTGGGCCCCCGGGGCTGCCACCTTCTCCCTCATCCTCTGCATGAGCTCCTGACATCCTGCAGGACCCCTGGCTCGATCCCCACATTCCCACCCTCCCGACTGCCACGCCGAAGCCCCTAGCATCCTGCCTTCATCCTCTCCAGCCTAAAACTGCCGATGGTGGCCACAAAGCTGGAACATTCCCCATGGCTCAGGCTGGCATTTGAGACCCCGGGTTGTTGGCCTTGCCTCTTGGGACCCCCAACCCCCCAACACACCTGTTCCAGCTGCACAATCCATGGAGCACGCTGGGTGTGGCCGCCTCTGGCCATGGTTGTGCCCTAGTGCCCTCACCTGCCTTCCCTTTAAGGCACAGCCAGCTCCACCTTCCTGGAGAACCCCCACCCTGCCCCCATGGCTGCCCCCTCCTTTGGCTCCTCTCCACATCCCCTGCACCCAACACCATGTCTGGTGCACACTAGCTTAGTTAGGAGCACCTGCATGCTGTCCTCTGGTCTCTACCACTGAGCTCAGCCCCAGGGGCCCTGATGCCATCCGGGCTGGTCAGAGCCTTCACAGGTCCCATCTTCCGTATCTCCTGCCCCCCAGACTGGTGGCGCCCCATCCTTCCCTGGAGCAAGGGCCCTCCAGGCACTGCCCTGTTTCTCCCCCACCTCATCCCTCCGTGGGTCACCGCCTCTCTGCCCACCTCCTTCCTCATTTCTTGTCCTGCCCTTGTGGTGAGAATAGGATGCAAAATCCTTCCACGAGACACCTTGTTGGGTGTGGGTTGGTGCAGGGGGCTCAGGGAAACTTTTCCTGTCCTGGGACTGAGGCCAGCTGCACAACCAGCAGGGTCCAGTGCCCAGTGGAAATGTGGGCCTGTCATCCAAAGGCTAAGAACTTCAGGAAGACAACAGCAGGCCCATGCGGCTGCCGGGGCTGGAGGCAGCAGCCAGGGCCCCAGCCCTGCCTGGGAACCACGGTCCCAGGGGACGGCTGTCCGTAGCTCACCTCTGGAGCTTCTTCCTGGAGGAGGAGGGCAGCATCAGACCGACTCTGTGGTCAGTGTGTACTCTGCTTTTCTAGAAACTCAGGGGCCATGAATTTGGACAAACAGCTGTGACAACGAGTGTTTGGTTGAATCCACTGAGGGAGGATGAGGCCACCGCCCTGGAAAATCCCGGGGCTGAGTGGGGAGCAGGGCTTGGAGTCACACAGGCTCAGGCCTGTCTATACCACCCTGGAGGACCTCGGACACATGCAGCTCTCAGGATCTCAGTTTTTTTATTTGGGAATTGAAGACGTGAACAACCCTGCCTGTCAGTGGCGGGACACGGTTATGACCAGCTGTGGGGGAGAAGAGGCCCCCGGGGGCCTTTCCGCCCTCCAAGATTGCATGGGCTGTGGGGAGCGTCTGCAAGGGGCACAGGGTGGACGTGCTCCCAGCAGCCCCCTCCAGCTCTTCCCCCCTCCTTCTTCATATGAGCTCTTTCTTTGACAGAACTCCTTGTTCCTCACAGCCCTCTCTGGTCATATTTATTTTATTCTATGGCTTTGATCTGTAAAGTATCTGGAAAATCCTTTCTCAGAAGGTACTGGCTTCTGCCTCACTGGTTAGTAGTTAAACGCGGTGTTTAAACATTTCATGGACTCTTGGTACCTTTTTTATTACAGAGGCCCATTGGCTGTGGATCGGTGGCTTGGTTTGTCTCTCCTGGGTCTCAGGGAAGCCTAGGAGACAAGAGAAGATGAGTACCAAAGAGAGGCTGCCAGGCCCCTTGTCCAGAAAAGGCGCCACGGTGCCCAGTGCCACGGGCCCAGCAGGAAGGTAGAGCCAGCCAGGACCCCGGGAGAGTCCAGGCTGGGCCTAATCCTTCCAGGTCTCCAGCTCCTGCATGTCATTCTGCATGCAGTAATGACAGTGAGAAGGAAGTAGGTACAAATTGCAAGGCCCCAGGGCCTGGGAAGACTTTCCCCTTCCTTCTCTCTGGGGCTCCCACACCTGCCTCCTGGTCCCTGATTGGCAGGGTGGCTGGAGCTCAGGAGGCATTTCCAGCTCCCCTGTGGGGCTCCATCCTCCTGATGGGTCTGGAGCCCCTGAGCTCTGGGCTTGCCTGACCACTGCTCCTTCCCCAGCTCACAAAGAGCCTCTGCGGGCCTGTAGCACCCACACTCTCAGGAGCACCAGGAGGCGAGGACTAGCCCGTCCTGTGGTAAGCAATGAGGCTGAGGCTGTAAGACGAGAGCTGGTGGGTGTGAGACGTGAGAGGCACCCTGTTTTCATGTTGTCCTCATCTCCCCTTAGAATGGAGATGGGGATGCTGCTGGGGTGACATGGGCTTGGGCCAGCTCTGGTGGCTACGTGTTCCCATACGTCGAACTCAGACATGATGGTCTTGGTGGGAACCTGCCCCAAAGCCTCTGTGATCCCCTCGTCTCCCAAATCCAGACTCAATATGTGAGACACAGCTCTTAAAGACACAAGGTAACACATTGGTTCAGCCCGGAAAGGCGGGACAACTCAAAGGGCGGTGCTTACAAGTGATAGGTAGATTAAAAAATTTTCTGACTGGCAATTGGTTGGAAGAGTTACTATCTATAGAGAGGAATGTCTGGGTTATCTGGGCTATGATAACAGGTTGCAGAGACCAAAGTTTGATCTCGCAGATGAGGCCTCCTTTTATGGATTCAGAATGGGAGTGCATGCAGATTGGTTTGTGAGTTTGCAAAAAGGTGTCAGAGGGAATAGATCCTAAACACTTTTTTTTTTTTTTTTTGAGATGGAATTTCACTCTTGTTGCCAGGCTAGAGTGCAATGGTGCAATCTCAGCTCACTGCAACCTCCGCCTCCCGGGTTCAAACAGTTCTCCTGCCTCAGCTTCCCAAGTAGCTGGGATTACAGGTGCACACCACCACGCCCAGTTAATTTTTGTATTTTTTAAGTAGAGAAGGTGTTTCACCATGTTGGCCGGGCTGGACTCAAACTCCTGACCTCAGGTGATCCGTCCACCTCAGCCTCCCAACGTGCTGGGATAACATGGGTGAGCCACCGTGCCCGGCCTCCTAAATGCTTTTTATCTGACTTAAGGTCTGTATTGATTGTGCTGGAGGGTGTAATGAGGCAAAAGCCCAACCACTACTTCCCGTCCAGGGTCAAGGCCTGAACCAGTCTTTCAGGTTAAATTTTAGAGTGTCCTGGCCAAGAAGGCAGTCCATTCAGATGGTTGGGGGGCCTTAGAATTTTATTTTTGGTTTACAAATGAAACGTGGAGAGAAAAACCCTCAAACATTTGAACGGTGCATCGGAGTTGGAGCAGCCGAAGATCTGCTCCACTGCGGTCCCTGAGAGAGAAGAGAGGAGCGCATAAAACATCTGCAAAAATAATGGCTGATGAATTTCCAGATTTGATAAAAACCACAGACCTGGGGATCTGGGAAGCTCAGCGAACCCCAAGCACAAGAAGAATGAAAAAACCTGCAAAAACACGTGATCATCAAATTGCCAAAACCAATGATACAGAGAAAGTTTTAAGAAGAGTCACAGGAAAAGGACGTGTGACATTCCGAGGAACAAGGACAGCAGCAGGTTTCCCAACCAAGACAAGCAAGGGGACGGAGGGGCAAGATCTTCAACACACAGAAAGAAACACAAAACAGAACTGCCAATCTAGAATCCACGCCCCATCAAAACGCCTTTCTTTTTAAAATTATTATTATTGTTGTTGTTTGAGATGGAGTCTTGCTTTGTTGCCCAGACTGGAGTGCAGTGGCCTGATCTTGACTCACTGCAACCTCCACCTCTCGGGTTCAAGCGATTCTCCTGTCTCAGCCTCCCGAGCAGCTGGGATTACAGATGCGCACCACCACGCCCAGGTAATTTTTGTATTTTTTTAGTAGAGATGGGGTTTCTCCATGTTGGTCAGGCTGGTATCGAATTCCTGGCCTTAGGTGATCCACCCACCTTGGTCTCCCAAAGTGCTGGGATTACGGGCGTGAGCCACTGCGCCTGGCCCAAAACACTTCTTGTATTCTTATATTTAAGACCTATTCTTGGCCGAGTGCAGTGGCTCACACCTGTAATCCCAGCACTTTGGGAGGCCGAGACGGGTGGATCACCTGAGGTCAGGAGTTCGAGACCAGCCTGGCCAATATTGCAAAACCCCGTCTCTACTAAAAATACAAAAATTGGTCGGGCACGGTGGTGGGTGCCTATAATCCCAGATACTTGGCTGGCTGAGGCAGGAGAATCGCTTGAACCACGCAGAGGTTGCAGTAAGCTGAGATTGTGCCACTGTACTCTAGCCTGGGTGACAGAGTGAGATTCTGTCTCAAACAAAACAAAACAAAAAACAAAAATACCCTATTCTTATAGGAACAGATCTTACTCCAGACAGAATAAGACCAGCAGAAATGGTAATATGTGGGTAAAAGAAAAAATATGTTTTTTCTTATAATTTACATGTTTTTACAAACAGTCATGACATTAAGTAACATTTACTGAATGACTCCAGGTGCCTTCACTTTACATATTCCATAACTTTCTTTTTTTTTCTTTCTCTTTTTTTTTTTTTTTTTGAGATGGAGTCTTGCTCTGTCGCCCAGGCTAGAGTACAGTGACGCTATCTTGGCTCACTGCAAGCTCCACCTCCCGGGTTCACGCCATTTTCCTGCCTCAGCCTCCCGAGTAGCTGGGACTACAGGTGTCCGCCACCACACCTGGCTAATTTTTTGTATTTTTAGTAGAGACGGGGTTTCACCATGTTAGCCAGGATGGTCTCCATCTCCTGACCTCGTGATCCACCCACCTTGGCCTCCCAAAGTGCTGGGATTACAGGCATGAGCCACCATGCCCGGCCACAATCACTTTCCATTTTCAAAAAACCCACTGGGGCAGGTACAATTCTCTGTCCATTTTATAGATGAAGAAACTAAGGCTTGGAGGGGGTCACAGGACACGGGCAATGGAACACACATTGTACCAGGTCAAAGCCCAGAGTGAAATTTGGCCACCTTCAGTCTCCAAACTGTGCTGACAGCCACTCTTCTTGTCCCAAACCAGCCCTCTCTTCCCACCAAACCCTGGTCTCACCTGGGCCATGTGGGCCCCACACTCAGATCCCTGTGGGTCTTGCCACCACGGAGTGGGGAGGCTGAGGCCCCTTCCTTTTCAGTCTGGTTTTCTGCAGCGTTGCTAGAGCTTGCCAGGAGATGAAATATGGGCCGGGGCTGTTGCTGTGGCAACCACTCATCATTTATGAATGGCCTGGGAGCCCACTGGCTCAACCAACCAGGAGTGATTTGCTGGTTCTGCTGCACTGAACTGCAGCTCAGCCCTCAGACGCAGGGTGGGCACGGGGAGGGTGGAGGGCCATACAGAGAGCTCGAGACTCCGCCTGTTCATTGCCCCTTGCCATCCTCTCTCACCCCAGAAATCATCTTTTTGGCTTCTTCTCCAAGTGCTTAGTCACACACCAGGTCGCACACGGTAGACCTGACCCCAGCCTGAGACTGACCTGTGGGCCAAAGTGGGGTCAGCCCCCACCTCGCTCCCAATGTCCGCCTCTGAGTCCATCGAGCCATCTGGTCACCTGTACCCCTTCCCATCCCGTGGAGCACCTGGCCAGCGTGGCTTTGCTGGTTTATGATGTGTGTGGCTTCTGTTCATGTGGAAACCGTAGGAGCAAACAAATGGAACGAGGGTGCACGGTGGCCAGTGCTGGCCTGTGCAGAGGAGCGCTGCTCTCGCTCAGTGTATGCTCTGCAGAGAAGTTCTGATAAAAATAAACACGTTACTGTGGCAAAAGACACAACATAATTCACCATACTAACCATTTCTTTTTTTTTGAGACAAGGTCTTGCTCTGCCGCCCAGGCTGGAGTGCAGTGGCAGGATCTTGGCTCACTGCAGCCTTGACCTCCTGGGCTCATGTGATCCGCCTGCCTCGGCCTCCTGAGTAGCTGGGACCACAGGTGCACCTAACCATTCCTAGCCATTCCTAGCCATTCCTAGCCATTCCTAGCCATTTGTAACCATTCCTAGCCATTCCTAACCATTCCTAGCCATTCCTAACCATTCCTAACCATTCCTAGCCATTCCTAACCATTCCTAGCCATTCCTAGCCATTCCTAGCCATTCCTAACCATTCCTAGCCATTCCTAGCCATTCCTAACCATTCCTAGCCATTCCTAGCCATTCCTAACCATTCCTAGCCATTCCTAACCATTCCTAACCATTCCTAGCCATTCCTAGCCATTCCTAGCCATTCCTAGCCATTCCTAACCATTCCTAGCCATTCCTAACCATTCCTAACCATTCCTAACCATTCCTAACCATTCCTAGCCATTCCTGACCAAGTGCGCAGCTCGGCAGCACTAAGCACATTCACATGGCTGTGCAGCCGTGACCGCCTCCTTCTCCAGAACTTCTCCATCTTCCCAAACTGATGCTCTGTCCCCATTCAGCACACACTCCTCGTCCTCCTCCCAACCCTGGGACCGTCTGCACATACTCGCCCAGGTCAAGCCCTGCCTTCCCGCAGGAGGGCCCTTCAGGTGGGGAGGGGCTGGGGGGCCTGGTCAGCTTGTTCTCCAGCCCCCCTAACCATGTCCACCCTGCCCCCACCTCAGCAGAGTCAGGGAGAGGCAGGGGCGGAAGGGTCCCCAGGGAGGGAGCCTAGGTGTCTGTGCGGGTGCTGCTGGGCGTGGCCGGCTCCTGGGGGGTTGCCATGCCCAGGTGTGTCCCCCTACATCCGTGTGCTGGAAACATCATCCCCAGGGCGAGTGTGGAGAGGGAGAGCACCCTCACTGCATGCCGAGCCTGCTGGAGGCTGGACTTTGGCCTCCCAGCCCCCAGAACTGGGAGAAACACACCTCTGCTCTGTAAATTACCCAGCCTCAGGCATTCTGTTAGAGCCGCATAAAAGGACTGAGGCAGGGTCCTCGTGCGGGTGCGGGAGACCCCATCTCTGAGGCTCTCTTGCCTGTGGCTTCCTGGACGGGGGGAAGCCTCCTGGCTGGCCACCTGCCGCAGCCCTTCTCCTGGATCACTTGGTCACTCCAAGTGGTCCTCATGGGAGGGGTCTCTTTCAAGATGACCAGAGCCCAGCCCCCCTCTGGAGGAGCTGGCTTGTGTCCCTGCCCCAAACCGTCCAGCCTCAGCTCCTTGCCTTGGGCTGCCCTCTCTGGTGGGACACCCCAGCCCTGGGGTCCCCTCCCTTGACCTGCAGCGGCAGGAGGCGCACTGCTTCCCTGCTCTTGGCTGTGGGGGCAACTTTTTCTTCAGGGAAAGCTCATGTTACTTTCCCAAACTCCCAGCAGACTCTTCAAGTCCTCTTTCAAGGTGTGGAGGTGCAGGGGGCAGGTGTGGGCAGAGCCAGTAATCCAGCCCCAGGCAGCCCCGCACAGGTGAGCTATCGGGTGAGCTATCCTGGTTCTAAATGTGCAGGTCACGTGGAAACTGTCACTGGTGGGTCTCAGAGGAAATGCTCAAATGGTGATTCCCAACTCCAGGGGCACATGGAGCCACCAGCCTCCAAGAGGTCACGTCCAGTGCAGAAGAAGGACATGGGCCCGAGCAAGATGGCTCATGCCTGCAATCCCAGCACTTAAGGAGGCTGAGGCAAGCGGATGACTTGAGGTCAGGAGTTCGAGACCAGCCTGGCCAACATGGGAAACCCTGTCTCTACTAAAAATATAAAAATTAGCCGGGCGTGGTGGCGCATGCCTGTAATCCCAGGTATTCGGGAGGCTGAGGCTGGAGAATTGTTTGAAATTGGGAGGCGGAGGTTGCAGTGAGCCGAGATGGTGCCACACTGCACTCCAGCCTGGGTGACAGAGCGAGACTCTGTCTCAAAAAAAAAAAAAAGGACATGGGACCAAAGAATGGGCAGTGCTCTTGGGGGCCAGGGGCGGCCAAGTTTAGGAGATAGTGGGGGCCGGAGAGCAATCTCCCAGAAGAGGAAGGCGAACGATGGTGAACATTTCTGGGACAGCAAAGGCCCGACCCCTCCAGGGTCCACGAATTGCCGGCAGCCGTGGCCACGAGGACCCTGCCTGGGGCTCTACATCTGGTGTCGGTTGCCTATTTTTTAAAGTTGTCGGAGAGCGGGGGGCACACAAGAGTGGGAGGGGCTTGGGGCCTTCTGCTGCCAGCCCTGATCGAGAAGTGGGTACGGCACCCCCACCCCCTCATGCGTCGTTTAGCAGGGGTGATGGCTGGATTTGCAGAGGGAAGTTAGGAGTTTTCAGGGAGCCTGGCAGATTTTGTTCAAGGAAAGAGCCATCAATCAGGGACGTAGTTTAGGGCCGTTAGTGTGTAACTTGCTGTGCTAGTAGACATGTGGGTGCTGAGAGCCTAGGCTGGGCTGGGCAGTGAACGGTGGTGCTGCTGACGCCAGCAGGACTGTGAGTGGCCCTGAGCACAAGCCTTAAAGAAAAGAAGGAACTCCGCACGGTTTCTGCAGAGTGGTTGGGGGCCCTCCTGCCTCTGTGTGGAGCTCAGACCCAGACATGTCTACAGAGCCACACTCTGACCCACCCTGAGACCCCACACACAGACTGACTACTCTTTAGACCCCTGAGGCACCCAGCCGTGCAGGGACACTGATGAGCCTGCAGGAAGAGAGGGCCGCCAGGGCAGAGAGGGGCTCAGCCTGGAGGCCCATGGCCAGGCTGCCTCTTGTGATTTGGGAGGGGTCTCCTAACTCAGCAGTGACCTGGACAGATACACTGACCCTGGCCTGGCTGTGCTACCTGCGGTCATCTAGTGAGGGCCGCACATTCTCTGTCTTCCCACGGAGAGGTGGACTCAGCCCCACCCGCCTTCCTCGGCTTCACGCTCATGGCTTCCTTGCCATGAGCATATGAGTAGAATATGGAGGAAGTGTGGCTGCCTGGCTTCCGAGGCCAGGTCTGCTGGTGCCCGGTGCTTCTGCCTGGGCCTCTTGGAATTCTCGCTCTCGCAGCCATGCAAGAAGCCCAACTGCACTGCTGTAGGGACCAAGGGGAGAGGTGCCCTGCGGGGGATGGAGGAGGAGAGGGGCCCTACAGCGGATGGAGGAGGAGAGGGGCCCTGCGGCGGATGGAGGAGGAAAGGGGCCCAGCAGAGCCTGCCCGCCAGCACCCCCTGCTGAGGCACTCCCAGATACGAGTTCACTTCCACAGGAGCAGACAACAATATAGATTTACACTTTCTTCTAGGGCTATGTTAACTCTTCTGCCCTCTGACATAATACACATCCCACAGAGTGTCATATTGATCCAGAACAAGGCTGACATCATGTCAGTTGGGCCAGACGAGCAGGAGGCAGCATGCACGGTGGAGGCCCTGGTGTGACATATGCACTCCCAAGGGTGGAGAATGCCCCTTTGCAGATCGGGAACCTGCCACAACTAGAAAATGTTTAGGAGTCTGGTGGTCAAATGTGTGCTGGGATTTGTCCTCCAAAGTCACAGATAAATTATTGCATCTGCACCTCCTGCCACAAAAGAAGCACAGTGTGTGGTGGGCGTTTTCAGGTTCTGGAAGCAGCAGATTCGATGGGCAGGGATGGAGCTTCCGTCTATGGAGGGAGCAACACAGATGCTGTCAGATTTGAATGGGGCAGGAAATGGCTCTGTATTAGTCCGTTCTCATGCTGCTAATAGAGACATTCCCAAGACTGGGTAATTTATAAAGGAAAGAGGTTTAATGGACTCACAGTTCCACATGGCTGGGGAGGCCTCACAATCATGGCGGAAGGCAAGGAGGAGCAAGTCACATCTTACATGATGGCAGGCAAGAGAGAGCATGTGCAGGGGAACTCCCCATTATCAGACCATCAAATCTCATGAGATTTATTCTCTATCACGAGAACAGCACGGGAAAGAACCGCCCCCATGATTCAGTTATCTCCCACCGGGTCCCTCCCACAACACGTGGGAATTATGGGGGCTATAATTTGAGATGAGATTTGGGTGGGGACATGACCAAAACATGTCAAGCTCTGTAGTGCTAGCAGCCCTGCTTCTCAGGCCCTGGGATCAGGAGGACACCGTGGAGTTGGAGGTGTCAGTGGTGGGAAAGGATGTGGGGCAAAGTTTCAGCCAGGCCTTGGGGGAGAACATGTGGGTTCTCATCCTATGACTGCAGGGAAATAAATGCCTCTGAAAACAACTCCTACTATGCCAGTGGGCCCTAGGAGGGACAGAACACCCGACCACAGGACATCAGGCGACTCTGTGGCCTGAAAATCTCTTCAGGAGATAGGTGGCATCAGGCCTACCCAGTCCTAAGGCCGGATGTGTCTAGCAATAATCCCTCATGAGAAGGAAAGGGCCCAGGACCACCCATGAGCAGGCCCAGAGGCACCATCGAGCGACATGGGTAGGTGGCCCTGGACCCGCAGCACCCAGCCCATTGCACCAGGCAACTCCCTCAGCTCAGGCCTTCAGAACGGCCACACAGGGAGGGCAGACCCAAGCTGGGTCATGGACGTGAGAGTGCACACTGCACACTGAACACGGATGGCACCCTCACCACGGCCCCCTCGAGGGGACACCTTGGAAGACAGCACAGAGGGCAAACGCTCAGTGGGGAAAGGCCAGGGCCTGGGGGCGGCGGGGGCTTTGGGGCTTGGCTCCCCAGCCTCCAGGACTATCAGTGACAAATGTTTGTCTTCCAGAAGCCACCCAGTTTATGGTATTTTTGTCATAGCGGTCCAAACAGATGAAGACACCTCCCCAATGTGGGTGGCCTCATTGAGGCCATAGAGAGCCGGAATAGAACAAAAGGCAGTGCCAGGGAGGACTTGCCTGGGGCCTGATGCCTTCCAGCTGGGACTCTGGTGTTCTCCTGCCTTTGGACTCTGACTCTGACTAGAGCCCACACCATCCACTTCCCCGGTTCTCAGCCTTTGTACTGGGGCTGGGACTGCACCGTGGGCTCTTCCGGGCCTCCAGCTTGCCGATGGCCGATGGCTGGGCTTCTCAGTCTCCATAATCGTGTGAACCAATTCCTCATAATAAATCTCTCTCTGTCTATACCGCCTATTCATTGTGTTTCTCCGGAGCACCCTGAGGAGTCTAGGAGTCTGGCACAGAGACGCGTGGGCAGACGTAGGCAGTGAAGATCCTGTATCACATGTTAAAGCCACAGGGGGCCACTGAACGGCCAGAGACAAACTGACTCAGCTGGTTGACGTCATCAGCTTTGGTCACCTGCCACCTGGCACTGACACAGTGGGCATGAGGATGGAGGGACCATGGTGGCTGAGATGGAGACTACACACGTCCCCACAGGAGGGCTCCCACCTGCCAGGCTGACCCAGCTCCTGTGGCCACCAGGTGTCCAACCTGCCAGCAAAAAAGACCATGCTGAGCCCGGGAAATGGCTCCATTCCTTGGGGAACAACTGCCCACTTGGTGGCAGGTGAACTGCCAGGGGCTGGGCCGAGCTGGAGAGGGCCAGCTCACTGGAGTAGATAATGAAGGCACCAAGCCCTGGTGAGAGTCATGGCCCAGGCTTTAATCACTGCAGGTGTCTGCTGGGGCTGCGGTGACACAAGACCACAGGCTGGTGGCATAAGCAACAGAAACTTATCTTCTCACAGTTCTGCAGGCTGGAAGTCCAAGATCAAGGTGTCAGCTGATGTGGTTTCTGGTGAGGGCTCTCTGTCTGGCCTGCAGACAGCCACCTTCTTGCTGTGTCCTCACATGGCCTTTCCCCTGTGCATGTACATCCCAGATGTCTCTTCCTCTTGGCATGGGGACCCCAGTCCTATTGGATTAGGGCTCAGCCTCAGGACCTCTTTTCACCTTAGTTACCCCTTTAAAGGTCTTATCCGCAAATAGTCACATGGGGCAGGGAGTCAACTTATGAATTTAAGAGAACACGGTTTAGCCCATAGCACTCTCTTACTACAATTGGATAAGCAAGAGGCCACAGCAAAGAAAGCCTGGGCCCCCCTCCCCCATTCCACTTTCCTACCTAGAAAGGCCTACATTCAGGGGATCAGCACAGATGTGGGGGTTGCCTCGCTTCCAAGGGAGCCCCAAGCTAAAGGCTCCTGTCATTGTATGAACTTGGGATGTGGGACAGAGAGGGACACGTGTTAGCGGTGCGAAAGCCCTGGGTGCTGAGTGTCCTCAGCTCCCCTCCCTCTGCCTTCCCCCGAGGAGGTAAAGAGACTTCTGAGCAGGGGCTCCCGGGCTAGGGATGTGTGGACTGCGTGAAGGCTTGGCCGGCCGGGCCCTGAGTCTGTGAAGCTCTGCAGCTCTGTCTGGAGACGCAGCCACAGGTCCGTAGGAGGCCGCCTCTGGGAGGGCTGCCGGGCAAAGCTTCACTGCTGCTCGGCTCCTGGATGACTACACTGGGCTCTCCTCCTGGAAGGACAGAGGTGCTTTCTCCAGGGACAGGTGCGGATCCCACGCCTGGGTTTGCCTTTCCTGCTACTGGGCCTCCGCCAGCAGTACTATCTGGGGCCATGCAGAGTGGCTGGCTCGCTTGGCGTGGGACCCCATGTAATGCCACGTCAGACCTGGGCTGGGCACCACTTACCCAGGGCCACTGCTCCCATCGCATATGGCCCATTGGAGCTTACCACCTGGGAGAGTGGTGGGCACACCAATGACCCATGAGAGGTGGTGCCACCCCCCAAGGACCTTGATGTGGTGCTGTGTTCCCAGTGGGAGGGACACACAGGCTTGGACCCAATGGATGGAGTCAGGAATGGCCGCACCTCCCTTCACTCCCAGCGACCCACTGGGGGACCTGTGTTTCCACCCCCACGGCTCAGGTTCAACAGGGTTGAATACTGTTCTCCAGAGCAGCTGTACTCTCACAGGGACACAGCCAGTGTTCTGTTCAGCTTTGAGCCATGGTAGTCGCTGGGGCCCTTTGGGCTCCTTTTTCCAGACACCAGCAGGCAAGAAGGGGGCCAACATCTTGCTGGGGAGACCGACACTAGCCATTGGGGGTTGCTGCTGGCACACATGGGGCGGGACATGCATGTAGAGCCAGCTGACCCCCCTGGGCACCTCCTACAGCTCTCTTGCCTGACTGTGACTGTAACTGGATGGGGACAGTAACCCCCACCCAGAAGGTCCCTCAGGGATGAGGGCCTGAGCCACCCATCAGCAGAAGGGCTGGCTAGGGGTGGGGGAATGGAGCCTGGAGGGTGGATTGGGAGACCCTAAGGACAGAGGTGGGCAGGGGCCGTGGAGGCCCCCAGCATCCTCGGAAGCTTCCAGGAGGGGGCCCTTGGGGATCCTGGAAAGTCGCTCTTTGACTGGACCCCAGTGAGTGAGGGGTGGTCTGTGGGAAGCTTAGAGACCCCCTTGAGGGAGGACGAGGGCTCCCAGCCCATCAGGATCCCCTTCAGCTGCAGGAACCCACCTCTCCCATGGCCACGCCATGTCCATGGACTGAACAAGGGACCCGCTGAGGCTGGGTCATCTCAGCCGAGGTGATGCTCTGACAGGTCACACCCTTGCACCCCCACATGACCTTCTGACTTCTGCATCCCCCAAGAATCTCCTCCAGAGCTAGGAAGACCCCCAACCCCAGATTAACCATCCCAGTCCATGTTCTGGACGAGCCCCCTCGGCCTGGTCATCAGAACAGTGCACCTGCGGCCGGCGGGCTGAAGACTGCCACCAACGTGGGGCCTATCCAATTCAGCCCCTCACCGACCACAGGACGCCTCATCTCAGGGAGGACAGAGGGAGGCTCAGACCCGCACCTGACCCTGAGTCCCCTCCGCCCTGGCTGTGTCCTGGTCAGAGAAGGTGAGTTTATGGGGCCGTGTGCTACCAGTCACTTCTTCCTGGGAAGAGACCCTCTGGTGAGGGGGGGAATGCGCAGTGGCCTCTGCGGGTTGCTTGATATCCAGGTACAAGGTGCCAGAAAGCACCCACCTGCAGTCTTCCCACACTAGTGGAGGTCAGGGCTCACCCCTGGGATCCGAGAACACTTTCGCCTTTGTAATTACTCCCGTGCCGCCTCCAACACCCCAATCCCCGCACAGCACCCCTCGCTGGGGGAAAGCGTCCTACTCGGGAGCCCCGGCTGCACACATATTTAAGTAATGACTCCAGCTACGAGCCATCAGAGCCCTGCAATTGCATTATTAAAAAGAAGTCTCTGTAGACACCTAAAATGCATCAAACTACTCAATATTCCACATTTGATCATAATTAAAAGTAAAAAATATGGGCCACAAGGGGGCTGGTGGTGATGGATTTGCTGCACGGGGTGAATGGAAGTGTTATTAACAGGAGGAAATTGCCAGAGACAGGCTTGGCAAGACGCCTGGTTAGACATGCATGTGGAGGGCCTTGGGGGCCGGTGGTGATTAATGTCACTGACCCCCAAATCCAGGCAGAGAAGTAGCTGTGACCCCGAGACCTGCCCTGGCCCTCCGCCCTGGGGATTCGAGGCCCCCTCTGCTGACCAGGAACCGGGATCTCCCAGTATGAAGGAGGGAGTGTGGGGTGGGGGTATCCCAGCGGGGCTGGCATCAGGGCCGTGTGTGGGGTGGACCCGGGGCCAGATTCCCCGTGCAGTACTGAAGCATGTGATTCCCCCTGCTGAGAGTGCTGGCAGCCGACGGTGGCTCTCAGACCAACCCTCTCCAGAACTGCCTTTGGCTGGAGAGAATAGCCTGGCTCAAGTTGACTCATGACTGGAGGATGTGTGGCTTGGGAGGTCTTGGGCCCCTCACCCTGACGCGGGGTAGCTCTGCGCACTTGGGAGATGAGCTGAGTACTCTCTTTCGACTGCACCAGAGCTCAGCTTCTCCCCCACCCAGACCAGCTTCCTGTGCTCCCTCACAGGGGTCTGTTTGAGAGGGCTCCTGGGAGACCCCCGGCACACCCGTCTCTCTCTCTCCAGCATGGCTTCAGGGGAACTGACCCTCGACACGGGAATCAAGCACTCCTGGGCCTCAGGTGGGCAAGTGTCTGGGCAGTGCCACAGGAGGCAGCTGAGGGAAGCAGAGTTGGGGAGAGCTGAGGACTCCAGCACCGGCTCAGACCACACGTCCCCAGACCCCAAATAGGCCCAGGCCACGGGTGTCTGTGGTGCTGCTGCCTCCCCTCGGCCACCTCTGGTGCCCAGGCCACCTGCATCCCATCCGACAATCACAGGGCAAAGATGGCCTCTGGTCCACCCAGGTCCACCCATGCTCTCACAGTGAACCCCAGTCTCTTCTAGCAAGTTCAGCCTGGCCGTCCAAGTTCAGCTTCCCCATCCCACCTGCGTGCTCGGAGCAGACAGCACAGGGCCGAGATTGGTGGCGTTATCATCCTCAAAGCCGTGAGCAAGAGGCCCCAGTGGGAGAGCGGGCTTGGTCCAATGGCTAAGAGGTTCTATAAGCCAGAGTCCCCAGGTTCTAATCCCAACCCAGCTACTGGCTAGAGAGGTGCTCTTGGACAAGTTACTTCATTTTGAGCCTCAGTTTCCCAGCCTGGGTGATGGTATGACAGCTCCCGTGGGGTGGCAGGATTAAAAGGACCGATGCAGGGAGAGGAGCAACACATGGTCATTTGAACATAAAGGGGTCTGTGTGCTCATTAGTGTTGAGTTCAGACTCAGGTCTTGCTGGGCCAAGAGATGACTCGGGCTCCAGGCAGCATTTAGCCCAGAGCCTCCCAAATGTCATGCGTCGCATTACCTGGGGGTCTCGTCCCAGTTCAGATTCTGATTTAGTAGCTGTGTTTGTGTCCTGGGGCTGCAGTTACAAATTGCCACAGACTGGAGGCTCAAAATAGCAGAAATCCACGCTCTCCCCGTTCTGCCAGCCAGAAGTCCCAAATCAAGGTGTGGCAGGCCACCCTCCCACCGAAGGCTCTGCGGGAGGATCCTTCCTGCCTCTTTCAGCTCCTGGTGGCTGCAGGCACCCCTTCCGTCTCTGCTGTGTCTTCACGTGGTCTCTTTGGTGTCAAAGCTTCCACTTCTACTCTTCTAAGGACATCTGTAATGGCATGTAGGGCCCACCGGCTGGCCCATTAGTGGCAGGGCACCATCATTCCCTGCGTCCTCGCCGGCCCCCGTGTAATGGGACTGGACAGCCAGGAGGAACGGCCCAGGGACCCAGCCCCCGTCATGAAGGCAGGCATGGGAGTGGGACCATGTAAAAGGCTCTAGTGGAAGCGGCTGCAGTGGGGAAGGTACCGGAACCCGAGAGGGCTGTGCCGCTGCAGGGTGCTGGAGCCGGGCTCCTGTGATCGCTCCTTCCCGAACCCACCTCGCTCAGCACTACAGCATCCCACCCTCCCACCCCGGAGGCGGCCACAGAGTGCTTTCCACAGAGCCACAGCTCAGCCGAGTCATGGGGAGACGTGGCTGCAGGGAGGAGGGGCTCAGCAGTGGGAATGAAACAGAGTGGGACTGCACCCTCTAAAATTACGCAAAGATTTATTACAACAGTGTTCCTGGTGCCTGGTATCTTTGCAGAGGATCCTGTAAGTGGATAAACAGGAAGGAGATTTAATTAGGTGCGTGGAGCGGAGGAGTGGTGATTAGCAAACCGGTCCTTTAATGCCCTATATTACATGCAGTTAATTACACAGATTGCAGGGGAATTAATGTCGGGCTCTGCTAACGATTTTTTTGGGAAGAATAATTTTATTTACACAACATGGGCTGCAAGAATTATTGAAATGAGAAACATGGAAATGGCAAAGGGAAGGAGGACTCTGCTGTCCCTGGACAGTGGGGGCTGTGAGGACCCAGGGGTGCCCTCAGCCCTGGCACGCCTGGCAGAAACCCATTGGCCCCGCATTCTTGCATGAATGACCTGGTGAGGTCAGCTGGGTTGGGAGGACCCTTGTGTAACACTGCCTGCTGCTCGCCGCTTCTCCAGGAGCCACAGGGCTCACTTTCCACCAGCCTCCCCACCCCCTACTGGGGTGCAAAGTGTCTGAAGGGCCACTAATCTGCAGGATGCTGGGGAGACCAAGAAGAGACAGGTATGGCCCTGTAGTCTGGGTGTTTATGGTGCGCAGGCAGAGAGAGGTACCGAGGGATGCGCCACAAGCTTCTAAGTGACCTGGAGCAGGAGAAACAGATTGGAGTCTGTGGAAGTAGGTGGAGGAGGGGGAGGGAGAGGGTGGGTAGAGGGGGTGTGAGAGGTGGAGGGGGAGTTGGGGGGAGGGCCAGGGGCGGACCTGCAGCGCCTGGAAGGGCTTGTAGGGAGAGCAGCGCCCCTACACGCTGTTTCTCGGCACTCGTGGGAGTTCTGCTGTGAAGTCAGCCAGTGCAAAGGCCACTGCTGTCCCCATCCATCTCCAGCCATTCCCCAGCCCTGGCCTCAGCTGCAGGAGGGTCTCTCCCACTGTCTCCGGATGGAGCAGGGTGGGATCCGCAGGAGTTGGGTTTCCTAGCAACAGGGGATGAGTCCCGAACCAGGTGCCGGCCCAGATTTCCAGATTTGATTAAATTGCTGCCAGAAGGTCAAATACATCACCACAATCACCCTTCATGGAGTGGTGGGCACCCAGAGCTCCTGCGTCCCGTGCATGGGGGTGGGCTGGAATCCAGATGGAAACTTAGTTGAGAGAAGGACAGCCTGGGGAGCGGGGGAGAGAGAGAGAGGAGACCCCAGGGTCCCCCGACTTGTGACAAGCTGCGGTGCTTTGGGGTGCACACCCCATGGTGTGTGCCTGTGAAGCCCACTGATTCCCAGACACTGGGTCTGGACTATACCTGGGACTGGACCAACGTGACACCCGGAAAGTTCTTCCGCAGTCACCAAGCGGGAGTGACCTGGGTTCTCGTGGGCGGGGCGCGTTGGCGTGGGTCTCAGTGGGTGTTGTGGAAGCTGCCAGTACAAATGGACTCAGGTCAGACTCTAACAGAGGGAGTGGGCGACCATGAAGCAGTGGGGCTCGCGTCCACAGGCCTGCAGCAGAGCTCATCGCAAGGCTGCCTCCAGGTTGCAGGATTCCAGGCACTGGCAGAGGACGCTGACTCCACTTCACCTTCCCCGCCCTCGTGGCTGGCAGAGCCTGCCTCCATCTCCAGTGCCCATTGCCCGCCAGCCCCACCCTTCCGCCCCTTCCCTGTCTGCCCCGTGCCTCCCTCTCTCCTTCCCTGCACCTTCCCGGCAAGACCCCAGTCCCCCAGTCCTCCACCCAGGCCCTGTTGCTCCCACATGTCTGGGTGTGTCCCTGGGTGCTGCTGGGCACTGATGGGCCCTGGGGCCTATGCAGGGGCACCAGGTGACACCTGAGGAGGAAAGAACCAAGGACCCCAGGGCACCAAGCTCAGCCCCGCCCCACACCACCCCCACCTCTCCTCCCTGAGGAGTTGCTGAAGGCCTCTGGGCAGGGTGGCTGTGGGGCTCCACCGGGGTCAACCACAGCAGCCTCCACAGCTCCTTGGGGCCTCACCCATGGGACCCAGGATGCAGACTCGCCTGCAGCTGGGAGGAAGGCGGGGCTTCTGTGGGCGCAGGCGTGGCATCGGAGGGCGTGGCTGTGCCCTTCTGGGACTCCCCTGGTGGGAGAAGCCTCTGCACAGGGCCTCGCCCCTGCCTCCCCTCCCAGCAGCCCCTCCTGGGGCAGTACCACTTTCCCCAGATCCCCTGCCTCCCACCAACATGGCCCCTTCGCTGTGACTCACCTGGGATGGGACAGACTTTCCAGACACCACGTCTCTCAAGCGCCGGACGGGAGGAGCGGGTAAGGGCGGGCAGCATGGGCCTGGCGCTGCAGGGAGGAGGCGGTGCGGGCTCCGTGACCAGGGATGGCCTTGGCCCTGGGAAAGACTCGGGGGAGGGGGAGCTGGAAGTTTCAGGAAATGCGCTCAGTGGGCACTCCCTCCTGTCCGAACTCCCTCCAAGGCTCTGTCGTCCCTGTCCCCCTTCTCAGGGGGCGTTTTCTCCTCCCTCTGTGTCCTCCGCTCCGTCATCGTGGGCAGCGTGGGAATGGAAAGCCTGGCTCTGGACATGCAGCCATGGCTCCTGCTCTGTAGCTTCTGGAGCTCCCACTGCCCAGGCCTCACTGTGCATCCCTTGGGGCGTCTCCCCCACAGCAGGATGGCTGGGCCGCGGCTCCCTCGTCACTGTCCACCCCGACGTGCCTCGCTGCCCTGGACCGTTGTCCTTTATGGACCTCTAAGTTCACAGAGGAGAAGGGTCCCTTTGCTCGGACCCCACATCTCCCGGGTGGGATGGAATTTGGCAGAGCTGGAGAAGGGAGCCTGGGACCCACTGAGTCCATCCCTGATGAAGACCTGTAGCCCACAGGAGAGGATTGCTCCCCAGGGGCCCTGATTTTTGCCAGCAACCCCTCCTCTCCACCCACCGTCCCTGGGGGGACTTGCCAGGACCCTGGAGGCCGTGGGGCCTGGTGGCCTGGGGCATGTCCCTATGATGTACTCACTGAGCCATCTGGGAAGAGCTCTGACCTTGCTTCTTCCCTGTGAAATGGGAATAATACCACCGTGGCCCTCCGTGGGCTGCTCTGGGGCCTCTGCAGGTGGAACACCCACAGGCCTGCGGTGCTGCCACTGGACGCCTGCCCTTTGGAGACGTCCCCTCCTGCCGCACAGAGAGACTTGCAATCAGCACACCTGGCGAAGAAGGGCGGCTGCTGACGCTGACGGCGGCTGCAGGAGCTGCTTCAGGCTTTGTAAAGGGCCCGGCAATCTTGTCTGGATGGTAATTTGCAGTGTCTGTGGAGAAAGCAAATGTCAGCTTCTGCTGGCCCTGGACAGGCTGATCACAAACCCCTAATTAGTGGTGTCTGAAATAATGAGATTTCCCTGTGTTCTCATTACATGGAAATTACTTCTGAAAAGCAACTCAGAGGGACATGTAGGCACGAGACAACCCTTTCCAGAGGGGCACCGGCCATTGGCCAAGAGTAGACCCAGGCTGGAAGGCTCGGCTGAGAAGCAGGTGGGCGTCCTTGGCACTGTAGGAAGAGCCTGGCGTTGGTGGAGCTGTGACACCTTTGCCTCAGACAGGGGCCCTCAGGAGAACAAAAGCCGAGGCAGGGCTGAGCTGGGGTAGCCCGGGAAGTCAGCTTGGGAAGCTCCTGTGGGGGTGTCCACGGGGTGCATCCCACCTTGGAGGACACTGACCTGTGGCGGCGGCCTGGGCAGCAGGGGGAGCTGGAGGCAGGAGGGGTAGTGGTTCCCCCGAGGAAGCTGCTTAGGGAAAACGAGTTGGTCTAGCCCCTGCTCAGCCAGACTGGATCTGTGGCGCCTCCATGCAGGGCCGTTGCTTGCTTTCTGCTTAAAAGGATGCTTTTTGGCAAACCTCAGGATGCCGTTATAATCTCATGGGCTCCCCTGAAGTGGAGGGCCGCTGGCCATGGCCTCGAGCCAAGCCTGTGCCTTGCCCGGGCGTGTCTCCCACTGGTGTCTCAGGGATGAGGCTGCCCCTGCGGCCGGCAACACAGGTTGGCCGGGCCCTGACTCTTGCTGTCTAGGACGCAGTCAGATGGAGTTTGCTTCCAAATAGAGCCTCATTAACACAATGATTAAATGCCTGATGGCTCTTTTTCTTCTGCAAACTATATTTTAGGGCCGGGCTTTGCCAGCAGCCATGAATATTTCATGGTAGAGTGAGCTCCTGCTGCCCCAGCTGCACCAGGCATGTCCCTGGGCATCCTGAGGCCAAGCCAATGGGCGCCCGGCTGACTCTGGGACCGTGGGACCCACAACCCACACGATCTGAACCTCCATGGCTAAGGGCCCGCCGCTGGCCTGCTGACGTCATGGATGCTGGTGTAACCTCGTGACCTGGAAGCCTCACTATTTTCGGGACCTGGGACTCTGCACTCAGCTTAGAGTTGCCCTGGGCCTTCCCCACATGGAGCTCAAATGCGCCCCCCGCCCCACCCCCTGTAGGAAGCGTTTCCCGCCTATCCCAGAGGCTCCTGGTGACACTGGAAGATCTGTCCCTGCAAGCCCCAAGCCATCTATGAACATTTGAACATCTGAAGTCTACAGATGCATGGATTTATGAATAAGTGTGTGTTTATTATGAAGCTGCTTGGCACATAGTAGATGCTCATTAAACATCTGAAACCTGCATGAATGGCTAAATGAATGAGTGTGTGAATAGGAATTAGTTACTTAAAATACACAGGTGAGCAACTGAGCGCCACTGTGTCTTTTGTAGCTAGAAGCCATCCGTAAACGCAAGCTAAAATCCGCAATGCATGTTGACCATGCGGGGCAGTGACCTGTGCTGCTGCCTGGCCATCCCTGCTCCTGCTGGCAGAACTGCTTTGGCAGCCAGGTTCCAGCCCCACCCCTCAGCTAAGCATCCATGCTCTGCACTCTGGGAAGCCCGGGGCATCCCCTTCCACAGCTTCCTTGCTTAATTGGTGTTTCCTCGGTTGCTCATCTCAGGAAGAGGCTCCTTACTGGCATGAGGTGCCCCTGCCCACTGTATCATGGACAGCTTTTGTGAAATGATTTCCCTGATAATGAGAATCCCAGGAAACCTCATTAAGCCCCACAGTACTAATTAGGGTTTGAAATCATTCTGTCTAGGGCTGGCAGGACTAGATGTTTGCTTTCTGCCTAGACAGAGACAGTGATTAAGTGAATGAATGAATGAGTCTATGAGCAAATGATCAGAGGTCTGATGTGCTGGGTGCCTGGTAGGCTGGCCAGAAACATTTTGAATGAATAAGGGAAGGAATGTATGCATGAATGCTGACTCAGGGAAGGGAGGGAAGGTTCCTGGAAACCTGTGTGGTGACTGTCAATGCACTCCAGGTCTCCCTGCCTTCTGATAGCCCTGGCTACAGGCTGTTCAGCTGCAAACAGTCCAGGTCCCCCTCTGTGGGTGCCAGCTCAGTGGACTGGCCTTCAGCAGGAGGTCATCCCCTCACCACAAGGACCATGAGGACAGCCCTTCTGCTGCCTGAATGCCACCCTCTGCCCTCTTTCCTCTAGCTTCTTTTTTTGAATTTAACACACTTTTAAAAAGCAATTTTGATGGCGGGGCGTGGTGGCTCATGCCTGTAATCCCAGCACTTTGGAAGGCTGAGACGGGCAAAATACTTGAGGCCAGGAGTTCGAGACCAGCCTGGCCAACATGGTGAAATCTCATCTCTACTAAAACAGAAAAATTAGCCGGGCGTGGAGACGCATACCTGTAATCCCAGCTACTCTGGTGGTGGAGGCAGGACTCTGGTGGTGGAAGCAGGAGAATCACCTGAACCTGGAAGTCAGAGGTTGCAGCAGTGAGCCAAGATCGTGCCACTGTACTCCAGCCTGGGTGACAGAGTGAGACTCTGTCTCCAAAAAAAAAAAAAAAAAAAAAAAAAAAAAAAGCAGTTTTGGGTTTCCAGAAAAATTAAGTGGAATTGAATGGAATTCACTCCTGGTGTCGTACATTCTGTGGGTTTGGACAAATGTATAATGACTTGTCCCCACCGTTTTTGCATCATACAGAATTGTTTCACTGCCCTAAGAATCCTCCGTGCCCCATATATCTGTTACGGAAACACTGCCCTAAGAATCCTCCGTGCCCCATATATCTGTTACGGAAACATCTAGATCCTGCGGCTCTCTGCACAGAAAGCCAATCACTGAGATGACAAGTATTGCTGAGGAAGAAAGCTGTAACTGGGTGTTGCAGCCGAGGAGAGGGGAGCTCTGTCTCAAATCCATCTCCCTGACTGACTAAAACTAGGGGTTTATCTAGCAAGGAAGAAACGTAACCGTGTATAGGACAACAGGAACTCAGAAAGGGAAAGAAGCAATCAGAATGAATAAGGGGTCTGGTCTCATTGTCTGGAGGTGGTTACCTGGTGAGTTTCAGTTCTTTGATACTTTTTGAGAGGTCTGGGGGTTCTTTCCTGAAGAAGGAACTCAAATAAAATGAATGTAAGTTTTAAGCTTTAAGACCAGAAGGGTCAATTTCTATGTTTATCAAAAAAAAAAAAAAAAGTCTGAGACAATTGGGTCGGGTTCCTATTCGTCCCTCCTGCTCCAACTCCTGGCAGCCAGGGATGTTTTCACTGTGTCTGCAGTGTGGCCTTTTCCAGAATGTCATGTCGTACAGCATGTGGTCTTTCCACACCGGCTTCCCTTCGCTTACGATATGCGGTGACGTTTCCTCCATGTCTTTTTCGTGGCTTGATAGTACACTTCTTTTCAGGGCTGAACGAAATTCCATTGAATGGATGTACCACGTTTTGTCCAGTTTTTAAAATTTATTATTATTTTTTTGAGACGGAGTCTCCCTCTGTCCCCCAGGCTGGGGTGCAGTGGTGCGATCTCAGGCTCACTGCAAACTCTGCCTCCTGGGTTCATGCCATTCTCCTGCCTCAGCCTCCCGAGTAGCTGAGACTACAGGCACCCACTACCACACCCGGCTAATTTTTTTTGTATTTTTTTTTTTTTTAGTAGAGATGGGGTTTCACTGTGTTAGCCAGGCTGGTCTTGATCTCCTGATCTTGTGATCCGCCCGCCTCGGCCTCCCAAAGCACTGGGATTATAGGCGTGAGCCGCCGCGCCCGGCCCGTCTTTTCATTCTCTTACAATTCTTTCTTAGAGCAGAAGTTTTATTTTTATTTTATTTTTTGAGACAGAGTCTCACTCTGTCACCCAGGCTGGAGTGCAGTGGTGCAATCTCACCTCACTGCAACCTCTGCTTCCCAGGGTCAAGCGATTCTCACTCCTCAGCCTCCCAAGTAGCTGAAATTACAGACACCTGCCACCACACCTGGCTGATTTTTTGTATTTATAGTAGAGATGGGGTTTTGCCATGTTGCCCAGGCTGGTCTCGAACTCCTGACCTCAGGTGATCCACCCGCCTTGGCCTCCCAAAGTGCTGGGATTACAGGAGTGAGCCACCGCACCCAGTCCCCAAATTTTTCTTTTAAAGAAGGCGTCTTGCCCTGTGACCCAGGCTGGAGTGCAGTGATGTGATCGTGGCTTGCTGTAGCCTTGACCTGAGCTCAAGTGATCCACCTGCCTTGGACTCCCAAAGCGCTGGGATTACAGGCATGAGCCACGGTGCCCCGCCAGAAGTTTCACTTTTAATGAAGTCCAGCAGATCCATTTTTTCTTTCATGGATGGTGCCTTTGGTGTTGTATCTAAGAAGTCATCGCCAAACCCAAGGGCCCCCGTTTATTTTTTCCTCAGTTATCTTCTAGTTCCATGTTTTGCGTTCAGGTGGATGATCCATTTTGAGGTAATTTTTGTGAAGGATGTGAGGTCTGTGTCTGGAGTCGTTGTTTCTCATGTGGATATTCAGGGCTGGGCCCTCTTCTGAAACACAAAAGGTCCTGGATGGAGTAGCTTTTGTGCCCACTGGTGCCACCAGCCAAGCTTGGGGTGCAGAGGAGTCCTCTGCTGGGCACCACGGTAAGGGGGAGCGGGGCAGGGGTGTGGCCAGATACCTCGGGCATCAGATGGCCTTCCCCGCTGTCCTCAGGCAGTGGCCTTGGGAGGTTTCCAGCGAAGGTGTGGTTCTGAAGAGGCCTTGGCCTGAGCGAGATGGAGGTCATCAGCACAGAGGTCAAGGTCAGACTGACCATTGATGGCCCTCAATGCACTCCAGGTCTTCCTGCCCTCCTACAGCCCTGGCTGGAGGCTGCTCGCCTGTGAACACTCCAGGCCCCCCTCTGCAGGTGCCAGCTCAGTGGACTGGCCTTCAGCAGGGGGTCATCCTCCCACCGCAAGGACCATGCAAACCGCCCTCCTGCTGCCTGAATGCCACCCTCTGGCTTCTTTCCTTCTTGGAAGAAATGCCCCCTGGTTTTGACAAAAACTGTTTTCAAAAGACTCTCATTGTCAAAATAAGCCCAGGTCCAGAGGATTCTCTGAAGGGTCTGGAAATCGGATCCTGGAACCTCTCTTCTTTCTGGAGCTTTCCATGTGGACGTACTTGCTGCAGGGTGTCTGGTGTCTGCCTCTCAAGAGGCCTCTGGCCCCCCAAGAGGATTGTCCGGGAACTCAGCTCCATCCCTTGCCCTCCTCAGCATCCTCACAGTGTTGGGGGCAGGGATGCACACACATCAAATGCTTTCATTCCACCTTTTCTTTGTTTCTGCTGCCATCCAGGCAGGGGGCTCAGTGGGGTGGACAGACTCATATGCTGATGAAGCTGGCTTTTGGGGTCAGGACAGGCTGAAGACTAGGCCACTCCCCAACTTTCCTTGTGTGTTTCATGTTGTGGGGGCCAGCCCCAAGCACTGGGGAGACCAGAGGGGCGTGGGGGCGGGCACAGATGTGGACAGTGAAGCCAGTCTGGAGGCTTGGGAAGGCTTCCTGGAGGAGGGCCATCCTTGTGGAGGTTTGCAGGAGAGGGAAGAATCAGCCGTGAGTCTGGGTGAAGGAAGGGGCACCCAGGGAGCGTTTGGGGCATTCCTGGAAGAGACGCCAGCAAGGGCTCGTGTGAGAAGGTGCTGCCCATGTCCTCTCGCCAAGGACCACCAGGGACAACCTGTGCCAGAACAAGTCGGTTTATCGCTCATGGCAGCAACAGGCTACGCATACCCTGGGGACCCACAGGGCCTCTCCAAGAGGGGGTTAGAAAGGGCTTGTAATAGGATGTGGCTTGTGTTGAGTGACTTTTGGGGGCATTTGAGAAAGTGGGGTTTGCTCTGGGTTGGTACTGTCAGGATGCAGGCTGACCCCGTGGCCAAGCATCTCAATAAACCTTATCTGCAGGGAGAGGGGACGAGGGTGAGGCTGCAGCCGTGACCCGTAAAGAGGCAGCAGGGCTCAGACCAGCCAGGAGAGGGGGGTTTGAAGCTTTTCTGATGGGCCCAGAGACCTGGCTTTTGCCTGTGCTCAGATGACATTCTGGGCTGGCTGAGTTCTGTCCCTCCCTTCACTGTCCCAGTGTGGCCTTGTCTGAGGCTGGTGCACTGTGAGACAATTCCTGCTAACGGGAGGGCATGGGGGCTCAGCTGTGGCCCCAGGGAGGGTCTGAGGCATGAGCCAAGGAGCTGGCGGGCAGCGAGAAGCCCCTGTAAGCTGGAGCTGGTCAGAGCTGAGCACGCTCAGAGGAGTCAGAAACCTGCTTTATTCAGGGGTGGAGACCCAGGCTTAGGCCTCTGGAAACCCTGGAGCCGAGGCCACACAGATGTTTGGCTTCTGGGAGTTGGAGGGAGGAGAAATGCTTTCTGAGAGCCTGTTCAGCTGCAGCAGCCTGGAGCCCCACTGCTGAGGGCCACTGGGCATTCAGCTCTGAGCACCTGCCTGGGTTCAGGCACTCCGGCTCCACTGGGATCCTCCAGGCTTTAATTCCTACACCTTTTTTTGTTTCTCTTTCTCTTTCTCTTTCTTTCTTTCCTTCTTTCTTTCTTTCTTTCTTTCTTTCTTTCTTTCTTTCTTTCTTTCTTTTTCTTTTTCTTTCTTCTTTCTTTCTTTCTTTTTTTTTGACAGGGTCTTGCTTTGTCACCCAGACTGGTGTGCAGTGGTGCCATCTTAGCTCACTGCAGCCTAAGCCTCCTGGGTTCAAGTGATCCTCCTGCCTCAGCCTCCCAAGTAGCTGGGACTGTAGCCGTGTGCCACCACGCCCATCTAATTTTTGTGTTTTGAATACAAACAGGGTTTCATCATGTTGCCTAGGCAAGTCTCAAACTCCTGAGCTCAAGCGATCCACCTGCCTCAGCCTCCCAAAGTGCTAGGATTACAGGCATGAGTCACTGTGCCTGGCCATTTTCATTTATTTTTAAGTTCTTTTTTAAGGTTAAGAACACCCAGTTCAAACAGTGTGGTTCTCAGCCCAGCTGGAGTCTCCTGCTCCAGACATTCATGGGCCGTGGAGGGCTGGGCTCAGGCCTGTCCTGAGTGTGGCTGTGTGGGGGGCCCAGGGTGTCAGCCTCACCACAGCCCTCATCAGCCCCTGGCAGGTGTTCCAACGCTAGCTCCCCCACCCCACCTGCCATGTGCCTTGGACCCCTCCCTTCCTCCCATTTTTTTCTGTAAAAACCAGAAGTGTCGGGAGGGGAAAGAACAACCTTCCCTGAGCACTCGCTGAGCGCTCAGCTTATTGCCTCCTCTTGTTCTTGCCGTTTCCAGGGAGGCAGGGAAGATTTTCTCCATTTTATAGGTGAGAACACTGAGGCTCTGCGGGGTCAATGGCTCGATGCCCAGGGCTGGGTGTGCAGTCTGCACTGCCTCCTGGAAGTAGCTGGTACTTGGACTGAATTTGAAATAGGATAACTCAAGCATCTCATTCACCCCGGAATCCCTGATGTCCTGTTTTGCTCACTTGGAGGGCATCTGGGGGATGTCTTCTCATCCGCTCCAAAGTCCTGCTGGAGGAAGCTGGAGGTGAGTGACGGCCAGGGCTGCCAGGGACCAGCATGGAGGCAGTCTTGACTTCGAGTGTCTGGCAGCGGCTCCCTCCAATTAGCAGGAGAGAGCAGGCACTGCCCACAAGAGCCTCTTGGCAATTAGAAGGTCATTATCATATTCCTTCTCTTAATTACATTTGGGTGAGGCTGTGGCAGCTGCAGCCAGGGAGCATCTCCTGGCCCCTAGGGATGTGTATCCACTTGGAAAAGAAAGAGGGAGGCCTGCGGGCTCAAGCACAGGGAACTTGCACCGTCATTGTTGCTATGTGGCACAGCTGGCCCATGCCTGGCAGGCTGTGGGCTGCACGCATCCACCCAGAAGCTGCACTAATGAGGGAGTGTGGTCAGGCACCTCGCAGACACCTGAGCGATGAGCCTTCTGGCTGTGGCTGTGGATCCCCTGGCCAGGATCATGGCCTGGTGAGCCTCAGAGGTGGCTCTTGTGCCTCTTGGTGACTGATCTGTCCATCCATGTCCTGTTTGCAAACCGGGATCCACGCCCTGAGCCACCAAGGTGTGATGCTTCCTGGAACAAGCCGTGGGCCTCTGTGGAACATGGCAATGCATGAAGCAGGATCTCAGGATTCTGTAACACTGTTGACAATGATTAAGACCCCAGAAGGTGCTGATGTTGTCCTTGCACTCACACCTGTCCTTCCAAGGACCCTGCAAGTCAGCATCATTCTTTACACTTTGTATTAGTCTGTTCTCATGCTGCTAATAAGACATACCTGAGACTGAGTAATTTATAAAGAAAAAGAGGTTTAATGGACACATAGTTCCACATGGTTGGGGAAGCCTCACAATCATTGCCAAAGGCAAAGGAGAAGCAGAGGCACATCTTACATGGCGGCAGGCAAGAGAGCGTGTGCAGGGGAACTGCCCTTTATAAAACCATCAGATCTTGTGAGACTTATTCACTATCATGAGAACAGCATGGAAAAAACCCACCCCCATGATTCAATGATCTCCCACTGGGTCTCTCCCACAACACATGGGAATTATGGGAGCTACAATTCAAAATGAGATTTGGGTGGGGACACAGATAAACTATATCACACTTTGTGAAGAGTGGCTTGTCCAAGGTTACCCAGCTGGTGGTTGGTGAGGACGAGAATCAAATCCACATTTTCGTGGCTCCATGTTCTTCCCTCTGTGCCACTTCATGGTCGGTGAAAGAGCCCTGCCCTTGGGGGAAGAGAGTCTGTTTAGTTCTCAGCCCCACTGTTTACTGCCTGTGGGATCCTGGGAAGGGGAGCCTCTCCCCTGAGAGCCATGGCTGATGCTCCCTGATGAGTGTTGCTCAGGAGCTGATCTAGGGGTCTAGGGGGCTACAGTGAAAGAGCACACACAAACATGCTCTGCAAACTGCACTCTGCACATGCAGGTGTGTATGAGGAGAGAATTGAGAACCCAGACCTCTGACTCATAGGCTTGATCCTGGAGCCCAGGGACACCTCAAAAGATAGTGTGTGGGCCCAGCAGTGAACCCCAACAGGATGTGAGGGACTGGATGGAGGCCAGGACCTCAAACTCCAGCCTTGGTTCTCTTCACTCTTCTGGTGTTAGTGTGTGCCCTGACAATCAGCACCTTTGCTTTAGGCATTTATCCCCCATCTACCCACTCCACATGCATCATCCACCCATCCACCCACTCATCCATCCATCCACCCACTCATCCATCCATCCACCCATCCATTCACCTATCTACCCATCCACCCACTCATCCATCCATTCATCCATCCATTCATCCATCTACCCATCCATCCACCCATCCAGCCATCCACCCATCCACCCATTCATCCATCCACACATTCATCTATCCACCCATCCACCCAGTCATCCATCCATCCACCCATCCATTCACCTATCCACCCATCCACCCACTCATCCATCCATTCATCCATCCATTCATCCATCTACCCATCCATCCACCCATCCAGCCATCCACCCATCCACCCATTCATCCATCCACACATTCATCTATCCACCCATCCACCCAGTCATCCATCCATCCACCCATCCATTCACCTATCCACCCATCCACCCACTCATCCATCTATCCATCTACCCATTTGCCCACTATTCATTCACTCATCCACCTACCCACCCACTCTTCCATCCATTCACCCACCCACCTACCCATCAACCCATTCATCCACTCACCCACACATCCACCCATCCATCCATCTTCCTTTCTTCTTTTCTTTCCTTCCTTCTATCCATCCATCCATTCACATATCCACCCACCCACCCACCCACTCATCCATCCATCTATCTTCCTTCCTTCTTTTCTTTCCTTCCTTCAATCCACTCACCCATCTATCTACCCTTCCACCCACTCATCCATTCATTCACACACCAACCCATCCACCCATCCTTCCATACATCCATCCACCTGTCGATCCATCTTTCTTCCTTCTTTTCTTTTCTTCCATCCATCCATCCACCCATCCATTCATCTTTTTTCCTTCTTTTCTTCCATCCACCCATCCATCCATCCATCCATCCATCCACCCACCCACCCACCCACTTATTCATTCCTCAAGCACTAATTGAGTAGCTATTACATGCCAGGAGACAGAGAAGCCAGCACAACCAAACAAGACTCTGCCTAGAGTCTGGTGGGGTGAGAGGCATTGCTTTGACTACTGTATAAATCCAGCTGTAACACAGACTATGGGAAGTGTCAACAGGATACAGACCCAGAAAGCCTAGAAGGCATCCTGGGTCCTGACTTTGAGCAAGTTACAGGCTTATTTGTCCTCTAGTTTGCTCACCTATAGACTGGGAATAGCAATAGTGCTGAACTTATATACCTATTGTTAGGTGTCAATGTGTTCATGAGTGTGAAATTCTCAGAAGCATGTTCAGTAAGTGTTTTTCTATTCCTACAAGTATTATCATCACTACTATTGTTACTACGGCTGCCACGAATGATGGCCCCTGAGCTGTGAGAGTGAGGAGTGGGAACCCTGGCTGACTGGGGGTGGGAAGAGTGCCTGGCCGCCGTATTGCAGAGCTAATCCGGCCAAACATGATCCTGCCCCTCCCTGAATTTTCTTTCTGAGCTTCCAAGAGAGCACCTTTGTGGTGGTGAAGGGAGGCTGAGAGTCACAGATGTAGAGTCAGTGTGTGACTGAGCTGCTGGGTGGACAGTTCACGGGGAGGGACACTCTGCAGGGCCTGCAGCCTTGTCTTTGGACATTCATCTTTCCAAGCTCAGAGATCAGAGTTAGCGGTTGTAATTTCAAAACTTAAAAAAAAAAAAGCTGTGCAAAGGCTTAGGGACTTGGCCTGCCCTGCCTAGGTGACATGCTGGTTATGGGCTCAGCAGAGCCCAGCAGGGGCTGCTCCTCCGGTAACACCCGTCCACCTTCTCTCCCAGGAGGCCAGGTCGGGGGCTTCCGTGTGGCAGGCCAGCCCTGCCTTCTCGCCAGTCTCACGCTCCCCTGGGTGCTCTGAGAGGTGGCTTGGGAGCTGTGTCTCTCTCCTCAGTGGCATTCTGGAAGGCTGGGTGTGTCCTCACATGGCTCTGCTTCCTTCTGGTATGGGCGAGAATTACGCTCGCTTCCTTAATCACCCAAAACTCATTTTTATGGATCCCTGGGAGCCTTTGGTGCTGTTAGGTACAGGTGACACCATGGGGCGTGGATGGAAGCTCTGTGGAGGGGGCCTGGGAAAGGTGCCTCCTCCCCACCTACCTGAGGCCGTGGGGTGTGGATGGAACCTTTGTGGAGTAGGGCCTGGGAAAAGCAACCCCCGCCACTCCCTACCTGACACCATGGGAGGTGGATGGAAGCTCTGTGGAGAGGGCCTGGGAACAGTGAACCCCCCACCTACCTGTCATCTCATATGATCACCCTGACCCCCAGAAGATTCTAGTGCTGTTCTCATTTTAAGATGTAGAAACTGAGGCTCAGGGAGGTGAAGTAATTTGCCCAGGAGCACAGTGAGTAAGTTGCAGAGCCAAGATTTGAAACCAGGTCTCACAGCTCAGCCACACCCTAACTGCCTGCCTCCCCAACTTCCTGTGGCTGGTGGAGGAGTGTCTTGGGGCTGCGTGGCCAAATACTACAGACTGAGTGGCCTAAAGCAACAGGAGTTGATTCCCTTTCAGTTCTGGGGCCCAGTAGAATCCAGGTGTCACAGGGCCACACCCCCTCGGGAGGCTCTGGGCGAGGATCTTCCTGCCGCTTCCAGCTCCGGGTGGCCCCAGACACTCCTTGGGTTGTGGCCGCATCACTCCAGGCTCTGCCTCTGTCTTCACAGGGCCTCTGTCTTCTCCCAGTGTCTCTCCTCTGTGTGCCTCTTATGAGGACACTTGTCATCGGATTTAGGGCCCAACCAGGTAATTCAGGGCGATCTCATCTAAAGATCCTTAATTTATTACATTTGCAAAAACCCCTTTTCCCATAAGGTCCCATTCACAAGTTCCAGGGGTTAGAACATGGCCCTGTCTGTCTGGGGCCACCGTTTAACCTTCTATAGTTGGGAACAGGTGGAACATACTTCCAGGAAAACCCTGCCTGAGGCTCCTCATCCCTCTCAGAGGACTAGAGATCCCGGTGTCCCTGCAGCTGGCGGCCTCCCCGTGGCCCGTGAGCACCCTGTGCCTAGCATGGTTTTACAGACAGTACCTGGCTTATGATGGTTCCACTTACAACTTTTTGACTTTACGATGATGCCAAAGGGATGCATGTCCAGTGGAAATAGCACTTCCCCTACAACCATTCCAGTTTTCACTATCAGTACAGTATTCAATATACTATATGAGATATTCAACACTTTATTATACAAGAGGCTTTGTGTCCGATGATGTTGCCCAGCTGTAGGGTAAGGTACGTGTTCTGAGCACGTTTAAGGCAGGCGAGGCTGAGCCAGGGTGCCCAGTGGGTGAGGTGCATTTTGACTTAGGGTATTTTCAATTAATGACGGGGTTATTGGGGTGTGCACCTGTCTTAAGTCGAGGAACGTCTGTGTTTTATTTTAGCCCCCATGAGTTGCTTCTGTGTGGCCTCCTGTCCCCTTCTCCTCCCCTGACCTGTTCCCAGTGCGCAGGACGCTTGTCCCTTTTGCCTCTGCGGACCTGTACCTGGTACAGGGCTCGAACATGGTTGGGGGCCAGTTATGTTGGGTCCACAAAGGGATGGCCAAGGTCAGTGCCAAAGCAAGTCAGGCCGCGTTTCCCCCACCGTGTGGAGACCCCTCCAGGGACCCCGTAGCCCCGCATACCCTGTGGCAGCCCCTCTGTGGCCGGGGCCCAGCTGCTGAGTGCAGCCCATTAGCCCCACTCTCCTGTCTCTTCCTATCTCTGTTGGCATTGTCGGAGACATGTGAACAAACAGCGGACCCAGACAACCCTCCCGGGTCTGGGAATTTCAACAGCATTTCTTTAAAGTGTCATAGCTGATTGGCAGCAGGTGCCTCTGATGGTTTCTGGGGGAAAAGAAAGTAATTTGGAGCGGAGAAATAGCTATTGATTGAGGCAAGAAGTTACGGCAGCTGGGCCGTCTCCAGTTCCTGGGCTCCGATCTCCCTCCCACCATCGAAGGCTCCCGAGAGCTTTCTTGCTTAGCGGATGTCCTCGATGCTGTCAACTCGGCAGAGCCCCCGGCAGCCCCACCTCCTAGGCTTGGTGGGGTTGAAGCACTCATGTGGAGGCTCCTGTCTGCTCTGCCGGCCTGGCTGGGTCCTCCTGCTGCGGTGGGGGAGAGGACCTGTCCCGAGGCACAGAGGCTTCGGCACAACATTTTGACAATCGTAATGGTGAAGGAAAGGCCAAACGCACATCTGCATCCATGGACAGCATATTGCTGAGTGAAACAAGCAGACTCAGGCCAGCATGAAAAATCCCATCCACACAAGCACAGCGCTCTGACTGTGTAACACAATCTGCAGGCCGGGGAGGGAGGGCCTCAAGGCTTCCACAACTTTTCTCTGGGTGGGGGATTTGGAGAGGCTTCACTTCCTGGATGAAACGAATGGAGGACGTCCAGGAAGTGACGGGAAGTGAGGGGATGGACGTGTTTGGGTTCCCCCCAGTGAGCTCTAATATGTTCATAAAGAGAAAAAGCACTACTTTTAAAAATGCGAAGTGGCCGGGCATGGTGGCTCACTCCTGTAATCCTAGCACATTGGGAGGCCGAGGTGGGTGGATCACATGAGGCCAGGAGTTCGAGACCAACCTGGCTAACATGGCAAAACCCCATCTTTATTAATAATACAAAACTTAGCTGGGCGCGGTGACACGTGTCTGTAATTGTAGCTACTCAGGAGGGTGAGACACGAGAATCGCTTGAACCCAGGAAGTGGAGGGGCCGAGATCGCACCACTACACTCAAGCCTGAGCGACAGAGTGAAACTGTGTCTCCAAAAAAAAAAAAAAAAAAAAAAAAGCAAAGTTCTGGCCCAGGGGGCTGCCTCAGGCTGCTGTACCACCTTTGGCCTATGAAAACATGTCCTGGTGCCTGTGTGGGGCTGTGAGCCGGGAAGGAGTGCAGAGGCCAAGGGACTCCTCTCAGTGGCTGCCTGCTGTGGGGGAGTGGGCGAGGGTCTCCCAGGCTCCTCCCATGGCACCTGCATCACATTCCTCCACAGCTCCCGGCCCCCGAGGAAGGAGGCACCAAAGCCCATGCAGGACCCTGTGGGTGCAGCAGCCACAACCACGAGGGCCCATGGGGAAGGCTCTCTCAGGGCACTGGGAACCAGAAGTGGCTTGTCTCATGTCTCTTAGCAGATGGGAGCTCTGGGGGGTCTTGCCTGGATCCCTTGGCTTTCTCTGGGCAGATAGAGGCCGCCCCTGTCCCTGGCTGGCTCTGAGCCCTTCAGGGCTCTGCTGTGATGCTCTGGGGGTCCACTATATCCCCCTCTAGCCTGATGACCCAGCCTCAGCTGCTGGCAGGGTCTGCTCTTGGCAGCCACCCTGGGCCCTGGGCTAGGTCCCTCCCCGGGCAGGGCTGGGCTGGGATGGGACAGGCTGAGCCAACCACTGGCTGATGCAGGGGTGCAAAGGCCCGGCCCCCTTGTTCAGGACAGTTCAGGACAACTCTGAGGGGCCCCATCTCAGCTCCAGACACCTCCCCAACCCCATGTGACCAGCTGAGGCCTTGGCTGCTGCAGGCTTCTCCCAGGTCAGCTGCACTGTCGGTCCCGTTGCCTTCCTCAGTCCTTACAGGCCATCTCCTAGGGCGCTTCTTGCCTATGACCCTCTCCCCGAAGAAGGAGCATCTCCAGGGAATTCCCAGCGAGGGGATGGGCCCCATCCTTCCTTCCCTTCCCACCTGCAGGCCCAGACCCTCCCCACCTGCCAGCATCCAGGTCCCCACCTGCCACACAGGAGCCTCCTGACACACCTGGGCTCGCGTGTCTGCTCTGTGGGACCTTTCCCACGGGGCTTCTTCCCTCCACCCCGCTGCTGGGAAGGAGTGCCACTGCCCCGTCCCAGCCTGGAAGCCCACGGTGGGAAGTCATGCAGACATGCTCTCCCCTGGCGTTCAAGACCCTTGGCAGGGAGCCTAGGAGCCCAATTTCCAGATTCACGTTGCCTTGAGGCTGGGCCCCAGCTCTGCAGATTAGTAACTGAGAGACAATCTTGCCGAGCTTCAGTTTCCTCACCCACAGAGGGGGCACCCAGGAGCCCCCAGCTCATGTGACTGCTGGTGGTTGAAACGAAAGGAATCTGTGAAAACACCTCGTGCCCGGTCACTATCGAGGCCGTTGCTCCGCCGTGGCTCCCGTCAGTGCCAGGTCACTATCGAGGCCGTTGCTCCGCCGTGGCTCCCGTCAGTGCCCGGTCACTATCGAGGCCATTGCTCCGCCGTGGCTCCCGTCAGTGCTGCCTTGCAAGGGTCTGAGCGTCCATCCCGATAGAGTGTCCAGCCCCCGAGGCTGGTGTCTGGGTGGCAGGGCCTGACTCTCAGTCGGTCTCCTGCACCTTGGCAGGAGCAGCGAGGGGGTGGGCCGGGGGCTCCGGCTGGGGAGGGGGAGGCTCCCCAGCTCAGCCTGGGCCCGAGTGTTCATAGGTACCAGGCCTGCTCAGAGCGCTCCTGCGCCTCGGGAGGAAACAGATGGGGCTGTCAGCTCCGCTTATGCCCAGTCTTCCCAAACCCAGCCAAGCATGCTGGGAACAGGGAGTGGCTCCTCTGCGCAGCTGGTGGGCCCCAGGTGGGCACCCCTCGGGGCAGAGTGATGCTGATTAGCAGGAAATAATGTGCAGGTGAATGGAGCTGGCCCAGCGCCCACCTCCTGGTCTTGGGGCCCTGGGAGGCTGCGGAACCGACACCAGATGTGGCCCCGCATGGCACCGGCCTCTTCCGCCAGCTTCGGGGCCCTCTGGGGCTCAGCCTTGGGAGCCGGGGATTCTGGGAAGGATTTGTCATTTAAGCTTTACATACGACGGAGCCCCTGAGGCAAGTCTGCTCTGCGCTGGGGATGCTGGGCACGGGCTGTCCTCTACCTGGCCTGCTGACTCTCAGTTTGCTCAAAGCAAAACCAATTTGGGCTCCTGATTTGTTCTCCCTCCCTCCTCTCCAAGAAATAAATTGTATCTGTTTATTGCACAAATAATACTGGCCACATAGAAAAATGAGACATTCCTGAAAACTGAAAAAAAGAGAGAAAAATCCCATCTCACTACCTGGAAGTAAACCCCCATTTATAATTTATGGATCATTCCTCCATGTATGTAAGGTGTAGCATTTTGTAGTATCCACATTTGCTGTTTGTAACCTGTTAATTTCACTCAACAGTTTACTGTGGACACAGAGTTGTGTCAATAACTGCGTTTCTACCCATGGTGTGAGCCGCTGCCTGTGTGGCGCTGGACTGAGCACACACACCGGCATTTACGTCTACTTCCCAGTGTATTCAAACACGTGTGCACACCCTTCATTATTTCCCGAGGATACACTTCTAGAAGTAGGATTTCTGCATCAGAGGTTATGTATGTATATATATTTTTCCATAATAAATATATTTTTATAGGTTTTGTTTGTTTGTTTGTTTTGAGACAGAGTCTTGCTCTGTCGCCCAGGCTGGAGTGCAGTGTCAAGATCTCGGCTTACTGCAACCTCCACCTCCTGGGTTCAAGCAGTTCTCCTGCCTCAGTCTTCCAAGTAGCTGGGATTACCCGTGCCCGGATAATTTTTATATTATTAGTGGAGACAGCGTTTTACCATATTGGCCAGGCTGGTCTCAAACTCCTGACCTCAGGTGATCTACCTGCCTCGGCCTCCCAAAGTGCTAGGATTACAGGTGTGAGCCACGGTGCCCGGCCTTTGTAGTGTTTTTTTAAAAAACTAGTTTTATGGAAATGTAATTCACACCCCATACAATTATCCCAGTATATTCCCCACCCACCCTTCTTCCAATACATTGAGATAACTTAGTAGATGCCAGCTCAGTGGTTTCTAGTATATTCAGTGTTCTACATCTACCACCACAATCAATTTTAGAACATTTTCTAGACCTGGTACCTCTGGGCACTCATTGCCTCCCACTCCCCAAGCCCTGGTGGCCACTCATCTGCTCTCACCTGCGGGTTTACCTATTCTGAGCGCTTTGCACTTGGGAAGTCCTGCTACACCCGCCTTTTGTGCGGGGCTCCTTCCCCTGAGCATACTGTGCTGAGGTTTGCCCACGTGGAGGCACATGTTGGAACATCGTTCCCTGCTACTGCCTGGTAAAATCCCATCATGTGGAGATGGCACGTGTATTTTTAAGGGGTTTAATGAACGCTACCACGCAGGGCTGCTGAAAGGCTGCCTTCATTTCTGCACAGCAGGAGACGAGAGCGTCCACTTCTGCCTCCTCTTTTAGGTCAGTATGTTCTCCTGGGGCCGGCGTCAGGCGTGTCCTCGTCTGTAGGCTCAGTTGGGGGTGTCTGCGTTAGGGATGATGGAGGGTGCCGTGCAGACGGCATCACAGCTGGGGTCAGATGGGACCCCAGGAGGCTGGTGATGATCTCCAGGTTGTCACAGCAGTCTTAAAACAATCTTCAAAGCAGAAGAATTTTAATTCACCTTAATTTAAAAATGCCATAGTATAAAGCGGATTTTTTTTTTTTTATTTTAGTTGATGTTGGAAAATTGGTATATATATCTCCTGAAATCTAACACACAGCAGAGGGCTGGCCACTTCTGAAAAAGTGTGGTTGCTACGACAATGCAGAAAGAGGCCGTTAGGATTTACCACATGGCGGAGGACTCAGAACCTGCCCCCTCTCCTTTGGGTCACCTTTGTGCCCGCAGGTTTAGGGGAGCTGCGACCGCCTCCTCTAAGCCTGCAGTAACCTCCCTCCTGCTCACTGCTCCCTGGGGTTCCACCCTCTATCCAGTACTTTCTGGGTTGGGCAAGGCCTGTGTCCAGCCTTCCTGTCGCGTGGGAACTCTGGCCTGCCAAGGCCAGACCCGCAATCCAGCTACTTTTGCTTTGCCTGTGGGTTGCAGCTCTGGGATTCACCACTCCAGGCCAGCCTCTGCTGAAGTCATAAATACGAAGCCTAGAAATTACAGCTCCGGCTGCCAGTGCCGAGTCGAAGCTCACACCCATCCCCTTCCCTGGCCCCGTCTGTCTTCCCTTGCACAGTTGGGCTATCCCCTTCCCAGCAGGAAGCGGGTTTGAGGAAGGACAGGTCTGGGGAAGTGCATTCCCACCCAGAACTCTCACCTCACTGGAGTTGTCCTTACCCTGAGAGCACCAGGGGCCTGGCCTCCAAAGAATGCCCGGATGGTTAGGGAGGGGCCGTCGACACAGGGGCCGGGCAGGCCGTGAGCAGTCTGCAGCTCTCCCACCACAACTGGAGCTGGCTGAAGGACCCCTTGGGCTGCAGGAGGAACAGCAAGAAGGGTCAGGAAGTTGAGGGCCCCTTTTGGGGTCTGGAATGGCATTGCTCTGGTCTGCAGAATGTGCAAGTCACCTCCAGCCTGGTTCAAAGCCCCTGGGATGAGTGCCTCAAAGGAACACAGCAAAATTCAATAGAAAAGGCTGCCCTAAACCTCCTCCCCAGGATAAGACCCCATAAGAATAGAGGCTGAGCTCCCCGACACTCCAGGAATTTCTCCATTCTCTTGAAGTGGACTGAGAAAAGGGTCACATATGTAACCAAACGCCAGCCTCCTCTGGAGAAGACCACTGCCTTCAGGAGTGGGGTGGCTCCCAGCGGTGGCCCTGGCCTTGTCCCAGGAGAAGGGCCCCATCTGACGTTTGTCTGGAGAAGAAAAGGTACAAACCGACCCCTACCTTCCAGCCCAAGCTTGGGTGCAATTAATATTTCATACCCGAAGAAGACGCCGACATTTTGCTGGATGGCTTCAGTTAGCTCTGGAGCCTCGTTCTCATGCTAATAATCAGCTTGCTTATCATAATGGTTTATTAATCTATTTCACAGTGTGAAGTCATACAGTGTGTTTCACAGATACCTCCTGCTGCTTCCTGGATTGGGTAGAAATGACTCAGGCCCTGTGATTGCTTGTTAAAGGGGTTCAGTTCTTGGAGGACAGGGGTGTGGGGTCAAATGGGGGTAGAAGGCTCACAGCTCTGACCATTTCTTTGTTTCCTGGAGGCTGCGAGGGCCCTTTTGGACAGAGCACAGTGGCATGTGGCCCATGGGTAGAGTTGCAGATTTTTCTTTTCTGGCTTTGTTGACGTCCTCCCTTGACTGAATTCCCCAAAGGTAGGCTGAGAAACTATTGGGAAATTCTTTAGAGGAATTTCTCAAGAGAAACTTGGCATGGGGCTAGGGATCAGGGGAGATGGGAGATAGTAGAATCATTTGGGTGGGCAATTTTTTATTTCTATTTTTTGTATAAAGGTGTTTACGCATATTCTGTATCACATGACTTACCATCCTGGCCAGAGGTGAGCATCTGAGCCCCAGGCAGCCACCCGCAGACTCTGCGATGGCTATCAGTTGGCCTTGTGCTACAGCACTGCCTGGCAGGGCTAACCTGCCCACCGTAGACAATGTATGGGGGCACGTATACAGAACCAAGAATGTGGTGGGGGCAGAAGCTGCAGATATTCAGGGGGGTGGCTGCAGCAGGGGCCACATCAGTCGGGGAGGGAGCATCTGTGGTAGCCGGCTGCTGGGTCTCACCTGCATCTGGGACAGCAGCTCCTTGAGAGGCCACTCCTGGCAGCTGTCCTGGGCCCCAGGGCCCCTTCCCTATCTTTGTAAGACACTCCTATTGCCCAAGGATGTGAGTGTCTCCAATGCTTGCAAACGGAATCATTAAATAAGACTACCATCTTGCCAGGACCTCTCTAACTTCATGTTCCCATTTCAAAAAGCCCCATTTCCCCAGACCTGCTGGCTTCCCTGGCTCCTCCTGAGGAGGCCTCTTGCTTACCCTACACAGTGGGGCTGGTGGGCTCACCCATGGGCTTTTATCCCACTGCCTCCCTGCGTGGCCTCCCTCTGGAATGGGAACAGGGCTCCATCCCTCCAACCCCTCCGAGGATACTCACGTGGCAAGGGGTGTGGAAGGCTGGGGAGGGTGAGACATGGCTCACAGTCGGTGGGGGTGGGCACCTGCTCTTGCTGAAGGCTGGTCCAGGAGCTGAGAGTCCAGCTGTTCCTGGGGTCTCATTGTGGGCAGCCTGTGTGGGGCCAGGACTAAGTGAGAAAGGGTTTCTCTTTGCCAGCTGCTGCGAGAGTTCCTCTCGAGGAAAGAGCTGCCTGCACTTGGAAAAACATCGAAAGTTGCTGCTTTAGGAAGGAGAAGGCCACCCGGCTGTGCCTGGGGAGTGCCGGGGGCTTGCGGGTCAGGAAGCAGAGGAGAGCAGGTGTGGCAGAGCTGAGCTTCTGTGAGGGCAGCTGGAGTCCCAGCTCTGAAATATGGCGAAAGAGATGCTTTTAACCTGAAATAATTTCAAAATAGAAATAAAAGTTGTAAAAGAGGACAGACATGTCCCGTGTACCCTGCACTCAGCTTTTCCTGACGTGAATATCCTGCATAACTATAATACAAGTGCCAAGACATTAACGCTGGGTGATACTGTTAGCTGAGCTACAGACCCCATGTGGATTTTGCCAGTTTTTTTTCTTTTTTTTAAACAAATGTTCTTTTCCTGTTTTAGGATCTGACCCACTGTCCTCCACCTCCAGATGCCATGCTGCATTTTGTCATCAGGCATCCCCAGCCTCTAACCTATGACATCTCTCCATTCTTGCCTTGTCTCTTCCTTTGGGTCAGCACGGGCCAGTGGCTCTGTGAACTCTCCCTCCATTTGGGCTCCTGAGACCGTATTTAATGATAAGATGGAGGCTCTGCACTTTTGGCAGGAATTTTGAAGAAGGGAAGGGCCCTTCTGTGTGCATTCCATCGTGGAAGCGTGACATGGATAAGTCTTTGAGGAGGCTGACCCCGACAATGGAGGACACTGGTGCCTGCTGGGTTTCTCCACTGGGAAGTCACCATTTTTCTCTTTGAAATTAATAAATACCTCAAGGGAGACACTCGAAGCCAACGCAGGCCTGTCGTCCCCTCAAGTTTGTTTATTGATTTGTGTGTCCGTCGGTGGGTCTCGGTGGCAACGCTTATGACTGTGGTCTTCTCACCGAGACACTCTCTCAAGTTTGTTTATTGATTCGTGTGTCCGTCGGTGGGTCTCGGTGGCCATGCTTATGTCTGTGGTCCTCTCACCGCGACACCCTGTTTCCCTCATTCCTTCCACATTTACCAATGAGATTTCTTCTCAAAGAAGAGCTGTCTCTTCTCCCCCATTTAATGTCAGCAGCAGCACTTTGCCTAAGGTGAGAGTGTGCTCCTCCGGGCCTCCTGGGAACCGAGCCAGCAGAGGGTTCAGCAGGGAGAGGCAGAGACCCCGGGGGTGTCTTTTCCGCTTGCCAAGGGCTGGTTGCCCTCCCCGCTGCCCCAGCGCCGACCCTTGCCCGCATGGCACAGGATGATGGGTTGAGGGCCGCAGTCTGTCTCCCCACGCAGCCCGCAGAGACAGCCCATGCTGCCTTGTTGGTGTCGCAGGCATTTAAATTGCCATTTTATTTAAATTTATGTCCAAAGATACGGCGGAGAAAGGGCCATTTCAAAGTCAGTTTCTGCTTTATGTCTTTTTGGGGGATCGTGTCGGGCAGCTGCTGGAAATACTGTGCAGGTCCCAGCACAACAGAGGGTCACGTGGGTTCTGGCTGGTGCAGGGAGGAGGCTCTACTTCCAGGATGGGGAGCTCTTGCTTTGTACCCCAAGTCCAGACTGAGCCCCTGCCCACTCCAGGCTGAGCCCTGGTCCCAGGCCCAGACCGAGCTCAGATCCAGTCACACAGTAAGTGCTGAGCCTGGCTCTTGGCTGAGCCCTGATCAGCCCCGAGCCTGGCCCATATTCATTCTTTTATGAACTCGTACTATTGCTTATGGCGTGGTAGGTTTAACGGGAACTCTTACAGTTTCACAGACATCTCCGGGCAAATCTGTTCAGCAAAGGCACAGTTCCAGTGCCCCACGGTTCCACGCAGCTGATGCCTACAGCTGGAGGAACATCTGCCCACACCCTGAGCTGATGAGCTGGGAAGGGCGGGCTGCCCCTCACACCCCTTCCTTGTGCAGAGAACAGCAGCAGCCGCAGCCCGGAGAGCCACAGCCCGGCATCTGGGAGCCCTGGAAAGGCCAACGTGGGTGTCAGCGGCCCGGTGACCCCAGCTTCCTCATGAGACCGCAGCTGAGTCTGACTTCCTTGAGGTTTCTTTTCTTTAAAATGGGGCTGGGACTCTCTACCCTCCCAGGGGGTTTTTCAGGTTGAGTGGGAGCCCACCCGGAAAAGCACTTTGCAAACCACAGTACAGGGGATCCTGGAGTCCCAGCACCCCCGAGGTGGGGCACCTGTGCCGAAGCACCAGATCCTGATATTCTCGGGCCTGGGCCTTGGGCTCCTCCAGAGACCCCCGGGATTTGCATATGAGAAGTGGGTCCAGTAAGGGTTAGGCCTGAGCCAGGGCAGGGAGTGTGCTGGCAGATGAGGCCTGAGCCTGGGCTGGAGCACAGGGAGGCTTCCTGAGCTCGATTTTCCTCCGTCTCACCCTCACACCGATCTCTGCACATGCCTTTAGCTGCAGCTGCCTTCGTCTCTGTCTAGAACCGGGGTGCAGTGTGGGGTGGGAGTCAGTGTGTGCCACCCGCTGTGGCCCAGCACCCTCTTTGCAGGTCCCTGGCATCTCCACCCGCCCCACCTGCCCATTTCTGACCTTGTTCCACCCCACCTGCTCATTTCTGACTTTGTTGGCAAATCCTTGGGCTGTAGTGAATCAGAGACTCGATCGGAATCTGTGGCGTTGGCATGGGTGGGTGGCCCTGGGAAGGTGGAACAACTTGCTAGATTGAGTCCTGCCAGGGAGGGGGGGGCGGGAGGTGGGAGGAGCTGCAGATGGAGAGCAGCAGAAATGCCACCTGGCGTCCAGGCCCTCCCGAGAGGAGCGAGGGGCTTCTCCGTGTATCTAAAGGGAACGTGGCCCAGACACCAGCACCCTGCACCTTGTTGACTGGGAGCCGGGTTTCAGTTTCCCCACCTGTGCTTTTCATCTCAGGGGCTGGTGGTGAGAAAACTGAGCGTGCCCCAGCTTTGTGCCACCACCAGCAGCTCCTGGAGTGTGTTTCCTGGGTCAGGCCTCCCGGGAGAGTCTCTAGGATGGAGCTGTCCCACCGTGAGACGCTCGCTGGTGGCCTGGGCTGGGGGCTGGTGAGGACCAGCCGGGGCCAGGGCGCTAGGATCCCATGACAACCGGGGCGGGGCTCACACACTGGAACCCAGGTCCTGTCCTTGCCGGACGCTCGCTCAGCTTGGGGGGGGCACAGAGATTTGAGAAGCTCACCTCATTCTACCCGATCTTAACCTCACCAAGCCCAGGGCCTCCATGAAAGGAGGATCTCCAAAGACCATTGTCTTTCCTTTAGTCATTCAACAAACATGTATTGCGTGTCTATCTGGTGCAGGACCCAAACTACTTGCCTACATGGAGCAGACATTCTAGTGCGGAGGGAAGGGTGGCGGGAAGTAAATACACTAAAGGGGAAGATAAGGGGACGCGGTGACAGGCAAGAGTGTAAGACACGGTGATGTGTACGAGTCCCGTCTGCTGGCTGGGGGCTGCTACTTCCAAGTGCAGGGGCTCAGGTGTCTTTGTCAAGGGGTGACGTTTGGGTTGACACTCGAACAGCAAGAAGACGTCAGGAGAAAGCATTCCCAGCAGAGCAGAAGCCAGGCCGAAGGCTAGCCCCCTTCCCTGCCTCTCTTTCTCGTAAGGAATCAAGGAGGCCTTCAGGAGCCGGGAGGCATTGCCTGGCAGTGAGCAAGCGCCTGATGCCTTCCTGAGTCACAACTCTTCAGAGCTGGCTTGAGGAACTCGGCCTGGAAGCAGCCGTGTACTCATGGACCCCTGTCGTGCTCTGCTGTCCTGTCCTGCGCTCTGAATACTCTCCGGATACTCTCCCAGCCATTTCTCACTGAACAGTGAGATAGGAGAACCGTGCACCTTGGTGGGCGGGTCTGGCCCACAGAGGGGTGTGTTCCTTCACTGAGTGACAGGGTCTGCAGAGTGCCAGGGTGTGCTTGCCGGGTGCTGGGGCAGGGACACAACAGTGCGCTCACCGGGCAGCCCACCAGGAGACGGGCATTACCACCCTACTCCCCAAACTGCGAGTCCCGGAGCATCTGACTGATTCCAGGGTCAGGAGCCCCACCCGGGGGAAGTGACTGTGGCTGAGATCTTGGGGATGGGCTGACCCCCTGGGGGAGGAGTTCTGGGCACAGGGAACACGGAAGCCGTGTCTGACTGTGGGAGTGGGTACAGTAAACATGGAATAAAGGACCCAAGGGGCTGAGGCCAGGACCTGGGGGCAAGACCGGTGGGGTTGGCAGAGGACAGCACATCCTGAGAAGAGTGCCAGCCTCCGACGACTTCCAGCAGGACAGTGGCACCATGAAGCATGTATGGTGACACATTCTCTCTGTGTGGAGGGTGCATTGGAGCAGGTGGGATGGGAGGGGGCAGCTGGGCCTAGGGGTGCCGGGGGGCTGGATGGCAGCTGGAGGAGGGTGAAGTCTGGACTCGCTGGGTCTTTGGGAGGAGGAGGCAGAGCCCCGGCCCAGAGCCTGCAGGGCGGCCTGAGAGCATTCTCCTCGGGCAGGTGGGAGCTGAAGCCGGGTGTGACAGGTTGGCCTGAGGGTGAGGCCAGAGGAGGAGGTGCCAGGGAGGCCCCAGGGCCACCAGGGGCATCATCCAAGCCCAGACCTGAGTGTGCTTCTTGAAGGGAGTGGCCAGTGGTGACCCCAGGGCTGCAGAGGCGTGGGACGAGACTGGTCCCTGGCCCAGGAGGAGCTGCTGGGGGTGGAGGCGCTCCGGGCCTGGGCGCCAGATTGGAGTGGGCCGTGGAGCTGGTGGGAGGGGAGAAACGGGGACAGCGGGTACCGCCAATTCTCCTGAGTTTTTTCATCTTTCTCTTTTATTTAACACAATCAGTGAAAGGCGTGTTCTAGAATACCAGCCTTAGTCCTCAGACATGTTAATATGAGGCCAACTTGTAATGGGGGAGCAAACATGGCCCCTGGCCTGAATGCAGGCAGCAAAGTCCATTTCCAGGCAGCGTCGACCTCAGGGAAGCTTCCAAGCCCAGTTGCTGGCTGTGTGGTTGGCGCCGAAAGCTGGGGTGCGCTGTGTTCTCAGGGGTGTCGGCACTGCTGCAGGCACACCTGGGACCTGCTCTTGAAGCCACCCCACAAGGAGCAAGGCAGCCCACGGATGCCCAAAGTGCAGCTCGGAACAGAGCCAGCAGGCTCGACTCCATGCATGCTGTTTGATCTGCAAAAAGTGGAGAAGGAGCAGGCGCGGAGCGGGTAGAGAGGGAGGGAGATTTTTTTCTCTTTTATGGCAGAAACCTGAAAGTGTTGGCTGGCAGGGGAGGGGGAGCGAAGGTGCGAGTTCCTGGAGAAGACAGCGCACCAGCTTCGTGCACAGACCATGACAGGCCCTCCTGCTGGTGGGCGCCCACACTGTCGCCCACAGCCCTCCTGCAGGCGCCTTGGAGCGGGTCCCTGGCAGTGGGCAGGGCTGGCCCGCCCCTGCAGAGTGAAGGATAGCCCGGGTTTGGGAACCATGTGTGAGGGTTGGAGATGTCTCTGGGGCCTGTGATCTGCTCCGGGTTGGGTTGGGCTGGGCTGTAGTTGAGGGGCTTTGGGGGACACTGGTCCTCACAGGCTCAAACTAATGTCCACCATGCAGGGTGGTGGCCCTCCCTCTGGAGCTGCTCAGACATTCACATGTGTGTGCACATAGCCAGGCACATACAGGCATACGCACACATGTGCAGAAATGCACATACGTATGCATATCCATGCATGCATATATATAGACACAGACCCGGGCACACAGGCACACACATGCACAAATGCATCACATGCAGAGAGACTCAGGGGCATGCGCACACACACATACCCAGAGCTGCACATGCAGGCACACACACACATATGCCCACAAGTACACTTGTTTGTGTGAAGCACAGACATCCACACGCAGGCATATGTATGCATGCACACACACCTACATGTGCAGACCCTCTAGCCTGAGAAGCCCAGGTCTTCCAGGCAGATGGTTGTGTGAGTTTCTCTCTCCCAGGACCAGGCAGACGCAGCATAGAAGCCCTGATCCGTCTGTTCCTAACCCAGCAAGTGACACACAATAGCCTCTCTGTGTGGCCCTGAGTGGAGATGAGATTCAAAAAGAAAAAAGCAGCTTTCAACTTCCTCTACGTGAAAGGTCATCGCCCCCTCCCCACGTGGGGGTGTCAGGCGATGAGGGAGCCTGGGAGCCCAAGCAGGCTCTCGACAGACAGCTGTCTCTCGCATGTGATGGTGCCGCCGTCTTTCTCACCAGCAGCACGACGCTGCAGGCTCTAGGGGCTGTGGGTAGAGACAGACGGCCTGTGCCCTTTACATCCTTCCAGCCAAGCCCGCTGCTGTACTCCAGATGCGGGCCTTGTTTGCCCTCCCCGCGTATCTCTGAGGTCCCCACGAATTGCTGTGTGGCATGAATGTGAGATCCCTGCCATGGTATCCAAAAGGCAAGCCTCTACTTACAGGAGGGATGAAGGCCCTGAGGGGTGGTGGGTGTCCCATCCCCCTGAGAGTTGGGGGTGCAGAGGGCCCCTCTGCACCTGACCTGCCACCTGGTGGTCACTGTGGTGAGAAAGGGGTCCTGGGACTTCAGGCCTGGGGTTTTGGGGTGAAGATGTCTTGTCTAGAGGCACCAGCTGCCCACAGCCCTGCAGCCACCCTGGCCGAGAGCAGATGATCCAGCGAGTCCTCAGGGGAACATTATCCTCTTTGCAAAATAACTGTGGAATTAGAGCTTGATGTGGGCTTAGCGGGTGCCCTGCAGTGTCTCAGTTCATTCCTACCCAGCAAAGTGGCTGACGTGAGAGCGGGGTCTGCACCGACAGCAGGACCTCCCTGTTCACCTGCTCCCGAGACCACCAGGGAGCCATGCTGTGGCTGTGGCTGAGGCTGAGGGTGGGGCAAGAACCCAAATGCACACAAACCTGCATCATCCGTCCAGCACTGGATCCCAGGGTCTCTCTAGACATTTTAAAAGATCTTTAAAAACAGGGAAGAAAGAAACCAACCCCATTGGGGCGGTGGCGGCTCCCTTAAACTTTCAGCGACTGCCATGAGAACAGAGATTTCGGTGGCTCCAAAGAACACAGGCTTATATTCCTTTGCTTTTCTTGAGGTTCTTATGCCGGAAAGATGCAGGTGTTGCCTGCCCTCTTGCCCTGTGAGGCTGTTCCTCAGCCGCCAGCCCAGGACTGGGCGTCCGGCCGTTCTGTCCACGCTGCAGCCCTGCTGTCCGCTAGATGGCGCTGCGTCATGCCCGTGGCGGGCCTGTCTGGAACCCAGGAAGGCCTGGCGGAGTTCCAGGAGGGTCTCTGGAGACCCAGGCGTCAGCACAGTGGCGGGGACGAGTCCCCTCCCTGGAGGGTGTGAGATCCCCTCATTGCCGGGCTCTGGGCACCCAGAGCACAGATTTTGTTCGCTCACTGCTGGAGAAGCATAGCCTGCCTGGGAAATGCCCCCTCCCCTCTGTGGAGCCGGGAGGTATGCATGCAGGCATGTGTGTGTGTACACGTGTGTGCACACGCCTGTGCCTGTGTGTGCCTTGTGCATTCTGTGCAAGGATGTGTGTGCATGCGCATGCATGCATGCACACACCTGCACACACTCCTGTGGCCGTGTGCTCTTGTGCATATGTGGGGGTTCTGTGTGTGTGTCTGGGGACAGGGAGGTATAGGAGGCAGCTCCCTTTAGCCCATTGGAGGCTAGCCCTGTGTATGTGCTGGACTCCAAGATGACAAAGACCTGCCCAGGTCTCAGCCTCAGCCTGTAACTGCTCTGAGCCTCCATTTACTCATCTGTAAAATTGAGATGCCCCAGTTACCTCCCAGGTGTGATGAGGCCCCATGGAGACCATGGGGCGAGAGGGCCCTCCCCACAGGCATGACGCAAAGTGACATCGATACACACCTGTGTTGTGGTCACGCACCTCCAGCAGCGGCCACAGGAAGGACACTGAGGTCTGCCCTGGGCTGAGGCCCATGGCATCCTGTTCATCATGGGGGTGCCACGGAATCCCCCATCCCACAGGGGAGGAGACGCAAGCTGAGAGGCGAAGCCACAAGCCTGACTCTGAGCCCAGGCTGTCGTCCCGGGCCGCGGTGCCCACACTGCCACTCAGCCCTGGCTGGAGATGCAGTGCTGAGGTGGGCAGGTGGCTCCACCAGCCCCATGAGGCTCAGTGGGACCTGGTGGAGGGTGGCACTGGCCTTGGAGAAGACTTGAGCCCAGCCTCTCTGTGCTGGCAGCTGGGAATGCTGAGAGGCAGGAGGAAGCTGGGGGGCACTTCCTGAGCCCCCACTGCATGGGGACAAAACCCAGGGATCCCTCCCCAGGCAGAGACCCCACCGGGCTCGATCACCAGACTTCTGGCTGTCAGCTGGCACAGAGGCCCAGCAGGGACAACCCCGGAGGAGGGGAATGTGTCATTGGGAGCCTGGGCAGCCATCAACTAGTCCTGGCCTAAACGTGGAGCACCTGGTGCCCGGCCCTTTGGCAGGGCCTTCCTTGGGGACAGAGGTGACTGCTGGTGCCTGGACCCAGGAAGCTCCCCCATCTCCCCAGGCCACCAGAGGCCCCGAGTCACTCCCGGGTGAAAACACAAATCCAGGCTGGGGCAGCTGACAGGTGGTTCCCAGGGAGGAACTGAGGGGTTGAGGGGCAGGAGAGGTGGGAGCTGGACACAGTGACTTCTGGGGCATCAGGCCTCGGCCATCTCCGAAGGAGGGCTCCCGGGAGGTGCACGTGGACAAGATTTCTGGACGAGATCAGGCTGCTTACCCGTCTGCCAAGGCCCTGCAGCTTGGGTGTCTTTGCGAACCTGTCAGTAATTGGGGTTGTGTCCAACAGCCTGTGCCAGGCTCCTTGGCGGGGCAGTCCTTGCAGCAGTCCTTGAAGGTCACCTCGAGAGCCAAGGCTGGGCAAAGCGATGGATCCATCAGGTGCAGGGGGAATGGTGTCTGGGGCCCACAAAGGTCACGATGTGGCCCCGCAGGTGCCAATGAGGGAGCCAGGGTCCAGCCACCTGTGCTTGCCAGCTGGGTGCCCTGGTACCAGGGGACGAGCTCCTTCTTGGTTTGCACAAAGGCTGGTGGGCCCCGTCCAGGAGCTGCTGCCCAACAGTGTGCTCTCGGATCCCTAGGACACGGGGGCCCCAGCTGCATGCTGTGCTCAGCCCCATCGGACACTGGGAGCCCCCTTCTATGGAACCAGAGCTCCCGAGGGGATGCTAGAAAAGTGTGGAGCTCTTTTCCTGGGCGCTGAGCCCCCTGTCCATGGTAGGAAAGAGGACAGTATTAGTGATGGGGATGCAGGGACACCTGTGGCTTCAGAGCATCAGCTTGGAGTGTCTGATTTAGTCATGAGACAGCCTCACCTGGGGAGAACTTTCTTCCCATTTTACAGAGGGGTAAATAGAGGCTGCTGTGGCGCCCTGCCCAGGAGCCCTGGCTGCTTCGAGGCTGAGGAAAGCAGGGAGGTGAGCAGCTCGGGGCCTGCCCTGCAGGTGCACCCGGACCCTGGGTGGGCCCTGCCACCCCGCACGCCTTCCCCAGAGCCCTCTGAGCCTTGGCCGGTGGGCGGACGGAGAAGGTTCTGAGGGGAGGAGTCTGGAAAGAGGGAGGGGCTTTGTGAGGGACCACAGGGGAAGTGGGGCTGAGCCTCTGCTGTCCTCAGCCTCTGCTGTCCTCAGCTGGGTCTCCCACCAGGTCCCTTCCACCCGCTGTGGCCTTGGCGTCCTTCTTGCTTGGGCCCCATGGGTCAGCTGTGGGTGCCTGGACACCCATAAGTGGCCATCCTGCCTGGGTCCCTGGACCTCTTGCCACCTCTCCCATCCCCACACACCTGCCACCATGCCAGCAGCCACTTTCTAGAGCCTTCCGTAGCAAATGAGTTCCTTCATCTCAAATTAGGTGCAGGGGGAATGGTGAGGCTTTCTATAAAAGCCTCTCTGCTGATGACGGCTTCCTGCACAAACAGACCTCCACTAGGGACTGGAGCGACAACCTCTCCCCGCTGAGCGCAGCCGGCGCGTCTCCCGTGGAGCCCACGTCTCCTGGGAACAGCCTCCTCCTCTGACAGACAGGGCCACAGAGCCAACTTGTTACAGTTTGCAGAGAGCCCGCTGCCCTCTGCCGCAGCTCAGTTGGGTGGGTGCCTGGGCCCCGGGCCACCCCTCTGGTGCTGGTCCTTGGCTCCTCTTTTTGCAAAATAGAAAGGAATTTCCAGAATCTCAGCAAAACTACACCGCAGCTTGGACTGTGGATTTGGGGTCTGTGCAAAGCACCCTATCCCTTTCTTGGGGCAGTCAGGCTGGAAGAAGACCTTGCCCGCCCAGGGCACCCCTGAGGTGCAGGGCACCGTGCCTGTGATGCCCTCATGGGTGCACTGAGCTCCCCACAGCCCTGCAAGAGCTTTCTGCTGATGGCTCCCGAGTCACAGATGGAGAAACTGAGGGGTTGTTTATTGGGCCTGCCCATCTGGTCAGCAGCAGAGCGGACGCCCCGTCCGTGCAGCCCCTGTGCAGCTGTTGCTGGCCACTTTGTCTGTTTGTTAGGTTCTGATGGGACCTGGGGGACACCCCATTCTGGGAGCCTGCTGAGCCACAGCACACATGGTGAGAAGCCATTCAATGGCATTTCTTGAAAAATCATGCTTCAATCGAATCTCTTCAGTAAGTTACATGGGTTTTTCACTAGTTAACCAAAATAAATTGCATCAGAGGCTAGTGTTTATGAATTTTTAAAACAACGCGCCTGTATTTATCTGCCATTTGTTTCATTTAATTTTTTTGTCTGTATGCCTTCCTGTTTGGGGGCAGTGCAGCTGCGGGCCGGGCCGGGCCTGGAACACTCAGTGTAGGCTGCCTAAATATTTTATTTGCCAGTTGCAAACAGGAAACGTAATTAGAGGCCTGATTGCCAGCCATGCCAGGGAAAGGGGGTCTCGAGGGGGGGCCAAGCTCCCTTTATTCTTTGGAATTTATAGCGTTTGGATTACAGAGCCACAGGGAACAGGCTTTTTGTTTTTTATTTTCTTAACTAGAATGAAGGCAAAGGTTTCTGCAGATAGGAAATTCCCCAACTCACACGACATCCATTGAAATTTTAATAGAATGCTAAAATTCAGCCCCTGAAAGCATCCAGCAGCAACTCCGGTTTGCTTTGAGTCACTGGGTTGGAAAACACAAGAGAAGGTCGAGGAGCAAACAGGGACGTGGTGGTGGGAAGTAGGGGGAGAAGGAGGAGAACTAGTTCCGAAAATAATGAAGAAAAACAGAGTTCACAGCTCTTGCAGAGCTCCGTAATTAAAATCCCGGGCGGAAGCGGTTATTTCTCTTTAAGCAGCACCAGAATCAATTTGCCCTTCTAAGCCCTTTATTTTCTGGGCAAAAGAGCTACTTGTCTCTTGCAGTAGCGTACTTGGTAGCCAGCCCTCACCCGGGAAGACCCCAGAAGCCGGGAGTGAGGTGGTCCAGCCTTCTTCCTGTCGGGAGGGGGGCAGTTCAAGGGCAGAAGTTGGTGCACCTGGGGAGCTCCTGGCGAGGTGTCCCCTTTCCTGTGTCTCATGCAGCCTTACACATGTGGGTGAACACATAGGGACCCGGGGACGGAGTTGAAGATTGGGACCACCCGGGCCTGCTGGGACACACACAGAGCAGGTGGCATTAAGAGGACCCCTCTCCAGGACAAAGGTTGGCAGCTTCAGGTCTGGCTGACCCTGCCTGGTGGCAGGTGGCCTCCGCTCCCAGCAAGCATGTCAGGGAACAGAGTGTCCAACCCCACACCACCATGCTTGGCTTCAGCTTCCTAGGGGCTGCTCCTGGCCTTCCCAGCCTCTGTGGAGCCCTGGTGGGAGACAGACCAGGCGCTGGGGCTGATCCAGGCGCTGCTTCTTGTTGGCCTGTGGTCTGTGGCGGCGCCGGCCTCCTGGAGCTTCTTCTCCAACTGGAGTGTGATGGACATGCCGTCCTCACCTCGGTGAGGCTCAGAGCGGAATGTGTGGGAGAGCTCCCAGCCAACCAGGCCCCTGCAAGCTAAAATAAAAAAAAATAAGATAAAAAAGAGGAAAGTCATCTCTAATCTCACCGCCCAGAAATAATCTCATGACAGGTGTGGCACAGAGCCTTCCAGACGTTTCCAGGTGCCTTATAAACTTAAATGTACGTTTTCACAAAAATGAGGCATGCCCACTGCCCTTGCCTCTCACTCTCTAGTGCACAGTGAGTGCCCATCCCGTCTGTTGGGCATGAGCTTCCACAGCAGCATCTTGGCGTCTGCTGCAAGCCCGTACCATCATTTGCATGCCCGTTCTCCTGTTGTGGAAGGGAAGGGTGTTTTCCACTTTTATGAACAACCCTGCGGTGGGCAGGCTGTGCTCATGGATGTTTGCGGACTTGCCGATCACACACAGCGTCTTTGGAGGTCAAGGGTGGTGCCTGGAGCTCCTCAGAGTTGGGGTGCGTGGATGTGGCCAAGGGGCTCCCCACACCAGGGTTAGCTGCAGGGGCTGGGACAGGGCTGGCCCCAGGACTTCCACGCACAGCTGTGCAGGCTGCGTACTGCATTCTTCTGGGAGGCCTTGTCATCTGAGACATGACATCAACGGTGTCATCTGGAATCGTGCACAGTACTGGCCCCGCTGGGAAGGTCTGGGCGAGGAGAGGACCTCGAGAACCCCGTGGCCCCTCTGCTGGGATGCCTGAGCAGGCTGACCACACTCCCGTTGCTCGGCTGCTGTTGGTTGATTCTACCGTTCCCTTTGGAGCGCTGACCTGGGTCTGGGCGCTGTTGGCCTTGGATGAGGAGTGAGGCCCTCTCTGGCTGAGTCCAGTCTCTGTTGCTGCCAGTAACTGGGTTCCCCTCTCAGGCCTCCCCTTCTCCCCTTCTTGTGGCCTTTGCTGTGGCCTCTGTCCTGGACTCTTTTTTTTTTTTTCCTTTTTGAGACAGAGTCTAGCTCTGTCCCCAGGCTGGAGCTCAGTGGCACAATGTTGGCTCACTGCAACCTCCACCTCCTGGGTTCAAGCAATTCTCCTGCCTCAGCCTCCTGAGTAGCTGGGACTGCAGGCATGCACCGCCACGCCCAGCTAATTTTTGTATTTTTAGTAGAGATGGGGTTTCACCATGTTGGCCTGGATGGTCTCGATCTCCTGACCTCATGATCTGCCCACCTCAGCCTCCCAAAGTGCTGGGATTACAGGCATGAGCCACCGCGCCTGGCCTGGACTCTTATCTTTTTTGTGCCTGTGTCCAGTTCTCTCTCATCATTCAAAGCCCAGGCCATAGCGCTCGGAAGCCTCTGTGACCCTCTCGAGTGGGCCCCAGACATCCAGGGAGCTCTGGCGGCCGAGCTGTGGGAACCTGGGGTCCTGTGCACGTTCCTGCTGGAGCTTGAGCCCATCCAGGTCCCAGGCCTCTTTGCTTAACTCCCCTACCCCAGCACACACACAGGGGCCACTGAGATGTGTTTGCCGAATGAACAAATGAAAGCTGAGTCCACACCCAGCGTTGTCATTTTTTATTCCTCCAGGAACGTGGTTTGTCAGGTAGGAGGCAGGGAGACGCAGCTGCAGGGACCTGTGGCAACCTACTAGGCACGTCCCGGAGGGGCCTCGCGGACTCCCACGGCACCTGGGAGGCATGGACCCTCATCCCTGCCGTGCTTGGGGAGGCAAGTGTGCTGACTTAGCCCAGGGCGGGCACATCCTGCTGCAGCCAGCATTGCTACACACATACCCTCAAACATATGCACACACACATGCACATGCCCCCACACACATGCACATATACCCTCACACGCATGCCCCCTGCACACATGTGCATACACTTGCACACACCTCCCCTCGCACACGTGCACATTTACACACACTGCACCACATGTCCCCAGGCACACGTGCATCCTGTGGCTGCTGCTGAGTGCCAAGGGCAGGGATGCTCAGCCTCCTCGCCAGTGCCCTAAGTCCTGGCCGCGCTCTCTGCCTTCCTCATATGAGCCACTCACCCACCCCTGAAGTCTCTGCGCTCTATATTTTGGCTGCTTCTCTGGATGAAGCCCTCCCTGGCTGGGTGGCCTTTCCCTGCCGAGGTGAGACATCAACCAGCAGGAGTGCAGGCTGCGCTACAAGGTGAGCTCAGCTCGAGTTGGGAATTGGAATTGGGCACACACACCACCCACGCCCACACACGCACATGAACGAACACACACAACCACAATCCCACATGGTCATGCACGCATGCACACACGTACACATTCACTCTCATAGATATGCACACACAGCCTCACACACACGCAGCCTCACACACATGCAGCCTCACACACATGCACCCCACACATGTGCACACACACGCACACGCACACACACAGCTTCACATGTGCACACACGCACATGCACACACGTGCATCCTCTCACACACCCTCACACACATGCACACACGTATACACTCGCACATGCACACACACCCTCACACATATGCATGTGCACACACTGCACACACGTGCCCCCATGCACATACATGTGCACAGTGTCTGAGGCTGGAGGGGCTTCCACAGGATGCCGTTAGGGGGTCTGCCCTGAGAGGCCAGCTTTCCATCTCCTGAAGGCCCCACCAAGTCTTGGCTGGGAGAACTGCCCTGACGGCTCCTTCTCCCCAGCCTAGGGCCCTTCCACAGCATGAAGTTGCTCTGACCCGTTTCTCACTTCCTGGGTGCCTCAGAGCCAGGAGGCTGGGAGATGCTTCAATTAATGTTTCACTGTTTTTAATTAAACATGAGAACATGGAGGGATGGTGAGCCTGGCGTTTTAAAATATGAATTATGAAAAGCCTCCCCTCCAGATGCTCCCCTCTCAGCTGCTTTACCCCATGAGCTTTAGTTTGTTTGCTTAAAATTTGTTCCTAACTTTTTTTTTTCAGCCATGAACAATGTTTTCTGCCTTCACTTAAGAGGCTGGCCAGGGAAATTTGAATTAAATTCAGAATCTAAACATTTATTGAGTGTCAAGCACTATATCGAATTTGGGTGATTTTGAGATGGAATATACCCAGTTTTTACCCTTGAGGGTCGTACGAGTCTAGCGATGTGAGTTCTACAAAGATTCATTGATGCTTTCATGATCTACTCACGAAGTGTCATTTATTCATTAGGTGCCAGGTTCCGTGCCAGCGGCTGGGCTTGAGGGTGGAGCAGGGCATGGGCTCTCTTGACCGTTACAGTCCAGCAGGGATCAGAAATCCAACTGGTGATCACACAAATATGCATGGAATAAAGCTGGTGTCAGTTCACGGGGAACTTACCTGAGGCGAACGGGCGGGCCGCCATGAATGTGGCCTTATTCTGCCGGTGTTCACTGAGTGCTTTGTCCTTGACTAGGTTCCTCTGTAAAATGGGGATGAAGGGTGCTGTGGGCACAGTGAATGGAAATTCACATACTTTCCGGAGAAATGGCAGCTTCTTGGAGGCCTCAGCACCCACCCAGCGCCCCCCTCCACCCAGCCTTCGTGTGTCCACCCAGCACCCCTGCACCTGCTCTGGCCCCTGCACCTCATCAATCCTCCATCAGTGCCGCTGTTTGCCTTGGTCATAGAGGGCCGGGCCAGGCCTGAGGGCAGGGAGAGATGGGCAAGTGACCAGGGGCTGCCCTCTGCCCACCGTCGACACCAGGCATTTGGACTTGGGGCTCCTCCTGCAGGTGAGGAGTTCCTTTCCATGTTAGCTCCAAAAGACGAGGAGGAAGAAAAATCCTGGCTAAACAAAGAACTATCGTAACTGACTTGAAGAAAGGAAACGTCTGAAGCAAACATGCTCAGTTGTTCACGTAGTCACTCGTTCATGCACTTCTTCACTCCAACCTTTACTGAACTCTGACTATGGCCCAATTCTTGCAGCAAGGAGGATAAGCCAGTAGCTGCCACCCTGTTCAGTGGCCAGGCATGGCCCACATGGCTAATTGGTGCTTCCCTGCCCCATACCCAAGTCCTCAGTCAGATTCATAAACCTGGGGCCCTGGGCAGCTGGGCTGCAAGGGACCTCTTTTTGCTGCCCTGCTCACCCTGAGGATGATGGTGGAGCAGGCACTTATGTGTCCTGAGCCACTCCCTGACCAGGGGAGATGGCCCTGGGACCATCTTGATGACAACAGCATCAAGGGGGGCCCTGGAGATGTGCGGCCCAGGGGAGGCCGATGCACAGAGGAGGAGCTGGCTGCCAGTTCACGGGCTATTCAGTGAGTGCCAGTTCCAGGCCAGGGAGCGCTCTGGGTGCTGCGGCCCTGATGGGACAAGGCCAACCAGGCAACCTTGTATTTTCATAGAAATCACCTCGTTACTTTGAGCTATTCAAAGCCTCCCAAGACTGCTTTTAACAGCCACCACGCAAGGGTGGCTGGTATGTGGGGAGTCAAACCCGAGGCTCACAGACGTCTTCTGTTTCTATAGAAGGGGACCCTGCCACTCTGACTTTGCCGCCATTAAGGGACTGTGTCTGACTCCTGGGGAGGCAAACACAGCCCACGGCAGTCTCATTAGTGCCACTTGTTCACCTGGTGAGCTGGACTTTCCCATGGCCATGTAAGAGATGCTTCCCATTAGGAGACTTAAACTGTAGCCTGGCACCTGCCCAGATATTTACATATTTTATTGAAATGGTTGCTCTTTGGCTGCTTTATAGTTGCATCATCATTAATGACAGCCTCTTAGGGCAGACCTGCTGAACCAAGAGCCAGCCCAGGGACATTTGCATGCTGGTCAGTGGTGCCATCAGCCTCACTCACTAGGCCTTCTCTGCCTTCATCTGTAGCCAGGTATGGGCCCTGAAGGGTGGTCATCCATCCATTTATCCGTCCATTCATCCATCCATCCACCCATCATCCATCCATTTATCCAATCATCTATTCCTCTATTCATCCAACCAACTAACTATCCTTTTATCCATCCATCCAATCACCCATCCATCCAGATCATATGCACCTCCATCCATCCATCCATCATCCATCCATTTATCCAATCATCTATCACTCCATTCATCCAACCAACCATCCATTTATCCATCCATCCAATCACCCATCCATCCAGATCATATGCACCTCCATCCATCCATCCATCATCCACCCATTTATCCAATCATCTATCCCTCCATTCATCCAACCAACCAACCAAGTGTCCATTTATCCAACCATCCAATCATCCGTCCATCCAATCACCCACCCATCCAGATCATATGCACATCCATCCATTCATCCATCCATCCATCCACTTTCTAAGCAGTCAATCAAATTACTTCCTCTCTCTGGCCTTAATTTTCTCATTTGTGAAAAAGTGATAAAGTTACCCATTTCACACAATTGTTATGACGATCATTTCAGATGGTGCGATGGGTATAAAGGACTTGGAATAGTGCTTGGCCATGGTAGTAGGCAGGGTAGCTTGGGTTTTTTTTTGGAGGCATTCCTGCCTGATGGGCATTCTAGCATGGTAGATTAGAGCCTGAGACTGGAGTCAGAAAAAACTGGGTTTGTCTGACCATTGGCAAGCTCTTCATCCTCTGTGAAACTCAGTTTCTTCATCTGGAAAGAGGGCTAGTAACTTCTCTTCAAGACTTGATGAGACGATTAAACAAGGTAATGTATTCAAGGTGCTTAGCCCTGGGGTCAGGCTTATACCAAGTGTCCACTAAATGAAGACTGTTCATCATCATCATCACCATCATCATCACCACTACCACTATCATCATCACCACCACCACCATTACCACCATCATCATCACCATCATCACCATCATCATCACCACCATCACAATCATCACCACCATCATCACCACCAACACTACCATCACCACCGTCATCATCATCTATCCCACAGAGGGTTATTGAATGCTGTCATGGGCTGAACACCTGGATGGTAGTGTGAGAATTTCCATTGTTAGAGAAGTGTGAAACAGTGGGCTCCAAGAGGCCCCTAAAGCAGGTGACCTTTGCAGCAATTTGTTGTTGACAACAACTTCCATCAGGGCCAAGCTGATGCTGACCGTGGGCCAGGAACTGTGTGAAGCACCTTCTGTGGGGTGTCTCCTTGAGTCCTCTCAGCAGGACTATGGGGTGGATACTGGAAAGCAGGGTCCCAGGCTGAGAGAACTTCCAGTCCTGATTCTGCCTTCAGAGACCTGCCTGAAGACCCAGGACCCTTGAGGGACCTGCCTTTTCTGCCCTAGGTCTGGCCGGGCAGCACTGATGGGTAGGTGACCGCATGCAGCAGCCACGACAGGGCCAGAGAGGCAGCGCTGAAGAAACTGCCCTAGCACTGCCGCCTCACTGGTCCCAGCCTCTGTCAGAGTTGTGTGACCCAGACTCCTCTGTTGGGAGGATGCCTGTGTCTCCCATTTGTGGTGATGAAGCCAGCACAAAATGGAAAATCCACCTTCTGCGGGCGAAAGCACCATGGCTTCCAAAGCACGTTCCTATCTGTGAGCTTATTTCAGCCCCTCCCTGACCTAGGAGAAACAGTTCTTTCCCTTCTTGATAGAGGGAAAACTAAGACCCTGGGGGAGAAAGGGACCTTTCCAAGGTCGAGTGTGGGTCATTGGCAGAATGGGGACCAGAACCCATGTTCCCTCCTTCTAGGAGTCTGCAGCCATGGGAAACAGGGCAGGGGAGCTTTCAGCTGCAAAATGAGAGTCACGGTGTTTGTGTGACCCTAGGTGTGAGCATGGAGGTTCCACGGCAGCCTCTAGGAGCAGAGGCCAAGGGCTGCCTGGACCCAGCAACTCCAAGTAGTGAAGTCTCCCCTCAAATCTCTTTCAGTGGCCATGGTAGGCCAGCTCCTGCCCCCAGCACTGCAGCTTGGAGAGTCCCTAGGACAGATACTCCCCTCTCCCAAATGCCCAAACCTGAGACTGTACACTGTGTTTACTCAAAATGGATCTTTTTTTTTCTTTGTATTAAAAACAAGAGCAACTGTCTCAAAATAATAATGGATAAAGCCTACATGGCAAGAGCCTTGTTATGAGCAGAGATAGCAGGATTCAAAGTGTTGTTTGCAAGCAACCCATCACCTTCATTATGGGTAATTTATTCCAGATGAGATCAGACGAGCAGTTTATGCGGTTAAAGACACACACACACACACACACACACACACACACACACACACACAGGCGCGTTGCTTGCCATGCTCATAGAACAGGAGATTTATATTTCCTCCCCTTGCTCAAGAACGAATGATAAATTATTCACCAGGATTACGCCAGAAGCCCCCTTGTCAGGCTTGCTGAGCAGCTGGTGGGGAGGGCTGGTGGGGAGTCGGGCTCTGGAGCCAGGGAGGGCCGGAGGAGCAGAGCCCAGTGGCTGATGGGGTAAACTTAGCCTGGGAGAGTTCCCTGCTAGGCTGAACCTGCCTGCAGTCCTTTGTCATCCCTTGCTCTGGTGCTTTCATTGCGGAAAACAAGCCTCCAGTGCTTGGGGTTTCTTGTTGGCAGTGAGGCGGGAGTTGTCTGAGTCTCAGGGGGACTTCCAGGGCCTGGGGCAGAGGCTGAAGAGTACAGGACTCTGGGCCTGAGCTCCTGTTTGCAAAGCCCAGGTTTGAACCCTGGCCCAGCACTTAATGTCTTTGTGACCTTGGGAAAGTTCCTTAGCCGCTCTGTGTCTTGTTTTTTTCATCTGTAAAATGAGGGTAATACTAATGCTTACATACCCCTTAGGGTTGCTATGAAGATTAAAAAACATAAGCCCTGTAAAGTGTTTAGCCCAGGGCCATGCGTGGAGTTGTCGCCATCATTTTTCATTTTCCCTGGGTGCCCTCTGCATTTCCAGAGAAGGAAGAGTCTCACAGGATCTGTGAGCTGCCACTGCGCCCACGGCCAGTGCAAGGCCATGAACTCCAGCCTCAGCTCCTGCCCCGCCCTGGCCATTTCTGCCACACCCTGGCAGCTTCCGTGGGGCCTCATCCCCCAGCCAGAGCCCCCATCTCTTTCTCTGCTCTCTCCTCTCAGGGGTGGGGCTCAACAAGGTCTCTCACCTGAGTCTGTCCCCCCAGAACACCTGCCATGTGCCTCAGTTAGCTTTCCTGCGTCCCAGCCCTTCAGGGTCTGCCCTGTGGGCAAAGTCACTGCTCGGCCCTCTGAGCCTGACGGTGTCCTAGGTGTGGCCCCAAAGCTTCAGCTCCCCAGCCCGGGCCTTGTGGTGAGTTGACATCTGGTAGCCCCACTTGGGTGGGCCACCTGGTGTGTGCATATGTGTGCATCTCTGTTATGTCTGTGAATGTGTGTGTGTGGTATGTGTATATGTGTGTGTGCATGTGTGTCTGAGTGTGTATCTGTGTCTCTGTGTATATCTCTTTATGTGTACGTGTGTATATCTGTGTGTGCATGTGTATCTGTGTCTGTGTGTGTCTGAGTGCATATCTGTGTGTGTGCATGTATGTGTATCTCTGTGTGTGCATATGTGTATCCGTGTGTGCATATGTACCTGTGAGTGTCTGTGTGTACACGTTTATGTATCTGTGTGTGTGCCCACCTGTATATCTCTGTGTGCACACATGTGTGTATCTGTGTGTGCATGTGTATCTGTGAGTGTGAGTGTGTATCTGTGTTTATGTGCACGTGTGTGTGTGTGTGTGTGTGTATGTGTGTGTGGCTGTGGGAGGGCTGCATGCTGATGTTCTTCAGGACTTTGCTCCCACAGCAGAGCAGCCGTCTGTCCCTCTGGTGTACGAAAACCAGGCCTCCCCCATGGCTGGTGATAAGTCCCCCAAATCCAGGGAGCTGAAGACTGATCCACAGTGCCTGGCCTCTCACTCATTCTCTTCTCCATGTCTGCCCCTCCAGCCCTAATCCACCTCATTCCAAAGCCAGTAGCCCGAGAGCCTAGAGCCGAGAGCCAGGAAACAGCTGGTGGGCACTGGCTTCCAGCAGGATCAGCTCAGGGGACAAGGGTGAGGATGCAGCTCCCATACGCAGAGCCCAAGGACTTTCTCAGTGGGCATCCAGCACTAGGCCCAGCAGCCGGGGAAGCCGCTCCCCTCCTCTTGCCAGTCCCAGGGAGAAAGGGCGTGACCATCCTTGGGTTTCATGACCACAGCCTTCTCAACTCTGCAGGGCTGTAGATATTTATTCAGTAATTTTCACAGCAGGGCTGCACACTCTACAACAAAGCATTAAACGTGTCAAAATACAATCTTTTTATGGGGAGCAGATTGAAAAATCCATCAGCATGCACCCATCTATCACTAGTGCTGACAGAAACCACTGCAAAGAGAAAAACAAACATAAATAAGGTTTGTTCGACTGGGTATGTTGGAAACTGCTGCGAGGTCCCTGTGGGCCTACGACACTGGAGTTGAGTTTGCCCGAGGCAGGTAGGGTGGAAGGAAGGCCCCTGGCCCCGGGCCAGGTGCGGCAGCTGGAACCTGGGCTTCTTCTGCGCTGCCTCTACCAGGCCCCAGGCCTCACTTCCTCCCGTGGGATGAGCAGACCGGCCTGATGCCTGCCCCCTCCCAGGCAGCAGGTGGGAGCAAGTCCTGCAAAGGACTCGGGAGTCAAAGCCGCTGTCCAGGGTCTGATCCTCCTGACTTGGAAGGAAGCCCCTCCCCAAACCATCTGCACCCACGTTGCACTTTGCAGAGTTCCCTTACGTCCTGAGAAGTGCTGCCTCCGAAAGTTTCAGTGCTGAGAGTAGACAGTGTGACCACTCCTGTGGTGGGTGGGGGCCCCGGCATCTGGCGCGGTGCTGTCCGTTGACTCAAGGACTAAAGACCAAACTCCAGGACAAGTCTGGGCCCAGGTGGTCTGAGTGCCCATCCCCAGCTCTGCGGCTCCACACCCTCCGGTCCCACTTGAGCGCTCTTTGGGCTCAGGGTGCATGGTGCTGCTGCCCCTCTGCCTAAAGCACAAGGCCCCTGTCCCTCCCTTCTTCTGCTCCCCACCCCCCACCCAAAGGCTCCCAACTTCTAGGTCTTGGATCAATGCCTGAAGTTTCCTCTGGGAAGCCTCCCTGCTCCATGCCTCTCTCCTCACTGCCTGGTTGCTGCTGCCTCGTCCCCCTCCCTGGGCTTGGGCATTCCTGGAGGGTCCTTGCAGTTGGGTCTCTGGTTGGGGCAAGGCCAAGAGCAGTGCCTTGCACAAGGCTGGCTGGTACCCATGCTGCACGAGTGAGGCCTGGGGAAGACAGCCCGGGTAGTGCTCATCAGAAGAGGCTTCTCAGAGGAGGAAGCTGACTTCCTGCAGGGCACAGAAGACAGGGAATCTGGAGGTGCCAGGATGGGAGCCCGGTGGGGCTGGGGTGGTGGGTTGGGGCTGGGAGTCCTTCTCAGGTGGGGACTGAGGCCTGGCTGTAGCCAGTAACTGTCGCTGTGATTACCGTCGTCACCCCTGGCTCTCCTCTGCGTGTGCTGCAGGCTGGCTGGGGTGGGGACTGAGGCCTGGCTGCAGCTGGTAACTGTCACTGTGATTACCGTCATCAACCCTGGCTCTCCTCTGCATGTGCCGCAGGCTGGCTGCTCCCCTCGCCATCCTGGTGGGTGCCTGTGCACGGCTTGAGAAAGGCCGGAGATGGCTCAGCCTCCCCCAGGCTTCTTGTCACCATAGATCTTCCCAGCGGCCCCGGGAGGCTGCAGAGGTGGGTGGGGAGGCCTGAAGTGCTCAGCTATTCAGGAGAGCCTCGTCTCACCTGCACACGGTGGGGCTCATCGACTCCCAGGGTGGGTAACGCAGCCCCTCAAACGTCTCCCTGCTCCCATTCCACTGTCTTCTCAGAACCTGGGGTCCCTGGGAATCCAGCTGGCCCCCAACTGTGGGTTCTCACCCTGAACCACTTCTTAAACTGCACAGATTTTCATCCCCTGGCAGCCTGGGAGAGCTGGGGCAGTGCCTTCCTCTTACACATGCAGATGGGGCTGCTCAGAGAGCTGGAGCAGAGCCCCTGCTGTCCCGGGGCAGTAGGTGGCAACCCAGGAGTCCTGACCCCATTCACTGACCCTGGAGGAGGTGGTGACAACCTAATTACATAAACTAGGAATTGATTTAAACATTTATTCACATTTTAGTGCTTTGTTTTTGGCATTTAGTTGTTCATGAAATTCTACAACACCAAAATAACAACAGATACAGGGTGAACAGGGTCAACTATCAAGTTGTTGTTTTTTTTTTTTGTAATGGCTTTTTTGAGCTATAACTTGCATGCCTCTTTGTTCATACTTTACAGGGTACAATTCAATAATTTTTAGTATATTCAGAGTTGTGCAACCTTTATCACAATCAATTGTAGAACATTTCTATCATCTCACAGAGAAACCCCACACCCTTTACCTTCCTATTCCCCTGACCCCTGTCCCTAAGCAGTCCCACATCTACTTTCTGCCTCGATGGATTTGCCTCTCCTGGACATGGCGTCGAAATGGACTCACACAGTGTGTGGTCTTTTGCTTCTTTCATCAGCGTGTTTGCAAGGTGCGTCCATGTTGTGGCGTGCGCCAGTGCTTCACTCCTTTTTCCAGCTGAATAATGTTCCGCTGTATGAAGAGTGCCTTTTGCTTCTTCATTCATCTATTGATAGACTTAGGGCTAAGTGTACCTTTTGGTTATTATGAATAAGGCTGCTGTGGACATAAGTTCTTGTATGGATATAGGTTTTCAAGACTCTTAGGTACATACCTAGGCATGGGAGTGCTGGGTTCTGCAGTAGCTCTGTGTTTAACTTTTTAAGGAAAACCATCAGGCTGTTTTGCAAAGGGGCTGCAACATTTTACATTCCTGCCAGCCATGGCAGAGGCTCCAGCCGCCCACCCAAGGGCTTATCCCACAAGCTGCAGCTACACGTTCCCCAGACCCTGACCCCTCAAAGCCCTCCCTCCTTCAATCTCTAGCACCCCATGAGTGAGCAGGGCTCTTTCCCCTTCCTGAGATGGTGGCCAAGATCAAGTGGCTGGAAAGGAGTGGAGCAGGTTTCCAACACAGGCTGGGCCCCAGAATCACCAATCTTCCCAGAGGCGGTGCCCGTGGCTGCCCGATGCCTCAGGCGGGCCCTGGAGAGCATTTAGCTCTGTCGGCAAGAAAATGAAGGGCCAGGCGTTTATTTTTTCTCTCAGCCAGAACAACCCTGTGTCTGTCACAGCTGAGCAAATTTATATTAGCAGCTAAACTGACAGACCCCACGCAGCACACGTGGCTTCCGCAAAACCTGCCTTCCGCGTGGGTTTCAGCTGATTAATAAATTAAACGTAGTCCACACACCCACCCACACAGCATGCTGGTTTCCTTCCTTGCTGCCTCCTGGAATATGGATCCCAGCCACATATGCCACACTGGGCTGGGTGTCTGGGCACAGCCAGGACTGGAGGCTGGGGTGCAAGCTGAGGCACCAGCAATGGGGGTTTCTGAGTGAGGATGACCAGCGGTGCAGAGCCAGCCCAGGAGCCACAGCAGCCCTGTGGTGTACATCCTGTGTGGTCCAGCGCAGCTCCCTGAGACCTTTCGGCACAGTCTCTCCTCTCTAAGACGAGGAGGACTCCAGGCTGATGACGCAGTAGCCCAACAGATCTGAAGGCAGAAGCACCCGGAAGGAGCTGTGATTCCCTGACAGGGGTGTGACCTCCTGCGATGCCGAGGCCAGCCCCCATCACCCACGTTTTGATGCCGGCTTTTGCTCCAGGGTCCCCTATGGCATGGCGCATCCATATTCTTGATCATTCCTGGTCCTGTCTTCATTTAGAAATGTTGGTTCATCAAGGATTGTTTGCATGCAATTTGACTTAAAATACATTGCTTTAAAGTGTTATCTGTCTCAATGATTGTGTTTGTTGGCACCTCCGTCGATTTTGCCCCTGAGGTGAGCGCCTGGCCCACCTTGTCCTAAGTCCAGCCATGTGTGTCCAGCCCTATGTGTCCAGGGCCTCTGTCCAGAGCCTGTATGTCCAGGGCCTGCGTGTCCAGGGTCTCTGTGTCCAGGGCCTGTGTGTCCAGGGCCTCTGTGTCCAGAGCCTGTGTGTCCAGGGCCTGCATGTCCAGGGCCTGCGTGTCCAGGGCCTGGGCTGGCTGCGGGGAGGTGGACATGCGGTGGAGGAGGGCAAGGGCGAGCTGGGACCACACTGGCCTTTCATGGTGTCCAGGTCACTGATGTGGGTATGCCACAGGAGCCCAGCAGAGAAGCTAATGCCTTCCTCTGGGTAGACACACACCAGGCTCAGGAGCCTGGGAGGGAAGAGGAGCTGGTGTGGCCAGCAGGCTGCGGCCCCACAGCCACACGCAGGGGGGCCACAAGGCGAGTGAGTGCCGGTGCCCCACTTCCCGCCACCCCCCAAGGATTTCAAAGGGTGGGCTTACCCATCGCATTTCACTGAAACTGCATAGAGACCTGCCATGCGGCAGTGCCTACAGCTGACGGTATTGTAATGTACACTTAAAGATCTGCTATGAGGGTCGGTCTTGCGTTAAGTTTAAGCCCCATAAACATTCGTGGGATGAGAAACGGGAATGGATGAACGATGAAGAGGCCTCGGGTTACCATCCTCAAATCGCTGAAGGTAGGTGGGGGGAAGAATGCGGTCGTGTCCTCTGTGACCCCAGAGGGCAAACCCAGGAGCCAAGGGGAGAAGCTGTGGGAAGGCACCTTGTCACAATCCAGGGACGGTTCTTCTCGGCTGTCAAATGTGGTTTATTTCTCTCTCCCCTTATAACAACCGCAATAGTTAAGTTCCTGTGCATCAGGGAAGTAATGAAAATCCAGATGTGCAGGGGGGAGAATCTGAAAGTCACACACAAGTCCAAGGACCAGAGACAACAGCAGCTGACGTTCGACGTAGTTCTCATCACTCGTAACAAATATGGCCATAGCCAGGCACACACCCAGTGTTGGCCATTCTGAGCCATCGTTTCCAGGTAACTTCAATATAATTATCTCCTGCCAGGCGGAGGTTGCAGTGAGCTGAGATTGCGCCACTGCACTCCAGCCTGGGTGACAGAGTGAGACTCCGTCTCAAAAAATATAAAATAAAATAAAATAAAATAAATTGTCTCCTGCCATTTCCATGGAACCTCAACAGGAACACTTCCTGGTATTCTGTACGTTTCACAAACCTTATTTTTGACGTCTGTGTAACATTTCATTGAAACATCTTATCCTAATTTATGTAAACACCTCTTATCGTTGGATATTAGGTCATTCCTCATGTTTCACTATGGTAAGATGCTCCAGGATCTTGGTGACAACACTGTCAGGAGAAAGTCCCAGGTGGCTTTGCCGCTGTGAGACAGGGCTTTGTGACATGGGGAGTGTCCACGAGCCCGCTGCCCCGAGTGGCCGCACCTCTTTACTGAGCGCCTACTGTGGGCCTGGCAGGAGACACTCAGAGTCACCCATGGAAAAATAATCAATGCCAGTGCTCTGTCCCGTCTCCACAGCTCTGGGGTCTCAACCTTGTCTGAGGGTCAGAATCCCCTGGAATTCCCTGCCCTATTCAAGAGATTTTGAGGCAACTGGGCCAGATCAGAGCACAGACGTTATTTATTTATTTTTTAATTGTAAACGTTTATGTTGAGATCACTGTACAGCTACATGCAGTTGTGAACATGATGTAGAGAGGTCCCTTGAACCCTTTACCCAGTCTCCCCAATGGTAACAGCTTGCAGAACTCCAGCCCAGGGTCCCAGCAGGATACTGACAAAGACACATGCAAGACACAGAATGTCCTTCACCAAGAGGAGCCCTCGGGGTGCCCTTCATGGTTACACCTGCTTCCCACCTCCCTCCTGTGCCCACCTGCACCGTAACTCCTGGCACCCACCGCTGTCTTCTCTATCTCTGTAATTTGGCATTTCAAGGACATTACGCAAATAGAACCATAGAGTGTGGAACCCTTTGGAATTGGCCCTTTTCACTCAGCAGAGAGCTCCCTTGAGCTTCAAACCCAGTTGCTGTGGGATGTATCAATAGTTTGTTCTTTTTATGCTGTGGGATTCCAGTGTGCTGGTGGGGATGTATCACAATTGGTGTAGCCACTCACCTATTGAAGCGCATCTGGCTTATTTCCTGCTTGGAACTATTACAAATAAAGCTGCTATGAGCACCGTGGTTAGGGTTTTCAGTAAACATGTTTTTGTTTTTCTGGAATAAATGCCCAAGAGTGCAATGACTGAGGAGTATGGTCACTGTGTTTTGTTTTACAACCAACTGGCAAGCTGTCTTCCATAGTGGTTGTAGCATTTCATGTTCTCACCAAGCAAGGTTTGAGTGATCCAGTTTCTTTGCATCCTGCCATTGTTTAGTATTTGCTTTTATTTTAGCCATTCTGATAGGTCTGTTGTGATAGCTTATGGTTGTTTAATGTGCACTTCCCTAATAGCTAATGATGTTGAACATCTTTTCATATCCCTATTTGCTATTTGTATATTCCGTTTGGTGAAATGTCTGTTCATGTTTCTTGCCCATTTCATAAATAAATTCTTTTTCTATTGAATTTTGAGAGTTCTTTATATCTTATAGATACTTGTCCTTTGTAGGACATGTGACTTGCAAATATTTCCTCCCAGAATGTAGCTTGTCTTTTCATCCTCTTAATGGAAACTTTTGCAAAAGAAAAGTTTTTAATTCTGATGAGACCCGATTTATCATTTTTTCCTTTTGTGGGTCAAGCTTTGTCAACTTTAAACACTCTGTCCAAAGTTCTATTTTTTTTGTAAAAAATCTTTTAATTTGTAGTTTACACTGAAGTCCATGATCTATTTTGAGTGAACTTTTGTATAAAGCATGAGGTTTAGGTTGACTTTCACTTTTTGCCCATAGGTTTTCCACTGCTCCAGCACCATTTGTTGTAAATACTATCTTTCTTCCATTTAATTGCTTTTGCATCTTTGTCAAAAATAAGTTGGACATATTTGCATGGTCTAATTCTGGTTTTTATATTCTGTTCTATTGATCTATGTATTTATCCCTCTCCTAATACACACTGTCTTAATTGTTGTACCTCTATAGTAAGTCTTAATATCTGGTAAAGTGATCTCTCCTACTTTCTTCTTCTTTTTCAAAATTGTTTTAGCTTACAGAAGATTCCACTTTCAGTTATAGTTAGTTTTTTTCTAGGTCATTTATCTTTCCCTATGCATTTTAGAATAGGCTTGTCCATACCTACAAAAAGATGACTAGTATTTTGACAGGAATTATGCTAAATCTATAGATTAATTGGAAGATAATTGATATCTTTACTACTATTCTGAGTCTCCCAATCCATGAACATTGTATGTCTCTCTATTTATTTAGGCTTTCTTTAATTGTGTAAGTGTTTATAAGGCCCCACAGGTGATGTGCACCTGGGTTGAGCTGGGTGGATGGGATTCAGGCATCAGACTGGGGGAGGGTTGGTTTAGATCAATTTTCCCCAAGCTTCCCTGATGCTAAGAATGACCTAGGGGCACATGTTATAATCTCCAGAGGGAGTCAGAATCAGACAGTGGGGTGGGACACATCTGAGTGGTTAAGAAGCCCCAAGGGTGGTCCTCACAGACCTGGTTGCAATGAGTATCAAGTTCCTTGGGCTCCAAGCATTGTCCCTCTAAGCCTGAGGGATGGCCAATGGAGTGTGTGGTGAAACCGACATGCATCTGCTCAGCATCTCTTCGGACCTACTCAGCGGGGAAAAGCAGGCCACTGGCTAAGGAGGATCCTGTGGCATTGCCGATTTCCCTAATCCGGCCTCCCCTGGGGTGCTCTGTGGTCCTAAACTACCTGCCCTTGTGAAACCACTTGCATGGCGTTGTCTGTTTGTTGATCACTCAGGACTGAAGTCTCTAATCTTTGCAGTAATTCGGCACAACACTTATTCCTCATTGCAGGATTCTGTGGGCCTCACATCAGTAGACCAGGAAGATTTGGGGGCTCCAGGATATTCTTGCTCTCCAGGATCCACGCAGTCTCCAGCAAAGCCACAGGAACCTCACTGGGAAGCAAAATGAGGTCTTTGAAGTTAATTTTGCTGTTTAAAACAACTGGGCCAGGAAAATAGGAACAGCTGGGGCCTCTTTCAAAGATCCACCTTTGAGAGAACTCATTGGACAAGGATCCACATTTTTAAAGGCCTGTCAGATTCCTGCATGTTACCTGGTGTCCATATCATGAGCCTTTTGTTCCTCCCCTATAGGATGGGACAGCTACTCTCTCCAGGGTTTTGGTGAGGATGGAGTGAGAGGATTCAGGCAGCACTCAGGAATATGACCTGGCAGGTGAATGCTACCTCATAGTGGTTTCTTCAACTGGATTGAAAACTTTCCAATAGCGAGGCCAGCATTTTCTCCTTATTTTGTGCCCTGTCCCTGTCTTCTTTTTGTACCCCTCACATTGCTCCTTGCCCTGTTACTACCACCTTCTCAGTGGTGCACACAGAACAGATGCTCATAAGCCTGAACATGGAGAAGACGCAACAATAACCCTCATCTCTGCCATTATGACACTGCAGAAACCCTCTGGAGAGACAGCCAGGCACCCGCCTTCTTGTCCAAGAATGATGGTGAACAGAATCCTTCCAAGTCAGAGGGAAGATGGAGGAGCTCATGGCTTGAGTGTTATGAGGTGCGGCTGTGAGGAAGACAGGCTCAGGGCTGTACTCACTCGAGATGCCCCCTTGGGAGATGCCTCCTTTGGGGGCTGCAGCAGGGCACGGGGGCTTTCTTGGAAATCCACAAATTGGAGATCCACCTTAGTCACATGCAGAAGCCTGGGCATTTTTCACCAGGCTCAGGCATCCAGGGCAGGTGGGAAGGGCAGAGTGGGTGGAGGCAAGGGACTCCTGTACAAGTGCTTCACTGGACAGGGCTGAGCCCAGGGCAGTGGAGCCCCAGAATGAGCCACGGCAGAGTGGACCTGATGGCAATAATGGAACCGATCCGCCCTCCTGACTCCCAAGGACCTGCTCCCTACCCCAGCCTGGCTGCAGGGACTCTTGGATGCTCACGTCCCAGGGATGGGCCTCAGGTCTCCTCTCCACACCTGTGAAAGAGCTGGAACTCTGGGTCTGGGTGGGCTGGGTGAGGTGGGATGGGGTGTGGTGGAGGAAGGATGGGGGGCAGCCTCCCACTGCTGGCCTGAATGAACATCAACCTTGCAGCAACCTCTGTCTGCCCCCTGCACTCTCTGGCCTGCCTGAGAACTTCCCACTTCTTGGAGACTGCCCAGTGAGCAGGGCCTCCCCCTGGGCTCTCCTGCCCCCACCCTCTGTGGTCTCCTGGGCGAGGCAGACCTGAGGGGATTCTGCTCTTGCTCCAGGACCCTGAGCACCCACACTCTCGGGACCTGCAGAGTCTGGAGTGGAGCAGGGTGTCTGGGGCCGTGGCTGGGCAGGGGCCATGCTCACTGGGGCAGGCGCTCACCTGCGTCTTTTCAGTGGGGATGGCTGAGGATGGGGTGAGGGGTGCCCCAGGGTGCACTCTGCCTTAGGCTCTGGAAAACTACAGATGTGAAGGTGGGAGCGAGGCTGCCGTTTTGTTTTATAAACGTCAGCCCTGTGTGGATACAAGTGCCATGAAGCTCAAAACTGGGAGATCTACTGGTCTCCAGAGATCCACAGACTCGGCACCCACCTTCACTAAGCAGCAACACATGCCAGCATGTGTGCCCACCTGCAGTGCGTGACAGTTTGGGTTTCTCCTGTCCTTGGCCACACTTTTTGCCTATTTGATGAGAGTGAAATGCCGCATCATTGAGGAGTTGTTTTTTGGTTTTTTAAAAAATGTTTTCCTCTTTTATTGAGGTATAACACACACAGGATGTGCAGTTAGATGAAATTTTACATATGTATATGACCATCTGTCAGTGAGGTCAAGACATGGAGGCCCAGGTCAAGACATGGTGCCCAGCACCCCAGCAGACACGTCCCACGCCTCCCAGTAACCCCCTCCCCGAAGGCAGGCACTGTTCCTCTTCTCTCGCCACAGGTGAGTTTGGCCTGCTTTTACATCTGTGCTTATGAGAAACACTGGACTGTAGTTTTCTTGTGCTCTCTTTGTCTGGTTTGCATATGAGGGCAATGCTGGCATATTAGGGTATACAGAAGAGGAGATGTATCATGGAAGTTGACTCGCACTATTATGGAGACCAAGAAGTCCCATTTGCGGTCTGCAAGCTGGAGACCCAGGAAAGCTGGTGGCTTAATTCAGTCCAAGTCCAAAGGCCTGAGAACCAGGTGCTCCCATGTCTGAGGGCAGGAGAAGATGGATGTTTCAGCCTAAGCAGAGAGAGAGAGAGAGAGAGAGAGAGAGAGAGAGAGAGAGAGAGAGAGTCAGTTGCCCTTCCTCCACCTTTTTGTTCTAGTTCTATCTGGGCCGTCAACAGATTGGATGGTTCCTGCCCACATGGGTGAGGGCAGACCTTTACTGAGTCTACTGATTCAAATGCTAATTCCTGCTGAAAACACCCTCACAATACACCCAGAAACAATGTTTTACCAACTGTCTGGGCATCCCTCAGCCCTGTCAAGTTGACACATGCAATTGACCATCACAGCTGGCCTCATAGAATGACTTATGAAATATTTCCTCTGCTGCTGCTTTCTGAAACATGTAGAAAACCTCTAGGTGTAATTTCTTTCTTACATGTTTGGTAGAATTTATCACTGAAGCCCTCTGGGCCTGGTGTTTTCTGTTTTAGAAGATTGTTAATTGTTGCCTTAATTTAAAAAATAGATATTGGTATATTCAGATTGTCTATTTATCCTTGTGTGAGTTTGGTAGATTGTGTCTTTCAAGGAATTTGTTCATTCCATTTATGTTATCAAATTGTAGCCAGTTTTAAAATTTTATGTAAATATAAACATACACTATGCATACCTTTGCATCTGGCTTGTTTTATTCAGCACTGTATCTGTGAGATTCCCCCGTGTTTATATTTTTTCACTATGGTGCAGGATTCCACTCTGTGGGTATTTGCCGCTGTGTTTACCGGTTCACTTGTTGATAACCATCTGGATTGCTGACAGGTTTTGGCTGTTATGAATATAGCTGCCACAGGCATTCTTGGATATGGCTTTTGGTGGATCTATGCACTTATTTCCGTTGGATAAATACCTAAGAATGGAATTGCTGCGTCATAGAGAATACCACTGAAGAGTTTTCCAAAGTGTTGGATCATTTTTTTCACTCCACCAACTCCAATATGAGAATTCAAGTTGTTCTAAAACCTTTCTAGCATTTATTATTATCTAATTTTAGCCATTCTGATAGGTATGTAGGAATAATTCACGCTGGTTTTAATTTGCATTTCTTGGACGACTAATGGTGTTAAGCAACTTTTAAAATATATTAATTGGCTATTTGTATGTCTTCTTTTGAGAAGTGTCTGTTTGGTTTTTGCCCATTTAAAAATATTGAGTTGACTACCTTTTTAAAATTGATTTATAGGATTCTTTATATATTCTTTTCCAAGTTCTTTTTTGGACATGTGTTTTACAAATATCTTCTCCTCATATGTGAGTTTCCTTTCTACTCTCTTAATGATGTCTTTTGATAAAGAGAAGTTCTTAATATTAATGAGGTCCAATTTCTCAAACTTTTATTTTAGGATTTTTTTTGTGTGTGCCTAACAAAGCTTAGGTGATCCAAAGATCATGAAGATGTTCGATGTTTTCTTCTAGAAATCTCACTGTATTTTTGGCTCACTTTGAGTCCATTTGTTTGCATGGGTATGAGGTAGGGGGCCAGGGTTTATTCTTTCCCATTTAGATATTCAATTAATCCAGCATCATTTATTGAAAAAGGTTTTTCTTTTCCCCCATTGAATTGCAGAGGACTTGTCGCTAAGTATGAGAACAGCATGCCTGTGTTTCTGGGCCCTCAACTGTCTTCCATGGAACCACTCATTTGTTCTCGTGTCAAGGCAATGCTGTCTTATCTACTATAACTTTGTAGCGTGTCTTGACGTCTGGCAGCAGAAGTCCCCTGGCCTGGTTTCGCATCTTCCTCTCCACTGTCCTAAATTCTTTGCAGTTTCATAGAAAATTTAGAATCAGCTTGTCAATTTCCATAGCAATGTTGTGATTTTGACTGGGATCAATTTGGGGAGAATTGATGTCCTTACAATATTGAGACTTCGAATCCATGAACACAGGATAACTCTCCATTCACTGAAGTCTCTAACACTTGTCATCAATATTTTACGGTGTTGAGTGGAGCGATCTTAGCCATTTAAAAATTATTTTCATTCTTGGTATTTGGTGTTATTTAACCGATATTTTTAATAATTTTATTTCCAAAGTATTTGTTAATATTATATGGAAGTACAATTTATTTTTGCATTTGGTCTTGTATCCAGTCATCTTGCTGAATTCAAATAGTTTGTAGAGTTTTTAATTTTATTTTCTATATACATAATTGTATCATCTGCAAATAATGAAAATCACATTTCACCCTTTGAAATCTTTACATATTTTATTTCTGTCTCTTGCCTTATTAACTGAATAGAATCTCTAGGACAATGTTGAATAGAAGTGGTGATATCTGACAGCTTTACGATAACTTTTTTTTTTTTGAGGTAGGGTCTCGCTCTGTGGCCCAGGCTGGAGTGCAGTGGCACAATCTCGGCTCACTGCAGCCTCCACCTCCCGGGTTCAAGCGATTCTCATGCCTCAGCCTCCTGAGTAGCTGGGACTACAAGTATGCACCACCATACCTAGCTAATTTTTGTATTTTTAGTAGAGACGAGGTTTCACCATGTTGACCAGAGGGCTGGTCTCAAACTCCTGACCTGAAGTGATCTGCCAGCCTCGGCCTCCCAAAGTGCTGGGATTACAGGTGTGAGCCACCATGTCCGGCCAGCTTTAGGATAACTCTTGGTGGCTCTATGCTGTTTTCTTCAAGAGAATATTTGCCATTTTTGACCTTTGCCATTGCATGTGCATTTTAGAAACAGACGGTCAAACTCTACACACACACACAAATGATGCAGGTATTTTAAATAAAATTAGGAAAAAATTGTAGGTCATTTCAGGGGAAATTAACATCAGCATCTGGTAAAGTATGTTTTTGAGTGTTATGCTCCACAAACATCTTGAGCATAATATATCTCTCTGTCTTTTCAGAAAACATTTCTCTTTTATTATTTTCTTCATAAATATTTTACACATATTTTGCTACATTTTTCCTAAGTATTATATATGTGAAACCTGAAAATCTGAGCCAGGTCTCAGTTAATTTAGAGTTTATTTTGCCAAGCTTGAAGATGCACCCATGACACAGCCTCAGGAGGTCCTGACAACACGTGCCCAAGGTGGCCGGGGCACAGCTTGGTTTTATACATTTTAGGGGGACATGAGACATCAATCGATATATGTAAAAAGTACATCAGTTCAGTCCAGAAAGGCAGAGGCAACTCAAAGCAAGTTCCCCCAACTGGAGGCTTCCAGGTCACAGGTAGGTGAGAGACAGATGGTTGCATTCTCTTGAGTTTCTGATAAGTCTTTCCAAAGGAGGTCATCAGAACATGCATGTATCTCTGAGCAGAAAGACGACTTTGGATAGAATGGGAAGCAGATTTGTCCTAAGCGGTTCCAGCTTGAAGAGGCCCAAGATATTTTCCTTTCACATATATTTTTGATGTCATTGTAAATTACACCTTTAAAATTTCCCTTTTCTATCTTTATTTAATGTTACTTACTATCAGTGTAAAGAAAAGCAATTGTTTTTCGTATATTGATTTTGTATCTAATAACTGTACTGCATTCTCTCGTTAATTCCAGTTATTCATCTGAATATTCTTTTGGACTTTTAATACGGACACCCAATTATATCATCTGCAAATAATGGCACTTTTACTTCTTTCTTTTTAACCCTATGTTGTTTATTTCTTTCTCTTACCTCATGATACAAGCTAGAAACTGCTGTCAATACTGAAGAGAAAGATGAAAAGGAGATCATCTTTGTCTAGTTCTTGGTTTCAGAGAAAGCTTTTAACACCTCATGTTTAACATGATTCTTTTCCTATCCATCTCCTGCAAATAGCCTTCACCAAGTTAAGGAAATTCCCTGCTATATTTAGTTTGTTAACAGGTTTACTTTAAAATCATATATGATATTGAAAAATTTTATTAGCATTTCTTTGATCTTAGTGTAATTGAATGTTTAAAAATGTTTATTAGTTCTTTCTTTTTAAAAGAACATTAACTGATTTACTTATTTTATTCATTCAGCCTTTTGCAATGTGCCAGGCACCTTGCCGAACATCAGGAATACAACTGACATAAAACATTGCTCATAAGCCCAATGCTTTTAATTTTGATAAGCTCCAGTTTATCAAGTTTTCCTTTTGATAATTGCTCTTGGTATCAGCTAAAACACTCTGCCCTAGGTCCTGACGATTTTCTATTTTTTTCCAAAAGTTTTATAATTGCGTATTTTACATTTAAACCTGTGATCCATTTTGAGTTAATTTTTGTAAAAGTTGTGAGCCTTAAGCTAATCTTCTTTCTTCCATCTAAATGTCTTAGGCAAGAGACATTTTCTATTGCTGTCCAATTGCTCCAGCACCATGCGTTGTAAATACTACTTTTTGCCCGTTGGATTGCTTTCGCATCTTTGTCAAAAATCAGTTGGGCGTATTGGTGTGGTGACTCCTGGATTCTCTGCCCTGTTCCATTGAACTATGTATCTACCCCTCTGCCAATACCACACTGTCGGCCAGGTGCGGTGGCTCGCACCTGTAATCCCAGCACTCTGGGAGGCTGAGGCGGGTGGATCACCTGAGGTCAGGAGTTTGAAACCAGCCTGGCCAACATGCTGAAACCCCATTTCTATTAAAAATACAAAAATTAGCTGGGCACGCTGATGGGTGCCTGTAATTCCAGCTACTTGGGAGGCTGAGGCAGGGGAATCTCTTGAACTCAGGAGGTGGAGGTTGCAGTGAGCCAAGATCCCACCACTGCACTCCAGTCTAGGGGACAGAGTGAGACTCTGTGTCAAAAACAACAACAACAAAAACAAACAAAACAACAACAAAAAACCTCACACTGTCTTGATTTCTATACCTGTACAGTAAGACTCAATATCTGGTAAAATGATTCCTCCACTTTATTCCCCTTTTACAAAGTTGCTTTCCCTTGTAGATTTTAATTCCTGTTGTATCTTGCTTTTCTTGTGCCCTTTCCTTTCTCTATATAGTTAATATTTTTCAGACAGAGTCTCACACTGTTGCCCAGATTGGAGTGCAATGGCGGGATCTCAGCTCACTGCAACCTCCACCTCCCAGGTTCAAGCGATTCTCGTGCCTCAGCCTCCCAAGTAGCTGGGATTACAGGTGTGTGCCACCAAGGCCGGCTAATTTTTTGTATTTTTGGTAGAGATGGGATATCACCATGTTGGCCAGGCTGGTCTCAAACTCCTGACCCCAGGTGATCTGCCCACCTTGGCCTGCCAAAGTGCTGGGATTACTAGCGTGAGCCACCGCACCCGGCTGATTTTAGAATAAGTTTGTCTATATCTACAAAAAATCTCCCTGGCATTTTGATAGAAATGAAGTTAAACTTAGATCAATTGGGGGAGAACTGACATTTTCAGTTCTGAAACTGACATTTCAGTTGGGTCTGTCAATCCGTGAACACACAGCATCTCTTCATTTATCTAGATTTTTTTTCATTTCTTTTATTAGCATTTTATAATTTTCTGCATATAAGTTCCATCCATATTTCATTAGATTTATATGTAAGCATTTCATTTTCTTTGTATATGGTATGATGTCTTTGATTTAGTTTTCTTTTTTTTTTTTTTCAGACACAGTCTGGCTCTGTCACCCAGGCTGGAGTGCAGTGGCACGATCTCAGCTCACTGCAACCTCTGCCTCCCGGGTTCAAGTGGTTCTCCTGCCTCAGCCTCCTGAGTAGCTGGTACTACAGGTGCATGCCACCACATCTGGCTAATTTTTTTTTTTTTTTGTATTTTTAGTAGAGATGGGGTTTCACCATGTTGGCCAGGATGATCTCTATCTCCTGACCTCGTGATCTACCTGGCTCAGCCTCCCAAAGTGCTAGGATTACAGGCGTGAGCCACCATGCCCAGCCTGATTTAGGTTTTTACATATTCACTATTAACATATAGAAATGGAATTAAGTATGTGGGTGATTTTGTATCCTATGACCTTGTGGAACTCACATAGTTCTAGGATATTTTAGTAGATTTTTTGTGGTTTTCTACATAAACAATCATATCACCTGAAAATAGAGACAGGTTTATTTTATTCTTTTCAAGTCTGCATATTTTTTCTTCTTTTTGCTTATTACTGGCTATAACTTCCGGTACTATGTTGAAGAACAATGTCTTGTCCCTTATGTAAATGCCCGCATTTTTGAAAGGTATTTTCATCAGGTACAATATTCCTGGCTGGCAGTTATTTTCTTTCAGCACTTTAAATGTTCTTCTATTTTCCTAGATGCCTAGTTACTATTATTGCTCCTTTGAAGGTCATGTGCCTTTCTTTGCTGACTACTTTAAAGATTTTCTCATTGTCTTTACAGCAATTTCTATATGAGATGACTATGTATGCATTTTCTTTCTATTCATTCTGCTTGGGGATCATAGGTTCTTTGGATCTGTGACTTGATGTCTTTTGTCAGTTTGGGAAATTAGCTTTTTCTCCATTTTCTGTCTCCTTCACTTGTGAGACATATATCACACCTCTTCAGGGTGCCTTATGTGCCTCTCCTGTGCTTGCATATTTTTTCATCTTGTTTTTTCTACCCTTCCTTCAGTCTGAATATTTCCTATTGACCTGTTTCCCACGTCACCAATTCTTTCCTTAGCTGTGTCTATTCTGCTTTCAAACTCATTCTTAACTTTAATTATTTAGTTTTCAGTACTAGAACTTCAACTTGACTATTTTTATAAATGTTCTAGTTCTTGGGTGTCTCAATTGTGTTATCTCTTTTTTAAATTGTATTTATCAGAGTTATGTAAAGTCCATGTTTGATAAGCTTAATATCTGGAATACCCGTGAGCCTTTCTTTTGTGTATTTTTTCCTCTTGATCTGTCTCTTGGATTGACTGGTAATACTTGTTTCAGTGCTACTTTGCATGAAAACTTGTTAAGGCTCTGAATGATGCAATATTCATGGAGAAAATTTTTTTAATGTTTCTTTTGGACATTTATAGTAAGAGCAGATCACCTTTATCTAATGATCATTTTTACTTCTTTGAGGCTGAGTTTCAGTGTCTAAAGTCCTGATTTATTTATTTTTTTGAGAGGGAGTTTCACTCTTGTTGCCTAGGCTGGAGTGCAATGGCACGAACTCACCTCACTGCAACCTCTGCCTCCTGGGTTCAAGTGATTGTCCTGTCTCAACCTCTTGAGTAGCTGGGATAATAGGTGCCCACCACCACACCCAGCTGATTTTTTTGTATTTTTAGTAGAGATGGGGTTTCACCATGTTGGCCAGGCTGGTCTTGAACTCCTGACCTCAGGTGATCCACCTGCTTTGGCCTCTGAAAGTGCTAGGATTACAGGCATAAGCCACTGCACCCAGAAGATTCTTGATTCCCCCTCTTGCTCCCAGTTATCTTCCCCTAGGCTTTCCCCAGGGATTCTCCACCTTACTCGTCTGTGAACCCCAATTGTATTTTCCCAGCATTGTTGAGACTTTCAAAAGTTCTGCAGACATAGTTATCATTTTAGTATCTGCTTCTTTCTTGGTTTCTCCTTCTCTGTGGCCATGCAGCTTATGCACTGGCCAAATGCTTTGAGGAGGAAGGCGATCAGATGGCCAGACTTACTGCTGTGCAACTCCCTTTTCCCTAGCATCTCAGTCCCTCAGGTACGGCTTCTTATACAGCTCTTCAATGCTTTCAAACAGTTGTTTGTGTCTGTGTGTTTTAACCAGATTTTTTTGTTCTTCCTGGGATGATTGGTCAGCCACAAGCTAATGATCTAGCTATAAGCAGAAGTTTGGATGTTTAATTTTATGAAACACTTTGAGGTGTTTACTAAACATCAAACAGGTGATAATTTGATTTTCTGCTTTAATTTATTAACGTTGTCAATAACATTAATTTATTTTCTAAAGTTAAACCAGCCTTGCATTCCTGGAGTCAACTTGGATGTGATGTGTTGTCCTTTTTATACATTGCTGGATTTAGTTTGCTAAGGGCTTGTTGAGGATTTTCAAGCATGTTCAAGGATGAGACCTGATCCTTAGTTCACACATTTTTAGCTTTTCTTTTTTTCTAAAATAATTTTTTAGCACTACAAATTTCATTCTTGTACTGCCTCTGTCAGGTTGGGTGTCAAGATTAAACTTGTCTCTTTGATTAAACGTGGCATGTCTCTTGTCTTCCTAGTCTTTGAAACAGATTTTTCAAGACTCCAATTATTGTTTGTTTAATATTCCATGGAACTGATGGATAAAATTGTATAGGCCTAGTGGGGTTTTTTGGGAGAAGATGTTAAATTATTATTTCAATTCCTTGGCTATAGGACTATTTAGGTTTTCTACTTATTATTGAGTCAGTTTTGAATGGCGTATTTCCCCCTAGGTATTCATCAATATTTGTCTAAAATTTTAAATATATTGCATAAAGCTTCTATTTATTGATTGGTATTATATTATCTTATTAACTGTTTAGTCATGGTTGCTTTTTTTTTTTTTGACACAGAGTCTTGCTCTGTCACCTAGGTTGGAGTGCAGTGATGCAATCTCAGCTCAGTGCAACTTCCACCTCTGGGGTTCAAGCAATTCTCCTGCCTCAGCCTCCCAAGTAGCTGGGATTACAGGTGTGCACCACCATGCCTGGCTAACTTTAGTATTTTTAGTAGAGATGGGGTTTCACCACATTGGCCAGGCTGGTCTTGAACTCCTGACCTCAAATGATCCACTCGCCTTGGCCTCCCAAAGTGCTGAGATTACAGGCATGAGCCACTGTGCCCAGCATGGTTGCATATTTAATTATGCTTTTATATGTTAATTTGTTCTATATCTTCTTTTATTATTGATTAATAGTGCCAAAGATATGTCAATATTATTAGTCTTTTCTATGAACTGGTTTTGGTTTTGTTGATGCTCTCTGGTGACTGTTTTTCTATTTTATTTAACATTTAATTTCTGCTACATTTATTTTAGTTTTTTGTTTTCTTGCTAATTTTTTAGATAGATGCTTAGTTCACACATTTTTAGCTTTTCTTCTTTTCTAAAATAATTGTTTAGCACTACAAATTTCCTTGTACATATCATTTTAGCTGGATTTCTCAGTTTTGACATACATATTTTTATTACCTTTCAGTACTAAATATGTTCTAATTTCCATTTTGATGCCTTCTCAAGTGATGAGTTATTTAGAATTTTCTTGATTTCCCAACATAGCATTTTCTAGCTTCTCTTTTGTCACTGATTGTAGTCTAATTGCTTTGTGCTCGGAGACTGTGGTCTGCGTGTTTTTAAATCTCTTCTATTTCTTGAGACTTGTTTCTAGCTCAGTGTGTCATCAATTTTTAAAAAGCATTTCTTGTTGTGCTGGAAAAGATGTGTGTACTCTGAAGTTTCAGGTGCTAGTTTTAACTGTCCATTAGATTGTGCTTGTTAATTGTGTTATGGAAACCTTCGGGGTCCCCACTGATTTTTTGATGTGCTTGATCTGTCAACGACGAGAGAGGTGTGATAATGTCTCCCCCTCGCTGGAGGGTTAGTCTCTTTCTCCTTGTAGTTTTGTCTGTTCTCACTTCATGGAGTGTGTGCCCATCGTACAAGTGCAGAATTGTCATTGCTTCTTGGGGAATTAACATTCTGTTGCAGATACGGTCCTTTTTATCTCCAGTAACACTTTTTGCCTGAGATCTCAGTGCTGCGGGAGAATTTGTTGTGTGTTCTGGTCAGCAGCCGGCTACCTTTTCTTAGAACTTTTACTGCACGGGACTCCTGCTTGTGCCTGTGTCTCCTGCAAACTCCAGGACCTGGGGGGCCACACCTCTACGTCCTGACCAGGAAGGATGTGCCTCTGGCTCCCAGTCTCACCCGGAGAATTGCCAGACACAGATAGCACTGCCCCATTACACTCACACCCACGGGCCCTTTGCCAGTTTCCCCTCCTTTGAGTCTACTGAGCTCTGCGCCACTCCCAGCCTCCCTTTAGAAGGCACAATCACCTCTGCGCACGAATCAGAACCAAGCGCTGCTCCCACCACCGTTGGCAATTATGGAATAAAATCTGTTTCCACCAATTCAACTGATGTCTGGCTGTGTTTATCTTTGAAAAAGCTGAGACTCAGAAAGGTTTAGCCCATGGCCACAGCCAGGACCTGGTGCAGGAGCCTCTGGCCCGTGCTCCCCGACAAAAGATGGCTGCTGGGGGGGTCTTCCGTTCCCCCACCAGTTCCCGCTGCAGCTCTTCCTCCCTGCCCTGGGTCCCGGGGCACTGGTCTGCAGCACACACTTCTCTTGGGCCCCCTGCGCCTCTTGCTTCAGGGCAAAGGGCCCATCAACAGCCCCCAAGGGTCACCCAGCCTGGGCCAGTGTGTGGCTTTGTCCCCGCGGCTGGATGCGCTGGATGCAGGCAGGCTGTGTCCCTCTGCAGGACGGCGCCCCATCACACCCTCCCTGCCCTCCAGTTCTGGAGCGGTCATGCTGGAGGGCTGCACTCCTCCATGTTCTTTCCCCATGCCCTTCCCTCCAGCATTGTCAATCATCCTCAGTTGCCTAGTTTGTGTCCCTGCTGGAATCCCGAGTAGAACAGAAAGTGCTTGAAGAAGCCAGTGTGACCCAAAGGGATGTGCGGAGATGGCGGGCTCAGAGAAGGGCAAGGCGGGTGGGAACAACAGGGATGTCTTCAGGTGGGCCGAAGAAGCTTGGATGTCATCCAAGGATGTGGCACGCACTGCTGGGGAGGGTGCCTCGGCACAACACTCTCCGAGAGCAGTTTGGTGGAACTAGTGGAGCTGAAGTGCGTTCATTCCCAGCTGGGCCCTTTCCCACCTGCGGGCAAGCTCTCAGGCAGAGCTGTCCCCCGGGCAGAGCTGTCCCCCGGGCAGACCCCACCCAGAGGCAGAGCTGTCCCCTGGGCAGAGCCATTCCACGAGCAGAGCCGTCCCACAGGCAGAGCTGCTCAAGGCTGTCCACCCAGGCCTTCACTGTCATGACCACGAATCGCTGGGCACAGCCTCCTTGTCCTAGAAACAGAAGGGACAAGGGAGTGGTGGTCTGTTTGTGGACAGCCACTGGACAGTGGTGGGAATGAGTGAGTGAGGGCCCCAGGCCCAACAGGACACTCCCTCGTGAACGCAGCAGGCTGCTGAGGACAGAGTCACCACAAGGCCACCTATGCACACGGCAAAGCTCCCAGAGCAGGTGACACTGGGCACTGTTCTCACACACGCAGGGAGAATGTAAAGCACTCGCAGGAATGAGAAATACAAATCCAGGAGAGCCGTTCCTTCGGAGAGCGCGGAGGAGGAAGGAAGCGGCAGGTGCTGCCGGAGGCTCAGCTGTGTCTTCTGCTTCATTTATTTCCTAAGAGAGGCAGTTCTGGAACATACGGCAAAATGTTAGCATCTGTCAAATCTGGGTGGTGGGTGCATGGGTGCCTCCTGTGTTAATTCTTGAATACTGGAAACATTTCATATTCGAAAGCGTTGTCAGGGGCTTTGTAGGAGAGCAGAGGGCCGGGGTCCCTGATGAGGCAGCCGTGGATCCCAGCACCTTGGATTAACCTGGGACATAAGCCATGCAATTAGGAAAAGCTGCTGGCACCAGCCTGCTCTTTAGGGAGCCTCTCAGCTCCAGTGCCTCCTCTAGGAGAAGGGTCTGGACACCTGGTAGGGGAGGGTATTTGTAGGAGCGCTGCTTCCGAGTCAGACGGCCCTGGGTTCTCCTGGCTCTGCGCTGGGCTCTCAGCCCTTGTCTGTAAAATGAAACAACTGGCTGGATGCAGTGGCTCACACCTGCAATCCCAGCACTTTGGGAGGCCGAGGCAGGTGGATTGCTTGAGATCAGGAGTTCAAGACCAGCCTGACCAACATGGTGAAACCCTGTCTCTACGAAAAAAAAAAAAAAAAGTAGCCGGGTGCAGTGGCACACACCTGTAATCCCAGCTACTCGAGAGGCTGAGGCAGGAGAATTGCTTGAACCCGGGAGGCAGAGGTTGCAGTGAGACAAGACTGCACCACTGCACTCCATCCTGGGTGACAGAGCGAGACTCTGTCTCAAAGAAAACAAAAATGAAATAAGCAAATGAGATCATGTTTGCAAAGTGCCCTGCACAAGGCCTTGCCCTCGGGGCCCAGTAAGTGTTGCCACTGTTGCTATGAAACACATGTGAGGGGCCGGGCACGAGCGATGGCTCATGCCTGTAATCCCAGCCCTTTGGGAGGCTGAGGCGGGCGGATCACTTGAGGTCAGGAGTTTCAGACCAGCCTGGCAAACATGGTGAAACCCTGTCTCTACTTAAAATACAAAAATTAGCCGGGCGTGGTGGCATGCACCTGTAGTCCCAGCTACTCAGTAGGCTGAGGCAGGAAAATCACTTGAACCTGCGAGATGGAGGTTGCAGTGAGCTGAGATCGCGCCACTATACTCCAGTCTGGGTGACAGAGCAAGACTCTGTCTCAAAAAAAAAAAAAAAAAAAAAGAAAGAAAGAAAGAAAAAGAAATATGGGTGAGGCTCCTTATTCTATGAAGAGGTGTGTGAGGTTCCTTATTCTATGAAGAGGCTCCAAGTGAGGCCAAGTGACCTTATTAGGAAGGACAAAATAAGAATGAAAAGCTGTCCAAAGGATTTTTGTGAAATGTAACATTAAACTCAGGGAGCTGCCATTAGCACCCATTTGATTGGCAGATCTTACGAAGTTGGCAACATGTAGCTGGTGGGAAGTTGAAATGATCTCATCCTGGCAGAGGGTATTCAGCACTGAACACAGCTGCTTGGTGCTGGCCCCGACCAGCAATCCTGCCTCTAGGAATTTACCCTGGGGTAATGCCTCTGACAACGCTAACGTGCTTATTCACAGGGTTTTTCATATCTGCAATATCCATCGAAATGCGCACACGTAGGGGAACGTGAATAAACTCTGTGCATGTACACAGCACTCTACACAGCTTAGCAAAGGGGGAGAAGAGCTCCATGAGAGGAAGGGAGTGAAAGCCTGCAAACTGAAGTGTGTGTGTGCTTCTGTGTGTTGCTACGTTTGGGTAGTAATGGAAGAGAACTAAGAAAGCGTGCATGTATGTATTTAGTTATTTTTGAAAGGAGAGGAAGAAAAGAAGGAAGAAGAGAAGGAGGAGCTGGGGGAGGAAGAGGAGGAAGGAAAACCCCTGGGGATAAATCAGAAGCCATGGGACTGGTTACCTGCAGGGAGGGAAGGTGGGAACTGAACTGAGAGTTGGGGTCTGGTTGGGGATCCAATCCAGGGGATCTCAGGGTTGGGACAGAGGGACACAGTCAGCCTCCCAGTGAGACCGCCCACAAGGACACGACGTCACTGCTGGGATTTTCCTGCCTGAAATGCAGAACCCATGTTTGGTTGTGAGGGCGCAACGGCCAAGACCGAGGGACGGACATTCTGCGGAGGAACTGAACTGGCCTGTGCTCCTCAGAAATGCCAAATGTCACACAAAAGACAAAGACACAGCGAGGGCTGCCCAGACTAAGAGGATTTAGGAGCCATGGCCACCAAATGCAGTGTGGGATCCAAAACTGGATCCCGGACTCAAAGGAAACCAAAGCCATGAAGGACATTATTGCGACCACGGCAGATGTCTGACATGGCTGTGGATTTGACGAGAACGTAAGATCCCCTGATTTCCCTAACTGTGTGAGTGGTTATGGAAGAAAATCTCCTTGTCCTGAGAAATATGCACAAAAGTGTTTTGGGGCCAGGGGTAGAGAGGCATTGAGTTACTTTCAAATGGTTCAGAGGAAAATCATAGATACTTGTTGAGAGAGAGAGAGAGAGAGAGAGAGAGAGAGAGAGAGAGAGAAAGAGATAGAACAAATACTGAAATCAATGCAGCAAAAACGTATATGGGAGTTCCTTGTGTTATTCTGGTAACTTTTCTGTAAGCTTGGAATTCTATCAAAAAATTCCAAATAAATAAAATTACAAGTTCCAAAAAAGGAAGGAAAGAAGGAAGGAAAGGAAGAAAAGAAGGAAAGAAAGGAAGGAAGGGAGGAAGAAAGGAAGGGAGGGAGGAGGAAAGGAAAGGAGGAAGGGAGGGGGAAGGGAGGGAGGGAGGAAGGGAGGGAGGGGGAAGGGAGAGAGGGAAGAAGGGAGGGAGGAAGGGAGGGAGGGAGGGAAGAAGGGAGGGAGGAAGGGGAGGGAGGGAAGAAGGGAGAGAGGGGGTAAGGGAGGGAGGGAGGGAGGAAGAGAAAGAACACGGATCTCAACAGAAGCCCAGCATCACAGGGAGGGCCCTGTTAGGACCCCACTCACCTTAGGCCACCTGGATGCTGGCCAGCCGGTCTGTCCCTCTGTCTGTCGGAGTGGACTGTCCAGTGGCCGAAAGGGCAGAGGGCTCTAGAGCTTCTCCTGAGATGGAGGCTCCCCCAAGTCACCTGTGCCCCTAGGGGCCACGTGCTGAGGATGGAGCCTAGATCCATGGAAATGGGGCTCAGGAATGGGTTCCCCTTCTCCCTCTCGCTACTCTCCCGCTCAGACCCATTCTGGTCCTGTCCATTCAACATTCTGCAAATCCAGAAAGCTGAGCCAGGCTGCCAAGGAGCAGGAGGGGCCTGAGGAGCCATGGGGAAGGAAAGCTTGCCTTTCTTTGCCACGGGCCAGGATCTAAGTTGTTTAAAAGAAATTCCAAGATGCACTGACTTTCGGAGCTGAGTAAAAGACCCCCGTGGAGCCTGGGAGAGCCTCTGGGAAGGAGGCCACTCCCGGTGGGGCCTCTGGGCTGCTCCTCGTGAGACAGCCGCACTCTCAGACTTCCTCTGGCTCCTGCTTTAATCAGCTCCTCTCAAAGCGGGCCCAGAATTCACGGATTGAGGAGAAAGAGCTTTTGGCTTCTCCAAAGAGAAGACGCTGCTGCACATTTGGGGGGCTCAAAAAACAAGACAAAAATGCACCTGAATGTAAAGCACATATTTGCTTATGGGACCACACTTTCTCCTAGCAGCCAGTCGGAGATGAGCTTCCAGGGGGAAATAATGGTTCCAAGATGGCACGAAATTCACCAGTGCACACAGTAAAAGAGGGGAGATGGGCCCAAGGTCCTAAGGGGCAGGTCCTTGCTTCCTTGGCCCACCAAAGCTTGGGGAACACCAGTTCTTCCTCCCAACCCCGCTGAAAAGCAGCTGTGACAGTGGGGAATGGGTAGCTCAAGGGTCTGCACGCCATTCTCCCAGGAAGAGCCTCTGGCACTGGCCCTTGGTGGCCTCTCACAATGCAGGGTTTGCACCTGAAGGCCCAGCCATCATAGCCCATGAGAGCAGAGCTGTGAGCCCTCAAACAGGCCTTTCCACTTGGCTTGCCCAGACCATCTGTTTTGATGGGTACACAACAGCAAGGGGGGTCTTCTGTAATTGCCGGGGGCATCTCTGACTCAAAAGGAGATAACAGAGATGTCAGGATAAGAAACCTACTGCTGCTCCTGTGGCCAAAGGCAAAGGCTGATGAGGCAGTGCCCTAACTGTCGTCTAGTTCTTGTTGTGAGGAATTTTGAAGGCTTCTAACCCTGCAGACAACATACTCTTTGAGAAGGCCTAGGACAGAATATGTCTAGTGCACGCAATCCACTTTCTGTCATCCATCCATCCACTCATCCACCATCCATCCACCCATCCACACACCCTCCATCATCCATCTATCCACTCATCCACCATCCATCCATCCATCTATCCACTCATCCACCATCCATCCATCCATCAGCCCTCCATCCCTCCACTCACCCTCCATCATCCATCCATCCACTCATCCACCATCCATCCATCCATCCACCCACCCTCCATCATCCATCCATCCACTCAACCACCATCCATCCATCCATCCATCCACCCACCCTCCATCATCCATCTATCCATTCATCTACCATCCATCCATCCACCCACCCTCCATCATTCATCTATCCACTCATCCACCATCCATCCATCCATCCACCTACCCTCCATCATCCATCTATCCACTCATCCACCATCCATCCATCCATCTGTCCACCCACCCTCCATCATCATCTATCCACTCATCCACCATCCATCCATCCATCTGCCATCCATCCATCCACTCACCCTCCATCATCCATCCATCCACTCAACCAACATCCATCCATCTGTCCACTCATCTACCATCCATCCATCCATCCATCCATCCATCCATCCATCCACTAATCCACCATCCATCCACCAACCCTCCATCATCTGTCTATCCATTCATCCATCCATCCATCCATCCATCCATCCATCCACCTATCCACCTACCATCCATTCATCCACTCATCCATCTACCCTTCATTTATCTACCCACCCACCATCCAACCATTCACTCATCCATCTAATCCATTTTCTTCCATCTTACCAACCATCCATCCTTCCATCCACCCTCCATTTATCCATCCATCCAGCCTTCCAAATGTCAGGCTGTGCTAATTCCACACAAGGGTGTATAGGAGACGATTTGTTGTGTTCATGGGATTTGGAGGGGTGTGTGTGTGTGTGTGTGTGCGTGCATGCCTGTGTGCCCCTAAGGTGTTGGCAGGGGACACAATAGATGCAGGGAAATATTGGGAGGACTGGGCACAGGTGTGGTTAGAAAGAGGCTGCATGGGGAAAGGTGAGTAGCCGCCGCCTAACACACCTCCCACCTCCCATTCAATCTCATGTGGGCTGTCTGAGGGACTGGGGATTTTAAAATATATAATTGGAAAGTTATTAGCAATTGACTTCCAATAAATTCATGTGAGGGGAGCCAGGGCCAATCAGGAAATTTCAGCCCATTTAGGCTAAAACACAGAGTTGGATCCTGAGTGTCTGGGCATGTGCGTGGGAAGAGTGAGGAGGTGGGAGGGGCTGAGATTTTAGGTGCAGAGCTGATTGTATCCAGACAGGCAGGGCTGTGGTTTCTGTTTCACTTTGTGTTCTGCAGACAAAGGCAACAGTAATAGTTATATCCTTTTAAACAGCAATTTGCAGTCGGTAATATCCTTTCCCCAGTCCGTCCTCACCTGACCCTCAAAACAGCCTTGGATGGAGGGGAAATGGTCCCACTCCCCAGGCTAGAGCTGCAGAAGGCCAGGGCGCTCCCTGCCGTGAGGGCCAGACATGGCTTGGAGCCCCACCGGTCCAGCTCCCGGCACCATGAGAACTTGCTGGAGCGGGGGGCATCTGAGAGTGAGTGTGTGTCCGGGAACATCCTACTTCTTTTCCCTCGAGTACGACACGCCCACTCTTGGAAGATTAGGAAGTAAAACATGATCTAGATGAGGGCATCAGTTAGCATCTCATCATCCTTCCTGGTTCACGCCAACCTTCCCGGCTTCTGTGTGTGTCTGCGACCTGCTTGTCTGGGAGCACCGTTCGGGGCACCTTTCCCTGGGGACAGCTGAGGTGGTGGAGCCACGTCAGCTGGGTGAGGGCTTCTTCGGGTGCTGAGTCCTAATCAGCGTCATCAGCCCCTGCATAAGCAGCTTCAGGGCTTTCACTCGGTCACTGCTGAGATGAACATCTTTGGGTCCCTGTAGCATTAGATCCTCAGGACACACGTTCGTGAAGTGCAATGGCCAGGCAACAGGGTGCTCCATTTGTACAGCTTTTCATTCATTGCTGGGGTGTCGGGCTCCTAGCAGCAGGTCCAGCCCAGTCCCCACAAGGAATGGCCCCTGCAGACCCCAAGTGCCAGCTCCAGGACTGGTGTGAGGGGAGCCCAGCTGCCTTGCCAGAGCCCCCTGCCCTCCTATCTTTGGGACATTTGCTCATCTGTGGCTGAGGGATGTTGTGTTCCCGCTGAGGGTGCTTGCCCACCAGGCACAGATGTAGAGAAGAGAGGAGAGGAGGCCCCTGAGTCCGGAGTCTGAGCAGGGATTCCAGGTGTTCCTCTGCTCTGGGTGGCAGCAGAGTGGGCGGCCGGCTTGCCAAGGCTTCAGGACAACCACGTCCGACAGGGAGTGGAGGGGAGGGGACAGGATTGACGTTCACAATCACGAGAAATGAAGATGTTGGCGGCTGCCTTTGCTGGCTCTGAGATGCCATTGCCTTCATTGAGGGACCGACTATTTTGATTCAGGCTAATGCTGCTGATGGGCGGGGTCTCCACTGAGAGCTGACTTATCTGGAGACCTTGCCCTGAGCCCCCAGGAGGGTGAGGGCCCCTCCTCAGTGCTCCCCGGGGAGACCCTGACCACCCAGTTCTGCGTGGAGTGGGGGAACCTGGACCCTGCCTCTGCCCCCAGAGAGGAAGGAGTGCCAGGCCTGCCACCTGCTCCGTGTCTGAGGGGAGCACAGGGGCCAGCAGGTGAGGCTCCCACCGAAGCAGTCCTGTGGGGAGGAGCAGGAGGCCTGGTGGATTCCACGTGCAGCTGGTCGGGCTCCCCGGACGTGTTTGAGACGGCAGCTGGTGTGCATATCTTCCAACCCAGCGAGGCATAGTGAGCCGGCCCCACGCTCCCGCCCAACAGTGACCAACAGGCCCCACGCTCCCGCCCAACAGGCCGTGAGCTCCTGTGGTGTCGTCAGGGTCCGAGAAGCCTGATTCGGGAATTCTGCCTGTCGTGAGCGGCCCTGAGAATTCACACAGTCAGTGGCCTCACTCCTCACCTCGACTTTTCATTCAACCAACACATCCAGTACCCGCCGTGCCCTGTACCGCCCCCCTCCGCCTCCTATCGTCCCGGGAGACTAGAGGTCACTTCCCTGCTTTACCCAGGAAAGAACCAGAATGCAGGTCTCTATGCCCACGGCCGTGCAGCGCCACGACCTCACAGGGCCTCCCGGGGCAGTCCCATGTGGGAGCCCAAGAAGGTGGGCATTGCGTTGAGCTGGGAGATCTCTGAACCCTGGAGAGTTCCCCAAAGCAGTGTTTTCTGATGGGACATACCCGGCTCCAGGAAGTCACCCCTGCCAACCTGCCTCAGGGTCTGAGGTGGTGACTGATCTCAGGGGCTCAGGTCAGGGGCAGGGGCAGGTGCAGGAGGCGGTGGAGGGGGAGAGGGGCAGTTTGAGCTCGAGGACCCGCCCCTGGGACTCTCTCACCTCTAGCTGCACAGAGTTGAAGAAGCTGCCCCACGGTGCAGAGTGACCAGGAAGTCTCGTTGATTTCTTGCCTTCCACAGGGGGACTCTAGCTGGCAACTTTGCTCAGGGACCCGGATTTTGGATTTTTACTTTATACACACCAGCCAGGGTGGAGTGTGGGCTTCTTTGGGACTTTTGACTTGAGGCAGAGTCTCCCATTCTGACTGGGGGCTGCTGTTTGAGACAGCTGGAGGCTGGGTGGATTAGCTGCTCACTCAGCTGATTCTCCTCCTCCTTCGAGACGCAGGGCCCTGATCTAGCTCACGCCCCATGGCTCCCTGAGGAGGTGGCAGACACCTGGAGACACAGGGAGAGGGAGAAAGGAAAGAAACCAGGCATGGGTGGAGCCTCCGCCTTGAGCGTCTGCCCACACCTGCGGGTGGTGCCAATTCCAGCCAGGAAATGCTTCTCCCAGCCTCCCCTCACCCAGGGCGCCCAGCCCCAAGCCCTCCATCTGGGCATCTTCCTAAGCATTGGGCCCCACGCCAGGGTGAGCCTCACCCGTTGCAGTCAGTGGGGGGACTGTGAGTGGGGACAGCAGGTCTCTGGGACAGGGAGGAGCCCCAGCTTTCAGGGAAGATGCCCTGCCCTGATTCTGGGGCTTTTCTGCGGGTGCTCCCTCCGCAGGAACGTCCCCTGGCACCCACCTTGTCCCCTCCCCCTCCACATGCCTTTCATTCAGGGTCAGCCAGAGAGAGCCTTCCCTTCGCAGACATCCTCATCCCTGGCACACCGCCTCCTCCTACCTCACAGCCGCCCCGTGGGACTCGTTCCTGATGATCCAGGCAGGGACGTCTGCCTCGCTCCCATTGACTGTCCCGCTGCCAGCATGGTGCTGAGTGCCCAAGGGTGCTTGGCACTCACTGGGCGAGTGGGTGAATGAATGACTGACTGAATGAATGATGTCCTCCCCTTCTCTGCACTGAGCCCACATCAACCAGCCCAGGAGGCTGGAGCTTTGTTTGCTCCGGCTCTTGCTCCTTCTGGAGCTGGGTGGGGAGAGAGAGCCTGGAGCGCTCTACAAGAACCATTCTCCTCTGCCTGGCGGACCCCTATACATCCCACAAGACCCAGCAGCCTGGGCATCAGAGGAGCTGTCCTTGAGCAGCACAGGTGCCCGCCCTGCCTCAGAGGAGCTGTCTCTGAAGGGCACAGGTGCCCGCCCTGCCTCATGGGAGCTGTCTCTGAAGGGCACAGGTGCCCGTCCTGCCTCATGGGAGCTGTCTCTGAAGGGCACAGGTGCCCGCCCTGCCTCATGGGAGCTGTCTCTGAGGGGCACAGGTGCCTGCCCTGCCTCACGGGAACTGTCTCTGAGGGGCAGAGGCACCCACCCTGCCTCTCATGCTGTGCCTTTGGCCTCGAAGGTGCTGTGCTCACTAACCAGTCACGCTCTCGCCACGTGTGCTGAGTGCCCCCTCCGTGCAGGGCTGGCCTCGCCATGTGGGCTCTGCCTGGGGAGGTGGCACAGACACGGTAGTGCAGCTGGCATGGGGTGGAGAGACACTTCTGCCACCCTCTGAGGGCTCCACAGCCGACCATGGGCTGATGAATAGCAGAAAATGTTCTCAAGGTGTCACTTGCACATGGCATCACAGGAAAGAAAAGCGAGTGCTGCAAACACCCCGGCTTCATTGAGGAGGGGTGGGGATATAGGCAACTTGGGGGGCAGGAAATGACCTTTGGGAAAGATGAATGGGCCCTCGGAACAGGTGATCGTCTGTGAACAAGACTTTCTGGGTGTGGCGTCGACCACTAGCCTTTTCTCCTGGGAGCCTGGGCTCATCCTCCTGGTTGATGAGATTCTCCTGCTCTCGGAGGCTCCGTCTCTGGGCAGGGGAGGGGCCCTCAGGAGCGCTGTTCTCTGCATCTGCCGTTGTTCAGCTAATCAACGCGCCAAGCAGCATCTTCTGGGGTGGTGTGTCCTGAACTCCTTCACTCACTTTCAATCTGAATAAATGCTGTGAAGAAAACAAAACAGACTATGGGGCAGGCAGGTGGCAGGGCCAGAGGCTCTTCTAGGCTGACCTGTCCCCATTGAGAGGCAGGGTCTGCGTCTTCCCCACGCTCTGACCTGTGACTTGCTGTCACCAACGGATGTGGTGAACACATAGGCTCGTTCCGGAGGCCCTGCAGCTTCCCCCACTTTGGGGACACTCACTCTGCCCCATAAGAAGTCCCACTGTCCTCAGATGGCCAGCCTGGGAGCCACGTGGATTTTCCCCAGGGATCGTGGACGGGCTCAGCTCCGTGGAGCCTCTAGACGGCGGCCCTGCCAAGCCCTGACAGAACCCCCTGTGGGAACTGCCCGGCCAAGTCCTCCCGAACTTTCGCCCCATAAGATGGTGGTACCAGTGAAGGATTTCAAAACACACTGCCCCAAAGCACGCCGCTTGGGCAGACAGAAAAGTTCCAACCAAAGGCACCTGAGGAGGAGCGCCACATGCAGGGCAGGCTCTCTGGCCTCCCTCTTTCTACCTAAAACAGGTCACAAAATCTCCTATGAGAAAGGTGCCCTTCCTGTGCCAGGAAGAGAGGAACATGTTGTGTAGACCAGGAGTCTACACAGAAGTGGATTTGCACAGACAAAGCTGTGGACACGGCCCTCCCTTCATTAGCCTCCCCCAGTCACGCACCCACAGCTTTCTGCCTTTAGCCCAAACCTCTTCTCCACAAACTGACTGCTTCTTTGTTTAAAAAGTTTATACGGGCCGGGCGCGGTGGCTCATGCCTGTAATCCCAGCACTTTGGAAGGTTAAAGCGGGTGGATCACCTGAGGTCAGGAGTTCGAGACCAGCCTGGTCAACATGGTGAAACCCTGTCTCTACTAAAAATACAACATAAGCCGGGCGTGGTGGCGGATGCCTGTAATCCCAGCTACTCGGGAGGCTGAGACAGGAGAATCACTTGAACCCAGGAGGTGGAGGCTGCAGTGAGCCAAGATTGCGCCACTGCACTTCAGCCTGGGCAAGACAGAGCGAGACCCTGTCTCAAGAGTAAATTAAAAAAAAAAAAAAAAAGTTTACATGCCCAGGGTCCTAACTGCCTCTTCACATCTTCATTTTTCTGATATGAGTCCTGCGTGCCTGTAAAAATCAATCAAACGTGTACGCTCTTCTCCTGTTAATCTTTTTGCCAGTTTAATTCTCAGGCTCAGCCACAGAACCTCCGAGGGTAGAGGAAAGATTTTCCTCCCTTGTGCTAGATGGAAAAGCCAGACTCACTCACTCACTCACTCATGCAGCCAACGTTTACTGAGTGACTATATGTGCAGGTGCAGGACCCAGGCCAGCACTGCGCTGGCTCCCGGCCGTTGCTATCTGCTTGGTAGCCTTGGCAAGCCCCTTCCCACCTGTGGGCATGGCTGTCTCCACCGGTGGGACCCCGTGGTCTTAGCAGCCTTTTCTCATCCAACGTCAGGATTGGCAGGTGTCTGACAGGCCCCAATGGTGTCAGCAGATCCAGGTTCTAGTCCAGGGGCTAGAGACGGAGAGTGTTGCTCTCCTCACGCCTGTATTGGGAGGGAACAGGGTACTCTAAAACCCAGGCATGCTTCCAGAAGACTGTGTGAGTTTCACCTGAGGCCATGCCCTGGAAAAGAGGAAAACACAGAGGTATTTGCAGATTTCACACCCGGAGTTTTGACTTCTCTTGTGTGAAAGGAACACCCTTGACCTGAGGCAGTTCCTCTGTCGGAGCCCAGGGGGTCTCGACCCAGCATCTCACGGGTCCTGCGGGTTCTGGCCTGGTGCCTGGGTAACCTCGAGGAGGCCTGGAGGTGGGGCTTAAACTTGAGATTTCAGTTCACTGCTTTTGGAGTGGGAACTTGCTCTCAATGATGGGGTTTGCAATGTTTTGCAAGGTTCTCAAGAGACAGTGAATGCCACAGGACCCCTGCCTGCCTGTCAGCATCCTGGGGGCGCCAATAGTGCCCTGAAAAAAAAGAAACTAGCAAGTTAATGGCAGGTGCTTCCAATAAGCACTAGGGAGGCAGCTCCAAGCCTCCAGCCTCTCGGGGCCCACAGCACAGGCAGCCGCCTGGCAGCCTCCCGTGCTGGCTGTCTCAGGCAGCCCAGGAGTGGTGGGGGACGGGGTGGCGGGGGACCAGGGGCTGCCGTTTCACTTTTCAGGCTGTAACCTTGGCTTCTTGCCATTGAGTCTAGGCAGCCACATTTATCAGGCGGCAGAGTGGCTCCCCACTTGCATGCCCCCCCCCCCGGTTTATTTAATCAATTCCTATCGTCTGACCTTCAGGTTGACCCTGCTTTTCTGCTATTCCAGACAGACACAGCCAGGGACACAGGTGCAGCTGAACTCCTGACTGAATTCAGCAGTAAAAACTCTGAAGACCGCCCTGCCTCACCTCCTGTTGATGTGGCCTTCAGGGTAAACTCCCTCTCTGGACCCTGAGGGGATCAGCCTGAGGCACCCCAAAATATGCCATTTGGCATGAGGATGATCTCGAGCTGAAAGTAGTTAAGGGTCTGCAGGTACAGGAAGAGTTCTGTGCCCTCCCTCTTTCTGCCTAAAATCAGGACACACACCTTGCTTTGGGAAGGTGGCCCCCTCTCCTGCACCAGGATAAGGAGACCTTTTATCACTGGAGATGCAGTCGGCCCTAGATGAGTCTGCAGAAACGGGTCTCAGTAAAATAATCCTTAACCTCCATTAGTTCCCCCCAATATTTCCTACTCTCTTTCCCAGATGTATCACCCGCTAGAAGATGGAACCCCTTTTCCTTTGCTAAAATGGCATATAAGGCCCTGGATCTTACTGCTTCTCTGAATTTCACTTCTTTTCTGCGAACTCTGTGCTAACTGTTCATGCAATTTGTATTCTTTTCTGTTCATCTTTCTTTTACCAGTCAATTTGCAGCTCCCCAGGTACCAAACCTAAGAGGGTGGATGAATTTTTCCTCCCTGACAACTGTCACAATCTTTGATGATATGTATGGCAGTATGCAGCTTTTATTTTTGTGAGAAACAAACTCACCCGTCCAAACCCGAAACGTGGACTCAGAGACCCGGAGAACAGCAAAAGTGAGACTTTTAATGATGATTTTGCAAGATCAGGTGTCTGATGAGCAGGCACACCCACCACAGTTTCAACAAGTAATTTATTCCCTAGCGCACGGGCCCCTTGCCCGGTTCCTCATAGGCTGAGTACTGTGGGGTCACAATCTTCCTGGATGTCGCCTGTTGGTTGTTGGGCAGGGGCTTTAGGTGTCTTCTTTAGGGTGGTCTTGCTGCATTTTGCTGCAACCCACAATGCATTGCAATCCTAGTCACCTCAGGGGCTCTTCAAGTATTTGACTTATGACTTAAGTAGCTGGGCAGGCTGATAAGAACAGACAAAGTGAGCTATTTTGCAGACTAGTAAACTTTCCTTTTAGACTAAACTTCTTTGGTTCGGGTGAGAACAACTAAGGGGTTGGCTGGTGACAAGCAGGTGTTGGCTATCCAAGCAGGGGCCTAGTATATCCTGTTTCTTCGGTAGCTTGCTGACCTAAACCCATTCAAGGCCCTTTGTCTTGGAAATGGACCACTATAGACATGATTTCTTTCAATTCCCTCCTCGTTTTCTTTTTAACCCTATTGGTCCCATTTACACATTGATTTTTGTGTCCTTTGGTTCTTAAATTTATTAGGTATTCTTTTAGGGACTCCTATTGAGTTCATATAAAAGTTGGGATTAAAATAATTTGTTAGATCTTTCCAACTTTAGTGGCTGTGTGGATTCTCAGAGATCTTATGGAATGCCAGGGTGAATGGAATGGCTAATAGAGCTAAGGCACAAGTCCTGGTCCAGTTGGACGGTAACAGGTCATGGAGGCTCCTCTTCCCACAATACCACCAGACATCAGCCCGGGGTTATGAAGAGCCGAGTCGTTGCCTTTGTTGGACTCACTGGTAATATTTAGGATGTGGGTACAGGTTGAGAGTTCTCCCATGGACTTATTGAACTCTGCCGCCTACCTAGAGAGGCAAGAGGGGTGGTTCATATTCCCTGTGGAGAACGAGGGAATTGCTCTAGGGTCTGATCTCTGCAAGGCAGGAAAGAGCAATGATAAGACTTTTGCAAGTCTCATTTCCCCATGCATCCCTGTCCTGGTATAGAGCCAACATGCAATGCATTCCTTTGGGACTGGTTTCCCAACCTAGGGGAAACGGAACCACCTGTGCCTGAGGCCACCCAGCAGATCATGCGTAACAGTCGCTCTTATTAAGAGCTAGTAGGAGGCCCGGCGCGGTGACTCATGCCTGTAATCCCAGCAGTGTGGGAGGCCAAGGCGGGAGGATCGCCTGAGGTCAGGAATTCGAGGCCAACATGGTGAAACTCAGTCTCTACTAAAAATACAAAAAAAAAAAATTAGCCAGGCGTGGTGGTATGTGCCTACAATCCCAGCTACTTGGGAGGCTGAGGCAGGAGAATCACTTAAACCCGGGAGGTGGAGGTTGCAGTGAGCCGAGATTGTGCCACTGCACTCCAGCCTGGGCAACAGAGTGAGATTCCATCTCAAAAAAAAAAAAAAAGAGCTAGTACTGAAAATTTGACCCATTCAACTCAGGCATTTACATCCCCATATCCAGTCTCGATTTCTAAAGTTGGCCTTAAGTCAGTTATCTTTATTATTTTTACTCACTTAGGGTCGTTGTCTGGTGGGTTGAAGGAAGTAGTGGGACCAGGGGTTATAGTAATCCTGGGTGGGCTTGGGGTGGAATTGGTAACATGCCTAAGAGCTAATTGTTCCACGGGATCCCTTCCTGAGATATCTATTCCTGATCCATACCTCCCGGGTTCCCGGTCTAGGGTAGCTGGGTTGTTTATGGTACTTCATGTAGGATTGAATGCTAAATTTCTACAATTGGGTGGCTTGGAGCTTTTATACAAATGTATTTTATTCTTTAAGGGTTTGTTTTGGAAGAGTGACTCACCCAGTCTCGAAATTGAGTGGTCCATTAGACCTTATTCCAGCTAGCACAGGGCTTTCCCCAATAGCGACCTGTTTCAGGACCTAGATATTTGTTTGCTTATGACTGCTGCCTTTGGTTGCCTAAATTCCCATAATGTAAGATTTGGCAGGCATTGAACTTTATGGTCTGGGGGGCGGGCGAGGTCTTAGTTACATTGACTATTAGTTTGATTGGATATTCCTTACTTTCTACCCCTAGTGCTGGGCCCTATCCAATACCGAGGTCTCCTTTCACCCTTCGTGTTAGGATTGATCCTAACCATATCCACCTGCAATGACAGAGCCTGCTCATAGCTTCCTTCTAGGTTTTCCTTAGAGTTAGCTTCAGAGTTCCTTAGGTGATCTACACACTTCCCATTCCCCCTTTCCCTTCCTTCCGGGGATTCTTTTTACCAGTCTCTTGACCCGAGTGTCATGTGTCCACCCCCATCCAGCTGTTTGTACAGCTGTCTCAGTCGTCAGGAGAGCTTGATAGGGACCTTCCCAGCTTGGGCGGAGCTTGTCTTCTTTCCAAGTCTTAATTAGCACCGAGTTGCCAGGCTGGAAGTGGTGACCCATGAACTCAAGAGACCCAGGAGTCCTTTCACCCTAATGGATGACAGGGTGGAGAATATGCCAGTATTTTATATTTATTTATTATTTATTTTGAGACAGAGTCTCGCTCTGTCGCCCAGGCTGGAGTGCAGTGGTGCCATCTCGGCTCACTGCAAGCTCCACCTCCCGGGTTCACGCCATTCTCCTGCCTCAGCCTCCTGAGTAGCTGGGACTACAGGTGCCCGCCACCACGCCTCTAATTTTTTTTTTTTTTTTTTTGTATTTTTAGTAGAGACAGGGTTTCACCGTGTTAGCCAGGATGGTCTTGATCTCCTGACCTCGTGATCCCCCCACCCGCCGGCCTCCCAAAGTGCTGGGATTACAGGCATGAGCCACCGCACCCGGCCTGCCAGTATATAATTTCTTAAAAATTGGTCTTCGTTTTCCATAGTAAGAAGATCATTAGTCCCAGCTAAATATGGGAATCCATATAGTAACTGGTAAGGGGACAATCCCAAATCTTTCCTTGGGGCTGTCCTAATCCTAAGAAGTTGCTACTGGGAGTCATTTGCTCACAGGCATTTTAGTTTCTAAGATTAGTTTAGAAATATGCTTTTAGAGAGTCTTATTTATTCTTTCTACTTTTCCAGAGGAGGGAGGATGCCAAGGGGTGTGGTAATCCCATTTAATGTGTAAACCTTCCATAATTCCCCTTAGCACCCCTGAGGTAAAGTGGCTTCCATTGTCTGAATTTATATTTATTTAACGAGGCCAAATCTGGGTATGATTTGTTCTAAGATTATTTTGACCGCATGCCTCGTGGTGGCATTTGGGCGGGGGAAGGCCTCCACCCAGCCGGAGAGGTGGTCTCCCATTACCAGGAGATACTTCAGTCTCCCTATTTGGGGCATTTCTGTAAAATCTACTTGAATGCTTCGAAATGGACTTAACCCAGGATGTCTTCCTCCGGTAGTCTGTTTTCTAACTACCTTTTTGTTTATTCTCTGGCAGGTCACATAACCCCCACACACTTGTTTAGCCAAGGGTAGAAATCCCTACACACCCATAATTCTCGAGTGTTGCATCACACGTGGCCGGGGGACCCCAGTGACTCCCCTGATGCACTGCGGACATCAGTGTGCTTATCATTTCTCTCCCACCTCCCATTCTTAGTTTGAGTGGCCCTATCTTGCCCAACTTTTCCTCCTCCTCCCTAGAAAATTAGGGTCTTAATATCACCTTAAGGATATCTGGGATTAGGCTAAACACTCTAACTCCTTCCTCCAGGGAGGCTTGCATAGCAGCTTCATCCACAAACCTGTTCCCTACAGCTTCTGCAGTGTTTCCTCTCTGATGGCCATTTACATGAACTATGGCTACCTCTGCTGGAAGCAGGAGGCTTCCTAAAACGTTTGACCTGTTCCCCATGTACCAATTCTTTCCCGCTGCTATTTATTAGGCCCCACTCCGTCCAGATCTTTCCAGAGGTGTGCACCACTCCATAGGCATATTTGCAATCAGTATATATAGTGCCTTCTTGGCCTTCTAGGAGCTTTAGGGCCTGGTTAAGAGCATACAACTTCCAGGTTTGGGCTGATCAGTTATTGGGTAATTTACGTTTTTCATATAAAGATTGTTAGTTTTCATTAACGACAGCATAGCCATTGTGTCTTTTACCATCTATCACTCGGGATGACCCATCCGCAGACAGCCTCATCCCATCATGCAGGTTCTCTAAGGCCTGGTCTCACTTTAGTTTGCTATGCTATGACAGCCAAACAGTTATGGTTTGATGTCTCCTCATTCTTCTTTCCTTTCCATAAGAAACTGGCTGGATTTAAGCAACTATCTGTTGTTAAGACAAAATTATCTTTTTTTTTTAGAAATATGGTTTCATATTTTAAAAGTTGGGAATCAGTCAACCATCTCCCAGCTCTTTGACTGAATACATTCCTGACCTGTGTTCACTACCAGGGCCCCACCAAAGGTCAGCTTCTGACACTCCTCTACCAGCAGGGCCATGGCAGCTACTGCTTACTTGCACTTTTGTCTCTGTCCCCCGTTTTTTTAATGGCCTCTCTCTTTTCCTCTTGTATTCTTCCCCCTTTTACATTATCTCTCTCCCGAGTCCCACCTTGTGTGTCCCTCTTTGATCTCTTTCTTTTCCAGTCTCTCTCTCGCTCATTTTCTTCTCTCTCTTTCTCTCTTTTATCCCCTTCTTCCTTTATCTCTCACACTCAGTTTCTCCCTCTTTCTCTCTCTCTGGGTACCAGCGCGCCCACCATGTGAAGCAACAGCTTACTCGCATTAGCTCTCTCACACTGTCCACCTTTATCTCGGCTGCCATCTGCTTCGGCTCTGCGGCTCCCGCCGCCCTATACCTGCAGCTGCACGGCGGCTCTCCCTTGCCTTCGGGGCCAGCAGATGAACTCTTTCTCTCTCTGGGCAGCAGCGTGAGCCATGCCGTGGCTCCCCTCTGTCCAACTGCGAGACGGACAGCTTTGGCTCTCTACATTTGCCATTTCCTCCCCTTTCTCTTTCCGATTTCCCTTCTTACTTTTTTCTCTTTCTCCCTTTCCTAGTTTCTCTTTTCTTTCTTCTTACAAAAACCTTCTGAGCGTCCCTCAGTAACTCCTTAATAAGTTTTTCATCCCATCCGTCAATCTTTTGCAGTTTCTTAGTAGTATCAGGCCAGCTTTTAGTTACGAAATTAGCCTTTAAAAGGCCTTGCCCTACTGGGTCCTCTGGGTCTAATCCTGAATATTTTCTCATTTGAACCCTGACCCTCTGCAGAAACGCAGAGGGAGTTTCCTCTTTTTCTTGTTGAATCTCAAATGCTTTTGAGACATTTTGTGTTCTAGGAGTGGAATTTTTAAATCCCTCTAATTATTAGTTTCCTCAGGTCCTGCATTTGGGCCCAGTCCCCGGGGTTACTGTCACCCCACCCGGTCCCCGGGGTTACTGTTATCCCATCTGGGATTTGCATCTGGGGATTTCTGCTCAGCTGGCAGGACTCCTTGCCCGGGACGATACTGTCTCTCCCAAATGGTCATGGCTGCCCTTCTAGTCATTCCCCTCTCTTCCTGAGTAAACAGAATATTCATGATTGACATTATCTTAGCCCAAGCGTCCAGGAACCCCTGTTTATCCCCAGCGCATCCAAAGAGCGCATTCGGAGCAGAGAGGCGGGGAACTCCAGAGCAGACACAGCCTTCTCACCCAGTTTGGTGAAGTTGGATGCAAGTGTGGATGTGGTTTCTAGTTTCAGGAAGGGCTGGGATAACCACGGTGCAGCCTTCAAGTCCAGGACTTGTCTGGAGGTGCAGCTGTGAGGAGCCCACGCTGGGATGGCAGAGTCCTGTGGCAGGAATCATCCTGCCTATAGCGCTCTCTCGGAGGGCTTGGTTTCCACGGGTTGGCTTCCCCAGCTCTGTGGAAACAGAAGGTCCTTGGCCGAGGGTGCCATGCTTGCTTTGCTTATCTCTACGTGCCTTAAATAGCAGCTCATGCACAGCGGATGCTGGCAAAGGTACTGCTGGACTGACATGATCTCTCATTCTTGGGCGAGTTGTTGTCCCACCTAATGTGGACTGAGCTCATGATAAATTCCCAAGAAATCTTTGCTGATTGTTTTTGTAGCAACCTGGCTTTTATTAGGAGATAGAAACCACACTGTAGGTTAAACAGGGGAGTTGAACATAAAGAATTATTAATGATGATACAAGAAAAACTGTAAACTATAAGGAAACTCTAGATGGTCACCTAGGGCCCAGGGGAGGAGAAACCTGGAGGCACTCAGACCTCCTTAGGGAAGGTGTGGTTGATTCAGCCGAGAGGGGCTCTGGTTTCCATGCCAAGAGGGTTATGGCCAGGCTGAGGCCAGAAGGTCTCAGGGGGACTGTGTTCGGGCCTGTGGCTGGGCTGGGCTCCCCCGGTGTCCTCCCACCCATCTGCAGCCCCTGGCCAACACAGAGGCCTCAGGAGAGCTTCTCCCTCCTCTGAAAGCCTTCTGCTGATGAAGTTTAACACCGCACTCCTTTTCAAGGAGATGAGCGTCCAGGAACCCCTATTCATCTCCGAGGGCACCCGAAGAGCGCATTTGGAGCAGAGAGGCGGGGAACTCCAGAGCAGACACAGCACAGCCTTCTCACCCAGTTTGGTGAAGTTGGATGGAAGTGTGGATGTGGTTTCTAGTTTCAGGAAGGGCTGGGAAAACCACGGTGCGGTCTCCATCCCCTCTCTTCTGTGGCATAGATTTCGGCGAATCAATGCCTACCTTGGGAGTAAACAGGATGGTGCTATTTCCTCAACAAACTTTCTCTCCTGCCCCATTTATAACACAACACGGAACAATTAGTCATCACGGCCTCATCAAGGAAAACAATCAATCTTTCTGAAGTGCTCACATCAGACCTCGAACATCAAACAGTTTAATTCCAGATTAAACACAGCAACAGGGTTTTCATGAGGCTCTTCATTCCGAAGCAAAGTCATTTCGGGTCACTGGCGGAGTGCATTCAATTAGCCTGATCCGAGGGTGGTAAACAGTCCAGGAGGGGTGCCTTTGCATCAGCAACGGCGGGGCCTGTCTGTGCTCGCGTGATCAGGAGCCCCCGGATCTGTGTATAACGAGGAGCGTCGCTGAGGTCTGAGGGGTCCTGGAGAGCAGACTGGAAGGGAGGACCCTTGGAGATCACCTGCGTCAAACTGTCCATTTTACAGACAGAAAACTGGGCCCAGAAGGTCCAGGCTCACAGAGCGCCAGCTATTTATGAAACTGATGGGCGTTTGCTCCAGTCACAGAGCACAGCTACGGAGTCAATACGGATATGCACTCATTCAAGGCACTCATTTCTCATGATCCAACAGACTCGTTGAGGCCTGTGATGTTCCCAGCAAGTAGGAATTAGCCTGATAGGCCTAGAATAATGGAAGCTCAGGACTCGAGAAGATGGTGTCAGTACCCTGGTCGCTCCAGGCACCATCCTACTTTTGGAAGCCAATCTCAGCGTGGATCCCTCCAGCGACTTGCAGGGCAGCTGCGGGCCAGGCCTGGCAGGGGGTTGAAATCCTATCACTGAGCCAGGATAGCGGAATGGGACCGCCACTCTTCATTATGGTTGCTGATTGGATGTTGAAGGCAGGACTCCACTGACAGCTAGGTTCTACCCTTGGGTCTTCCCTGACTGCTCCGTCCCTAACCGCTGCTGGGCTCTGGATCGCCTCTGTGTCCTCTTGCGCAGCCCGCAGCATGTATGGCCATTCTCCTATTAGAGGCACTCCTCACCCGGGTTTTGGCTGTAATGAATACACCTGCGACGGGCATTCCCACGCAGGCTCCGCGGGGACCTGTGTGCGTTCCTCCCGGGTAAATGCCTGGGAGCGGCATCACTAGGTCCTGTGGGAACTGTGTCCCAGTTGGTAAGAAGCCACAACCTGCTTTCCAAAATGGTCATTCTGTGTTCCGAGCGTTCTGGTTGTTCCCTGCGCACACTTGGCGTGGTCAGGCCTTGAGCGTCAGCCGTGCTGGCGGGCGTGCTGGGGAGCAGAGGCGGCTTCATGTGCACTCCCTGGTCCCCGAGGAGGCCGTGCATTTCCTCGTATGCGCGTTGACCGCTCTTAGACCTTTGTAAAGTGTCTGTCTGAGTCTTCTGCTCACTTCTCCTTGGGTTGTTTGTCCTCCTGTGAGGCAGCTGAAGGGGTTCCATACGTGGCAGGATATGGTCCCAGGTGGGATCCGAGCTTGGGGACTTCCTCCCAGTCTGCGGCTCCCAGGGGTTTCTGAAGTAAAATGAGATGCAGGATACACGGGGGCCGGGCCTGCAGCGGCCGCTCAGAAAACGAAAGTGGTGCCTGTTACCAGCTCCTCCTGCCTGCCTGCCACGGACCCCTTGCCCGCATGAGCCCTGAGCCTGCATGTCAGGGAGGAGTTGTCTGTGAGACTCCTCAGGGTGGCTCCGGGGAGGTCTGGGCCTTCGTTTCCCTCTGCAGACTGCGGGGGATGATGGCGACCTGGGCCAGCCCTTCCAGTTAGGGCCCTGCGGCTTGCCTCTGGAGAAAAGGGGAGGTCTCCCTCCCAGGCCGCTTGGTGGGTGATGTCTCAAACAGGCTGGAAGACAGAGAGAGAGACAGAGAGAGAGAGAGAGAGAGACAGACAGACAGAGAGACAGAGAGACAGAGGGACAGACAGAGAGGCAGAGGGACAGAGATAGATAGAGACAGAGAGATACAGAGAGAGCGACAGAGACAGAGATAGAGAGACAGAGACAGACAGAGACAGAGAGAGATAGAGAGAGCAACAGAGAGAGAGCAACAGAGACCGAGATAGAGACACAGAGAGACTGACAGAGAGACAGAGAGAGACACAGTATGAGGAGAAGGAGGGGGAGAGACAGATGCTGCCTGAGCTCTCCACAGAACTCCTTCTCACCAGGAACGCTGGCAGATGGAGAGCCCCTTGTCCACCTGACCCTTGGGTGGTGGGGGGGGTCCACTGACCTTGTTCCCAGGCCCATCCCCACATGTCCTCTCCCCCCACAGGTGCCCTCTGGGGTCCTGGCATTGCACAGTGGCAGAGCTGCGAGGAGCCTCCGTGAGTACCCAGCTCCCCTCACACTCAGGAATGAGGAGACAGGCCCAGGAGGCAGTGCTGGGCCCCAGGTCCTCGGCTGCTCCTTGGGCCCCTTGGGCCGGAGCTGCTCTGGGGGGCTGGAGCGCTGCAGGGCACCCTCCTGTCCGGCCTCTGCCTCCTTTGCTCTGCCAATAGCCAAGTGTACTGGTTCCAGAGACATTGGCTAAAACAAAGAAGATTCTGGAGGAGAAGAGGAAACAAAAGAAGGGGAGGGAGGCCTGGGGGAGGATGGGGGTTCGTTTGGGGAGGAGGAGCCCTATCTGGAGAGGTGTGAGGCGCGTGTGCAGCCAGGGGCCCAGAATCCATGGGCACGCCCCACGCGGGCTGGCTGGCTAGCTTTGTGAGCCTCAGTTTCCCTGTCTATAAAATGGGGAGCATGTAACCACAGTCCTCATGGGGGAACCGTGTTGGGACAGTGCGGGGCAGGGGCTGCCAATGGGGCAGTCGCAGGCTGTGCACGTGTCACGTGTGCACATGCCTGTGTGTGTGGGGATGCGTGTGCACCTGTGTGCCTGGGGACCCATGTCACGTGTGCACATGCCTGTGTGTGGGGGGATGCATGTGCACCTGTGTGCCTGGGGACGCGTGTCACGTGTGCACATGCCTGTGTGGGGGATGTGTGTGCACGTGTGTGCCTGGGGACGCGTGTCACGTGTGCACATGCCTGTGTGTGTGGGGGATGTGTGTGCACCTGTGTGCCTGGGGACGCGTGTCACATGTGCACATGCCTGTGTGTGGGATGCGTGTGTACGTGTGTGCCTGGGGATGCGTGTCACGTGTGCACATGCCTGTGTGGGGGATGTGTGTGCACGTGTGTGCCTGGGGACGCGTGTCACGTGTGCACATGCCTGTGTGTGTGGGGATGTGTGTGCACGTGTGTGCCTGGGGACGCATGTCACGTGTGCACATGCCTGTGTGTGGGGGGATGCGTGTGCACCTGTGTGCCTGGGGACCCATGTCACGTGTGCACATGCCTGTGTGTGGGGGGATGCGTGTGCACCTGTGTGCCTGGGGACCCGTGTCACGTGTGCACATGCCTGTGTGTGGGGGGATGCGTGTGCACCTGTATGCCTGGGGACCCGTGTCACGTGTGCACATGCCTGTGTGGGGGGGGATGCGTGTGCACCTGTGTGCCTGGGGACGCATGTCACGTGTGCACATGCCTGTGTGTGTGGGGATGCGTGTGCACCTGTGTGCCTGGGGACCCGTGTGACGTGTGCACATGCCTGTGTGTGGGGGGATGCGTGTGCACCTGTGTGCCTGGGGACGCGTGTCACGTGTGCACATGCCTGTGTGGGGGATGCGTGTGCACCTATGTGCCTAGGGACGCATGTCACGTGTGCACATACCTGTGTGGGGGGGATGCGTGTGCACGTGTGTGCCTGGGGACGCGTGTCACGTGTGCACATGCCTGTGTGTGTGGGGATGCGTGTGCACCTGTGTGCCTGGGGACCCGTGTCACGTGTGCACATGCCTGTGTGTGTGGGGATGCGTGTGCACCTGTGTGCCTGGGGACCCGTGTGACGTGTGCACATGCCTGTGTGTGGGGGGATGCATGTGCACCTGTGTGCCTGGGGACCCGTGTGACGTGTGCACATGCCTGTGTGTTGGGGGATGCGTGTGCACCTGTGTGCCTGGGGACCCGTGTCACGTGTGCACATGCCTGTGTGGGGGATGCGTGTGCACCTGTGTGCCTGGGGACGCGTGTCACGTGTGCACATGCCTGTGTGTGGGGGGATGCGTGTGCACCTGTGTGCCTGGGGACCCGTGTCACGTGTGCACATGCCTGTGTGTGGGGGGATGCGTGTGCACCTGTGTGCCTGGGGACCCGTGTCACGTGTGCACATGCCTGTGTGTGGGGGGATGCATGTGCACGTGTGTGCCTGGGGACGCGTGTCACGTGTGCACATGCCTGTGTGGGGGATGCGTGTGCACGTGTGTGCCTGGGGACGCGTGTCACGTGTGCACATGCCTGTGTGTGTGGGATGCGTGTGCACCTGTGTGCCTGGGGACCCAGAGGTGAAATCACAACCACCTGAGGTCCCCAGCACCACCTGCCCCCGAGCTCCAGCCCAGGCACCTTGCCTTGCTTTCATCCCAGAAAGGGGTGACTGCAGGCCGGGGCTGCCCTGGTGCAAGGATTTCATCCTAGTACCCATGGCCATCAGGGGAGGCAGCTGGGGCCAGAAATGGGCACCCAGGGACCAGGAGGAGCCCTCTGCGCTATGCCTTCAGCCCTGCCTAAAGGGCATCCCCAGGGAGGCAGGCTTCTCTGTCCAAGCCCCAGCCAGAGCACAGCACAGACTGTTCTGGTCCAATCCAGCCCCCCACCCCCACAATTTGAGGGCAAAGAATGAAGGCCTCCTGACGGGGGCTGGGCATTTGCCACGAAGCCTCATTAACTTGGACACTGTCCTCATTCCACAGGGCAGCACAGCCCCTCAATGTTGGAAAACGGTGGCAGAGCCTCAGATACCTGCCGGGAGTTGGAGGACTGGGATCTGTCCCATCCCGTGGCCTCTGGGCTCACACAGGGTCCCAGCCACAGCCCTGGCAGCCTGGGCTTGATTCCATCTTCTTCCAATGAGAAGAATGTGTTCCTTCCTGCTGACCTGCGGGATTGGAAATGCAAGTGAAATCGCTGTTCCGACGCACAGGTTGTCCACATTATTAATAATAGATGGCCAGTGGGTGAATTATTTTCAGTGGGGGATTATTTTCAGTGGGGGAATTATTTCAACCATCCCACCCAACGTGCAACCTCGGGCCAGAACTGGTCCAGGAATGATCGAGTAAAAGTTTATGATAAAAATATCCAAAAATTGAGGAACTCTATAGCAATTTGACAGGATAATTGTGTCTGTTGAATCTCATACTAAAACATGATGGCTTAAAATGTGTGTGTGTTTTTTTTAAACTAATATATATATATTTTACTTCATTTTACTAGTATTGGTCTGAGGTAGATTGGAAAAGCTTCAGTAACCAGTCTTTGCCACAGAGGATTTGAGAAGCATAGACTTAAACTGTAAAGAATCACCTTCTTCAGCAAAGCAGTTTGGAGACAGCTACGGAGCTGAGTGCTGCAAGAGTGTGGGCTCCGGCACGGGCGTCCCACCCTGGGATGAATCCGGTGCAGGCTTTTCTGAGAGTAATGTCATAAATGTGTCAGCTGCTCTAACAAAGTAACCGTCCTTTGATCAATCCTCTGAGACGTGGAAAAAGGCATAACCACCAGGACATCCGCTGAGCAGCGTCTGAAAGAGTGAAAAACCCAGAAATGGCATGAACGCCCCACAGCAGAGGAGGGGCTGAGAGGGCAGCTCATGCACAGAGCGAGGCATGAGGCAGCCGCTGACGACGGTGCAAACTCGGTTTTGTAGAAGAGCATTCACCAGGAGAAACTGTTCCTGCCTTCATTTATTCATCAAATGTTTACTGATAACCTACAAAGTGCCAGGCAGGTGCCTGGAAGATAGACTGTATTTATTTTAAAAACAGCCTTTGAAACACTGGAACGCATGGTCGCAAGCTGATGAAAAGAAAAGTGCATCTATGCACGGGAAGAGCTAGAACGCTGTGCTTGCAGACGTCACCTGTCACTTGCTCTCGGAGTGGGATTGTGGGCATGTACCTTCTCTTTGGACTTTCCGATATGTTCCATGATGTTCTCTGATGAATATACGGTTTATGAAATTAGACTGCGAAATATGTGCAGTGAAAACAGTCTCCATTTGCATGTTAACACGGCGTGCGGCAGGAAGCATCCTGCAGGTCACTCTGATTTTTTCCAGGACTGCCCAGGGCTCTTGTCCTCAGGGCACCCACCTGCCCATGTGCTCCCTACCCAGCCTGAACCTGAAACAGGCATCCCAGTTCCCCTCTGGCACTGCATCCAAAGGCCCAGCTCGAGGTCTCTTTTCCCAGGTCCCTGTGCCAGCCCCTGACCCTGCCCCTTCCCCAGGAGCAGATCCATGGCTCTCCTGCTGCCCCACAGGCCTCATCCTCCAGTTCACTGGCTTTCAAGGGCCAAGGCCAGAGCACCCAACAGGACTGCCCCCTCCTGCCGAGGCCACCTGAGTGCCTGCCTCTGTGTCCTCCTGCATCTCAGCTGCAGCCTCCACCTGGCCTCAGCTCCAGGCCCAGCCCCAGACACCTGGACCCCACCTGGCAGCCACAATGGTTTGGACATGCAGGATGGGCACTGCACCACCGCCATGCACCCTCCAGGGAGCTCCGGCTGTGCTTGGGCTTAACCCCAACCTCCTTCTGCCAAGGAGGCCCCCAGAACAGGCCCTGACCACCTGTGCTGTTCCTGCGTCCCCGATGGACTGGGCTGAACATTGGTCAGGCCCTTGCTTCAGGAGCCTTGTGCTGCTCCTTCATGAGGCTGAGGCATTCCTCAGAGTTCAGCTTGGATGCCACCTCCTCCAGGAAGCCTCCCTGGTTTTTCCCCTCCATCCTTGAGAGGAGATGAGCTGTTCCTCGTCTGTGCTCATGCAGCCTGCACCTCCCCTACTCCAGGCCCTGCACTGTGGGGGCCGCCTGGCTTCTCTGTCCCCACCAATGGCAATTCCATGAGGTCACATGTGTCTTAGTCCCGGCCCTTGGCACCTGGCACAGAGCCTGGTGTGTAGGGGAGCTCTGAATGTTTGCAGATAAATGCTCCTGGAGTGTGCAAGTGGACTCGGAATACACACGGAATATACACAAACATTTAGGTGCTGTGTCCTCCTGGGGGACTCTGTGTGCTCGGCACCAGGAGGTAGACTCCCTGCAAGCCACTAGGAGGATCTCCGTGGAAAGGGCAGGGCATCTTTGTGAGCAGCTCCTCCTCCTCTCCCGCCCCAGCCTTGGTGCTAAAAAACCCCTCCTGTCCCTGCCTGAGGTCTCTCAGGAAGCACCGGGTGCTGTGAAGCTCGCACCTGGCCTGGCCCCAGCTTGTCACGCTGCCAAGCGTCTGACGTCACCTCTTGGCAACAGAACAGCCAGAACCAGGCTGGGTGGCTGGATATTAAAGAGCCACAGACAAACCCTGAGTGGATTGTCTCAGCGAGTTTTAAAGCACTCGCCTCTCTCCGCTCGACCCCCCCACACACGTGCTGGTTGTGAAATCGAAGGAGGCCTTGCGCTTGGGGTTTTGCCGTATTTCTGTTCTCCATCCCTCACCTCCAAAACTCAAGTGAATAGGCCAGATGCGGTTGCCACAGCAACCCCCTCTCCTCCAGCAGCTTGCGCTGGAGTTTTCAGCTTAATCTTCCTGGAAGTATCTGGGCACCAGAGTGCTGTTTAGGAGAACGGGGGCCATGTGGTGGGGAGGCCCTGCCTCCGCCTGCCTGCTGCCACCTTCACTTCTGGGGGTTTAGGAAGCTATGACTAGGGTAGTTACAGTGCTTTCTGGAGTGGGCAGCCACCTGGCAAAGTGATGACGGGGAGACCATGGGCTGCCCTCCAGAGCCCGAGGTTGGCTGGGACTTGGCCCTCCCTCCCCACGAGGAATCCAAGTCAGTCCTCTCAGCCCACGGAGGTGGGGAAGGTGTCCCATTATGTCTTTTGCAGATGGGGACCTGCTCAGGGACACCAGGTCAGGGAGGGGCAGAGTTAGGCCTGGACCCAGCCTGTGGCACTTGAGGGCCCCCCCGGGACCTCCAGGTACACAGACCCTGCCTCACCTTGTGACCCTTCTCTGCAAAGCTGACCCCGTCTGGGTGAGCCCAGCAGCTGCCCGAGGCCTAGAGCCAGTAGTAGCCTCCCGAGGCCAGTCTATTGGAGCTGACAGCTCCTCCTGCAGGCTGAGGCTGGGAGGTGGATGCCCCGACCGCAGGCCTTAGCATGGATCCATGGGCCCCTCAGAGACCCCCAGCGCCACTGGGTGTAGCCAGCAGCAAGGTGGTTCTTCAAAAAGCCTCCCCTGAGTGATCTGGGTGGGGGTGGTGGCTTTCCAGCGTTGGGGGGACGCTCAATTAACCTGCAATGACGCCCAGAGTCAGGCTGCTCAGCACGTGTGGCTCCTTGAATCTAAATTAATAAAATTCAATACAATTAGAAATTCGGTTTCTCGGCTGCACTGACATTTCAAGGGCTCAAAGGCCACATGTGGCTTGTGGCCGTCCTGTTGGATGGCAGAGACCTAGAGCGTTTCTGTCACTGCAGAGAGCTCGGTTGGAAGCACTGGCTCTGGTGGCTAAGGCCTACGTCAACAGACTCGTGCCAGAAGCAGGCCTGGGAGGCTGCAATTGGAGTCAGACGGTGCTTGGGGCGGGTCCAGCTCCTTGCTGCCTCTGGCTGTGCCACCTCAGTCCAGTGCCTTGGACCCTCTGAGTCTTGGTTTCCTCATCTGTGACGGGGAGAACAGCAGTGTCTTTTCTTTCATGGCGCCAGTTTTCAAGTCAGCTGCCACCCCAGTCTCCATTACCGCCCCTCAGGTCATCTTCCCCTTCCTCCTGCCACCCGAGAGGGGCTGCTATTCTTCCTCTTCTACAGATGAAGAAACTGAGGCTCAGAGAGGTTGAGGGACTTGCCCAAGGGCAGGCAGATATTGCTGGTGAGCAGAACCCGCCTGAATTTGAGGCTCATGTGGTCAGACCTCGCCAACAGAGCCCAGGGTATGACCAGCCACATGGTACAGAGCCTCCGTGGTCAGACCTCGCCAACAGAGCCCAGGGTATGGCCAGCCACATGGTACAGAGCCTCCCGCTCTGAGCTGGCATCCGGCTTCCTGCCGTCCAACCTGACCCCTTTCCTCCCCGCTTCCTCCCCACTGCCCTTTATGCACATGAGGATGGCAACCCTCTCTCTTTTCATGTCTGTCTCTGGGTGAGTGTGGCAGTCCGGGTGGCATCTCCTTGCAGGTCCGATCCGCGCTTTCCCGCCTGCGGAGCCACTCAGCCCCGAAGCGTCCAGGGCATGTTCTCTGCTCCCAGAGCTGCGGGTGCAGGGCTGAGCTCCTGCTGTTTCTCCCGTGCCCAGCCAGACCCATCATGGCTACAGGTGGGCAGAGGCTGGCAGATTGCATTTCATAGGCCCCAGGATTTCACGGGACCCTCTGTGGAATTCGGCCACAGCCCTACAGATTTCATGGGACACTTTGCCATCAGCCACCCCCTGGAATTTCATGAAGCACCCCACAGAATCTCACCCGACATTGGTGACAGTCACGGGGCACCCGAACACATTCTCCCAGTCGTTGTTTTGGTATTGGTGGCTCTGAGGCCGTTCCCCTGTGAAGCCAGGGAGTCGGGTTATCCGGAGGCGAAAGATGCCAATGATACCCGAAGTTCTGTCACTCCTTCCACATGAGACAGGGAAGTGAGTCTGCTGGGAGGCGGAGCTCCCCCATGAAACGTTCAACCCACCGTGTGACCCTGAAATGCCATCACCAGGGTTTGGACGAGGGACAGAAAGGGGCACCTGTCCCTCAAGGACTCAGCAACTTGAGGCTCCCAGGGCTCAGGGCACCTCCGCCATGGCCACAGGGACTCTTGGGGTCTGTCCCGGGGCCACAGACGCAGCTCTGAGTGGCCCTCTTGCCATTTGCTTGGATCCCACGGATGGCTCTGGACCCAGGGAAGCAGCGAGGGCTGACTGTCCCGGCTTTGTCCCCTTGCTGTCCCATTGTCTTAATGTCCGCAGGCAGGCCCACACCGCAGCTGCCTCAGCAGCTCTCCAGCTCTTCCCACCTCTCTGAGCCTCAGCTTCCTCACCTGTAAAGTGGGCATGACGATGGCCGGGACCTTGAATGTTGCTCTGAGAGTCAGTTTAGATATTCTCTGTCCACCAGGCTTCTCCCTTCACGCCTCCTTCTTATCAGGACACACTTGGAACAAGAAGACCAAGGTGTTTTCTTTTTTTTTTCTTTTCTTTTTTTTTTCTGGAGATGGAATCTTGCTCTGTCGCCCAGGCTGGAGTGTAGTGGCTTGATCTCGGCTCACTGCAAGCTCCGCCTCCCGGGTTCAAGCGATTCTCCTGCCTCAGCCTCCCGAGTAGCTGGGATTACAGGTGCCTGCCACCACACCCAGCTAATTTTTGTATTTTTAGTAGAGATGAGGTTTCACCATGTTAGCCAGGATGGTCTTGATCTCCTGATCTCGTGATCCGCCCACCTTGGCCTCCCAAAGTGCTGGGATTATAGGCATGAGCCACCACGCCTGGCGGACCGAGGCGTTTTCTGTGCTGTGTGCATTCAAAGCAGGCTGGGTGGTGGCCTTTCGGAAGACATCCTTTGTGCCAGCCACTCGAGGCCATTTTGGGCTCTCATCTCTAAGGGCTCCGGACGCTTGGCTGATTTCCAGTGATGTTCACGAAGGTCCTTGATGTTGCTGATCGCGTGCCATGCAGTCGTTGGTTGGTTACAGTGCTTCCTGATGCCCCTGAAATGTGGGTCAGCTGCAGCCGTCTGTGACGTGGCATGCCCATTGCTTCAGTTAGCTGCTTTTCTAGAAGCTAGAATCCAAAGTGAGTGTAGGAATTTGATTTTACACACCCAGAAAACAAACGAACAAATAAATCAAGATGGTGGGGATGGGGGACCATCTGTGGTTATGGAGCAGATGTGTTCAGGTGACAAAATCTAGCTAGGGGATGGTGGGGTCTGGAAAATGAAATTGAGAAGCCATGATGGGGTGTTTGGAAGATCAGCAGCCGACTCCATGTCTTCTGTTTTCTAGGGGGTTAACCCAGTTAAGAGGCTTGTTTCACACCCAGTGGGGAGTGAAGGCCCTTCCCACCCCAGCCCCGCACCAGCCCCCACTGACTTCTCTGCAGACTTCTTCAATCCATGGCCTAGGGACACACGTCCCCATCCCAGGCTCTGGGATGTGTGCTTGAGATGTTCCCACAGCACCGGGGCCATCCCCTTTCTCGTCTGTGTCTTCCCCACTCTCTTACGATTGTATGAAGTCCATCTCCCAGGAGGCTGCAATGGAAGCCCTGGCTGGTCTGGTGAAGGTGGGGGACAGGCATATCTTCCCTTTGGGCCCCCAACACGTGGTGGATGCTCCGGGGACGTTGGTGGTGAAAATGGGGGCCAGGCATATCCTGTTCCCCTTGGGTCCCCAGCACGTGGTGGGTGCTCCAGGGATGTCGGTGGAGTGGATGTTGACGTCCGTGGCGAAATTGTGCAGAAAAGTAGCAACAGGTTGTTGAAATATGTGCAATCATTATTTGTCTTGCAATAAGAACAGTTTCTAACCATCTTGAAATGTGCTTTTCCATGAACCCCAGCCAAGAGATTTAGTAGGTTTTAAGCATCGATTTCTGACAGTATTTTTCACTGGATACCACGGCAGCGTGGGAGCCTTCACCCCAGTAATGTAAAATGCAATTTTAAGCCAATAGCACAATTGAAAAACCCTCTCTGAAGTAATCAAGAGCGGCGACAGCCTTTTTTTACTCACTGGAAGGTTGTCATGTTGACTCTGAGGGACTTGAGCAAAAACGCCTGCGTTGGCGGCTCAGGAGGGAAGCGACGAACAGAATCAGCTCCAGCATCGATTGTTCAAAGGGAGGAAAATTCCACGCTCCTGCTGCAGGAATCAGGCAAGACGAGGGCTTCTGTAGCCAGAGGCACGCACTGTGGCTGCTAAATCCGCGGTTATTCCCCAGCTCTGGTCTGAGCGAGGAGGCCATTCCGGGCTTCCAGCAGCCTTGCTCTTAGCAGAGTTGGTTCTGGCCACAGCTGTTTGTTTTACTATGAGGTCAAACAGATCGAATCCTCCAAACACCTGGATGCCGCCTCAGACTGCTGCATGCTTTCAGCCAGGCCAGGGATCTCCAGGCAATGGTTTAGGCACGAGGCTCTTCGCACTGACCTCCAGGGCTTGATTTGGGGTCAGGCAGTGGTTTGGGCCTGGGGGGTTCCAGGCACTTGTGTCTGGGCATCCAAGGAGGATGTGTCTTATTCCCAGAGTGTTTTTCTTTTTGCTTGCCCTGCGTGGGACGAGCCCTGCCATGACAAAGGCATCCACACGAAGGCAGTTTCTGAGCTCCGAGGGCCTGGTCATGATGTTTTCCTACCAGGGCCCCTTGCTGGTGTTTCTTTGGCCACTGTCCCCACAGCTGTGATTTTATGAAAGCGCCACTTCTGCTGGGCAGGGTCGGGGGGAGGCGGATGTGACTTGGGAAGCAGAGGTCAGAGTCAGAGATGAACTGAAGATGCTGCCAGCTTTGAGGACGGAGGAAGGGGTCTGGAGCCAAGGAATGCAGGCACCTCCAGAACTGGGGAAGGCGGGATTCAAATTCTCCCCGAAGGCCTCGGAGGGAGTGCCTGGATTTAGGCCAGTGAGACCCATTTCAGCCTCGCCCTCTTCTCTGTAATGTGACCACTGCGTGCTGTTTGAAGCCACCAGGTGTTGGGACCTGTTGCAGCTGCAATGGGAGCAGGAGGAGGGGGATCCGGGGGTCCGGAGTGCACCAGGAGGGGGGGCGTGTCACGTGACATGGAGGGTGGTGGGGCCAGATCCGTGGACCTTGTCAGATGTTTCCGAGCAGCAGGTGGCCTGATACAGATTGAAGGACAGAGGGCTGGTTTGCCGACTACACGTGGCAAGAGTGGAAGCAGGGGGCCAATGGGGCCATGGCTGCACCCAGGAAAAGGGGACGCTGGCGGCCTGGCCCAGGGGCTGTGGTGGGCTGGTGGGTGACGTGTTTTAAAGGCCTAGCTCCGAGGGCACCTTGACCAATTGTCTGTGTGGCAGGAGGTTGGAGGGGTTGGGAGGTTTCTGCAAGGACTCCCAGCCCTTTGATGTGAGCATTCCAGAGATGGGACACTAGAGCATGAAAGAGCAGGACTGAGCGTGGCTATGGGGTTGAAGGAGGATCCACACGGGTTCTGCCTTGTTCTCGTCACTGAGGCACCTGGGGTGTTCTCAGGTGGAGGCCTCTAGGAGGAGCGAGGGGCTGAGGAAGCCCGGGCTGGGGACATTTTTAGATTAGGAAGCCTTTAGCAAATAGGTTGTATTTGAAGAGGCGGGAACAGGTGAGCTGTCCAGGGAGAGAGGATGGCTGAAGGCAGAGCCCTGGAGACTGCCCTTGTTAGGGAGGCCAGGGAGGGACGAGGAGCCAGCCAGGGGACTTAGAAAGGGCCTCTACTGAAATAAGAGAGAAATCCAGAGAGCTGGGACAAGCGCCTTCTGGTCCCCAATACAGCTGTGACGCCAAGTGCCCTCCCTCCAGAGCCGAGACGGTCTCTGGCATGATACATTGTGTTTTCCAGGCGTCACCTGCCAGGACATCTGGCTGGGAGCTGTGTCCTCACCCAGGAGTGGTGCTCCAAGCCAGTTAAGCCAGCAGGTCTGGGCTTTCCATGAAAGTGCTGGAAGTGTGTGTTCTGGCAACGCCGTCGCTGCCAAGTCATGCCTGGGAGAACAAGTCCTGGCACTTCCTCCTCAGGCCTGCAGGAAGGCCACTCGCTGGTCTCACCTCCTGCCAAGCGTAGATGGCAGCTTACACCCTTCACCCACCATGAACAGTGAGAAGCGGCGTTGCCCATGGTGAAGGCTCCCACTCCGGATGGCGTGCCAGGGTCCCCAGGGGACCAGGCTTGCTCTTCTTTCCAGTTCTGAAACCCTCGATTCTCCTGGTTATTTCCTCCATGAGCCTGCAAGTATCTGAGGGCAGGGCCCCGGCCCAGAGGAGGACACAGGGAGGTGGATCCAGGGGACGGAGGAGCAGGAAATGGAGCTACCAGTTTTTTGACCCTTGCTGTGTTCAGGTCACTGATGGCCGTTCCCCTGGACTCTGTCCTGGCAGGCTCAGGACAACCGGAGGACGGGCACACTGCTCTTTCCCCACTCTGCAGATGAGGACATGGAAAGAGGAAAGAGGTGGCTTGGCCAAGCTCACATAGCCAGCCAGTGGTGGAGGTGAGCACAAGTCCCAGGCTGTCCCCTCCAAACCCTGGGTGAGGATCTGTGCAGGCAGACGTGAGGGTAGGTAAGTGCAGGACCCGCAGAGCAGAGGAAAATGAACCAAGACGGCTTTCTGCCAGCGTTCACTCTGTCCAGGTGTGTTAGTCAGGGTTTTCCAGAGAAGTGAGAGAAGCAGAATGGTAGGAGATGTATAAAGGAGATTGACTGATATGGGACTCTGCTCATGTCACTCTGGAGGCTGAGAAGCCCCACCCTAGACTGCCTGCAGGCTGGAGGCCTGGGAAAGCTGGGGTCCAGTTCCAATCCGAGTCCCAAAGCCCCAGAAGCCGAGGAGCCAATGGCATCAGCCCCAGCCCAGGGGCTGTACCAGAGCAGTGTCCCAGACCAGCCAGCAGGCAGGAGGAGAGAGGGCACGTTCCTCCTGCCCCAGCCATTTTGCTCTATTCAGGCCCTTGTAGATTGGATGAGGCCCACCCGTACTGAGTCTACAGGCACAGATGGCCAGCCTCATCTGAAAACACCCCACAGGCACATTCAGAAACCAAGTTTAACCTGGGCACCTTATGGTCAGTCAAACTGATATAAAATTAACCATCACACCAGGGCAGCCGCTAGCCTTGTCCCTGCATAGAGCTTCACAAGCCTTTGTCTGGCTGTGCTAGGTGCTCCAGCCTACAGGCATTAGTAGGCATCTACGTGGACCAACCCCTTTGTTTGTGGGTGTGTATATGGACCAGTTTCTTTGTTTGTGGGTGTGTATATGGACCAGCCCCTTTGTTCATAGGCATGTATATGGACCAGCCCCTTTGTTCATACGCATGTATGTGGACCAGCCCCTTTGTTCATGCCAGTGTACATGGACCAGCCCCTTTGTTCATGCATGTGTATATGGACCAGCCCCTTTTTTCGTAGACATCTATCTGGACCATCCCCTTTGTGGGCGTGTACATGGACCAGTCACTTTGTTCGTGCATGTGTATATGGACCAGCCCCTTTGTTCATGGGCGTGTACATGGACCAGCCCCTTTGTTCGTGGGTGTGTACATGGACCAGCCATTTTGTTCATGCATGTGTATATGGACCAGCCCCTTTGTTCATGGGTGTGTACATGGACCAGCCCCTTTATTCATGGGTGTATATATGGAGCAGCCCCTGTGACCGTGTGCTGTGGATCATTCACTCACTGGTTGCTCAGAGGCAGCCTCTCACACCCTGCTAGCCTCCTGCCACGTGCTCTGTCCCCAGACTTTGCAGCTCAGAGATGAATCTAATACAAGCTTCAGTCGGGCAGCAGCCCTGTGTCCGTCCCAGCTCTCACCAGCCCTCTTCCCCAGCACCTGCCCCTGGCCAGGGCCATGGATGATCTGTCTTCTCTACTCTACTTTTTGAGATCAAGACCCATGGTCCTCCCACCTTAGGGTCCCCAGTGTCCAGTATTGTGCTTGGCACAGAGTAGATGTCATTCATTCATTCATTCATTCATTCAACAAGTTGAGGGTCTACCATGTGCAACACACATCTATGAGATAATCAATTAAACGAACAAATTAATGTTTGAGAAACAAAATCTAAGTCAGGTTTTTCTTCCCACCCTGACCAATCTGGGTGACCTTGAGCGAGGCTGGGCCTCAGTTTTCCTTCTGGAAACTAATGGGTTTGGACTGATGAGTCTCATGATCCTTCCTGCTGTGCCATTTTGGGAGTGCCCAAAACCAGACGCAGGAGCAGATACCAAGGTTTCCGGGGTGGGGGTTGGATTAGATTTCAGGGCCCCTGCCTCTCTGAGCCTCAGCTTCTCCATCTGCGACATTGGGTCCATCACGATGCCCCCTCCCCGGGCCCTGGAGGAGTGGCTGCAGAGACCACATCCCTGTGTCACCATTGCTGGTCCTCACAGCTGTTGTCAGGAGCCACCCTGGGAGGCTCAGGCAGTTCCCCGCCAGATGGCTCCTGTCATCATCAGACAGACTTCCGACGTCCTTCTGGCACCCCGCAACCCTCCCCAGCCCTGCACTTCCTGAGGGCTCTTTGCTACCCAGCATCTCTTTAAATATTTAAGCCGGTGTGATGCAATGCTCAGGCTCTGATGGCCTGGTCTGGTGCTCACACCACAGCAGTGGGCTTTCAAGCCTTCATTTTCATATTTTGTTGGAAGAAAATTGACCCAGAGAGAAAGCTGAAGCTTTTAAGGCATTAAGATGCCGAGAGAAGCTTGGATAGACCCAGCATGAATTTCACTTAAGGGGAAAAAAATGTTTGCTCTCTGAGCCTCCTGGCCAGGTGCTGCCCCCGGCACAGCTGCTGAGGCAGGACCCTGGACCCAGCTCTTCGGCAGTGAGTGCATTACAGCCTGCGATTCAGGGCCGTGATGGATCAGGGCTGCCTCGGGCCAAATGGATCCCTAACTGGAGAAGGTGAGAGTGTGGATAGCACTTTGAGGGCCGCGTCTCTGCAGAGGCTGCTGGGGTCACGGGCTGTCCAGGTCCTTGTGTGTTTTCTCACCAAGGCTGGGGAGGACGGGAAGAGGGCAGGCATGCCAGATGGTGGCTGCGGGTCCAGGGACCTGACTTCTGGAGGGAAAGATGGAGCTTTCTTCAGGAGAGAGCCTGGCTCTGAGGAAGGTCCCTGCCCACCCCTTGTCTTCGATGAAATGAGATACATGTGGCTGCTCTGCAGGCTGAAAGGGAGCTCCTGGCTCTCCCAGGCCCGGCCACTCTCCAGGCACGTGCCTCAGGACAAAAGCATCATCTGCCCACAACGCAACGTCTGCCCTGTCTACGCCACTGCAGCATGATGGGGTCCAGAATAGCTCAGAAGTCAAAGGAGGGGGCTGACCTTGGGGCATGTCCCATTTCTGCTTCCTCCCACCAGCCCTGGAACCCTAGCGGGCTGCTTAAGCTCCCCGATCTTGTTGTTTCATAGGTAAGACGGGGATAATGATAATAGTTATTTTGTAACAGTACTGAAATTCCATGAGCTAATTCACATCAATCAGCACAGTGCCTGGCGCAAAGAAACCACTCAGAAGTTATGGCCATGAAATGTGCCCATGAAGTGCTGCTCCGTAAAGATACAGCTGCTGCTGGAGACGAAGACGCTTCGGAGCCTTCCTTGAATCGGAGGGAGAGACCAAAGCTGATCACACCCAGTCCGCCCCCAGCAAGGACATGCCTGCTAATTTGGGATTATTTAAGAAGGTTCAGGGTTAAGATCGAACCTTGCTTAGCAACTAATTTATGAAGACATTGCCAACTCATTATGCCAACAAGTTGAATGGGATAATAGAAAAAATAACCCAGAGAGCAAAATGATCCCCCGCAAAGCACTTAATGTCTACTTGAACCACAGGTCCCTTAAGTGCTCATTTCCATAAAATTCTTGTCTGTTAATTCAGAAACTCCTAGAGCTGCATGGAGTTCTTCGCAAGCCCATAAAGGAGGGCTCTTCAGCAACACGTGGTTGGACTATCTCGTACACCCGGGCGTGCGTGCCATTCAACAGAGTGGCATGTCTTCAAACGTCTTCCTCGCTGTCTGAGAATGGAACCTTCCCGCCTGAGCCAAACGCGCCAGTGACGCTGGACTGTGCCTGGCTCCGGGGGGCCCGTGCATGCGGGATGATGCGGAGATGCCTCTGCCTAGCAGCGTGACAGTTTCTCAGCATCCACACCTTGGTGGCAGCCCTGCTTTTGCTGGTTGTTAATGAGATGGTTGGTTTGGCCTGTAAGCGAATTGTACAGCTAACTAATGTGTCTGTAGCTTGGAATTATTTATTGCTCGTGATTGCTCTGCCTGGGTTTTCAATACATAATTCATATTTTGGGAAGTTTTTTTTTTTTTTTTTGAATTCAGGGCTGGGAGGAAAAAGCAAGCCTAGAGTCGAGGCTGTGTGTAAATGTTCTGAGCAGGGGTTGGCTGATGAAGTGTTTGGGGCTGCAGGCTGTCTACTGTCCAGACTGGGCAGTGGTGCTGGCTGGAGGGGCCAAGGGGGCTTGAGAGAAACTTCTGGAGCTCAGAGCCCAGCGCTCAGTTTCTCAGGAGAGCACTCTGTGTCTCTGGAGGTGAACTTGCCCCTCCTGATTCTCCTAAACCTTCTGCCTCCCAGCTGGGACCCCCTCCCTCCACGAGCAGACAAGAGGCCTGCCGAGCAGTGCGGGTCTCAGCAGGGAGGAAAATGAGTCCTAAAGCGGGAGAAACTGCGGTGAGACTCACTGCTGGGCCTGGAGACAAGAGCAGGGCTGGGGGCCCTCTGGTTCTCGCAGGCCTCCCTTGCTCTGAAACGGCTCTACCCGAAGACGGCTCTGCTGGGGAGGGCAGGCCATGTGAATCCTGGCAGGTCTCGTAATCCAGTGATTATAAAGTGATCACTGTGGGCAAAAATGCTCCAAAGAGCAAATATAATAAGAAAGGAGGCTTTGAACCAAATCGTTACCAAGAGATCAAGCAAAATTGGTTTGGGAGGTTTTCTAGAGGAGGGCAGCGTGTGGTTCACCCTCAATGATAAAAGCCACCAGGGCCCAGCCGCTGCTTCAGGTCTGGGCTGTAAATATCTGCTTCTGTCGTTTGCATTCATTTCGGTGAAACCTCAGCTTCAGAAGGACAGAGGACGCCACAATAGCTCAGCGAGGATGTGAACAATAATATTAGGGATGAAAAGGATGCGTTCTGGGCGGTGAAGGATCGGGGTGAGCGGGGAACAGAGTGCGTGGAATACTAAAGCCTCCTCACGCAGGAGCCACACACAGATGAGTAATGCGAGAGGCCACATCAGATTCCATCAAGACGCCTTAATCTCAGCTCATTTTTCTCCTGCAGGCGAGATGAGCCAGGAGGTGGCGGGGCAGGAGAAAATGGGAGTAATCCTTTAAAGCAAGGTGTGTGTGCAGGTGCACGTGTGAGCATGTGTGCACGGAATATGTGCAGGTGTATACTCTGCGCATATGTGGTCATGTGCATACTGTGTATATGTTGGCATGTGTGTGGTGTATGTACTGTGTGCATATGTGGACATGTGTGTGGTGTGTGCATGTGTGCATATTTGGGCTTGTGTGTGGTGTGTGCACTGTGTGTATGTGTACATGTGTGTGGTGTGTGCATGTGGGCACTGTGTGCATATGTGGACATGTGTGTGGTGTGTGCATGTGAGCATATGTGGGCATGTGTGTGGTGTGTGTATGTATGCTCTGTGTGTGTATGTGGGCTTGTGTGTTGCATGCATATGTGCCCTATGTGCATATGTGGACATATGTGCACTCTGCATGTATGTGGGCATGTATGTGGCATGTGCATGCATACACTGTGCATATGTGGGCATGTGTGTGCTGTGGGCATATGTATGGTGTGTGCATGTGTGCACTATGTGTGTATGTGGGCATATGTGATGCATGCATGTGTGCACTGTGTATGTGGGCACGTGTGTAGAGTGGGCATGTGTGCGGAGTGGGCATGTGTGCAGTTAGTTTTTATTAGAAAATTATATGTTTTTAAAATTAGCCTGAGAGTTTGGCTAAATGAATTGTGTGTATGTGGGCATATGTGTGGGCAGTGTGAACAGGGATATATGCATGGATGCATGGTGTATGTGCATGTGAGCATGTGTGTGTACATGTGTGTGGTGCGTGTGCTACGTGTGATGTTGCTAAGATAATGGAAGAAGACACCCATACTTTTTAAGGATGCTGCCCTAGGACTCTGTCCCATGGGGGCACCCAGGGCCCTACCTAATCCAGCAGACACCTAAATTGTCAGCCCGGGTCAGCCAGTTCCCTTCAGTTACAGATGGGCTTGGTTTCTACACAGGAGGCGATAGATAAAGTGCCCAGAAAGGGACTTCCTTGCACAGGGACCCTGGTTCCCCAGCAGCCCTGGAGTTGTAAAGCCTGTTTGTGCCCAGGTCCGAGGATGCATGCGGCCTTCCCGTGGTGTCTGAGCCTTGAGGAGGGAGCATCACTCCTGGGCATCAGAGAACCACCCCTTCCTCTGGTCTGGAACAGGGCCTCTCAGCCTTGGCACTGCTGCCTTTCAGGTTGGATGAGTCATTGCCCAGGTGTGTCCTGTGTGTGGTAGGCTGGCCAGCAGCACCCAGTCCACTAGAGGCCAGGGCACTCCCCCATTGTTACAACAAAAAAATACCTCCACACATGACCGACTGTCCCCTTGGAGGAGCCCGCTGGTCGGGACATGCCCCTGTTCAGCCTCAGGCCCCAGGCACAGGCTCTCTTAGTGAGGGGCAGGGAGCTGGGTTTTTCTTTAGCTGGAGGGGAACATGCAGGCCATCCAGGTCTCCAGCTCTGTGCTGGAAGTCACCTTTGAGGCTGTAGGTGACCCCAGAGCCAGTGAGGCCAGGCCCAGCCCTAGGAACCCAGGACCGTGGGAGGGCAGGGTTCCCACTCATTATTTGGACATCAGTGCTGTCTCCTCCATCCCAGAGGCCAGTTTTTGCCCAGTCTGGCCTATCCTGGAGGGCGGAGCAGCCCCATCCTCTGTGCCAGCTCTAAGGCTCCTGTGTCCAGGGCCCTCTGTCCCTATTCTGAATCTCTCAAGGCCTTAGCTGCTCTCTACTTGAGTCATTCCAACAGGTAGCAGAAGAAATGCTGGCTCGGAGCAGCCCACAGGAGTTTGGGGATGTGTCCACATGTGGGCCACAGTGGCTCCCATGCTGAGCTAGCTCAGGGCTGGACACCATAGTGGACAGAGTCGTAATGAGTGTCCTGATTCAAAGCAAAGAATATGACGATGCCCCAGTGTGATACAGTATTCAGTGCACCCCGGCTTGTGGGAGGACTCTGAAGAAGAAAGTCTGCACTCTCATCCAGGCTGGTGTTGACTCTGAATTTGCCTGTGCCCGTCTCTACAGCCCAGACAGAAAAGGCCTTGTCCCTGGGCCACCCCGAGACGTTATCCTGAGCCCTGGAAGCTCTGTGTGGCTGGCCCAGCAGTTGCAGCCTCACTGGACAACGAGTGCTGAGCCCTGTGCTAACTCCGTGACGCTGCAAGGGAAGGCCGGTCACGCTGAGAGGCAAGGAGTTCACCGGAGAAATGCTGGCTCCAAGTCTTTACAATTTGCTTTGCCGCTAATTCCCCTTAGAGTGCAGAGGATGCAAGCAAAGGTGTCGGTAGTTAATCCAATAATTAAAAACAAACACTGCTTTATTTGAAAAGACTCTTTCCTTCCTGGTTCTGGAGCCGGGATTGAGGCTGGGCTGCTCTTAGAGGGGGGCTGTGCCCGAAGATGCCAGCCAGGCTCTTGCTTCTAGTGAAAAGTTTATTTCAGGGGGAGGGGGCGGGACAGCAATTGAGCTCCTAATACGAGGGAGGAGAGGATGAGGCGAGACCAAGGGGCCCTACGTTGCATTGCTCTTATGAAATTACCCCTTGATGCTGGACTCTGTGTCTGCTAATGGGGTCCCAAGGGGTAAGGACTGTGGATCTGAACCTGGAAGAGGGGTTCTTCCTGGGTCCCTGAGAGCCCCCCGCGCAGAGGCCAAGTGCAGCTCCCAGACAGCTTTTGCAGAGCAAGCTAAATCTCATGATGCTGCCCCAGGGGTGTGGCTTACCCACTCATTACTCAGGGTACGGGGCCCCTCGTCTGGCCACACAGGAAATCCCTTTCTGGGTACATTATCTGTCATCTCCTGTGTGGAAACCAAAGTCCATCTGTAACTGAAGGCACCTGGCTAAGAGAATTCCAAAGGGGCAACGTGCGCAATGCAGGCCTCGCTCGGGCCTCATACAGAACAGTCCTCAGCGTTCTCAGCGGCGCTTAAAGCCTTCATGGAATTGGCAAGCTGTCGCCCAAAGTCCGATCCACTTTTCTTGAATGAGCCTCAAGCCGTGATTATGCCATGTCTCCTCACACGGCTATCCATGCAGATGCTCGGCAGGCGCCTGCCAACTGTGTCTGATGGACCATTTCAGGAGCCCCAGAGGACCCGGTGGCAGAGCCAGGGAGGGAGGGGTGGTGGGGAAGGAAGGTGGTAGGTCCTGAGGGCTCTGGAAAGGGAAGCCTCGTCCTGCAGGAGGGTGTGGATAATTCACTTGCTGCCTCCAGAGGTGTCACCCCTAAGGAGGCCTCTGGGGCACGTCAGGGTGTTGGGGGAATTTGAGAGGACCCAGACTTGGGCTCCCGGCTGCATTGCTGCCTTTCTGTGCAGCTCTGGGGGCCCCGCTGACCTCTCTAAGTTAGAAAATGCACTTTGCAGAGCTGGGGACAGCGAGAGACAACAAATGAGGCTGTACTTTGAGAGCTGTAACATGCACTCAAAACGTCCGTTCCTGGTGGCAAAGCCCAGTGGGCGCAGTGGGAAGGGCACCAGCTAGAACCGGGCGTCAGGATTTCAGGTCACCCTGCATTGTGAGTCCAAGAGCACGCACGTGACTTGAGGGACCTCAACTGCGGTCCACAAAGTGGGTTCCTGAGGCTCCTGCGGCTCCCAGGGCAGGACAGGGCATGGGGGAAAGGGGGACAGGGGAGTGACAGGAGCCAGGAGGACAGGAGGGAGCAGACGTCCTCCCAGGGGCTGCTTGAAGGCCCTGCTGCTGGCTGTGACTCCGCATGGGCCAATGGCACAGCCGCCTTTGCTCAGGGAAGCCCTCACGCTGGCTGTGCCCCCGCCCTGGATGGGGGGAGTCCGGTTATGTTATTGGTAAGCGGCAGCCATTTGATTGAGCAGTGAGCGTCTTGGGGGATGCGCTTAGCGTTCCGTTGTTCATATAACCCGTGTTTATGAAATCCCAACTCTATAAAATGTCCTGTGCTCGGAGCCAGAGTGGGAGCAGGACAGGACAAGAGGGAACCTGCGTGCTCAACAGGCTGAGATAGACAGGAGCACAACTCAAGGTCGAGCATCATAATTCAAGAGAGTGAGCACACCTGGAGGCCAGAAGAGAGGCCGAGTGAGCTCTGGGAGGAGTGAGGATTCCAACCCGGAGAGGCTTCCAGGAGGAGGCAGCCCAGGAGGGTGGATAAGACTGGGAGATGCACTCCTTCCTTTTACAGTGGAGGAAGGGAAGACCCTGCCTTGCCACACAGCCATGAAGATACGCATGCATGTTTGTGTCTGCATGTGTACGCATGCACGTGTGTGCAGGTGGGTGTCTATGCAAGCATGTGTGTGTCCACATGTTTGCGTATGGAGGGAAGCAGTCCCATGTGCTTTGCACACCCACGACCCCCTCACCAGCAGCCTCCTGGCCTGGTGAACGAGGGGGGTGACAGTACAAAGCCGTCTGATGTTTGACCAGTGCTCGTGGGCTGGCGTCTGCCTTCTGCTGGTGAGGAGCTGACAGGAGGTAAGGTGGAGCCACAGAAAACCATGGGTCATCCCGGCATTATTCAAGGTAAGCCCTGTCTGACAGGTCCTCACGCCACAGCCGGTATTTTAACTGATTGAGGAGACAGAGACATTTCATGATTTAGCATGTTGTGAGTGTTGGAAGTAGGGGTGCCTCATTTCAGGGCCCCATTCTCCTCCACCCTTCTCCCTGTTCCCGGAGGATTTGTGGGGGAAGGGTTTGCCACAACAGCATGGAACAGGATGAGAATTTTCTGAGCATGGCGGGCCGGGGGACAGGCCTGAGGGACAGTTTAACATCTGATCATCTTTGCCGGGGTCTGTGCCAGTTGGCACGAATCACGCGGCAGCCCTCCCACACTGGGGTGGTGAATTCTGTGTCAACTTGCCTGGGCCACGAGGCCCCGCGGACTTACCTTTGGTGTTTCTGGGTAAGATTAACATTGGAATGGCGGGCCAAGGAGCGTGGATGCCCTCTGCCACGTGAGTGGCCTCTGGTTTGTTTCACTAAACCCCAAGCTGGAGTCGCCCCAAAAGCGGCAGCAGGAAAGTTCCCATGAGAGAGTGCTCCGAACCATCCCACGAAGGGGCCTGTTGACACCCCAAAGAAAGAAGCCCTAAGTGAGCACCAGGGCGATCAGCCCAGGACATATGTTAGGAGAGCTCACAGCTCACGTGCAGAGGGCTGCAGCACCCTGAGACCGACAGGGAGAGGAAGGGAGGTTCCACCCATGCCTGTCCACAGCGAGGGGTCAGGTGCACCCTGACCCCTAATATGAGGGAGCTTTCACAGAGTGAGGGGTCAGGCGTTCATGGCACCCACGCCTGTCCACAGCGAGGGGTCAGGGTGGGACGTTCATGGAACCCACGCCTGTCCACAGCGAGGGGTCAGCTGCGGCGTTCATGGCACCCACGCCTGTCCACAGCGAGGGGTCAGCTGCGGCGTTCATGGCACCCACGCCTGTCCACAGCGAGGGATCAGCTGCGGCGTTCATGGCACCCACGCCTGTCCACAGCGAGGGGTCAGCTGCGGCGTTCATGGCACCCACGCCTGTCCACAGCGAGGGATCAGCTGCGGCGTTCATGGCACCCACGCCTGTCCACAGCGAGGGGTCAGGCGTGGTCCCGGGGAGATTTGAGGAATTGGCTCAGGGCTAGGGCTGGTTTCTTTCGGTGTTTTGGGCAATGACCTAGCTACCTTTACTAGTGCCTGGGAATGCTCAAGGCTTGGGTTTGGGTTCGAGCTTGCTGGGAAAACCTGCAGAGTGGTCAAGGCACTGTGATCTTGGGTCAGAACACAAAGAGAAGGCAGGGGGCCCTGTGGCCTAAAGAGAACAAACAGGACGAGTAAGGGGAGCTGCTCCTGCCTGCCTGCTGGAGCTGGGGCGTCCATCTTTTCCCACCTTTGGACATCAGACTGAAACTGCATCATTGGGTCTCCTGGTCTCCAGCTTGCCGGCTGCAGATCTGGAGTCTCCTCGAGCTCCATAATCCCGCGAGCCCTCCTAATCCTGAGTCTCCTTCTCTATGTGGGAACACATGTCCTGTTGGTTCTGTTTCTCGAGGGACCCCTGATAAAGACACTCAAGGACAGTTCCCTGGACCTAGGACTGCTCCCTCGTGTGCCCATCCAGGCGGCAGTGCTGTGCCAAGCTCGGGCTGATGACCCACAGAGAACAGGGAGATGAAGCCCCTCCTGGGGAGCTGGCAGTCCTGGTGGACATCGGACAGGTCATTAGGACAGGACAAGGGGAAGTGCAGGATCCATCTGGGGTGGCAGGAGAGGACAGGGAGGGAGAGAGGGCAGGGAGGGGGAGAGAGAAGGGAGGGGGTGAGGGGAGGGAGGTGGAAAGAGCAGGGAGGGGGAGAGGGCAGGGAGGGGGTAAGGGAAAGAGGGGAGAGGGCAGGAGGGGAGAGGGCAGGGAGTGGGGGGGAGGAAAGGGAAGGGGAGGGGGAGGGAGGGTGGAGGGGGAGGGAGAGGGAGAGGGCAGGGAAGGGGTAAGGGAAAGAGGGGAGAGGGCAGGAGGGGGAGAGGGGAAGGAGGAGGAGAGGGGAAGGAGGGGAGAGGGCAGGGAGGGGGAGAGAGAAGGGAGGGGGAGAGGGCAGGGACGGGGAGAGAGAAGGGAGGGGGTGAGGGGAGGGGTGGGGTAGGGGGCAGGGGGAGGGAGCAGGGAGGGGACGAGGAAGGACCTTGAGGCTGTGTGGATCTGAGTAGAAGGGCTACACATCCCCTGGCCAGACAGCAAACCAGGATGGCGAGCTCTTTGCCTCAGCTTCTGGGAGGACCAGAGTAGGCTACCCACAGGAAGTGGAGGGCACTGCCAAGGCCACCTATGCAATGCCAGAGAGTGCCAACTGTGGACAGCAGCAACAGGGTCCCAGTGAGGGCCAGCGAGGCTGACTGCGCCTGAGTTTTCAGGTTTCACCCTCAGTACAGCCCAGCAAGGCGGGTTCTCCTGGAGAGGAAACCGTGTTCTGCCCCAGCACACACTTGGTCGCCTCAGGCTTGAGAGGTTCATCTCCTGCGCCGCTGAAAGAAACTAACAGGAATCTGGTGAGGTAAAGCCACAGAAATGCACTCTTCGGGTTCTGGGGGGCAGAGTCAGGAATCCAGGCTGGCAGGGCCATGCTCCCCACGGAGGTTCCCGGGCGAGGACCCTGCCTGCTTCTTCCTGGTGGCCCAGGTGCTCTTGGCTGGGGTGGCATGCTCCCGTCTTCACGGACAGCATCTTCAGTCTCTGCTGTCTCCATGTTGTGCTACCCGAGTGTCAAATCTCTTGCTCCCTGCACACCCGTCCTGCCCTGCACACCCCGTTCTGCCCCGAGCCAGGCCCAGCCCGTGGGGACTCCTCTGAGATTCCTTCTGCCTCCCTGGGGCAGGGGCGTCCGCTTCCTCCGGACCCTTGTGCACTTGCTTTCTACCCTTTATGGGGCGTGACAAGCTGCAAGCCCAGGCTGTTGTGGCGTGGGGCTGTGTGCAGGCCTCCATGGAGCTCCGTTCCACACGCCCCGTCCTGTGGGGTTGCCGACACTGGCAACTGAGCCCGGTGCTCTGAAGGCAGGGAGCAGGACGTGACTCCTTTGTTGTGACCGGCAGGGATGTTTCTCGGGTGAGGACAGGCCCTCTGGAAGCCTCACTAGGAGTTTGGGGGTTCCTGAGGGGAGCCTGGCCTCTGTCACAGGCAGCAGGGCCCAGGCAGCCCCGCTCCATCATCCTGCAGCCAGGACCCTGGAGCATGGAGCATGCTGGAACACAGCCATCACTCATAGCATTCGTGAGGACAGCACGGCTCCTGGGTCCCGTTCTAGCTCCTCAACAGCCGCTCTCTGTCTGAGCTTCTCTCCTGCTCTCCCTGTCCCCACTGGGTTCGTCCCCAAGGAAGAAGGGTCTGTGGGCCCAGCAGTCCAGGAAAGCCAAGTCATCCAAGGGGGGATTCGGTTCAGGAAACACCAGCTCCTAATGACTCACGGTGCCACTGATGGCTTTGCCTGAACTAATGATTTCCTCCACACTTTCCAAAGAGGCCTGGCTTTCAGCCTGGAGGCCATGGGTGACTCTGCAGAAGAGGCACCTCTGTCTCCCTAAATACTTACGGTTGCCCAGCGTGTATATAGGGGTTGCCAGGGGGTGCCCCACTGGCTCATGATGTTAGAGGGACCTGGAGAGGTAGACATGCAGAGACACAGAGATGCAGACACAAGCAGACACACACAGACACACATAGACACACACAGAGAAACATGAAGAGAAACATGCAGAGACACAGACACATGCACACACACAGACATGCAGAGAGGCACACAGACATACACACACACAGACATGCAGAGAGGCACACAGACATACACACACACACAGACATGCAGAGAGGCACACAGACATACACACATACACAGACATGCAGAGAGGCACACAGACATACACACATACACAGACATGCAGAGAGGCACACAGACACACAGACACACAGACATGCAGAGAGGCACACAGACATGCACACACACACAGAAATGCAGAGAGGCACACAGACATACACACACACACACAGAGAAACACAAACACACAGACGCATAGAGAAACACAGAGACACACAGACACACAGAAATATGCATACACACAGACACAAGCAGACACACATGGAGAAGCACAGACACACAAACACACACAGACACATGCACACAGGCAGACACACAGAGACACACAGACACAGACACAGAGACACAGATGTACAGAGACAGACACACACACATATAGACACAGACACACACAGAGACAGACACACACACATATAGACACAGACACACACAGAGACAGACACACACACATATAGACACAGACACACACAGAGACAGACACACACACAGAGACATGCACAGACACACAGAGATACACACACATACACAGACACACAGATACAGATGCACATACAGAGACACACATACACATGAACACACGGACACAGAAACAGAGACAGACACATAGAGACACACACAGACACAGACAGAGACACAAAGAGAAATACACAGACACACAGGCACACACACACACACAGAGACACACACAGACACACAGGCACACACATGCACACATATACACAGAGGCACACATGCAGAGGGACACAGACACACACACATATACATGCAGAGATACACACAGACATACAGAGATACAGAGAATCAGACGCACAGACACACATTGGCACACAGAGATATAGATAGAGGCACAGGCACACACACACGCTCACATGCACACACACAAAGACATACATGCTCCCACCACCGCTGAGAAAATAAAGTTGCCCAGTGCACGTGTGGAAAGGGGCTGCTGGAGCGGCTGTACCTCCTGTCCTGGTTCCCAGTCCTCGGTCTGCTGGGACAGCTTTGCCTCCCATCCTGGTTCCCAATCCTCCGTCCCTGTTCCCTTTCTTATTTTAATTAACGTTTTTACTTTGAGGTAGTTGTCGATTCACATGCAGTTTGAAGGAATAGTACAGAGAGGCCACTTGCAGCCTTTACTCCGTTTCCGCCCAGGGGTAGCGTCTTGCGGAAGCCCGGGACGGCATCAGGACCAGCTGTTGGCACTGACATAGTGAACACACAGACACCCATGCCCTGAGGACCCCCTGCTGCCCTTCCATACCCACACCCGCCTCCCCCTGCCTTGCCCCTCCTTGGCCCCTGGCCCCCACCAATTGGTGCGCCATCTCTGCAATTTTGTCATGTCAAAAGTGTTCTATAAATGGGCTCGTCCAGGGTACAGCCTTTGGGGACGAGCCCTCCCTCATCCAGCCTGACTCTCTGGAGATGCGTCCAAGTGTTGCCTGTGTCAACGGCTGGCTCCTTTCCATCGCCAAGCAGGATTCTGCACCAACACGTGTGCGTGGCTTCTGTGTGAACATACGTTTTCATTTCACTGGGATAAATGTTCCGGGGTACAATGCTGGGTCATATTGCAGCTGCAGGGTCAGTTTTTATACGAACTGCCAAGCTGTTTTCCAGAGCGGCCGGGTTCCCGTCCACACCCACCAGCAACGGCGGCGTGCCCCACTTTCTTTGCCTCCTCGAAGCGTTTGGAGCTGTAGCGATGCTTATTTTGGGAGCTTTGATAGGCGTGTGTACTTGTTCTTCCCTCCTCTCTCCAAGCCTCAGTTTCCTCTGCTGTGACATGGTGACATGACTCACCCTGACCAACTCAGGGAGCTTTCACAGAGCCCATGGTGGCAGTGTCAGGAAGAGTTTGATGCTTTGTAATAGTACTATGTAGGGCTGGGTGCGGTGGCTCACGCCTGCAATCCCAGCACTTTGGGAGGCCAAGGCAGGGGGATCATGAGGTCAAGAGATCAAGACTGTCCTGGCCAACATGGTGAAGCCCATCTCTACTAAAAATACAAAATTTAGCTGGGTGTGGTGGCACGCACCTGTAGTCCCAGCTATTCGGGAGGCTGAGGCAGGAGAATCGCTTGAACCCGGGAGGCAGAGGCAGAGGTTGAGCCAAGATCACGCCACTGCACTCCAGCTTGGCAACAGAGGGAGACTCTGTCTCAAAAAAAAAAAGAAAAAAGAAAAAAGAAAAAAAAGTACTGTGGAGATAAGGACTTGTTATTATTCCAAGAACCAACGAGCTAGAAATTTGGAAACACAGGTTTTCTATCTTTCCTTCTGTATTTGATCATTTAATCCCACAGAACCCATAAGGAGAGGCTTCAAGAATGGTTGCTTTATGTCTGGACTCAAACACACCCCACCCAGCCTCTCCTGGGGAAGGTAAGGCAGGCACTGGAGGCCCTTTTCCGGGGGGGGGGGGGAATCTGAGGCTGGGAGAGGTAGCGTGGGCTGGCTGAGCACTTCTTCCATCCCTGTTCATGCTGAGCAGCACACAGAGGCCCATTTCAGCTCCACGTGGCCTGTGCACACCTCCAGGCAGAGGTGACAACATCATGAGCACCTGCCCCGCAGCTCCTGGGGAGGAGTGTCCGAGTGTCCCACATACAGTCGGCATCACCGCTGTCACCCCATGCAGACAGCATCACCGAAGTCACCCCATACAGTTGGCATCACCACCGTCACCCCATACGGTCGGCATCACCACCGTCACCCCATACGGTCAGCATCACCACCGTCACCCCATATGGTTGGCATCACCGCCGTCGCCCCATGCAGTCGGCATCACCGAAGTCACCCCATACAGTTGGCATCACCACCGTCACCCCATGCAGTCGGCATCACCGAAGTCACCCCATACAGTTGGCATCACCGCCGTCACCCCATGCAGTCAGCATCACCTTGGTCACCCCATGCAGTCGGCATCACCGAAGTCACCCCATACGGTCGGCATCACCACCGTCACCCCATACAGTGGGCATCACCGCCGTCACCCCATACGGTCGGCATCACCGCCGTCACCCCATACGGTCGGCATCACCGCCGTCACCCCATACAGTGGGCATCACCGCCGTCACCCCATACGGTCGGCATCACCGCCGTCACCCCATGCGGTCGGCATCACCACCGTCACCCCATACAGTGGGCATCACCGAAGTCACCCCATGCAGTTGGCATCACCTTGGTCGCCCCATGCAGTCAGCATCACCTCGGTCACCCCACGCAGTTGGCATCACTGCCATCACCCCATGCAGTCGGCATCACCACCGTCACCCCATACAGTGGGCATCACCACCATCACCCTATGCAGTCAGCACCACTGCTGTCGCCCCATAGAGTGGGCATCACCTCGGTCACCCCATGCAGTCGGCATCACCTCAGTCACCCCATGCAGTCGGCATCACCTCAGTCACCCCATACGGTTGGCATCACCTCGGTCACCCCATACGGTTGGCATCACCGCCGTCGCCCCATGCGGTCGGCACCACCGCCGTCGCCCTCGGACGCAAGGCCTTTCTCCAACCATTTTGCAGATGAGAAATTGTAGGCAGAGCAGCTGGTGGAGGTGGGGCAGGGGAGCGAGATCCCAACACCGGTCTTTCTGGCCCCAAACTACTTGCTTCTTCCTTTTTCCACTTCAGAGCTTGGCCCTATAGGTGCCCAAGAAATACTTCTGGGCCAGGCGCGGTGGCTCACGCCTGTAATCCCAGCACTTTGTGAGGCTGAGGTGGGCGGATCACTTGAGGTCAGGAGTTTGAGACCAACCTAACAGGGTGAAACCCCATCTCTACTAAAAATACAAAAAGGAGCCGGGTGTGGTGGTGGGCACCTGTAATCCCAGCTACTCAGGAGGCTGAAGCAGGAGAATGGCTTGAACTCGGGATGCAGAGGTTGCAGTGAGCCGAGATCGCGCCACTGCACTCCAGCCTGGGCAACAGAGTGAGACTCTGTCTCAAAAAAACTCCAGAGAACTTCTGGAAATGATATTAATTAGACTTCCGTTTGGTTCAAGCTGTCAGAGGCACTGTCTACTTTGGCAGCCAGAGAGGTCACAGGCCCCGGAATCACGTGGCTGGAGGACCAGGAGAATAGGCTGTGTGTGCTGGTGGAGGGGGTGGCTGCTGGGGCCCGGGTGGAAGTGCAGAAGCCAGGATTAAATGGGGCTGAACACATTGCTGCTTATTTAAGCCAAATGAGGAATTTTAAAAGAATTCTGATGCCTGGCCTGGCCCATCCCCTGGGAGGTACTCTGAGGGCCTCTGATGGAAGTTGTCCCTGGGAGTTTTCAAGGCTCCTGAGGCCATGGAGATACAGCCAGGGAGGGGCCACGCTGGACCCAGGGAAGCCAGGGCTGCAGCTTGTCCAGCTCTACCCTGGTCAGGACGGGGCTCCCAAATCCCTCCTGCTTCTCCCAGGGTGGCCAGCTGTGCCCCTGCCATGTTCCTTGCCTGCACCCAGGGAGGCTGGCAGCAGAGTGGTCCCGTGTCAGATTCGTGCCTCCCAGACTGAAGCCTCACACTACCTGTCCTGCAGCCAGCTCTCCCCAGGGCCTAGGGCCGCTCAGGAAGGGCACCAAGCCTTTGTGCACATCGCTGGGTTGCAACTAGCTGGAGGGAGTCCTTGGCTGCCGGGAGAACAGCCTCTGCTCGCTGCCTGCCCTCCCTATGCTGTGGGGCACCACGTAGCACTAAGGGCTGCTGCAGCACTTGACTGTCAGGGCCGCTGGAGGACCAGGGTGGACCGGGGGACAAAGGCCCTTCCCTTCAGGGAGGCTCCCAGTGGGGTCCCCCCATTCCCGCACAGAGTCCTTGGGGTCCCTGGCTGGGCATCAGGGCAACACAATGTACCCACCCCTGTGTGGGGCTCTGAGAACCCATACGGTGGAGGCGCCCTGGCCCAGGAGCCAGGAAACCTCCAGCCCCGCCTTCCGTCAGAGGGTGGACGAGCTGCCAGTGGTTGGTGGGGGGTGGAGAGAGACATAAAGAGACACAGAGACAGAGATAGAGAGGGAGAAAGGGAGAGGAAGGGAGGGGAGGGAGCCAGCTTATAAGTGAGACAGAATGACACTGGCCTTGGCATGGGGGAGGGAAGACACTTTTACAAAGAGGATTTAGACCCCATCTTTGTCACCAATGTCACTTGCCAACTCTGCGTGGACCACCTGCGCGTGCCAGGCTGGGCTGGGGCGTAGGGGTCCCTCCGAGAATGGGATGTCCGAGGTCCCCACTCACACAAAACTCATGTTCTAGCAAGCGTGCAGGGCGAGGGGAGCTGATAATTAACACGCAAATGGGAAAACTCAACTTGAATCACTGCCACGCAGAGAACTCTGCCAACGTGAGGCTGAGCGCACAGGGCTGCATTGTCAGGGCAGGAGTCTCCAAGGAGGAGCCATTTGCGCAGCATCGTGAATGTCAAGGAGACAGTTAAAGCCGGGGAGGCGCGCCCTGGGCACAGAGGGTCCTGAGCGCAAACACTCCAAGGGGCCACCCAGCCCTGCAGGGACAGAGAGGACCCCAGGGAGGCCTGGGCAGGCCAGAGGCGGGGGCTGCGCCCAGGTGGAGAGGAGGCAGAGGGCAGGAGGGGACGGAGCAGGACTTCGGACGGCTGTGCCGGGGCTGGGTCGGGGAGGGGAAGATTGAAGGGCAAGGCCTAATGTTGAGTTGTGTCGCTAGGTGGAGGGCAGAGCCTCCTACCCAGGTGGGGAGCAGGGGGGCAGCGAGGAGCCGGGAGGGGTCAGGAGATCTGTTTTGGCCACACGGAATTCATGCAGATGCATGAATCCAGGTGGAATCTTCCAGTAGGATCCGGACACCACACACCTGGAGTCCAGCGGAGGAGTCAGTGCATAGAGAGGCTGTTTCAAGCTGAGGGCCGGATCTTGCCCTGGGGGGAGCATGTGGAGGGGGCAGAGAAAGGCCCAGGACCCAGGGGCCTCTGCAATGGAGGATGGGAAGAGGGGGCAGCGGGAGGGGGGGATGCAGGGGCTACAGACACGGTGGCCAATGTAGAGAGAGGGGCATGTGAGTGTGGGGTCCGAAGAGCAAAGAGACGGATGGAGGGTGGACCATGGCGGGCACTGCAAGAGGCCAGGGAGGACATGGACAGGGGTGTGGACTTGGTCCTGGTAAACGCTGCTGTTCCTGCTCCCGGCAGAGGCGTCCCACTGGAGGTGGGAGGAGACAGGCTGGGGTGTGCGGGGGCAGGTGGGAAGTGTGAGCCACAGGAGGCTACGGTGAAGGCGTGTAGTGGCTTCCAGACGAGGCATGGGGTGGGGATGGGCAGCAGGTGGAGCTAGCGCCCTTGGCCACCCCCAGGGCACCCCCAGTGCAGTGGGCACTTCTTCCCCTGCTGAAGCGTCTCTGCTCAGGGGCCCCAGGCTCTGCTGACAAGTGCCCAGCCGCGTTGCCCTCTGAGGGACAATTTACATGCAAAGTTCACAGAGGCCTGGGAGGGTCCCGGGGAACTGGTCTGAGGTGGTAACTGGCCTGGTTCCTTACGCTTTACTGACGCTGGCCCTTTGGGCCTCACCCCCCACCTTGCTCATATTTCCTGGAGTCACTCCTCAGCAGGTTCTCCACACCCACCTCTTTGTTTCCAGGTCCAAGGAGACAGGGCCTCACTTGGGAGCACGCAGTGTGCTGCAGGGTGACGAGAGGGATTGATCAGAGGCCTCTGATGAATCCCTTTCTGCTCTAGCCTGGCCGAGTAGGCAGGCGGCCCTGGGGCTGCACCTCCCACCCCGGGAGAGTGCATCCCAGCACCTGTGAGCACAGAGAGGACTGTGGCCAGGGTGACCGGCTCCACGGAGGAACCTGAGAGTGAGTCTGCTGGCACCGCCCGAGGCTCCAAAAGGTGCCAGAGCAAAGGGGCTGGGGCTACCGTGGAACCCTGTGTGCAGGGAGGAAGGGGAAGCTGCGGCGACCTCAGCCCCCCATAACTCGAGGGGCAAGTGGAGGGGTGGGCCTGTGCTCTGTGGGCAGGTGGGGCATTCTCTGGAGCCTTCCTGGGCCCCTGCAGTGTGGGGTGTGGCCATGGTCCGCAGGAAGATGGATGGCCGAGACATGTTGGGCCATGGGGGTGCTCTGCATTCCTGCTGTCCCGAGCTGGACAGGCTGGCCCTCCTGTCTCATCCTGATGTCCAGGCCAGCAGGCAGGGCCTCCTTTGCTAAAAGATTAACTCTCTAATTGTCTGGAAGCCAAGACAGTGGCCCAGCCCTGCAGAGGGGTTCCGGAGAGATGACGCTGTCCAGGGGTTGAGAACGGTTTTTCCCTTTCAGGTAGTTCCTTGCCCCATTGTCCGCCCCGCTGGCTGGGTCCCACCGGCACTGCACCCTTGGGTCTGCTGTTGAAGTACGGGGCAGCAGACACCAGGATGAGGACAGCTGTGTGCAGACTGCTCCCTCCACGCCTGGGCCCTGGGCACCAGCTGAGCCCAACAGACAGGCGGTGGTCTGGGTGGGATCCGTGGAAGTGGACAGCTGTCACTCACGGCCGCGTCCCCTGGGCATCCTCTCAGCCACCCTGGTGCTTCCCCCAACCATGAATTCTGCCTTCTGAGGTGAAATACTATCATGATAATTACGAAGCTTCCCTCAGAGCTGAGGTGTAGGCATGAGACCTGGTTGTCAGCTGTCCCCGCGACAGTCTTGGGTATGAAAGGGAGCGGTTTGCCACAGTGGCACGCACGGGGAACCTGACTTGGGGTCCCCCTGGCCGCAGTGGAGGCAGCAGGTGCTGGGGCTGTCCTGTGGGAGGCTGGCATCTCCCGGCTACACGGGACACTCCAGCTCCTTGTTCCCATGAGACATCCCACCCTGTCCCAGAAATAATTTAAGCCATCCAGAGTCCTCTAATCAATCCCTTTCTGCTCACACTAGCTGGAAAAGGTTCAGTTGGTTCTTGACCAGCAGTGTTGACCCTTTGGGGAGTTAATTCCCTAAATGATTGCAGGCCACAAGTGCTCCAGGAAATGGGAATGGGTCCTCGTCCTGGCAGGTGTCGAAAGAAAGCATTGGTGGACCAAAGAGGCAGTGGTTGTCCTCTGGATCCATGCTCCCTCCTTCCTGATGCAGGGCTGGGCAGCACCCCCGACACGCCATGCGGTAGGCGTGGCTGTGATTCAGCCTCCTGGGCTTTTGCAGGCTCAGGCGGTAGATGGTGGCGGTGGCGGTGGCGGTGGCGGTGGCGGTAGTGCTCCCTCACGCCCTCTTCCTATCCTACGGCGATCCCGCTGTGGCCAGGCAGACGACGCAGGAGCTGAGGGCTGCCCGACGGCACGGCAGCAGGAGGCTGGGCCCCGAGCGGCCTCTCCCTCAGAGTGGCGCCTGCTGGAGAGGGGCAGAGTTTCAACTCCTCTGCTGCTGGCTGTTTTTGTTACTTGGCCTTTTATGCCGGCTGCTGCAGACAGGAAGAGGAGCATGAGGGCGGGGAGGCTGGAGCCAAAGGATGAGGTAGATGTCCCCCTCCCCACCCCACCCGTGCCCCCAGACCAAGCATCAGGGGTGAGTCAGAGGCCATCAGCCACCCCCGACCACCTCCCATCCACCACCCCCAGTCTGGGCTGCTCGCCTTGGGAGCGCTGCTTTGCCTGGAGAGACAGCCCTGCCTGAGGCTTGAATGACACACAAATCCTCCCTCCCCAAGCCTCGGTCAGTACCGGGTCTGCTTGGCCTTCTGTGATCCCCCACAGGCCCAGGCCTGGCTCTCCCTTGTGCTGTGGGTTCGGGGAGACTGGGAGTGACCAGGCAAGGTCAGGGCTTCGGATCAGGGTGTTAATTTTCTGCCGGTAGGCTGCCATGCCGAATCACCACAACCTTGGTGACTTAAAACCACAGCGTTTATTTCCTCACAGCCCTGGCAGCCAGAAGCCTGGGATCCGGGTGTGGGCCGGCCACGCTCTCCCAGGTTTCCTGCTCCTCCAGCTCCAGGAGCTCCCAGGCACTCCCTGGTGTGGGGCCTCGTCCCTCCAGCCTCTGCCTTTGTGCTCCTGTTTCTCTTCCTCTGTCTGTCTCTAGCCTGCGCTGCCTCTTTCTTAGGAGGCATTTGGAGCCCCCTGGATAATCCAGATGAGGGCTGCCTCTCTGAAGACCCCTGAACTAATCACAGCGCTCACTGAGTGAGGTGACATGAGGTTTGGGTCCAGGATCAGCAAGTGATGATGCCTTTGGGGTCATCCTTCTGGGCAGCCCCCTGGGGAGCTTTTCCTCCCCGGTCACTTGTGGGATAATTAGGGACTGGGGAGCCCTTGGTGAGCCTGTGTCCGTGGGCACGGGGACAGGAAGAAGGCGGCTTTCTGAGGGTGTCTGTGGTCCATGTTGCCGCTGCTCTAGGGAGGACAGGCCCAGCGGAGCAGCTGATGGACTAAAAACTGGCCATCTTTGATCAGAGGGATCGTGGATTTTTGCAACTTTCCTGGCCAGACTTCGTCAAGGCCCTGCCGGCCTGCTGGACACTGATTGATCAAAGATTGATCAAACAGCTCCTCCCCTCACTGAGGGCAGATGCTTGCTTCAAGGATCAAACAGCCCGGCTCTGCCAGGCACCGCCCAGCAGCAGAAGGTTGTGCTTCAAGTCTGCACAGCCCTCCAACTTTGGATGTTTCTTAGACCACCGGGGATGCAAGTCTTCTAGTCCTTTCTATTCAGACCAGCACTGACGGTGAAGGAGCTGAGGCCAGGGTTGGCCATGTGGAGGCGTAGGTGAGCGTGTGCCTATGTTGCGTACGTGTGCATCTGTGTCACGGGCACATAGGTGTGCGTAGGCAGGTGTGTGACTGCACGTGTGAAAGCGTGCGTGTTCAAATGTGTATGTGTGCGTGTGTAAGACGGGCACATGCATGTCACGGGCACATGGGCAGGTGCGCAGGCATGTGAGGGTGTCTAGGAACGCGTGTGAAGTGTGTTGTTCTGGGTGCGCATTTGCGTGTCCATGCATGAGCTATTTTCCGTGTGTGCACGTGTGTGCACCTGGGCTGTGGGTATGTGAACAGCCGTGAATGAAACTCCACAGGAAATGGGCAGTAAGACCTCATGTGTATTGGGATTCGGTTCCACACCCCTTGGAGCACTGCACTGCCCTCTGACACAGAGCCCAGGACCATGCCTCTAGGGGAAATTGTGTGGCACTGACAATTCGATGTGGCACTTAGAAAGGTGGCCTGAGATACTCAGTTAAGTGTCTTGAGGGGACAGTGCCGTTTCCCTGATTAAAGAATTGGCTCATCTCCTGCATCGCAAGGCTGTGAGAGGAGAAGTGCAGGGCTTCCCTTCCCTGTCGAACGCCCTCCTGGCCCCCGACTGCTGTCTTGGCTGAGCACAGGGACCCCATGGGGACAGATCTGTCATCTGAGGGGTCCCCTCACTTGCTGTGACAGCTGGCCCAGATCTCTGGGGCGCACTTTGTTTGCTTTGCCAAAAGTCATCACCAAGAGGAAGGTCATCTCTGCAGAGCCCCAGTGACTGGCTGGCCCCACATTGGAAGAGGCCCCGGGATGACACAGGTTTAGCCCCCATAGTCAAAAACCGGTCCAGCCCCCCTGCTGTCACCCACCTCCCAGACCGGGGGCACACGCTTGCTCCTTCTGGAGTGAGGAGGCCCTGTGGGGTCCTGTCCAGTGGATGCTTGGCCGATGCCATCTGGACCCCCACTTCTTGCTGTGCAGGCTGGGGTCTGTCCTGCTTCCCAAATAGCTGCAGGGAAGTCAGCCCCCTGAGCCTCAGCTGGCCTATGAACATGAGTGGTGCCGGGATGTCGTCTCTCTTTGACTCATGAGGTTTTGAGGATCAAATGAGAGCTTATGAAGCACCTACCGTGTGCCTGGCGCTTGCGGGGAGCTACTTGCGGGGAGCTCTCCGCCCAGATGGTCATGTGACCCACCATCAGACCAGCTGAGTCCCACGGCACCTGTCAGGCTGCTAAGTAGATGAGGGAGATTCAAATCCAGCTCTCTCTGGCAGCCCCTCCAGTGCTACCCAGCCTGGCTGAGAACACTCACCCTCAGCTGAGGTGCTGGAAGAACCCACAGGCTAGCTGGGTGCAGCCCGGCCCTCCCCGATCCTGGCTGAAGGCTTCCGGTGTCCTGCTGACCTGCGGCAGGGGGCCAGAGTGAGCACAGCACTTCCTTTACCGGCTCCACCCTGCTTCCTGGGAGAGGATCGTGAAGCCGAGATTGCAGGTCCCCCAGGGTCCCCTGAGGCTGTCAGATGGCTGTCTTGGAGTTTCACGAGGTGGCTCATCTTTACTGCTCCTCCTTATGCTGGGTTGTGACAGTCTCCCTTCTTGAGCAGCCTCCAGGCAGGCTCCTCTGAGCCATTTTTCAACTAAGCCCAGCCTTGGGCCTTGTCATTAGGAGTCTATTTTATTTTATTTTATTTTAATATTTTATTTTATTTTATTTTATTTTATTTTATTTTATTTTTTGAGAGAGTCTCTCTCTGTCACCCAGTCTGGAGTGCAGTGGCACGATCTTGGCTCACTGCAAGCTCCGCCTCCCGGGTTCACGCCATTCTCCTGCCTCAGCCTCCCGAGTAGCTGGGACTACAGGCACCCGCCACCACGCCCAGCTAATTTTTTGTATTTTTAGTAGAGATGGGGTTTCACCATGTTAGCCAGGATGGTCTCGATCTCCTGACCTCGTGATCTGCCCACCTCGGCCTCCCAAAGTGCTGGGATTACAGGCATGAGCCACCGTGCCCGGCCAAGGAGTCCAATTTTGGCGAGAATCCTGCCGCGTCAGTTAGAGAGAATCCCCATCCTCAGTATCTGATCACCCTTGATATCGGGCCAATTCCTCATCCCCACCATCCCCAGTGATGTCTGATCACCCTGGCTGGCCTTTGCCAAGAATCTGGTTGGCTCAGTTGAGCCAGAGCCTCCGGGACTCCTGATGCCCCCTCAGAGTCATTTTCCACCCACTGCCCCCCGGCTCCTCGGCTGTAAATCCCCACCGGTCCTTGTATCCTGAGCGGAGCCTAGTTCTCCACGGAGCTCTGTTTCCCTGTGTTGTAATAGTGCCTGATTCCAACCTGCTTCTCCGGCCTTCACTCTGTCCTGCTGTGCCTCTTTGAGAGCTGAGTGGGTGTCTTTGGATGCAATGCACAGGGCGGCTGGGAGCCCCTGCCCTGGGAATGTCACGTGTGCCTTTCCACCCCAGCAGCCTTGTCTTCCACAACTGGTGTTGGCAAAGCAGTGGAGACGCCCACCCCACCCAGGGCGATCCACCTGGTGGCTGGTTCCAAGCCTTTGGGGTGGGGAGGAGAGAGAGTAAAGTTAGGTGGCTGCCCGCACTCTTGCCCCAGTGGGTCATGTGGCAAACAGGACCTGGACATCCTCAGGGCAGTGAAGGCCAAGGGGAAGCAGGATCCATAAGCTCCTCTCTTCTTCTCTCTCCCTCCCTCCCCCTCTCCCTCCCCTCATGTCCCTTCCCTTCTCTTCTCTCCCCAGGGCCCCAAGAATGGCCCCAGTGTGTCTCCCTCGGCCTTCCTTCCTGGGCCTTCCTGGGCTGCTGTCCCTTCTGGAAGCTGAGCCTTCCAGCCTTGGGAGATGCACTGTGGATGTCCACTTCAGTAGACACTTAGGCAGGGCAGAGTGAGGCTGGGTGGCAGCAAGGAGGGCGAGGGAAGGGCTTTCTGGAGGCTCAGGGAGCCATGAGTGCCCAGGCCTCATCCTCTTTGACAAGGACGTTGTCCGAAGGTGGCCCCGAAGCAGGGGCCAGACACAGTGGTGGCTGCTGTTTGCGAGGCTCGGCTCCAAGCAGGAACGAGCCCCTTGGCTGAGGGGATTCGTGTGGGAGGGTCAGGGTCTGAAGCCACTGCCAAGGTCTGAGGCTGGTTCAGCTGCTTACAACCTTGGGAAAGGACTGGCCCTCTGCATGACTCAGTCTCTGCATCTGTGAAGTGGGGTCATAGCAAACCCTCCCTCACAGCACCATGATGGGGATAGGAGGAAGGAAGGCCTGCGGTGCCCTCAAGGGCTGGCATGGGGTGGGGGCCACCCAGGAAGGCTCGACAAGGATTCTCATCATTTTCTCTTCAGCGCTAGTGGCTTTGGCTCCTGGTGGGGTGCCCGAGGCCCTCAGGGTAGCATGGCCACTGTGCTGGGCACCCGGACGCCATCCTGTAGAGGTCAGGCCACTGGCCACCGACTCTGAAGCTTTGCCTTCTCAGGTGTCAGGTGGTGGGAAAGCAGGGCTGCGCGCGTCACTAGTGCAGAAACTGCCCAGGGCAATGCGCAGGTGAGGGGTGTCCAGGCCTTGTCCTGAGCGAGCAAGGGAACCCCTCAACATTCCAGTGCTTTGTCTCCCAAAGCAAGGCTGTTCCAGTTGATTCTACCCTCCCAGGTGCACTCATGGAGCACCTGCCACCCTGGAGCTTGAGGCTGCCTCTAGGACTGACCGTGGCCACAGCCTGGGGTAGTAGCCTATTGCTGCTGCCATAGGTAGAGAAAATAGCATGGGCCTCCTGCATTGGCATCCACCAGAGAAAGGGACCTCTTTGTCCCGTGGTGGTCCGTCTCCTGCCTCTCCCTGAAGCCCTTGCTTCCCAGCGAGGGCTTGGCTGGTGCTCCCCTCTGTCCAGTCCCAGGGTTGGAACATCCTCCCTCCACGGTCTTTTAGAGTCCAGAGGGGTGGACTCCGCCCTCAGAAGTGCTTGGGGCCTTGCCTCCTGTCTTAGCTCCTCCCACCAGGGTTTTCTGCCAGCCTCCGCATAGCTCTCATTACCCAGCCTTTGTTGTCCAATGCGGGCCCTGTAGGATGGGAGTCCAACACCATGGCTTCTGGAAAAGGGAGAGGCGGAGTGGCCGGGACCCACGGGGCTTCTGCAGTGCACTTGCGTGCCTGTGGACATCCTGAGGCCTGGGGCTCATTCCCAAACAGCCAGGTCAGAAACATGCCTAGAAGCCTGGTTTGATGAATCTCCAATGTGCCAACCCCAGATGGAGAAAAGGAAGGGTTTGGGGAGGCACGGGCTGAACTATTTGTGTTTATCTCCACAATGATCTTGTGATTGGGGACAGCGTGGGAGACCTGTCACTCCTGCATTCTGTTTTCCTCTCTTCTTCTCCATTTAATCATCATCTGACCCCCTAGGAGGTTGGTTCCTGCATTCCAGGATGGATGAACCACAGCAAAGAAACCTTAACAGCTCCTCCCTTGCCTGGCCGAGTGGCCCTTCATGGCAACGTCCACCCAGCACCGGTGTCCCGGCGCCTGGGAGTCAGCCCGCTGCAGCCCACAGGCTCCTCCCGACGCACGGGGACGAGGGCTCAGAGCCTGGCACTGCCGACCCCTTTGTCAGGGCTCCGTGCGGCACAGCAGGGCCAATCTGGCCTGGGGTGGGACGACACCTGTGCCAGAGGCTGTAGACGGACGGTCCCAGCGTGCCCGACACACCCTGCACCGGAAGGCACCTTAGCATGTGGCATCTCCCAGCACACCGTGCCTGGCAGGAGGCTCCGAGAAAGTCAGGCCCCTGGCATCCCGGCCCAGAAGCTACCCCAGAGAAACCCAGTCCTGCAGGGTTCATTCCGGCATAACTCCAACTCTTTACTAGACTTTCCTGATACCAGGAAGGGAGCACGTGGCACCCATCAACTCTCCTGAAAGCCCCTCCTCTTCCTCCACTCCCCTTAGGCACGATGCCCAATGCCTTTCGTCTGCCCCAGGCTTCTTGAAATCAACACAAAACAAGCCTACTTCTCCCCGGTCCCTAAATTCTCCCCAGCCTCTAACTTCTCCCCAGCCCCTAGCCCTGGGGTTTCTCATCCTTGTTAATATTCCTTCCCTTCTGCTAAGCCTGTTTAAAGAATGAAAAAAAAAAAACAAAACTAAACCAAAACAAATAGGCGTGCCAGCCACGGAAACCCCCTTGGAGGGTGGGGAGAGGAACACACACAGTGGCCCCCTCTAGTCTCCTGAGGACGTTGGGGAAGCCAGTGAAGGGCGTCCTGCTAGGGATTTGGGTGAGTTGTTGCTGCAGGATGAGGGGTGATGCTGGGGCTCCGCTGGGACGTGTCAGGACTCAGGGGGGCCGGGGCTGGCAGCCCCAGGGCTTCTCCATCACCCGAGGCCTGTGGAGCTTCACGTGCCTCAGGGATTCCTCTCCTTCCTCCTTCCTCTCTTGCCCCCCTCTCCTCTCTCTCCTGCCTCCCCTCCTCCTCCTCCTCCCGGTCTCTCCTGTCTCTCCCGCTCCTTGTCCTCCCCTCTTCCTCCTCTCTTGCATGTGGCCCGCACACCTCTCCTGGCTTCTCTACTGCCCCTGGCCTCTCAGGTCCCACGCCTGCCTTTACCATCCCATAGTCACACCTCTCTTGCCCATACTCTGGGAGGAGAGGCTCCAGCCAGGCCAGCCCAGGCTTCCAGGGCTCCACGGTGGGTCTGTGCCCACTCTTGGGCCTCCCCGTTTGCTCATAGAGGGTGGGGGAGGATGAGCAGAAGGAAGGAGGGAGAACAGATGTTTGCCTCCTGCCAACCAAGCCTCCTGTTCTCCTGAGAAGAGTGCTTCAGAGATCTGAGCGTCGCCAGCCACCCCGGGAATAGACATCAGCTTCATTGTGCTTCTCCTTGAACTTCGTGGCTACCCTGAGCCCCACACCAAGAACACCCAGCCCCGGCTCCATACCTCCCACCTAGTTCTTGTCCTCCTGGGCCTCATTGTAGGCCCCAATTCTCCATGCAACCCATGCCCCAAAGCGTCCACCAGCCCCCATGGCCCTGTTCGGTGTGTCCTCTGTGAAGGCAGCTTCCAGACGTCTGTCCCAGCCCTGTCCTCCTGCTGCCTCAGCGATGTTCCCTAAGACCATTGATTATCCGTTTATTCATTTACCCAGGGAGATGGAACATCGGGGACGCACTGCTTCTCTCCTGCTCACGTAGAACTTGAGGACAGAGGCTCTGTCTGGCATCTGAAGACCCAGCAAAGCCCAGCTCTGCCAGCAGCTTGCCAGGACCTGAGAAAGCCCCTCTCTCCCCGGGCCTCAGTTTCCCCAGATGTACGTGGAGGGATTGGCCTAAATGAGCTCAGCGGATCTCATGGCCCCGATCCTGGCAGGTTGGTGACTGGCTGCCCTGTCCCCAGCCCTGTGGGGGTTCAAGGTGTGAGCCTTGTGGTGGGGGTACACAGGGTCCCCCAAATTCATGTATATCCAGAGCCTCAGAATGAGACCTTATTTGGAAACAGAGTATTTGCGGATACAATTAGGTAAGGACCTCTAGCTAGAAGCATCCTGGATTTCGGGTGGGCCCCAAATCCAATGACTGCTGGAGAGGACGCCAGAGCCACAGGGAGAAGCGGCCACGTGGAGACGGAGGCAGAGGCTGGAGTGAAGTGGCCAAAAGCCAGGGCGCGCCTGGGCCACCAGAAGCCGGACGAGTACAGGAAGGTCCTCCCCTAGAGGCTTTGGGAGAGCCATGGCCCTGATGATGACACCTTGGGTGTGGACTGCCGGCCCCCAGAATTGTGGAGATACGTTTCTGTTGTTTTCAGCCACACAGTTTGTGGTGCTTCGCTCCAGCAGCCACGGAACATGGATCTGAGCCCCGAGAGATTCCTGGATGTGGGAGACCCACCCTCTGTCCTTGGTGGTTGGTGAGGGCTGCAGGATTGGGGCTTCTGATGTTATTGTCCTGGGGACAGACTCCCTGGGCAGGATCACGGAGGGGGCAGACTGAGCTGGGACAAGGGGCATTCGGGCCTCGGGCAGTGGGGCAGGCCCTAGAGTGGCAGCCAGTCATCACAGTGATTTCCCTGAACGGGCAATGTTCCTTTCCAGGCTTAGTGCCCTGGCGGCCTCGGGGAAGTGGAGAAAAGAGAGGGGCACCAGGGTTACGATTCTCAGCTTACTGAGGTCTGATGTGAATGGCATGCAAGCCTCTGGCCAGGACCGGCCAGTGCCACCTTCTGAGCATGTTCTGAGTGTTGACTCTGCGCCGGGCACGGGAGATGAGGCTCCGGCTCTGTGGAGCTGCATCCGGCTGGGGAGAGATGGACAAGAGAGAGCAAACACCCCCGTGCCGGGCTTCACATGTTGAGCCCAGGAGCAGATGGTGTGACCTGGGCAAAGGGCTCAGAAGAAGGCCCCACCGGGCACCCCCGAGTGTCCCCAGAGCCTCTGTGTGTTCTGGGCACTGTTCCCAGAGCTGCCCTGAGCCAACCGCACAGTCACCACACCTACCTTTGGAGCAGGCATTTGGCAGACAAGCAGGCAGAGCCCAGGGTTAGAACAAGCACTGCTCCGGCAGGAGGCAAGGGGACCCAGGCTGGCCCGAGCGCGTCCTCCCACCTGCCTCTTTGCCAGCTGCTGCCAAGCTTCGGAAACGATCCTGGAATTCAGCTCCGTCAGGGCTTTGCCTGGATGGGCCATGGTCTAGTGAGCATTCATATTAATAGTACTCATTAATATTAATCAGACCAAATGTGATGCATGTCATTTTGTTCTCACAACCACCCCAGGTACCACCTGTGACTCAGATTAGGAGACCAAGGCTCAGAGAAGCCGAGCAGCCTGCCTGCCTCACGCGGGGCGGGGAGTGGGGGCAGTGCCAGAGTCCAAAGTCTGACCATGTGGTCCAAAGCTCTGGCTGTCACCTGGACACGGCGCTGTCACCTGGACATGACGCTGTCCCGAAGGCGCAGAGGCGACAGCGCCCGCACCCCACGCTCGAGCTTCAGAGACGCTTTGCTCACTTCACACTGCCAGAGGCGCAAGAGCCCGGGGCGAAGACCCGCTGGTGAGCAGGGACCACGGCGCCTGGCCCGCTGGGCTGGGTGTCGGTGCTCCCCAAAGCTCCGGGCAGACCATCCATCACCCGCCGGGAGGCCAGCCGAGCCGCACGGTGCCGCTCGCTGGCTGGGGGCTCGCAGCCAGGCAGCAGAACAGGGGACTCAGGAACCCGGCAAAAAGAACCTCCAGTCAGGGAAAGATTGCTTCCTGACAGCTAATAGCCCTTTCTGAAACCAAAAAAGTGTTTCCCCTTTATTCCAGCACAGGAGAAATGGTGAGACATGCTGGCAGAATTATAGCAACTTTTTAGCTCCCGGAGGGAAGAAAAAGCCCCATTGCTATGAAATAAAACCGCACTCAGCCCCGATCCTCGGTGAGTCACGACTCGGGAAGCGGGAGCTGAAACCCCCACCACGCACAGGGGCCCCAGGCTTCCCCAGCAGAGCTGCCCGCCAGGCGGGGTCTAGACAGGGTGGTGGATGGCAGTCGCCCACTGCCCTAGGCCCATTGGAGTCAGAGTGCAGCTATAGCCAAGAAGTAGCTGCTGAGTCCGTCCCGGAGACCGGCCTGGGGAGGGGAGCCCATGATCTGTTTGCCCAGATGCTGAGGCATGATCCAGAGCACTGCCTGTCCGGCTGGTGCTGCACACATTTGGGCTGCTAGGAGACAGGGTGGAGAGGCAGCTGGAGCCAGAATGCAGTGTGCAAACGGAACGTTGTGCCACCTAAACGCTGAGCCACATGGGTGGCGGGAAGGGAGACCCACAGGTGCAGGGGTCTGCATCACTGTCCAGGCTTGGACCCTGGTGAAAGAAGGTGCCTGGTTTTGCTGGAGCAACAGGAAGTGAACAGGGGCCTTGCCGGAAGCTGTGCCCACGGGCTCTGACCTTTGGGAGGGGTCGCAGCTCCCAGATTCCCAGGCTGTCTCAGGAGGTCCTGCGGAGGTTGAGACTGGCATTGGGGATCCCAAAGATGAATGTCTGTGGGTGCGGGGAGCGCAGTTTTGGGTTGCGAACAGGGGCTCCCTTATCAGAGGTGGGCCACGAACACTCAGCCCAGAGTGGCTGGAAAAAGTCATCTGGGAAGGCTCACCGGCTGTCTCTGGAGGGAGTGAGCCGTGCGTCACTACAGGTATTCAAATGAACACAGCGATTGCAGTGGATTGTATACAAGTTATAGGAAGGGAGAGCTGCAGGGGACCTCAGGGATCGTTCCGTCTGATGCTGTTTCCTCTGAGGAGGAATTGCCCCAAGACCCCAGCTCAGTGCTGCAGGGTCATGGCTAAGATGCCGGCATCCAGACCTGCAGCCCAGGGGCCTTCCACAGGCCCCTCCCGCCCTTCTACAGTGCTGTCTGGGCTGCCAGGGCGGGCATGGGGGCTGCCCTGGTCCCCCTCGTGCACTTTTGGGCTGGTCTGCTGACCATAGACGGGCCTCGGGTCCCCAAAAAGCCCCCAAGATCATCTCTCCGGAGACTATGTTTCTGACAGCAGCTGAAAGCTCACAACTTTCACTGGACACCTGCTGCCTGTCAGGCTGGAACCAGGCCCCTTGCTCTGCTATCTCAGTCTCCTTCCAAGGCAGGAAGAAATGGAAACTCAGAGAGCCCAGGGCCATCCCCAGGGCAAGCCGCGGGGCTGGGATTTCCTCTGGGTCCCGACTGACGCTGGCGCAGCTTGAGTCCTCCACACTCATCACCAACTGCCAGCTTCTGACGTCCAAGGGAAGAGACAGTAGCCAGCAGGCAGAGACAGCAGAGGTTGCAAGGGCCCCGGGGCAGGGGCACAGATGGCATGTGGGGCAAGGTGAGAGGCGAGGGGAGTGGTGCCCTGAGACCTGCACAGGGGTTACCAGGTTAGAGTCAGGAGTGATTCACGCAGGGCCAAGGTTGAGCAAATGAATGAATGAACGGCCAGGATGCAGGGGACAGCGGAGAGGCTGGAAAGGAGGCGAGGGCTGGGAAGTGGACAGCCGTGAGCAGCGGATGAGGGTGGAGCCTGGGCATGCTCTGGAGGAGGAGGTGGGAAGTCACACAGGCTGCCCTGAGGCTGCGGGGAAGGGGACATGCTCAGGCTATGCTTCAGGGAGGGTCCTGCCTGGGTGGCCTTGGAGGGGACAGTGAGGAGGACAATGAAGAAAGGCCACCGGGCACTAGTCTGGTGGTCAGAAGAGCCTCAGCCAAGGTGTGGCAGAGGCGCCAGCGAGGTGGTGTGAAGGCAGGCCGGGGGCCTGGGGTCGGGGAGCAGGCAGCAGGAGTGTGGAGGGCAGATTGGCCCAGGACACACACCAGACATTGGGGGTTCAGAAGGGGCACTCAGGGTGGGAAGCAACCTCTCCCAACCCCTCACGTTAATCTCCACGCTTTTCCTCTAAGTACCAAACTTCCCTGCAAAGGCCCCAGCAGCCCTGGCAGGCTCTTCCTCGCCTGTGGCTGCCCGATGGCTCCTCCTGCAGGCCTGGGCTTGCTGGGGTTGCAGGGTCAGGGGAACCATCCCGGCGTATCTCAAACCTGTGCAGCTTCATGGCGCGTGCCAGGAGAAGCTCTGTAAAATTCACGGGCTGGCTCCTCTTGGAGCATCAGGAGAAGCAAACAGAGAGACAGGCCTGGCATTGAAACTACCAGCAGACATCGCTCATCTCCCACAAAGGTGCAGACGGCAGCTGTCACGATGCAGAGAGCAATGGGCGATTTGTCAGTGGGAACCAGAATGAACTTAGATTTGTTCTTGAGAATCATCTCACCCAGAGCCCTCAGGATGGTTGGCTCTTGGCCGGCTCAAACTCAGGGGCGGGGCAGCCACAGGCCATGGCCCGCACCCTGCCAGGAAGCCTAAGGTTTCCTCGTTTATCAGTCCACAAGGTGCTCAGCCCCTGCAGATGGATTTGGCTGCGGCTAATGTATCTGCTGCACTCTTGGTTGAGTGGATCTCCCGATTTCCAAGTGAATTGCAACCTGTTATTTTTATAATGTGGAAAAAAGCCCACCCTGGGCTTAGCGGCCTTTACATCCCCTCCCCCAGCCTGCTGGTCCTTTCCTTCTGACCTGGTTGGGGGCCTGCTGCCTGGTGGCAGGCTGGGCTCTCCTTCAGGAGAGCATCCAATCATCTCCACGCAGATGCTGCCCCGGAGAGAGCCATAGAAGGCGTTAAAGCAGAGATTCAGCGCCGACTTGTCACGCTTGAAAATAAAATGGACCAGAATGATCTCATGCTGGAAACTTTATGAAACAAGCTCTTCCCCGCCAGGGTTTATTGGGCACCTCCCGTGCGCCAGGCGGTGTCTCATCCTCACAGCCTCTCCCAGGCCTGGCGACTGCTGCCCCTATTTCAGCAAGAAGAATGTGGAGGCTGATGCCTTGTCCATAGCTGGATGGTAGCCAGGGAAGAGTGGGCCTGGCCTCAGCCCTGTAGACACCCAACTCTGAGGTCCTTTTACTAGGCTGATGGAGGTTTAGAAGAGATGACCTTGAACACCCTTGAGGTCATGAAATAAAGGGAGGGATCTAGAAAGCCGAAGAAAAGGAGAACCACTCCAAGGACCCCGGAAGCTTTAAAATGGACCCTCCGAGGCATGGCCAAAGGATTTTATTTCACATGCTTTCTTCAAGTCTCGTGAATACGCCGTCAATACTCCAGCTAACTAACCTTTCTGAATCACACCAGTTCCCAGTCGCCCATGAGGATGAAGGCCTTGGGAATAGTCGGACATTGGGATGGAGCAGAGATGGACATTGGGAGTGATTTTCAGCAGAGGGGTGGTCTGGGGGCTCCTGCCGGACGGACAAGCGGCTCCCCACTCTGGGGCCCCACGTTGCCAGGTGGGGGTGGTTGACTGGAGGCCGCTCTGACAGCCTGAGCCTGGCTTTATATTTAGGTTGAGTAGGTGGCTGCCTACTTGGTGTGATTTCACAGGCTCTTGAGGGCCTCTTCCAAACCCCAAAATACCTCCTCCACCTGCTTCCTGGTGCTGGAACTTCTCTGATAAGAGAACAGCTTCCTGTTCCTAAGTTAGAAAGAAAGCTGGCTTGCCCCTTTGTGTTGGAGCCAGCACTGATCTAAGTGAGCTCCCCAGCGAGCAGCAGGTGCAACATAGTTTTGGGGGCTGAGAAGGCCACTTAAGGCCTTGTCCAGAAAGGCATTGCAGAGTCCCCTCCTGGTCCTCTGTGTCTCCAGGGAATGTGTAGGAACTCATGGCAGTTGATCCTTGACCTTTGCAGAACCAGGCTGTCTCCCAAATGCAAGGTTTGATGCATCCCTGCCTCTAATGATGCTGCCTTCCAGCCTGAGAGGCCAAGGACACTGACAGTTTTATACCTACACCATCACACATCAGGACACGCTGAGAGAGGAAAGAAGAATGTGCCACAAGGCATGGCCTATCAGATGAGGGCATTCGAGCTGAGGCTTTGTTGGGTGAATAGGAGTTCACTAGACAAGTAATAAGAGAGAGGTTTCCACGCGGTGGGAACAGTGTGTGGGATGGCTCAGGCAGGAAGGGGCTGGCACGTTAAAGGGCACCATGGAAGCAAAGGGGCCCAGGCATTGAGGGGGGAAAGCTGGGAGACGGGGCAGAGAGAGGCAGACAGGAGCCAACCTGTACTCACAGTGGGGCCACACCCAGCAGCACGGCAGTTAATGACACCGGGCGCCTGTCAGGGATGCGCTCAAGGCCCCACCCAGGGCCCAAGCTCCAGGAGATCCCAAGGTAGATGGCCTGCTCTGAGAGCTTGAGAGCTGCCACCAGGTTGGGCAGAAAACTGGGCCTTCCAGCCTGGGTGAGGGGGTCCGCTTGCTGAACAGTCACGTGCCTGAGCTCTGGGGACATGGCAGGCCCAGCTCCGATCGGCTTTCCTCACCCTTCAGGGCCCGCAGGCCAGGGGGGCTCAGCTCCCAGGGTGGTCAGTGCTCAGCAGAGGATCTGTACTTGTACTCTGATTATACCTGAGAGCATTTCAAGGACAAGGGACACACCTTTGGCCTCTCTGTATCCTTCAGAGAACCTGACACAGTTCTGGGCTCAACAGACACAACGAGGATGGATTGCAGTGCAGAAGCAACCCAGGCCCTGCACCCGCGAGGCCGCCTGCCGACCTGCTTCCTCGCATCCCCGTCACCTGTTTTGCTTTTAAAAATATGTTTCAGATCATTAGGGCAAAAATGTTCAAAGCAGAGTAAAAACTCATTAGTTCAGACCCGGTTATTCGGGAATCTAGAATACCACGTTCTGAGCATCCGGTTTAATGAACACATTTACGAGGTAAAAAATTGAGAGTTCTTAGTTTTCTTGAACCAGCTACTGATTCCACCTGCTAACCTTTTGGGGTAAAAGACTGTGGTTTTACTGGAAAACATGTTCTCATGGCAAAGGATTGCTGACTGCCTTCTGAGGCACTCACGTGATCCGCTAAGGTGCGATCAGAGGCTGCAACTGTTCAGAGCTGCCCTGGGCTCCCGTGTGGGACCTCAGACTGTGCTGTTTCCCTGCAGTGGCCTCTGCTTATGGGCATCGTTAGAGAAAACATTAACCTGACAGTTGTTAAAACGGCAAGGAATTGGGAGGCCGAGGCTGTTGGATCACCTGAGGTCAGAAGTTCGAGACCAGCCTGGCTAACATGGTGAAACCCTGTCTCTACTAAAAATACAAAAAAATTAGCCAGGCATGGTGGTGCATGCCTATAATCCCAGCTACCTGGGAGGCTGAGGCAGGAGAATTGCTTGAACCCGGGTGGCAGAGGTTGCACTGAGCCAGGATTGCAATATCGCACTCCAGCTTGAGTGACAGAGCGAGACTCCGTCTCAAAAAAAAAAAAAAAAAAAAAAAAAAGGGAGAGGGGGCAAGGAAGACTTTATTCAGGACTATTGCAATAGGTGTCAAAACAATCACAGTGGGAGAGAGAAATCAGGCTCAACTCTCAATGCCACAGGGCAGCTGGGATTTGCAGGCATTGAGTGGAGCGAGGGTCGGGGTGGAAAGTTATGAAGAGCCAAGTTAGACACCAAAGCCCAGGGGTTATTGCTACAGGCAGTTCAAGGACTTTGATATCCAGGATGGGGGATGAGGAGCTTGGGCCAACAACCAGGTTGAGGGCTTAGCCCAGGAGGGTTCTTGACCTCAGATATCAAGGGTGGGGGGACTTTTGCTAAGCAAACCTAGCAGGAGTTTTGCTAAAACCAGACTATGTGGCCAAAGATGAGGCCCATGAGTGAGGCCTCAAAAAGTAGGCTCAGGGGAGGCTGGCTGAGGTTTGGTTAGGGAGCGGGGGTCTTTGTCCTTGTGTCCTGGGAAGCTGGGAGGAAGCGTGAAACACGTAATGGGTTGCAGTCCTGGGGAGGGCTCCAAAATAATCAGCAGGTGGTGGGGGGCCCAGCGGCCACAGCTGCAGGCCGTGGAGCTGGAGATCTGGGTAGAAGCCAGTTCTGCCATCCACCATGTGAGTCCCCTCTAGTCTCAGGCCCTTGTCTATGGAGTGGGGACAAGAATCCCATCCTCAGGAAACTGGGGAAAAGCTTGGCACTGCAGAGGGCAAACAATATACTTCATTTACCTTTAATATTATTACACAAGCAGTGAACGCACACATTTTTATTCTGAAATATTCAAGCAAATGTCTATAGAATAAAATTTGGACGTCTCTTTGCTTTGTGACTTGCTCCACGTTAGCCACTGGTAAGCATGTCATACGCAGCAGCATCAGCATCAGCATCATCATCATCAAGATTATTTCAGTCGAGTGGGATCAGATTCAGCACAGCCCAGCCTCATCAATGGGGCTCAGAAGTCTCTGCATGTCAGTGTGATTGGTAAGTTCCATTCATTCTTCTTCCTTTTATTTTTATTTTTTTTTTGACACAGGGTCTCCCTCTGTCACCCAGGCTGGAGTGCAGTGCACAGCTCACTGCAGCCTCAACCTCCCAGGCTCAAGTGATCCTCCTGCTTCAGCTTCCTGTGTAGCCGGGACTACAGGCACGCATCACCATGCCTGGCTAGTTTTTGTATTTTTAGTAGAGACGTGTTTCACCATGTTTCCCAGGCTCGTCTCGAACTCCTGGGCTCAAGGGATCTGCCTGCTTCAGCCTCCCAACGTGCTGGGATTATAGGCATGAGCCACAGCACCGGCCTCATTCTTCTTAATGTGAAGCAGCTTTTGTATTTTTATGGACTTGTTCCCTTATTGATGGGCATGTGGTTCATCTAGTTTTTTGCTTTTTCAAATAATGCTGCAAATAACATGCTTGGATCACCATTGTAGTAGAGGATCCTGCCTCCACACTCCCAAAGCTGTCCACACCCTCATCCCCAGAACCTGTGACTATGTCACCTTGCATGGTGAAAGGGACTTGGTAAATGCAATTAGGGGTACAGACCCTGAGATAGAAGACCATCCTGGATCAACTGGTGGGCCCTTGAAAGCGTTCTTGTAAGACCTGCCAGCACTGTGATTTTAGACTTCTGATCTTCAGAGCTGTAAGAGAATAAATTTGTTCTTTTTAAAGCCATTCAGTTTGTGGAGATTTGTTACAGTGGCAATGGGAGACGAATGCACTCATCTTTGTGCACCTGGCCGGCTGCTGCTATAGACTAGAGTCCTAGACATGAATTTGCCCCACTGAAGGGTGTGCTCACTGTCCATTTCTATTGACACCGTGAAGTTGTCCAATAAATACGCTTTGCACGTTGACACTTCCATCGTGTGGGGCAACCCTGGTTGGTTGCTTCTCCATCCCGGAGCCAGGACTGGATGTTTTTCACTACTTAAAATTTTTGTTGGCTGGGTGCAGTGACTCACGCCTGTAATCCCAGCACTTTGGGAGTCCCAGGCAGGTGGATTGCTTAGCTCAGAAGTTCAAGTCCATCCTGGGCAACAGAGCTAAGCCCCATCTCTACAAAAAATAAAAAATTAGCCAGGTGTGGTGGTGCGGACCTGTAGTCCCAGCTACTCAGGAGGCTGAGGTGGGAGAATCACTTGAGACCAGGAGGTGGAGGCTGCAGTGAACCAAGACCATGCTACTGCACTCCAACCTGGGCAACAGAGCAAGACACTGTCTCAAAAAAAAAATATTGAAAATTTGGAGACAAAATATTATCTCACTACTTTAATTTGAATTTATTTGAATTATTCTAATTGCATGCCCCCTACACCCTCAGTTGCTTGCTATGACCTCTGGTTATTTTTCTGTTGGGTTTGTCATAATTTTTTTCTTTGCTTGCAAGGGCTCTTCATATTTTCTATGAATGATAAGAATCCTTTGTTTATTTTAAGGGTTGCAGATATATTCTCCCAGTCTATTACTTGTCTTTTGAATTTTAGAAATAGTGCCTTTGGTCAAACAGAAGCTATAAGAACAGTTTTATGAGTAAAAGACGTCAGTCATTTTCTTCGTGGCTTTCGGGTTTCAGTTTACTTCACGTTTCCCTCTCCCAAAGAATATGAAAATGTGCTTCTTTATTTTCCTCCAAAACTTTTGTAGTCTATTAAAATACTGAACTCTTTAATTCTTCTGCTTTTTTGTGAACAGCTTGAGGTAGGGATCGAATTATTTTCTTCATGCAAGCTCCTACTGTCTCCATGCCATTTGCTGAAAAGGTTTTGCCATTGGATTTACTGCATCTTTTTCTAAAATCAGTGGCCATATCTGTTTGGGTCTATGTCTGAGGTTCCTGTTCTGTCCCATTAATCCATGTCTATCTTTGTACTGGTTACTCACTGTCTTGAGTACTGTAATGTAATAAGTCTTGAAGTTAGGTTATGTAAGTCCTCTATCTTTGATTTTTTCCCCTAAAATTGTTTTTGCTATTCCAGGTCCTTTGCTTTTCCAAATAAATTTTAGAATATGTTTGTCAAATCCTGTGAAAAAGTCTATCAGGATTTTGATTGGAATTGCACTGAATGTATATATCAATTAGGGAAAAACTGATATCTTAACAACATTGAGTCTTCTAATTTATGACCATGGGATATCTATCTATGTATCTGTGTATCTATCTATCTATCTATCTATCTATTATCTATCTATCTATCATCTATCTATTTATCTATCTATCATCTATCATCTATCTATTATCTATCTATCATCTATCTATCTATTATCTATCTATCATCTATCTAATATCTTTCAGCTTTTTTATCACTTTCAGTATATAAGAATTGAACATATTTTAATTTATTCCCAACTATTTCACTGATGTTCTTTTAAATGGTACTTTAAAAAAATGTAATTTCTGATGATTTGTTTCTAGCATATAGAAATACAATTGATTTTTATCTATTGACTGTTATGGACTGAATTGTGGCTCCTCCAAAATTTATATATTGAAGTCCTAACCCCCAGATCTTCAGAATATGATTGTAAAGATAGGGGCTTTAAGGAGGTAATGAAGTTAAAATGAAGTCATTACGGTCGGTCCTAATTCAGCATTGCTGTTGTTCTTATGGTAAGAGAAAATGTGGACACGCAGGTACAGAGAGAAGACCATGTGAAAACACAAGAAGAATATGGCCAGCTACAAGCCAAGGAGAGAGCCTCAAATGACAGCAAGCACACTGACACTTTGATCTTGGACTTTAAGTCTCCAGGACCATGAGAAAATGAATTTATCTTGTTTAAGCTGCCCAGCTTGCAGCCCTTTGTTGAGGCAGCCCTGGCAAACTTGTGTCCTGGGAAATGGTTAAATTCACTTATTAGAGATAGTAGCTTTCAAAATAATCCTTAGGGTTTTCTACCTAGACAATCCTGTTGCTGTCTGTGGTTAGAGACAATTCTACTTTTTCCTTTCTAATCTGTGTACCTTTTATTTCTTGTTCCTGCCTTCTTGCACTGGTTAGGACCTCCAATACAATGTTGAATGAAAGGGATGAGAATGGACACTCTTGCTTCATTCTCAATCTTTGGGCCAAAGCAGTCCTTCACCATTAAGTATGATGTCAGCTGTATGCTTTTCATAGATGTCCTTTATCAGGTTGAGGGAACCACCTTCTATTCCTAGTTGGCTAATAATTTTAATCATGAGTAGATGTTAGATTTTTGTCAAAAGATTTTTCTGCATCTATGGAGATGCTCATTTTTTGTTGTTGTTAATATGATAAATTACATTGATTGATTTGCAAATGTTAAACCAACCTTGCATTCCTGGATAAAACCTTGGTCATGGTGTGTATTATCCTTTTTATATATTGTGAGTTTCAATTTGCTAATATTTTATTGAGGATTTTTGCATCTATGTTCACAAGGGATATTGGCCTATAGTTTTCTTTTCTTGTAATTTCTTCTGTTTTGGCATCAGGGAAATGCTGGCTTCATAGAATAAGGTGGGAAATTCTCCCTCCTGTTCTGTTTTCTGGATGAATTGGTGTGGAATTGGTGTTAATCTGATAGAATTCACCAGTGGAACTATCTGATCATTGAGGGTTTGTGTGTATGTGTGGAGATAATTTTAATTACAAATTCAATTTGTTTGATATATATCATTCTCTAAGTCTTCTTGAGTGAACTTTGGCAGTCTGGGACTTTCCAAGCCTTTTGATATGTTGCATTTTTAATTTCCATTTAACTGAAAGTATTTTCTAATTTCTCTTGCAATTTCTTCCTTTTCCCATCTAGAAATGTGTTGTTTAATTTCCAAATATTTGAGAATTTTCCAAATACCTTCTCTTAATGATTCCTAATTTAAATCTGTTGTGGTCAAAACACATTTTTATGACTTCAATCTTTTTAAAGCATTGAGGCTTTTTCTATGGAATAGAATACAGTTTGGTGGACTTCCTTTGTGTGCTTGTAAAAAAATGTGTATTCTACTCTTGCTGGGTCAAATGTTCCAGAAATGTCAAGTAGGTTGAGTTGGTTGATAATGTTGCTCAAGTCTTCTATGTCTTAAATGACTTTCTGTCTACTTATTCTATCAATTATTTAGAAAGTGTGTTGAAATCTCCAACTATACTGTGGATTTGTCTATTTCTCCCTTTGGTTCTACCAGCTTTTGCTTCATGTACCTTGGAGATCGCTTATTAAATGCATACACCTTTCAGATTGTTATGTCCTCTTGAGGAGTTGGCCCCTTTATCACTATAAAATAACCCTCTTTATCCCTGATAAGATATTTTGCTATGGAATACATTGTGTCCGATGTTAAAAAGAGGCACTCCAGCTTTTCTTTTATTAGAATTTTCATGGGTATATCATATTGCATCTTTTAACTTCTAACATCTTTGTGTCTTAAATTTAGGGTGTGTTTCTTATAATAGCACATGGTTGAATCTCACTTGTTTTTGTTGAATCTGACCATCTTATACCTTTTAATTGAAATGTTTAGATTATTTACATTTAATATGAATATAAATATGATTGTGTTTAAATCTATCATCTTGCTATTTGTTTTCTGTTTGTCTCATCTGTTCTTTTTAATCTTCTGGATTAATTGAATACAGACTTAATTGAATAGAGACTCCATTTGCTCTCTATTATTGGGTGTTTTTTTTGTGGTTGCTCTGAGGTTTACAATAAACATCTTTAACGTATCACATTCTAGCTAAAAATGTCACACCACTTCATGTGTAGTGAAAGTTTACTCCATGTATAGTGTAAGTTTCCTTGTTCTCATTCTTTATAGGGTTGTTGCCATGCATTTTATCTGAACACATATGAGAAGTCCCACAATACTTTGTATTTACTTTGTTTTAGACAATTATTTTCAATAAATTTTAAGATGATACATATCATCACTTACTTATTTACCTATATATTTATTATTTCCGGCCACATTCCTTTCTTTGTCAAGTTCTAAATTTGTATCTGGTATCATGTTCTTCCGCCTGAAATATGTCCTTTAACACTGCTCACAGTGTTGCTGTCATGGTGGGTTCCCCCCGCTTTTGTATGTCTGAACACAGCTTTACTTCACTTACATTATGGAAATGTATTTTACTGGGCATCTATTTCTACAACTCTTGTGTTGACAGCTTTTAAAATCCCAGTGCTTTAAACTTGTTCCTCTGTTGTCTTCGGGCCTGCGTTGTTTCTTATAAGAAATCAAATTTCACTCTTTCTTTGATCTTCTGTGTGTAATATCCTTTCCCCCTGGCTGCTTTAATATTTCCTCTTTATCATGAGTTTTCAGCCATTGGCTGGTTTTCAGCTCTGTGGTGTGGTATTCTCACGTTTCTTCTCTTTGGGTTTTATTGAGCTTCTTGGATTTGTGTGTTTATAGTTTGTATCGAACCTGGAAAAATTTTTATCTTTGTTTCTTCAAATATGATTTCCGTGCCCATCCCAACCCCTGCCTTTGTTTTGGGCTCCAATTCCAGATGCTAGGACTCTTCATGTTGTCCCAGAATTTATGATGATTGGTTCATTTTTTTTCAATATTTTTCTCTGTGTTTTATTTAGAATAGTTTTTATTACTATATCTTCAAATTCATTAATCTTCTGTCCTATAATGTCTGTGTTAAACCTCATTTAGTATTTTTTCATTTCAAATGTTGATTTTAATCCCTAGAAGTTTTATTTGGATCTTTTTTATATTTTTAATTTCTCTCCTGATCACACTCACACTTTCCTCTATTTTCTTGAATATGAAATGTACTAATAATGGTGTTTTTAATGTCCTCATCTGAAAATTCTGTGGTATTTCTGGGTCTGTTTCTATTGATTTATTTTTCTGTAATTATGATTGCATATTTTGCTTCTTTGCAAGCCTGGTCATTTTTGGATACCAGAGATTATTAATTTTACATTGTTTGGGGCTGAATATTTTTGTATCTTGAAAAGTATTTCGGGGCTGTATCCTGGGACACAGTAACATTGGAATCAGCTTGATCTATTTGAAGTTTTCTTTTTAGTGATGTCCAGAATGATCTTTTGGTCTGGGGCTAATTTGAGCCCACTCCTGAGGTGGGCACCCTGTTGAGTCCCTCTCCCAGTGTCTGCTGTGCCGGGACGTCTCTCCACTCTGCCTGCAGGGGACATGAGCGGTTCCCAATCTCCCATGCGAGCTCTGGGGATGGTTCTGTCTGCTACTCGGTGTGGTCTCTCCCTGGCCCCTGCAGCCTGCTCAGGGACATGCACAGCCAGTGGCTCCCAGGGCCTCTCTGCAGCCTCTGGAGCTCACTCTCAGGAAAGCTTCCTCCTCTCCAGCACCCAGCACTATGAATGCCCGCACCTCAGAGTCCCTGAACCCTGGGCTGTGGCTCCTCCAGGCAGCAGGACCGGGGCTCATCTGAAAACTCTCTCTAGGCATGAGGGGGGCTCCTGCAGGGCTCACCCGTCTGCTGCCTGCTCTCTGGGATCACTGTTGTGTGCTGCATGTTGCATAAATTGTCTGAAAACCACTGCTTCATATATTTCCCTGCTTGCTTTAGTTGCTTAAGGCAAGAGCATTAATCCTGTCTCTGTTATTCTATCATGGCCGGAAGTGTAAGAAAGTTCAGATTTATTGTTTCGAAATCAGTTTCTCTCTGATGGAATTTTGGGAGGGAAGAAAAGCACATGCATTTTCTCAGCCCATCATCTCAATTAAAACCTGTACATTTTCATGAGGAACCCCCAGCAGATTGGCGGTGACCCCTCCAATAGCTTCAGTCTCTGTTGCTTGTCACCCCAAATGCTTTGTGGGGTGGGGTAGGAGGGGCATTTTCCAGCCAGTGCATTAGGAGTGGCTGGGGCCTTGCACACCGATGGGTGGCTGTCACGCTGGGGAGGGATGAGTCCCACTGATGTGTGACACACGGAGCTCCTGTCCCATGGTCTGTCCTTCGCAGATGGTGAGTCCCCTAAGGACAGGGCTTGGGACCTCTGAGTGTAGCCCCTGCGCAGAGGGGTCTGGCGGCACACACCTGTGGAGTGAACAGTTAAGGTGAGACGGCCTTGCTGGTCTGCACCTTCTCTTCCCCTGAAGCATGGCACCACTCAGGCAGTGCAGACCCTTCACACTTCTCCAGGCAGGGAGAGCATCTGGATGAGCAAAGCTGCAGCTTATCTCATTGTGTCTCCCCGGGCACCCGCTCCAGGGGCCTGTGGGGTCTCAGGGTGACTTATGCATGTCACCTGCTCACAGTGACATGGATGGTCTGCAAGGAAGATGCCCCTTGGTGGCTGCGTGGCAGGGGAGAATACGGCAGAAGCTGAGTCGTGGTGCATCTTTGAAAGCCCAGAGAGTGCTCCACCCGCCTCAGGTCCCATCCTGGGATTCCTGGGGGAAAAAAATGCCTGGAGTTGGGCCGGGCCATGGGCATCCACGCAGGGGCATGCGTTCACTTCCAGTGCCTTCCTCCCAGCTGGTGGCCAGGAGGCCCTGGTGAACATTCCCACTGCCTGCTCCTGGTTTACACAAGGGAAACCACTTGATTGACTCTGAGAGGCGCGGGGAAGCAGAGACCTAGATGACCTGAGAGAAGAAACCCTGAGAGTATCAGGGACAGCATATTAGCAGAGAGCAGTCCTGGGGTGGACGTGAGCTGTGCAGCTGGGAGGAAGCAAGGTGGCTGCAAGACCAGGGTGTGCGCACGGTGGGAGGGAGGCGGCCCCAGGTCAAATGTCAGTTCACAACAGCCAGGAGGGGTCTCCATCTCCCAAGGGAACTGAGGACAGGAAAGGACAAAGGGACCAGACACGACTCTGGAGAGGGGCTGGCAGAGGGAAAGAGAGCAGTGACAGCTTGATGCTCACTCACTTTGCCCAACTTAACCTCAACATGGAGACAGGTGGAGGGACGGTGCTCCTGGGATGCAGACCTGGGTCTGCCTCTCCCTCCTTGGGACCTGGGGCCTCCCACCTGCCCTGTCTGCCCTCGCTTGCCCATCTGGAGTCAGGAATGCCAGCGTGCAGACTCTTGAGGGTTTAGAGGCAGCGGGGCGCCCACACGGTCTGTCCTCTTTCAACAGCAGCTATGGCCCCAGGCCCCTCCTCCCGCAGGGAATGGGGCCAGAGGCTCCACATGGGGCTTCTCATCATGCCTGTGCCCCTGCGTGTGTCTGTAGTCAGGACATCCTGCTCCTCCCAGGGCAGAGTGGCTGCTGTCATATCCAAAGTGGCATTGGCTCCTGCAAGGGCTCACGGGGAAACTGAGGCCACCCAAGACCTGCCTGGAGCTCGTCGCTCCTCTGGCTTGGTAGACCCTAGGGGTCCTTGGGCTTTTCCTCTCACTCTGGAGCAGCAGAGCAGAGCCCCAGCTGGTGGGGGCACCTGTGGCAGAGGAGGCGGGCTGCCTGCGCCATCCAGCAGGCCAGTGTGGAGTCCAGCATCCATCAGGCCGGTGTGGAGTCCAGCACCCAGCAGGCTGGTATGGAATCCAGGCCCGTGGGTGCTTTTTCCTGAACTTTGTATTGGAGGATGACACCAAACAGCTGACTGGCTAGAAACAGTGTCCAGTTGCACAGTGGGGTTTGCTCTTACTTTTGGCCACGCTACCTGGTGGCCATCGGAGGCAGGTCCCGGAGGTGGCCCCATGAGCGCTTGATGCTGCAGGAGCCCCACCTGAAACACGGGGACCCGGCCGGCCTCCTGCAGGTGAGAGCAAAGCCCAGGCTCGTGATTTTAGGTCCCCCACAGTGTGCCAGGGCAGGACCCCAGCCTGGAGCCCCTGACAGCTGAGTCACTATTGCTCGGCCACGATGGATCCCTGCGTCCCTGGCTGTCCTCCCTGCCCTGAGGAGAGGAGCAAGGCTCAGTTCCTTTCTGAGCTGTTCCCTATCTGCCCACCCTCCCCACGCACCCTGTCTTCCCACCCACTCTGTCCTATAAAGAATTTGTCGGTCCCGAGGGTGAAGGTTGATGATCTTCAGAATTGCACAAGGAGATGACAGGTGCACTTTCTCCCAGGAAAGAAAAGGGAAAGCACCTCCTCTGCTCTCTGGCTCCTTTTCAGAGTGGGCCTGCCCGCTTCAAAGGCGTCTTCCCTCCCTCCCCTGGCTGACCCCACAGCTGGGAGAAGGAAAAGGACTTTCCTTTCGATGTGCTGGTTGCTACCCCGTCTTCTTTATTAAGAAGAATTCTAAAAGGTCAGGCAAGACAAGTGCTGACTGCTCAGCTCCCTGTCTTGGGAGAAGTTAGCGGGTGACCTCCTTCGATAGTGGGGCTGGGGCCCTCCAGACTGCTGTGAGCATGACATTGGACTCCTGGATGGACCCCTGCACACGTGCTCCCACCAGGCTTCCTGTTGCCCATCACCCTGCATCACTCTGCCTTCCTCACCAACCACCCATGCTCACGGCTGCCTCAGGGCCTTTGCACAGCTGGGCTCTTGGTCGACATGCCGTGCCCCTACTACCCTCATGGTTTGCTCTTCCCTGTCACTGGGGTCTCCGCTTAATTGCCCCTCTCCTGACCTCCCTGTCTCATCTGCAGCCCCTGCCCCACGGGAGGTGAGGGAGCCCCTGGTGCACGGGCTACGACCCCTCTGCCTGCACGCTGCTCTCGCCCTGGCTGCCCTGCTGGGGTGTCAGCACTGACGGGGGGATATTCAGGTGAGGGATTGAGTGGACAGGGGCGGGGCTGAAGGAGGACAGGCGGAGAGGGGGTCCTAGGGCAGAGCCCACCTTGGCCTTTCCTCCTCTGAGGGTGGACGCTGTGTTGCCCATTCTCTGACACTCAGGTGCGGTGCCCAGGCTCCGTTCTTTGCAGAGTGAGAAAGTGGGCTGCAAATTGCCCTGAGAGGGCAGGTGGACGCAGGGTGGCTCTGCAGCTGTTGTGGCTCCCACTTCCCTCCTGGGGGGCCCCAGAGGTCCCAGAGCCTGAGCCAGGAGGCTGCAGAGGGCCATACGCCTCTTGTCTTATGTCTGCCCTGCTGTGTCTCTGGCTGACTCTCAGTGGATTCTCGGGGTCTTGAGCCTTGCCAGGCTACCAACAAGCTCAGCTGACAGTGCAGATGCAACATTAGGCGTCATCAGATGCTCTGGGGCCGAGTAGGGGCCAGTGGGGGTCAGCTCGGGGCTGTGGGCCATGGGCTGCTTGAGGCTGGGAGGCTGTGGGTCCCACAGCCTCCCTTTCCTGCCCTGATCTTGGCTGGATCCTGCAGGTTGAAGCCCCTTCTGTTGGCTGTGGGCAGAGCTGCTGAGGCAGATTCTTCCCCACCAAATGCAGCCTGTTCCCAGGATCCTGACCTCAAACTGGAGAAGCTTCAAAAAGAATAAAGGAGGTACCAACGTCCAGATCCCAGGCCCAGGGAGGAGGAGGCACTAGCGGGTGGGCAGCAGGGCTGGGATAGCACCCCAGCCTCACGACCCTTGCAGAGGCTGAGCCAGAGAGCCATGCAGAAGCCTTGTGGGTCCAGATTTGGGTTGATGGGAAGAGGCAGGCATGGGTGGTTGGTGAGGAAGGCAGAGTGGTGCAGGGTGATGGGCAACAGGAAGCCTGGTGGGAGCAAGGGTAGGCCTGGAGACCCTGGGCTTCACCCCCATCCCACAGGGCAGTAGAGGAGACTGAGGCCCAGGACACAGAGCAGGTCAGAGGCCCAGTCACACCAGAACTCGGGACATCGCCCTCTAGGACACAGGGGGCTCTGGTGGGGACCAGGGGCTGCACAAGGATGGTAGAGGGTCTTGAACCCAGCCCGAGGGCCAAGTGGTCTAGGGAAGGAGGTGGTTCTGCAGGAGAGAGAGGGCATGTGTGTGTGTGTGAATGTGCATGAGTGTGTGTGCGCATGTGAGTGTGCATTGGTGTGTGAATGTGTGTGAGTTGCATTGGTGTGTGTGAATGTGTGAGTGTGCATTGGTGTGTGTGAATGTGTGAGTGTGCATTGGTGTGTGAATGTGTGTGCGTGTGAGTGTGCATTGGTGTGTGAGTGTGCATTGGTGTGTGTGAATGTGTGTGCAATGGTGTGTGTGATTGAATGCATGTGAGTGTGCATGTGTGAGCATGGGTGTGGATGTGTGTGTGAATGTGTGGGTGTGCCTGTGGGTATGCATTTGTGTGTGCATGTGAATGTGTGTGAGTGTGCATCTGTGAGTGTGCATGTGTGCATGTGAGTGAGCATGTGTGTATGTGAATGTGTGTGACTGTTCAGCAGTGTGAGAATCTGTGAATGTGTGTGTATGTGAGTGCATGTGTGAGTGCAGGTATTTTGTGTGCGTGTGTGAATGTATGTGGGTGTGCATGTGTGTGCTTGTGAGAGTGTGAACGTGGATGTGATTGTGTGAGTGCATATGTGTGTACATGTGTGTATGTACGTGTGTATGTGAGTATACCTGACTATGCATGTGTGAGCATGTGTGGGTATCTGTGTATGCGTGTGAAGATGAGTGTGGGTGTGAGTGCATGTGTGAATGTGTGTGACTGTGAGTGCATGTGGGTGTGTGAGCATGTGTGTGTGCATGTGTTTGTGTGTGAGCACATGTGTGTGAGCATGTATGTGCATGTGGATGTGTATATGAGTGTGCATGTGTGTATCTGTGAGTGTGTGAGCACGTGGGTGTGAGCATGTGTGCACGGGTGAGCGTGCATAGGTGTGTGAGTGTGTGTGTATGTGGGTGTGAGCATGTGTGTGAGTGTGCATGAGTGTGTGCATGTGTGTGAGCGCATGTAGATGTGTGAGCGTGTGTGTGGGTGAGTGTGCATACAAGTGTGTGTATGAGTGTATGTGAGCGTGTGTGGGTGTGTGAGCACATATGTGCATGTCAGTGTGTGTGTGTGAGTGTATGTGGGTGTGTGAGCATGTGTGTACGGGTGAGTGTGCCCATAAGTAGGTGCATGTGTGTGTGTGTGAGTGCACGTGGGTGTGGGTGTGCATGTGAGCGTGCCAGGCCCTCGGAAGTGTGTAGAAGGCCTTGTCAGCCAGCAGCTCCCGTTTCCTTTCCTGCCCCTACCCTACTGTGCAGAGCTCACCCTGCAGCTCCATCTCTTTCTTTCCACTGTAAACCAAGCTCGAGGGGCCCAAGCCTCGTGGGGGGTGCATGGGCTGATGTGTGAGGAAGAGCAGGTGTGCCCACCCAGCGCCTGCCCATTGCCGCCGTGTCTGCCCGACGCCGTGTCTGACAGCATCCTTGAGGGACCAGGCTCCTGACTGCAGAGAGGGCTGGAGCCCATTATGCCCGAGCTGATGCAGGAATAATGAGGGGAAGACGCGGTAATGGGAAAGTCTGTGTCTAATAAAGGGAAATTTATTCAGTGCGCTCCAGAGGAGCTGGGCGCTGGCTGGTCTTAAAACAAAACCACCGCCTGCCAGCCTGCACCGTTTGCTCCCTGACAAAGGCTGCGGTGGCTGGAGAGCACAGGTGGGGACGCAGCTCCCTGGGGGCTTGAATTAAGCAGATCCTGGGCCTGGTTCATGCCTGGAACGGGGCTGGGGACCGCTGCGGGGCTAGAGCAGGGCCGGAGGCAAAAGGCATGAGGCGCTGTCCTCAGAGTGGGGGCTCTGCAGGGGGTGGGGTTCTGCCAGGAGGAGGCAGGAACAGAGTGGGCTCATGGACATGTGGGTTCTGGGGTAAGCTCCGCCCCTGAGTGCGAGCCCCACTAGGCTAGTCTGCAGCTGCAGGACCACCATATGGACTGCAAATAGGGTGGATAAATATTGCCCCCAGGGTTTTTGTAAGAAGAGCAGGAATACCTTACTGCTAACTCTGAGGGCCTCTGCTCATGTTTCCTTCTCTGTGGCTGGCCCTCTTTGGAGTTGTGCAACACAGCAGTCCCTGACAGGGAGGGGCTCCCCACATGCCTCCGCGCCCCTTGCTGTTGAATTTGGCAGAGCAATGACATTTAGTGCTACCTGTGCCAAGCACCCAGGGAGTGTGAGTTGGCTCAACCCGACAGTCTGGCCTGTGATCTGGGGCCTGGCCACCGTGCTCCCCTTTGAGAAGGGTGGGGGAGTAAGATCTGGACAGGTAGCTGGGGCCTGGCCACCGTCCTCCCCCTTGGGAAGGGTCGGGGAGTATGATCTGGACAGGTAGCTGGGGCCTGGCCACCGTGCTCCCCCTTGGGAAGGGTCGGGAGTATGATCTGGACAGGTAGCTGGGGCCTGGCCACCGTGCTCCCCCTTGGGAAGGGTCGGGGAGTAGGATCTGGACAGGTAGCTGGGGCCTGGCCACCGTGCTCCCCCTTGGGAAGGGTCGGGGAGTATGATCTGGACAGGTAGCTGGGGCCTGGCCACCGTGCTCCCCCTTGGGAAGGGTCGGGGAGTATGATCTGCACAGGTAGCAGTCACACGCTGGCTTTGTAGGATATTTAATGTTCTAAGAGACAGGGTGGAGACCTACTAGTGTGGGCACAGGGCATCAGAAAGCCCCACGCCTGGAGCCAGGGTGCCCATAGGCGGGTGGGAGGCCTGGGGTGCCCAAGACGGAGGCAGACACAGCCCAGGACCAGAGGGTGCCCTCAGGACCAGTATGCCCTGCTCCCGGGGTGGAGCCATCAGGGTGTGCTGTCCTGAAGGCGGGGACTGTGGCTAGGCCCCTCCACACCCAGAATCTTCTCCGTAGCCTGGTTGCTGCTTCGTCGCTTAGTTACAAGCCCTAATGAGGAAAGAACCTCCTCCTGGGGCCCAGCTCACGCTGGAAGAGCCCAGAAGGCCAGTTCGTGTCTTCCCTCAGGAGACTTTCAGAGAAGGGTCCCACCCCTGAAGCCCCCCTGGGGTGACTCCTTCATTAGTGCCTCCCTGCTTGCTCGGGTCTGCACCGCCCTCCAGGCTGCTCCCCCACCCCCACTCCTACCCCCGGACTTACAGGAATAATCTTTGCAAATGAGCACCCCTCCCTCTCACTCCCCTGCTCCTCCAACACCTTCTGTGGCTCCCCATTGTTTCAGGGTAAAGCCCACGCACGCTGGCCCTCCTGCATACGCCCTTCTCTGCGTCCTGTCCACCTCTGGCCCTCCTGCACACGCCCTTCTGTGTGTCCTGTCCACCTCTGGCCGCACTCACTCTGCCCGAGGGCCCCAGCTGGACTCTGGGTTCCCAGCGACCAGGGCCCCTGCTTTCCTACCCAGGTATCTCTCACAGTGCTCACACCTCGGAGGGGCTTGAGGCAGATTTGCTGAATGATTGAAAATGCAAATCACAGACACAGCGCCTGCATTTTCCCCAGGGATGAGACATCGTGGTCTCGGCAGGCAGGGCTTGGAGACGGCTTTTTCTCTTCTTGCAATTTAGGCTCTGGAATCCTTGCCTAAGGGGGCCTCAAGCCAGGGCCTGCCTTCGGGAGGTCCCTGGGTTGGGGTGGGGGCCTGTTGCCGTTGGCTGCTTCCTTCACTCACCAAATGGAGGGAAGTCTGACTCGGGGACCCCAGCCCACAGCGGTTGTGGCCCCCAGACCCCAGCAGCCACCCAGACCCTCCCTCCTCTAGCGCCTTCTGCCATGCTTTGCCACCCAGGAGCTTGTACTCATCCCACTGTGGCTTAGTAAGAAGGGCCCTGTGTCAGGGAGCGGTGAGATCATGTGCGGCTCAGACGGAGGCCCCTGCTTCCAATAAGCGGATGGATGGATGTGCGCCTCTGGATGGCCGCGTGCTGTGAGCGCAGACGCATATGTGTTGTAATCTATTTCCAAAACATGACCCCAGCCATCTCACAGGGAACATCAATGAATATTTACTACCTTGTTTTTTTTTTTTTCCTAAAAAAAAAGTAATTTCACTGTCTGGTTGTTAAATCTATTTTTATTGCTACAAAAATGCCTCCTATCCATTAAGATGAGGAAGCCAGGTGCTGGGGACGATTGTGTTTCAGGGCCGCTGTGCCTTTCCTTCTGGGAGGAGGGGAGGCTGAGTCCTTGCCGCATTTCTGGGGCCTTTTGCTCTGCAACTGCCAGAGATGCAGCTTCTCAGCTGAGCTGTGGTGGATGGGGTGGCTGGGCTGAGCAGCCTCAGCACCGGAAGCCCCTGCTAGGCCAGGCCTCGCCTCCCTAGCAGCACGGACGCTAACTTGTTTCCTGTCTCAGGCCAGTGGCCCCCAGGGGCCCAGTACTGTGGCTGGAACCTCGCTCCCTGCAGGAGGCCTGGCCCTGTGGGAGGCAGGGCTACTCAGGTGCACCTTGTGGCGGTAACCTAGGAGACAGCCTGACTCCCAGGCTGCTGTGGAGTGAGGGCTGGAATTCCCCACCACACCTGGCCCTGGAGTGGTCTGGGGCATCTCCCCTGGGAATGCTCACCTCGTGCCCCCAGGAGAGGGGGCAGGATGGGAAGGACTGGGCGAGTCAGCCCCTCTGCCACCCCTGCTGGTGGCTGGTGGCCCCGCATCTGCTCCCTGCGAGCTGCCGGTGCCTCAGGGCTGTCTGTGTCCCACCAAACATTAGGGTCAGCGCTCTCCTGGGGAGGGTCTGGCTTTCTCCTCCAAGCCTAGTTCCAGGGTCAGCCTTGTAAGGCCCAGGGCCGAAGCTCCGGCGTCCCAACTGGGGGAGGGAGAGCACAGCCCAGGGCAGTGCAAGGACAGTCTGACGCCCACAGACTCCCTGGGTTCTGGCTCCAGGGCCCCCCACACATGGAGTGAGACCCGGTCCCAGGAGCCATCAGTGTGTCTGGAGGGAGCAAGGTGCCTCCTCCAAAGTCCTCCCTCGCCTCCCAGGGCAGGAATGCTTGTGTCACACAGGCCGGGTGGGTTTCAAACAACAGGTACAAGAATAGCAATATGTATTGAGGCTTCCTCAGTGCGTTTCCACCTACTGATTCAGTTCTCACACCCACCCCGGGCGGGAGGAGCTATTGTTATTTCCGGGCTCAGAGAGGTCAGGGACGTGGCCCAAGGGGCAACAGCCAACAAGGGGAAGAGCTGGGATTCGAGCCTAGGACACCTGTTTCCAGGGTTTTGACTGTCCACAGCCAGACCCACTGTCCCCACTGGACTTGTGCCAAAGCCAGTAGTGACTGGGCCCCTTCCACAGGGATTTCATTAATCCCCATGGTCACCCTTGGAGGCTGAGTCACAATCTCCACTTGGAGACACACCAAGGGTCTGTAACATGGCTGCAGCCACAGGCACGCCATCTTTGGGCACCTAACATCCGTCCCTCCTCAGCAGGCCTGGCTGTCCTGACAGAGGCCAGATCCTCGCTGGCCTCAAGGCCCGTGCCATCACTGCCCACCACGGCCCTGGCCATTCTCCCACCCTTGTGGTCCCCCAGTGGTCCAGGTGCCCTCCTACTGTGGGCTTCACAGACACCATTCCCACCCCAGCTCACCCGCCGGGGATTGCCCGCTGTGTCCTCTCAGCTCAGCACCTCTTGCAGATTTCAGTTCCAAGGGGCCTTCCTGCACTGCCTTTTGGGGGTGGGCCGCACCCCACACAGGAAGCCCCAGATCTCCCTCCGGTGTGTGGGTGCCTGGAGTGCTTTCCACCACGAGGGTGGGCTCCCGGAAGGCCCAGGGCCATCCTGCTCGAGTTACAGCTCCCACGTCTCTGCCCTGCCTGGTGCCATTCTTCTTCCACGGGAGAATGCATGGAAGCCAGGTGCCAGCTCAGGACGGCACCTCCTCTGCCAGCCCGCGAGAGAGCTGTGCTTTTCGTTTCAGATACAAAGCCAGGTCCAGAGAGGGTCAGAGACTTCCCGGTGGCCTCACAGCTCGTAGAGGCTGAGCCAGGTTGACCCAGGTCCACGAGGTGTTGGACTGGGGCTCCGGACATCACCTTCCAGCTCAGACACCTCGCGTCTGTACCCTGTGGACTGAGCAACCAGGGGAAACAGAGGCAGTAGATCCTCCTCCTTCCTCACTCGCAGCAGGTGACAGGTTTGGGTCCAGTGGTGCTGGATCTGGGCCAGCTGCGGATTTGCTCCCCACCATTCCATCAGTAGCCCATAAGAAGGGCCCATGGAGGCAGCTAAGATCGCCCCCAGCAGCCCTGCTGTCCACCTGCCCTCACCTCCAGCTCCGCCCCCCAGGTGGACCTTCCAGACCCAGGAATGATTCTGGCTGTGGCCTTTAGGATGCCCTGGTCAGAGCATGGGGAACTGGCATCCAATGGCAGACAGGGGCTATCTCAGGACCCTCAGGTGCTGGGATGGTGGCTCCTGAGGGTGGGTCAGAGGGCCTGTGTCTCGGTACTGCCCCCTTCCCCGCAGAGGCTGAAATCTGCAGGGAATCCACCCTGTTTCATGGCTTTTCTGCTCCCATATGCCATGCGCAGAGTGTGGACATCAGTCTGTGGGACCTGGGCTCTCTCCAGTCACTCATGGTGGCAGATGGGGAAAGTCATTCATTCATTCACTCATTCATTCATTCCCGAGGGCCAATTTCACACTTTTCGGGGTGCGGCACCACCTTTTGGGTAAGCGGTGAATGTTCCGTGGATGCCGACTTACCGAGCTTCGGGCTGGTTTTGTTTTCTAAGTTCTAGGTGTGGCAGTGAAAGGAGCCCCTTTCCCATGGTTTTGGGCCTGGATGTCGGGCAGAGAAGAGGAGGGGCGCTGGGGTGCCGCCAGGCCTGGGTGAGGGGCAGCTGGAACAGCGTGGGGACTCAGCCTGGGTCCTGGGGCCAGCAGTCTGCCCTGCCATTTCCCCGCTGTGTGGCCTCCAGCTCTTCTGGCTCCCAGTCTCTGAGCCTGGGTTTCCTGATTATGGGATGGGACCACTGCGCCTTCTCGGTGGGCGTGAAAAACAGGACAGGTTACTGGAGGGGGATGCTGAGCCGAGACCTGGGCATCTTTGATTGCTCCACAATGCACAAGGCCATGTACCCTAGGCCTGGGAAGGACTCAGGGGAGCCCTTGGTGTCCCAGGCTGGCCTCTAACCAGTGGCTCAGAAATGATGAATAATTAGGAATCTTTGACAGACTCGACCTCTCTCTCTGATTTTCTTCCTCTGAGGTCTGGGTTCTTTGGGCTTGACATCAAACCACACATTTTCTTTCTTTCTTTCTTTTTTTTTTTTTTTTGAGACAGAGTCTTGCTCCGTCGTCCAGGCTGGAGTGCAGTGGTGCGATCGCGGCTCACTGCAAGCTCCTCCTCCCAGGTTCACGCCATTCTCCTGCCTCAGCCTCCCGAGTAGCTGGGACTACAGTCGCCTGCCACCACGCCCGGCTAATTTATTTGTATTTTTAGTAAAGACGGGGTTTCACCGTATTAGCCAGGATGGTCTCGATCTCCTGACCTCGTGATCCACCTGTCTCAGCCCCCCAAAGTGCTGGGATTACAGGCGTCAGCCACCGTGCCCGGCCACATTTTCTTATTTCATAAACACAGGGGCCAGGGAAGTTTGTTAATTCCCCCCTTTACTCATTCAACAAAGCAACTTCGAATCTCCGCCAGGATATGTGGGCATGGCAGTAGAAGCCAGGAACACAGTGGTGGATGAAAGGGGCAGGATTCCTGCCTGCGGGGGTCCCCAGGTTTGGGGAAAAACAGGCAGGGGGCAGAATCACACAGAATTGTTTTTCATGGCCATGCTGAGAAGGGGCAGTCCTTGCAGCTGTGAGTGAGAGCTGAGAAGGAATCCAAGCAATGGAACCATCCTGGGCTGGGGAGCTTTTCCAGCCAGACTGCGAATCAGAGCCACGCACTGCCTGCCTGGAAGAGGAAGCTCTGGAGGTGCAGCGAGGCGAGAGCCAGGGCCTGAGAATGCCTCCACTCCACAGCCCACACCTGGAAGAGGAAGCTCCAGAGGCGCAGCCAGGGCGAGAGCCAGGGCCTGAGAATGCCCCCACTCCACAGCCCACACCACGACCGCTCAGCCGGTTTCTCTGGGTCACAGCCAAATGACAAAACCAGGTCACGTGGTCTTAAATTAAATTTCCCCTTAAAACAAAAGCAGCTCCCAGGGGAGCTATCTTTGCTTCCCTCGGATTCGAAGCATGGAGGCAAAACACACATTTTGGGAAATTAGCCCTTAGCTGGGCTGCAGCCGCAGATCCTGCTCACGCCCAGCTTTGCCCATGGCCAAGGGCGGTGCCACCTACCGAGTGTCCACAGACTCCTCACTCCCAGCTGTCCCGGGCAGGGCGCCTGCAGTGTGGCCAGACCATGACCAGTCACTATAATACATTACAGTCTATTCCGTGATTTGCCAATCTACGTGAAGAGCAGTACTGCCAATCACCGTTTTTAATAACGAATGATTATCACACTGGGAAGTCACACGTGTGTCAAATAGCATATGCGATTCCCCCTTCAGATGCCTCATGCAGCATCACCTGGCATGGAACTGCAGCCCCCTTGGTCACTGTAGTAACCACCCCCCGGAGGAGCCGGGGAGGACTTGGTCCCCTTTTAACTCTTTGAAGCAAGTTACTGTCCATGACTACACTGTCCTTTCTTGGCCCAGGAATGGGGCTGACACCATAACCCCACATTCCCACTCAGTCACTTGAGCCGCAGAGCCTTGGAGCTGCTCCAGGGCCGGAGCCCCTGTGGAGTGAGCTTCCACCTCCTTCAGGTCCCCAGGAAGTAGGTGTTGCCATCTGGGTCTAAGTTCCCTGGATGATCCCGGAGGAGGAAGGGCCTGGGGGTGCCAGCTGAGAGCCAGGTTATATTTAGGGGAGGGGACAGGGCGGTTGGGGCAGGTCTGCCGTTAAACCACCTAGAGCAGGTAAGAGTCATCAGGTAACTGGAAGCCACTGGTAAGGCAGATCTAATCCCTGGTGAGGTCTCCAGCCCATCTGCCCAGGGCAGCCCGGCCCTTGCAGCAGACCTGGCCGCAGCTGAGGTCACTGGGCACCACTCACATCTCCCCTGAATAACCATCCCAAGTTACAGGTACCTTTCCCCGACCTCCAAGGCCTATCTTCACTGTACCCCAGAAACTAGGTTTATACGGGCAATGAAAGAAAAGGAAGACAGAGGTAGAAGGAGGAGGGGAGGAAAGAAGGGAGAGAGGGAGGGAGGGAGGCTGGGAGAAGGTTGCTGAGATGAGAGGGGAGTAGCCAGGACACACCAGAAAACAAGATCGCATTTGTGAGTTTTCAAAGGGTTCATCTAAAATATAGTCAGGGAGCGGGAAAGAAATCAAAACACGAAAACTTCCTCGACAGCTTCTTTTGTGCCAAGCAGAAAGTATTTTCAGAGCTCATCCGGGCATCCCGGCATTTCATTATGGCTGTGGGGTAATTAACGTCTGGCGGTGGGGTGGGATTGCTGACGGCTGGGTATCGGATTTCAATTTCAACGTGTTAGGTTTGCCTGTAATGTTTTTGAATTTGTGTTTTAGACGCTGGCAGGTTTATAAGGGCTTCAAGTCTCGCACGTGCTGATTTGCCACGCTGCACGGGGAAGGGAGTAATTTCTGTTGGTAGCTGACAGCACCTCTGAATGATGCTTTACAAGCCTGGAAGTGTAGGGCCTGGCTACCTCCCATGAGAACAGATAGGAGCAGAGTTAAGTGCTTTTGCAAAAGCCTGAGGTCCTGCCAAGACCAGGCAGCCCCGGAAGGCACGCGCCGCCCTTCGAATCGTGTGTGTTTGGGGAGATTTTTAGGCCATTGGAAAGGCCATCTGTACCTTATCACGTTTTCCTCCTTGTCTTCTATGTGTTGATTCCAATGTGTCCCACGTTTCAGTGCTTTTTCTCTGTGTTGTGAAATGTCACTGGAAAACCAGGCTCCAGATGCACCCCCTTCCCCCTCCTCACTCACACTCACTCTCCTTCCCACGAGGGCTGCCAGATTTAGCAAGAACGAAACAAAACAATGCCAAACAGTGCTGGATGCCCAGTTATATTCGCATTTCAGAGAAACAATATATATATTTTTGTACAACTATGTCCCGTGCAATATTTGGGACAAACTTACATCAACACAATGATTTGTTGTTTATTTGAACTTCAGACTCTACAGGGTGTCAGGCCATATATCTGGCAACCCCATTCCCAGCCCACACTCCCCCAACACAGTCTAGGATCCTATTAAGCCACTGTGTCTTGCTGGCTACCTACCAGCATGGGCAGCCATGGCTTCTTCCCCAGACCCTGATGTGGGGCTCCTGGGCCCCAAGGGAAGGGAAGCTGGAATCAGGCAGAGCCTGTGTGCAGAGTGCGGTCCCGGGGTCAGGGCACCAGTTTCAGTAGCTTCTGAAAAGGGTCTGTGGCTCACAAGAAGAATAACCACAGGGGGGCCTGAGGATGACCAGGGTGTGGACAGGTGGACAGTGGCCCGAAGTCCCCACGCTGCCTTGGCCTTACTCCTTGGGCCACATTGTAGGAGAGGCCTGAGGGCAAGCACATCAGGCACTTGGCCTCCTAAACCCGGCGGTAACGTCCTTGTGGAGGTTGACATGGGGGCCGTATTCCCTGCTTGGGGCTACCCTGTCCCTATTAAAAGGTCTGAGCCGGGGGCTCCAGCACCCAGGAGATCAGTAGGTCTGAGACCATCATTCCTGATGGGGAAACTGAGGCCAGTTTCCTGAGGGGAGCCTGACGTGTGTGTGGGAGGGGAGTGTGAGTGGACAGCAGGTCTCTGGCCTTGGGCGACCAGGACCCACCAAGGTGGAGAGTCCTGTCCAGCCGGGCTTCGGTGCCATCCTCAGTAACCACAGGGGGAAGGCCCAGGCTGGGGAACTCCAACACCTGGGGCTCGTGCTGGGCTCTCAGCCAAGCGCCGAGGCTGCTGTGGCTCCCGGGTTCTCTCCCTCTCCTCTCTGGCCACTCCCTTGCATCACAGAGAGCTTGGTACCTGTGTGTAGGAAGCTTCAGACTCAGACGGAGCTGGGTTCAAGCCCAGGCTTTGCTGCTACTGTGCATGTCCTGAGGCTGCTGCGCTAACCCTCACTCGGTTCAGAGCTGAAAACGATGCAGACGTGTTGTCTCACAGCTCTGCAGGGCAGAAGTCCAAAATAAACCACACTGGGCTGCAGTCCAGGTGTCCACAGGGCTGGCTCCTTCTGGAGGCTCAGGGGAGGGTCCGCTTCCAGCTTCCAGAGGCTGCCTGCAACCCTTCCTCCTCACGCTGCTGTCTCCCTGCCGCTCCCTGGCCTGCCTCTCTCCTCCACTCTTAAGGACTCTTATGATCCCCCTGGGCTCACGTTCTCTCTCTCAAGCGACCTTAATTCCATCTGGAAACATAACTCCCCCTTACCATGTAAAGTAAAATACCCACGGGGTCCCGATATTAGAATGTGGGGTTGCTGTGGGTGATTTTTTCTGTTGCTCACGGGTCAGTGATACCAGTAGGTCAGTGTTTTGTTTCTGTTTTTGTTTTGAGACGGAATCTCGCTCTGTCGCCCAGGCTGGAGTGCAGTGGCGCGATCTCGGCTCACTGCAAGCTCCACCTCCCGTGTCCACGCCATTCTCCTGCCTCAGCCTCCCTAGTAGCTGGGAGTACAGGCGACTGCCACCACGCCCGGCTAATTTTTTTGTATTTTTAGTAGAGACGGGGTTTCACCGTGTTAGCCAGGATGGTCTCCATCTCCTGACCTCGTGATCCGCCTGCCTCGGCCTCCCAAAGTGTTGGGATTACAGGCATGAGCCACCGCACACGGCCAGTAGGTCAGTGTTTAACCTCTTAGAGCCTCAGTTTCCAATTCTGTAGAATGGGGGCAGGGTGATACCCACCCGGCAGGATTCTGGGGTCAGTGGGAACAAGACTGTAAGTCAGGCACACAGCTGCTGGCCTGGAAAAGGTGCTGGATCCGGGGAAGTCACTGCGAGTGGCAACAGGAATGCCGGGAGGCCAGAGCCTGCTGCTCACGACAATCAGGGGTGGTATTGGAGAGGGAGTGCATGTTTTGGGGTGAGGAAAGGGCTGTTGGAGGACGCTGGAGCCCCCAGACCTGCATTCAGTTCTACACTTGGAATGGGGGTGGGGGGACTTTGTTTTTTTTCAGGGCCCAAATGATCAGGCCAAAGGCTCCAATTTCCTGTCCTCCTGGCTTCATCCCACATGTCAACCAAAGGCCCTTTTTATTTGCCACAGAAGACATTTAGCTCTCCGGAGTGGCAATGTACCCAGCGGCCTCAGGCTTCCTCCCACCCCAAGATGCTGCCCAGATCTGAACGTCCCCGGCAGGCAGCTCACCAGTCAATGCTGCCGACTCTATTTGTCAGGAGCAAAATGGCCTCAGCACGTTCGCTGACCGCCAGTGACTCCCAGCAGTACTCAGAGCCCTTTGCCCCGGGGGGCTTCCAAAGCTCTAAATAGCTGCTCATTCTTCTGGGAAGCAGAGCCGGGTGAGGGTGCTTGTCTGTGCAGCTGCAGGCCTGCCCTACTCCCCGCCTGCAGTGGGCCCTGCACCAGCACCTTCCTCTGGGACCAGGCAACTCTCCAGGCCCGCTGATCCATCCTAGCGAGCCCCTATTTTGTGCCAGAAAGCATGCTAGGCATTAGACGTCGAACCCCAGCAGCCTCAGCATGCCCTGGCCCCACTAACGCAGGCTACCACGGGGACCACTGCAGAGCTGTTTTTTTGTTTTTGTTTTGTTTTTGTTTTTTTGAGACAGAGTCTCGCTTTGTCGCCCAGGCTGGAGTGCAGTGGCGCGATCTCAGCTCACTGCAACCTCCGCCTCCCCGGTTCAAGCAATTCTCCTGAGTAGCTGGGATTACAGGCGCCCGCCACCATGCCTGGCTAACTTTTGTATTTTTAATAGAGACAATGTTTCACCATGTTGGCCAGGCTGGTTGCGAACTCCTGACCTCAAATGATTTGCCTGCCCTGGCATCCCAAAGTGCTGAGATTACAGGCGTGAGCAACCACACCCGGCCAGGAGGGGGTTTATCTGTTGCTTCTCAGGAGGGATTTGCAGCGGCTGCATGGAGTGCTATTTTAAGGAGGATTCTGAGGGAGAGTCTTGGTGCTGGAATCACATGGATATATTTCTGGGGCATGACGGATACGGGGGCACTTTCTATCTGGGGACAAAAGGCCACGTTTACTATTGAAGATGGAACTTGACTTCCCCCAGGAATGTGGACAGTGGCTTCCCAGCCCTGGCAGGAAGAAGTCGAAACTCCTTAATTTACCACCCAAATGTCTCTGCTGCCTGACCCAACTTCTCTTCCCACCCTAACCTGGAATTTCTGCCCTTCCAACTCTTGTTCTTCACCCAGCTGCCCTCCCCTCCATCCCTTGCCCATGCCCCTGGCTCTGTTCCCTGAATGGAGGCAGGAGGTCTCTGCTCACTGCAAAGCTCGTTCAGGGCCCATTCCATGTCAGTCAGCATCCCATCGGGAGGCAGGTGGCTCACTCAAATCCCTGCAAGGGGCAGGCCTGGAAAGGGACCATTGCAGACCCTTGGGAGGCAGAAAGCGACACGCGCGGGAGAGTGCAGGGACCCAGGCCAGCAGCAGCTGAGCTGTCACCACCCCTACCAAAGGCACAAGGCAGGGGGCACCCCCAGGACCTGGGAAGGAACACAGAGAGCTGTCTGCCTAGACAGGGACCTGGCCTGAGGGACAGACTCATGGTGTCCCACAGGGAGGGCTCAGGGGTGATGCTTCCTGACCCTGCTGTCCTCCCTCCCTCCAGTCTCCAGCCTGAACTCCCCATTGGCCAAATACAACTAGAAACCAGTGGACTCAGGGTCAAGGTCTGCCCAGGCCTGGTGTCACTCAGCACAGCTTCCTCCACCAAACAGAGGCAGCTCATTCTCCAACAAAAGTGACAGCTCCTTCCAGAAAGGGCAATTGGGTCCCCAAACAGTTTGTTTTCTATGGCAACTGCAGCCTCAGCCAGGGCCCTCCCCACCTCAAAGCCTGTATTTGGAGAAGACATTTTGTCATTCACCATGCATAAAAAGCTGTGGCTGGGCCACACAGAGACAGTGCCTATGTCCTCAAGGATTCTCCAGTCAATGATTTTTCAGAATCAAAAACATTCAGGCTGCATTTCCTCCGGGAGTCCCGGCCCTTGAGGTCTCCAGGCCATGTCATGTGCCTGCACACAGCATGTGTGGGATGCATCGGTGGATGCCTTTTCTGAAGCTGTGAGTCTTTAGAGTTGTCCTCCCTCCACGACCCTGTCCACACAGCTGAGGGTACCTTTGGAGCTCCTCCGACAGCATCTCACATCCAGCAGAGCTCTGAGTCAAAAGCAGGAACACCACCTGCAGCAAACACACACAAAGGAACCAATTGAAAGGATGCTGGGGGCTCCCAGAAAATGAGGGAGTCCAGATAACTAGGCTGGACGTAGCTGCTGTCGGGACTGGTGCTTAAGTCTGCTGAAGTGCCAGCTTGCAAAGGTTAGTCTTCTCATACTGTTATGGGATCTTTGGAGTGTCAATTTTCTGGCCAGAAACCTCTGTGGCTAGTGGTGGGTTTGCCCAAGCACTTGTTCTGCTTCCAGGAAGAATGAGGTACACAGACAAGTGGAGAGTGAGCAAGACAAAGAGGAGCTTTATGAGTGTTAGAACAGCTCAGAGGAGACCCACAGTGGGTAGCTGCTTTCTGCAGGCAGGTCGTCCTGTTGAGTGTTCAGCTCTCAGCAGAGAGAGAGGAGGCCCTGGAGAAGGTAGCTCCTCTCTGCAGCTGGTCGTCCTGATGTCTGCCCACCTCCTAGCAAACAGGAGGCCCTGGAGTGGGTTGTTCCTCTCTGCAGCTGGCATTCCCCATGTCTCTGTGTGTCTCTGAAGCTCTCAGCAGAGGATAGCTCCTCTCTGCAGCTGGTCATCCCAATGTCTGCTCAGCTCTGGCTGAGCCCAGGGCTTTTATGGGCCTCAGAGGGGAGGAAGTGTGCACTGATTGGTCAATGGGTGGCCATGGGTGGGCCCAGAAAAGGCACCACAAGTTCCCACGCTAGCCTGTGGGACTGGCAGCCCAGCCCCCAGCCTTTAGGCCCTCCCTGGACTGAAGGTGGGGTCTCACTGGGGACCTGCCCCCTTCTGCCCAAGAATCTGTCTGCCTCCCTCTGCTGTTTATGGTGCTCAGGCTTGGCCCTGACTTTGCTCCAAGATCAGAGCAGGCGCCGACAGCAGGGAGAAGCCAGGCAGTGACAGCAGACACTTCTAAACCTGTGAGGGCAGGGGGGGCCTTCCTGGGCCCCCAAGAGTGCAGGGATACCCAGGGTCTGCTGCTGCACCCAGGGGGGGCTCCTGTGGAGTGGGAGGCCTGGGTCTGCAGCCTTGGTTTGGGTAGCTGCAGCTCCACCGGGGAGGGAAGAGCTCTGCCTGCTCCTCACCTCCCAAGAACACAGGGAGGCTTGGATCTGCAGCCACAACTTGCGTGGTTGCAGCCTCACCCAAGAGGGTGGGGCTCCTGCCTGCTCGGTGGGGGGTGCAGTCCCAGCCACACCTCCCTGCTGCAGCTGGCATGACACTGAGCTCCAGATGCTGGCACTGGAACTGCTGTTCCTGCTGCTGCCCTGCTGTAAAAACTGGGTTCTGCACTGCCTCTCACTATGATTCGAAACCTGGTGTGGGAGCTTCCAATTGGTGATGTCTGGGTCACGTGACTCACCCTAGCTGCAAAGGAAGCCAGGCATAGAATATCAGACATTTTCAGTTCCTTTGATGGAGGGAAGGGCTCAGAGGATGGGTGACCAAAATGGTGGATTGGCCCTTTCCATCGACTGCTGCCTAACAGCTTGTCTACCTTCCTTCTAGGCTCCTTCCCATGCACAGAGCCTGGAGAACCACTGGCATCCCCAGACTTCCTCATGACATGGGGGTTCTGTGTGAGGAAGGCCTGGCAGTCAGATGTCCTTGCAGGAGACTGGGGAGAGGCCACACTTCTGTGGCTGCCCTGGTTTCTGCCAGCAAGCACGGTGGCATAGGCATTTGGTCTGGGGTCTTAGGGTTCCATTGCTGTCTTTGTAAACAGGCAGATGTAGGCACCCCTTCTGTTAGTGTTGATCAGAGAAGATGCAGCAAGACCAGTAGCTGGCAGAAGAAGTCATTTTCTGCTCCAGTTGACTCCAGAATGTGAAGTCTTCCTAGCAACGTGGTGATGTGTGTCCAGAGCCCGAGTTTTCCTAATGGCACCAGGGATGGTAGCTCTGTGGTGTGACATTGGGAGTGACCCCTGAAACTTGGCCTATAGTTCTTTTCTCAAGCAGTGCCCCTGCCCCCGTGATTATCGAAGCCATCAGTGCCCCACCATAAACATTTTCCTGCAGTAACAGCTGGAGTCGATTCTGTTTTCTGCAATGGAATCCTGGCTAATGTGGCTGCTAAAAAATGAGACAGGTCACTTTTTTGTCCATCCAACACCCTTCATCCATATTTACTCTCAACCTAAATTATGAATAGACAGCGATTCACCAAAGATATTGAGTTTATGTGTAAGTGTGCAGGGGCTTCCAAATCTGAGTTGTGCAGGCTATGGGGACCACCAGCATGTCCAAAGAGGCTGAGACAAGGCAAAGCTCCTAATGGCAGATGAGAGAACCACAATTCACCTGCTTTGAAGCAAACAGAACCCTGGCTACAGGGTCTTATTGCAGGAGTTGACATCAGTTCATGTGTAGAGACAGCTTGTCAGGCAGAGGTTCTTGTGCATCTGGTCAGCTGTCCTCATGACTCATGTAACAAGCTGCAAGTTGGAAAGTCCTTGGGAAAAGCTCTTGCTACAGGAATATGTGCATAAGAGCCCTTCAGAGAGCCTTTGTGATAGCTCCTATCACAGGGACGTGTGCAGGGAGTGGGAGCCTTCTTAATTTCCTGACTATTTTGTTTGGGTTTGACCCTAGTGACTCCATCTTGATTCTGACGATTTTCACATAATGTTCTATAAGAATGCTCCCTTGAAACCCCATGCAAACCACTTAGTCCTCCCCAGAAGGAGTTCTTAAATCTCATCAGCCACTGCTTCCCACTCCAGTCCTGTCCTCTTCTCAATCCCCCACAACTACTGACTTGTTACATAATGCCCACCATTGGCACACGCTTTGTAATATGTTGGTGGGATAAGGGCAGGAGTGGGAATGGCAGCGAGGAGGTGGGTAGGGGTCCAGTGCTGCAGTGCTTGGGTGAGGCTGTGCTGGTGTCTAGGACTTCGCTCCTCTGCCACCCTAGGCCCCTCTTCCCTCAGCTAGCAGCTCATCTGGTGAGATTCTTTGTGTCTGTAGGGGAGATTCCACCTAATCACTTCCAAGGGCTCAAAGCTGCACCCTAGGGGGACCGTAGCCCCCCTCGAAGAGGCTTCCTGAGAAATTCAAGGCTGCCAAGAGAATTTCCTGTTTGTTTCAGCCAACACCTGAAGGCAGGACCTGTCTCCCAGCCTCTGAAGGCAGGCAGGGGCCTGATTCCAACAAGCACCAGTTAGCAAATCCAGATGGGCTTCCTACGGACCAGTCCCCCTTCCTGCTTTTAGTAATTTTTCCTTGACTCTCCTGAGCTCACCCCCTCTCTACTCCCTCATTCTCCCTTTCAAACACCCACTCGCCTCTACGCAAATGGAAGTCGAGTTCATTCATGCTGCCATCTTCGCTATTACAGTAGCTATAACTCATTGAAATGTCCTGACCACTCTAGTGTCTGGCTTTATCTCTAGTGTCTGGCTTTATCTTTGACACCATGCTGCAACTCTAGTTACCTTGTATTTTCAGTCACCCAGCATGTTATCTTCCTTTTGCCCATTTGCATGGCAGCATAGAGAATATGAAATGGCCTTTGTGGCCCCTGAATGGAAGTGTTAGGTTCTAGTACCCCCAAACCAGCAGATAGCAGAGGCCTGAGGATGGGAAGCAAAGCTTTTGCAGGTGGATGATCATGTGTGGCTCCAACTTCCAGGTCTTGGTTATCTGTCCTTGTGTCCTGAATACCACATTATGAGCTGCTGGTAAGAGGCATAGGTTACATGCTACAGAAGCATATCCCATCTGACAAGAACTTATCCCCCAGTAGGCCCTGTAATAATGAATCTTCAATAAACAATTCTGTTTCCTCTGCAGTCGGCTGCATAAGCCCCTTGCCTGACTTCAGTCACTGCAAAGCGTTGCCTGGAGAGGCCTAAGGCTGTCAGTAGGTTTAGGTGGCTAATGGAAGCTAGGGAAAGAAAATCCAAATCCTCCACTGTATTAGTCAGGGTTCTTCAGGGGGACAGAACTAGTAGAATATATGCATGTATGTATGTATGTATGTATGTATGTATGTATGTATGTATGTATCTATCTATGTATCTATCTATCATCTACTCTATCTATCTATCTATCTATCTATCATCTCTCCATCTATTTATCTATGTCTATTATCTATCTCTGTCTATGTATCTATCAATGTATCTATCTATATCTATCTATGTATCTATCCGTCTATCTATGTATCTATCTATCATCTATCCTTCTATTTATCTATCCATCTATCATCTATCTATGTATCTATTTATCTATCTATGTATCTATTTATCTATCTATGTATCTATCTATATCTATGTATCTATCTATCTGTGTGTCTATGTATCTATGTATCTATGCATCTAGGTATCTATCTATGTATCTATGTATTTATCTATCATCTATCTGTATGTATCTATCATCTATCCATCTATCTATCTATCCATCTATTATCTATCTATCTCTATCTATGTATCTATGTGTCTATCTATCTATCTATCTATCTATCTATCTATCTATCTACCTACCTACCTACCTATCGATCAGAGTCTATTAGCTCACATGATTACAAGGCGAAGTCCCATGATAGCCCATCTGCAAGCTGGGGAAGAGAAAGGCTGGCAGTGGCTTAGTCTGAGTCTGGAAGCCTCAAACTAGGGAAGCGACAGTGCAGCCTTCAGTCTGTGGTTGAAGGCCCGAGAGCCTCCGGCAAGTCACTGGTGCAAGTCCAAGAGTCCAAAGGCTGAAAAACCTAGAGTTTGATGTCCAAGGGCAGGAGGAGTGGAAGTATCCAGCACGGGGGAAAGAAACAAGCCAGAAGACCCAGCAAGCCAGCTCATCCCACCTTCTTCTGCCTGCTTTGTTCCAGCCACGCTGGCAGTCAATGGGATGGTGCCCACCCACAATGAGGGTGGGTCTTCCTCTCCCAGCCCACCGACTCCGACATCCATCTCCTCTGGCAACACCTTCACAGACACACCCAGAAACAATATTTTCCCAGCCATCTAGGCATCCCTCAATCCAATCGAGTTGACGCTTCATATGAACCATCACACCCACACACGCCCTGTCCACAGAGGGCAAGTTCAGGCCACTCCATTAAAAGGGGTGCCTGTTGGGCACGTAATCATGCCTGTAATCCCAGCACTTTGGGAGAGCGAGGCAGGTAGATCACGAGGTCAAGAGATCAAAACCATCCTGGCCAGCATGGTGAAACCCCCACCTCTACTAAAAATACAAAAATTAGCCAGGCATGGTGGCACACGCCTGTAGTCCCAGCTACTCGGGAGGCTGAGGCAGGAGAATCGCTTGAACCCGGGAGGTGGAGATTGCAGTGAGCCGAGATAGCACCACTACACTCCAGCCTTGGTGACAGAGAGAGACTCTGTCTCAAAAAATAAAATAAAATAAAATAAAATAAAGCAGGGGGTGCCTGTTTTCAGACCACCCAGGTGTGGTCTGAACCCCCCGGCTGGCAACAGTTTGGGAGGCTATGTCAGTTTTGGAAGGCTGCTTTTAAAACTAACACAAAGTGGGTGACTTAAACCATGACATGAATCACCTTATAGTTCTGGAGGCTCCAAGTCTGAGATCAGGGCGAGTTCCTTCCGAGGCTGTGAGGGACAATCTGCCCTGAGCATCTCCCCTGCTCCTGGGGTCCTGTTGCGGCCTCTGGTGCCCTCGGCTGTGGGCGGCAAGCCACCCAGGCGCTGAGGCAAGAGACCGAGGACATGAGCTGTTCCAGTATAATAAAATATAAAACAAGAATAGTTATACCAGATATAGATCTTAGATATGATTATATATGAATATCATTAATCATTAGTTTGTAGCAATTACTCTTTATTCCAATATTATAATAATCCTCACTCTATAATCACAACCTAGGAAAAACCAGGCCATACAGAGATAGGAGCTGAGGGGACATAGTGAGAAGTGACCAGAAGACAAGATTGCGAGCCTTCTGTTATGCCCAGACAGGGCCACCAGAAGGGCTCCTTGGTCTAGCAGTGACACCAGCGTCTGGGAAGACGCCCGTTGCCAGGCGGACCGTGGTCTAGCGGTAGCGTAAGTGTCAAGGGAAAACACCCGCTACTTAGCAGACCGGGAAAGGGAGTCTCCCTTTCCCTGGGGGAGTTTAGAGAAGACTCTGCTCCTCCATCTCTTGTGGAGGGCCTGACATTAGTCAGGCCTGCCTGCAGTTATTCGGAGGCCTAACTGTCTCCCTGTGATGCTGTGCTTCAGTGGTCACGCTCCTAGTCCACCTTCATGTTCCATCCTGTACACCTGGCTCTGCCTTCTAGATAGCAGTAGTAAATTAATGAAAGTACTAAAAGTCTCTGATATGCAGAAATAATGGCATAAGCTGTCTTTCTCTTTGTCTCCTCTCTCTCTCTGCCTCGGCTGCCAGGCAGGGAAGGGCCCCTGTCCAGTGGACACGTGATCCACGTGACCTTACCTATCATTGGAGATGACTCACACTCTTTACTCTGCCCCTTTTGCTTTGTATCCAATAAATAACAGCACAGCCAGACATTCGGGGCCACTACCGGTCTCCACGCATTGGTGGTAGTGGTCCCCCGGGCCCAGCTGTCTTTTCTTTTATCTCTTTGTCTTGTGTCTTGATTTCTACACTCTCTTGTCTCCGCACACGGGGAGAGATCCACTGACCCTGTGGGGCTGGTCCCTACACTCAGCTTGCAGGAGCATCACCCGACCTTGGCCTTCCCCTTTGCCTGGCCTTCTTCCTTCGTGCAGGTCTGTGTCTGTATCCACATTTTCCGTTTTATAAGGCACGGTCCTATTAGATTGGGGCCCACCCTTATGATTTCATTTCAATTTGATTTTTCTCTGTAAAGCCCCTATTTCCCAATCAGGTTGAATCCATAGGGACCAGGAGTTAAGACTTCGGCATTTTTGAGTGAACACAGTCCAACCCATGGCAGAGGGTGAGAACGCTTTGCTGCTGTCTGCACATGGGCACACATAGAGGCAGAAGACAGGCCCCCTTGGCAAGCATGAGTCCTCACTGCAGATCCCTTGCGCAGCCTTAATCCCTGCCAAGGAGGCCGCTTTGTGCATGGGCCTCTGGCAGACCCCGGAGAGGCTGGGGAAGGGCCTGACTCATCCTGTTCTCTGGATGACGATGCAGAGCCCCCTCCCCAGGGGACCTTCTGGTGAGCATTCACACGGAGCAGACAGCAGCATAATGGCAAAGCCGAGGGCGCCGGGCATAGGGGACAGGGGACCAGAGCTGGGCACTGTGGGTCTGGATACGAATGTGCTTACCCTCTGGGCCATTCTGAGAGTTCACCCGCGCATCTCTCCTCAGCCTCCATGTCTCCAGCCTTCTGATGTGGCTCCTTGCAGGTCCCTGACTGCTTGGCCAAGCCCGGCCCATGCATATGTGTAGAGTCTTGCCTTGGGCCTTCTCGAGTATCCCTTGATGTTCTGCCCAGGAGGAGGGTCCCCCGTCTTCACCGATGGAATAGGAAGAATAATGGCCTCCCAGACACGCCCATGCCCCAGTCCCCAGCCGCTGTGAGGATGCTGCCTTGCACGGCCACAGGGACTTTGCAGGTGTGATGAAGATATGGACCCCAAGATGACAGACCTCCCTGGATTAAGTGAGCATAATGGAATCACAGGCCCTTAAAAGTGGAAGAAGAAGGCAAAAGAGTCCAAAAGGTGAAGAGGCCAGGTAGACAGAAGCTCTGTGTGGGAGAGGGAGCTGAGCCACCACTGCAGGCTTTAAGGTGGGGGAAGGGTTGAGAACCAGGCCCATGCCTGATCTCTAGGAGCTGAGACGGCCGTTGGCTGGCAGCCAGCAGAGAAGTAGGGACCATCTTGCAACCACAGGGACCCGAATTCTGCCAACAACCTGAATGAGCAAGAAAACGGATTATCCCCAGAGCCTCCAGGAAGAAACAGCTCTGCTGACACCTTGAGCTGGGTCTTGTGAGCCTCTAAGCAGAGGGACTAGCCAAGCCCCATGGACTTCTGACCTGCACGGCAGTGGGAAGACACATGCTGGATTTGTGGCAATTTGTGACGGCAGCAATAGAAAATGAATGCCGTCCTTTGTGGCTACCCTGAAGTGCCCTCGAAATATGTTCAAGTATTCTGTGGGTTCTCAGAGCTGAGTGAGACCTTAGAAGCCACGTCCTACCACCTCAGCACGACAACTTCCCCGTGGCAGGGTAGCATGCTGGTTAAGAGCACAAGCTTTGGAGTTAGATAAACTTGAGTGCCGGTTCTGGCACCTCACTCACTATCTGTGTGGCCTTGGTGACTTTCCAAAATGCTCCATGCCTCAGTTTCCCCATCTGCAAAATAGGAACAGCCACAGCAGCTGAAGATTCAACAAGGTGACGCACATTAGTGTATGCAGCATAGGGCCTGGCCCCAGGAATGCTTGGTGAACGACAGTGGTTATCATCATTACAGCATCTCTGAGAGGTGGTTGTCTGGTCTGCTGAATCACCTCCAAACCCAGAAAGCTCACTCTCTTATGAAATGACCAAGGTAAAAACCTCTGTCCCCACCTGGTCTATGAAGACGTGGGGATGCGTTTCGGGGGAACAAGGTGCCAGGCCTGGCTTCGGCACAGACTCACAAGTTGGGCAGGCCACACACCGCCTCCCCACTGCTGGGCCTCAGTTTCCCCGTGTGTGAAACAAAAGGGTTGGATTTAGTTTCTTTTTCTAGTTTTGAGATTTCATGAGTCTGTGAATTCAGGACAGAGCTGCACTGTTGCTCTCATATGTAATTATTTTTTCTCAGGATTACACATTCTTGAATAAAAATGAAATAAGGCCTTCAGAATAAGTGATGAAATACTTTTTGACCTAACATTAATATGCCACATGGAAGGCAGGAGAATGAATCAGTAAGATTAAAGATGTGGAGGCCCCAGAGTCACCACGGGGCTGGGGAAAGACAGCAGGGGTGGGGAGATGGTGGCCATGTATATTTATTTGCTCTGACATTAGTGTGTTAAGCCAGTGCCTATGTAATTTCCCATACAAAGCAGCATCCATGGAATATTCCCCTGCTTGGCTATGCTGCTGTCGTCATCAGAGTCTTTCTCATTTACAGTGGTGGTGCTGAGCTCCCCCAAATCCAGCCCAGCAGCTTGGGCAAGGCATACCTGTGGCAGATCCATCCTTCTTGGAAGACCTAATTTGGGAGGAGGAGGTGGGCTCTCTTAGGGGAGACTGATGGGGAGGGAGGAAGGAAACCAGGTGGGGCTTGGAAGGCACAGCCGGAAGGATAAGGCACGGTCTGCCCCTGTCCCTCCAACAGCTACAGACCAGGGTCCTGGTCTGCAGAGGACCAGGGATGAGCCGGACAGACCCTGCCCTGGGGAGAGAGGGAGTGGCACCTGTCATTCTCGTCAGCGAGATCGATGCCCTGGGGGAGGCATGTGGTGGGTGGGGGTGGGGTCTCTGCCTCCGGAGAGTCAGGCCACGTAGGAGGCAGGAGTCACTTGCAAGCTGAGCCCTCTTCCCATCTTGCGAGATGGCCTGGTGTTCTCCACAGTCCTCACAGCTGAGCATCTCCTGGGCTTTGGGCCCCGGAGTCCCTCATGAGGCTGGCTCACCTAAAACCTGCAGCAATTTCCCTGAGACAGAGTGGCACACGGCGTTTGTGCTGGGGAAGTGGACTTGGAACAAAGGTACCAGTCAGCTAACGGACCTTCCAGGCCCCAGCTCAGAAGCCTCGGCCTCACTTTGCCCAGACCAGCAGTCAGGGGCTTGTTTTAACAAGCTGTCCCCAGGAGATGGGTGTGCCCCATCAAGCTTGCCGATGCCTTGCCCTCCATCTGAGAACTTCAGACCCTGGACCCCTGAGCCCATGTGGTGGAGACCACTGCCTGCCTTGGCTGACCCTATTCCCATTCCCTCAGGTGCTCAGAGAAATCCCCTGCCTGGCTGGTGCCCCCAGGTCCTCAGGCTCCAGGTCACCTGATCCTGACTGAAGACGGACCCTCCTTGAGGTTCGGTCTGAATCGGAGGACTTAACCAGGCCCTCTGAGCCATGCCAGGTGGGATTCCAGAACCGGGAAGGGGAGAGGAGGGCTCCTTGGGCCTGATAGTCCCAGGAGAATGAAACTCACTCCTGTCCAGGGGCCCTCATCCTGCCCAGCGAAAACAGAGGCCACAGTGTGGGTGAGTAAGGATGAGGGTCCCACAAGTACAGGTAAGAGAGGCCTCGGGCAGGTGCAGGCAAGAAAGGCCTCAGGCAGGTGTGGGCGAGAGAGGCCTCAAGCAGGGCAGGTGAGAGAAGCCTAGGTTAGGTGCAGGCAAGAGATGCCTCGGGCAGGTGCAGGTGACCCTATCGTTCCAGCTTCCCAGGGCTTACCAGCTCCTTCTGGAGGGCATGATCTCACTGCCTCCAGCAGCCTCTCCCAGTGCCAGGCATCAGCAGGCTCCCTGGGCAGGTCACGAGCAAGGCTGGTTAAAGCCGACACGAATATTTGATAACCAGGTGCCACCGTGGGATGACACATGTGTGGCGCTGTGCTCCAATGCAGTTTCACATCTGACAAGTGTATTACAGATTTGAAAGAAACCAAAAACCAAAACCGGCAGCCCACTTTTATACTGAAGATGTTAGGCTCCAAACACCAGCGCAGGAAACACCACAGCCTGGCTGGGGCTGCTGGCTGGCTTGAAGGTGAGCTTCTGGCAGCTGCTACGATGAAAGCCCAGGCTGGTCCACCCCACAATCATCACTCAGGAGCCTGTACACGTGTGTGTGTGTGCATCACCTACACATGCACAGACACACACACACACACACATACACACACACACACACACACACGCCAATGCTTGGAAACTGAAGTCTCCCCTGTCCCATTCCTTGGCTCAGCTGAGCTAGGCTGGTTTCTCCCCTCCCCACTTTTTTTGTTGTTCATCAGGAAGCGAATGGACACATGTTCCATACAGCCACACCTGGAACACTATGCAGCCTCGAACATGCATGCACTGGCAATTCCCCCATCCACATGGAACAATCCCAAAACTCGCTACTAAGCGACAGTGAAGCAGCAGAGTACACAGAGCGATGCGTTTCTACAGGGTTTCAAACACAGAAAAATCACTTCTTAGGGGCACAATCACCTATAGGAAAACCATCAAGAAACGCATGGGCCAGCCTGACTCCGCACACTGGATCACAGTCACATGCATGGGGTTGGGCTCCCCCAACTTTCATTTTAAGCAAAACAGCCCCAATATCAGAGTAGGATAAAAACAATACTGGGAACCAGATCAAATAATATAAAAAATCAGAACGGTTTTGTTTCTTGGTTTTATCCAAATCCATCACACACGTAAATAAAATGTGAGACATTAAGGTGACGGGTTTAAGTCTTTGTGGAGAAATGGGATGGGCCTAGGGTGTGGGGTCAAAGCCCCAGGCTGAACTGTGTGAACCAGAGTGGGGAGCTACCTGTGGATCTGGGTTCTCCAAGAGTGGGTTGCCCGCTTGTGAACCAGAGTGGGGAGCTACCTGTGGATCTGGGTTCTCCAAGAGTGGGTTGCCCGCTTGTGAACCAGAGGTGGGAGCTACCTGCGGATCTGGGTTCTCCAAGAGTGGGTTGCCCGCTTGTGAACCAGAGGTGGGGGCTACCTGCGGATCTGGGTTCTCCAAGAGTGGGTTGCCCGCTTGTGAACCAGAGTGGGGGGCTACCTGTGGATCTGGGTTCTCCAAGAGTGAGTTGCTCTCTCTGCCAAATGGGGCATCCACATCACCATTGCCCACACATTGCTTTTCTCCAGAGTCCCCTAGATCTGGAGTGAGTGCCAATGACATGATTTCTTTCACCTCCATGGCTGATAGCTGATATGGTTTGGCTGTGTCCCCACCCAAATCTCTTCTTGAATTGTGGCTCCCATAATCCCCATGTGTTGTGGGAGGGACCCACTGGGAGGGAATTGAATCATGGGGGTGGGTCTTTCCCATGCTGTTCTCTTGACAGTTAATAAGTCTCATGAGATCTGATGGTTTGATAAAGGGCAGTTCACCTGCACATGCTCTCTCTTGCCTACTGCCATGTAAGATGTGACTTTGCTCCTCCTTCACCTTCCATCATGATTGTGAGGTCTCCCCAGCCACGTGGAATGGTAAGTCCATTAAACCTCTTTTTCTTTATAAATTCCCCAGTCTAATAAGTCTTTATTAGCAGTGTGAGAATGGACTACTACAATGGCAGAAGAGCTTGCCAGCCTAGGCAGGAGCAGACGCTTGGTCTAAGGTCCAGGGCTGGGCAGGGGCTTGTGGAAGAGCCAAGAGAGGCCAGCTGCGGCTGTCTGCACATGGCCCAGTTCCCATCCTCAGGCTCCAGCACCCCTCACTACTACTCCCTCTGGAATCTGTCTGGTTGGGGTTACTGGTTGAGTTATGCCCTCACCTGGCCAGAGGTGAGCACATGGCCCCAGCTGCACATTCTCCTCCCCAGAGCCTGAGCTTGAGAGGATAGACACAAGGGTCAGACATGGCTGGAGAGGAGGCATCCTGGCAGTGACCCTTCCTCTGGAGAATCTGAGTGGTGGTCCCAGGACCCCTGGAGCTGCTCCAGGGTCTGTCCTTGTTGAGTCCCGCTCTTCAGTGTTGGCGGGGACACTGTGAACTGCTCATGTCCCCCAGCAAGCCCATTGCCTTTTGCCATTATTGCTTAGGTTGTGCGGCTTAAGCTAGTCAATGTCAGCTTATATTGCTTACAGCCCAGGAGCTGTGTGGAGGAGGCATCTGCTGTCCTTGCTGGGCTCGGCAGGAATGAGTGGCTGATTGCTTAGTGATGTCTGTCCTGGGTACAGCACGAGAAGAGAGGACTGGAGCCAAATTTGGCTGTCCACCTTCATCCCTTCCATCTTCATTCCGCACTCTGCCAGCCTTCCCTGGTCTAGCAGGCATGGGGACTCTCTAGCCTTTTAGGAAGACCAGCTGCAAAACCTCTCCTTGCCATTCAAGACAGGTCTGATGGAAGTCCTTACCGATGTCCAATCTATGCCACACCCAAGCAGCTCTCAAAAATCAGCCTTCTTGTCCCTGTCAACAGAACATGCTGGAAAATAGATCTAAGAGGCTGATTTCACTAACTCCCAGGCATGCTGAGTCTCCTAGGGCTGGCTTCCTTTCTCCCAGTTACCCTCCCCAGGGGGTAAAATCCATGGTCTGGGTGGGGGAGGGGGTGGCTAACCCTCCCCAGTGCTGCAGCTATGGCCACACGAATTCCCCAGGCACCTGCCTCCCCTCTGCGAAGGGAGAAGAAAGCCCCGCATCTGCCCTTGAAGGATGTGGTGGCACCTCTGGGCTGCGGAGCTGCACCTGTCGGATGATCGGATGATGAATGCCTCCTTCAGTCTGGTGCTTTCAGCTTTCTGCATGGAAGCCAAGACACATGTAAGAGCCCTTTGAGGACACTCATTTACATGACAAGTACACAGATTACAAACCATCGTATTTCACCGGTTTCCAGCCGGCCAGCCTGGAGACCTGCCCCTCTCCAGACCCTTCTGCCATTAATCTTGGGCTGAACGAGCCAGTGAGGCGGGGCAGATTGCATTTGCTCTCCCATGATGTGCCCGAGGCCAGACTGAAGAGCGGCTCATCTAGCATTTTTCATTTTCCACCTAACAGATTCAATATTTTAACAAATCCAAGTGCTGTATACACGGGGGGTGGCTTCCAAGAGGCGGCTGCACTCACCATGCTTCTGCCATGGGTCATTAATTGAGTGGCCTGTGAGTTATGGACTGCAGTGGCTCTGAGCCCTGGCTTGCTCTCCCTTTGGTGTCGGGTGGTCTACAGGTTCCTGTGGGATGCAGAGATCAGGGTATCTGGAGGCCTAAGATCCCAGGGGTCTATATGTCAAAGCGGGGCCCTCAATGGGGGTTCTGGCTGCAGGACCACCTATTCACCCAGCTATCCCTTACTCACTCACAGTCTGCAGTGTGCAGGGCTCAGGGTGATGCTCAAAGGGACACAGTCACAGGAGACACCGTCTCCACCCTGGAGGAGTTACTCAAGACAGACATGAAGCCAGCAGTTAAGTGACAGGGCAGAAGCTCCGAAGGAAGAGGCCCAGGATCCACTTTTAGGGAGGTGGGGAAACAGGATCCACAGAGGGAGGCGAGGCGGGCCTGTGAGGATGGCTCCTGCCTCTCCCCGCCTGCCGGTAGGGGCTCAGAGCAGTGGCTGCAAGGGGTGGAGCTGCGATTTAAACCTCCGTGCGGTGCACCCACACCCAGGTTCGGGTGCCTGCGCCACCTGGTATGTGTCAGCCAGGCGGGGGCTGAGAAGGCTTCCTGGGGAATGGGCTAAGGTGGTGTTCGGAGGATGAAGAGGAGTCGACGAAAGGGAGAAAGAGGAAAAGCATCCCGGTGGGAGGGTGCAACGTAGCTTGAGCCAGGTGGCTTTAGGAACCTTCCAGAAGTTTGATTTGGCTGGAGACAATTCCATCTCCTTTGCAGAGTAAGAAAGTGAGGCTGTGCTCTCTGTGCATGGGAAAGAGAAAGAGCAGAGAAGTCGTTGCCTGAGCCCCTGAGTCAGTTGCTGCTGTGAGTGGGTTCTGGCCCCACACCTTGTAAAACCCACAGGTCTGTCCTCTAAAGGAGGGAACCCCTACAGCTCTTAGTGCAGAGAACACAGCCCAGCTCAGGGACGCGACGTGGCTCAACAGGGCCCTGGCCGCCGCCTCTGCTACTGCCCAGGATCAGACCCCAACCCAGCTCTCCAAAAAGTAGACCAGATGGCACATACCACTGTCATCTTCACAGGGAGGTGGGGTCTTGCAGAGGGGAGAAAAGACTTTGACAAACACAGAGGAGAAAAGAAGAAACTGGTCACATGCTCCCTGCAGATGAGCACAATTGTTTCCACCGCAGATGGGGAAACCGAGGCATGAAAAGGGAAGCTGGCAGCCCTAGATCGCCGGGTAAACCAGAGAAACCTTGCAGTCTGGGGCTTTCCTTGACTGCTCTGAGAAACATGGACAGGCTGGGGAAGGGACAGCCCAGGCTGCCTTCCTGGGATATCCCCATTTCACAGTGTCTTCAAGCGCAGCCTCCCCTGCCATGCGCAAGTCTAACTCCTCAGCTGTGAGTTTGAAGGGGCAACTCCACCTGCTCCCTCCGAGACAGAATGCAGTTGCATTCCATTTGTTTTTATTTCATGTTAGTCATTTATTTAAAAATTGCTTCCAGGAAACATATAAGCAAGACTCTGTGTCCACAATATTTTCCATCTTTTGTGGGATGTCAGGGATGAGCTCAAACAGTGACTCAGTATCCAAATGTCACAATTGGCTGGGGAAACGATTTCCATATGAATAGACACGTGAGTCCAAACTGCGAACATGGAGGAGATACCTGTGCCTGGGGAAATGCAGGAAGGCAGCCTTGTTTATGTTTACACTGGGCGATCGCCTTCCCCTGAAACGCTGGGTTGAAATCCTGAATTAAAACATTTCTCCCACTTTAGGGTTATTAATAAGCAAATGCTGCATTTCCCAAAGTCTGTTTTGTGGGACCATCTCAGGGGGACATTCACAGCTGCAGAGGTGGTTGGAAGTGCCCATTGCCAAGGACTCCCTCTGTTTGGTCACAGGTGAGGGGGCACCGCCTCGCTGCTGGGGGTGGGCACGGCTTTGTGATTTGCTTTGTCAATTAAGATATGGGAAAGAAAAATGGGAAGGGGAAATGGGAAAGGGATATGGGAAGGGGAAATGGGAGGGGAAGTGGGAAGAAGAAGAGGGAAGGGGAAATGGGAGGGGAATGGGAGGGGAAATGGGGATGGGAAACGGGAAGGAGAAATGGGAAGGGGAAATGGGAAGGGGAAGAGGGAAGGGGAAATGGGAAGGGAAATGGGAGGGGAAATGGGAAGGGGAAATGGGAAGGGGAATGGGAGGGGAAATGGGAAGGGGAAGAGGGAAGGGGAAATGGGAGGGGAAATGGGAGGGGAAATGGGAAGGGGAAATGGGAAGGGGAAAGGGAGGGGAAATGGGAAGGAGAAATGGGAAGGGGAAGAGGGAAGGGGAAATGGGAGGGGAAGAGGGAAGGGGAAATGGGAGGAGAAATGGGAGAGGAAACGAGGAGGGGAAATGGGAAGGGAAATGGGAGGGGAAATGGGAAGGGGAAGAGGGAAGGGGAAATGGGAGGGGAAGAGGGAAGGGGAAATGGGAGGAGAAATGGGAGAGGAAACGAGGAGGGGAAATGGGAAGGGAAATGGGAGGGGAAATGGGAAGGGGAAATGGGAAGGGGAAGAGGGAAGGGGAAATGGGAAGGGGAACTGGGAAGGGAAATGGGAAGGGGAAGAGAGAAGGGGAATGTGAAGGGGAAATGGGAAGGGGAAGGGCACATTAAGAGCCAGAACGGTTGGAGACTTTCCCTGTTCTGCCCCACTTCTGAGATGAGTGAGGGCGTTTGTGCAAGGAGCGAGCCTTCGTCACCCTGGTTTCCCGCCACTTCAGCTACTGAGATTCTCTGCAGACCCACGATGGACATGGAGCACATCTGGGAATGAACTGGAATTTCTCAAGCTGCAGGGCCTTGGGGGCTGTTTGCTGCTGACCTTGCTTGGCGGATGCAATGAGATGCCTGCAGATGAGGGCAGCCACAGGTGTTCCGGCCGTGCTTGGCCTCACCGACTGGCTGAGTGTGTGAGAGAAGAATTTCCTGTGTTCCTTGGTCACAGGGCCCTCTTCTGTGGGAAGGGACCCACAGAGCATGCTCCGGAGGCCCCGAGCTCACCCACCCACCCACCCACTGTCTGCAGTGGTCCCAGGCTGTCTCACTCACCATTGCCATCACCCTTTAGACAAGAAGTGTGGGTCACAGCGGGGAGGAACTTTCCCAATGTCTCCCCTGGCAGTGCCCGATCAGCATCCAGGACCCCAGCATGGCACCCTCTCCCCAGCGCGTGTCACCCTGGGCTGCGCCTGATTCTGTGGTTGGAATTTCCTTCCGTGCCCAGTCATTCAAGGCAGAGGGACCTGGGTGGTGTATGATTTCAGATTCCTCTCTCAGGTGCTGTCGGTGACAATGAGACTATCAAAGCTCTCATTGGAAGCAAAATGAAGGTGCTCTGGGGTGACTGACTGCTCATACCCAGCTGTGGGCTGAGCCAACATGCCCCCATCTGAGCAGGGGTGTCAGGTGGACAGGAAGGTAGCCCCCACCAGGGCAGGGAAGGGCCTCTGGGCACATGGGTGATGGGAGAGAGAGGGGGCAGGAGCCACAGCAGGCACAGGGGCCCCTCCTCCCGCCCTGCTCAGACCCCTGCTCTCTCTGGGGTCAGCTCCATGCGCCCAGATAGACTCTTATTCAAATTCATCCCAGGACTGGTCCTTAGCAGGGCCCCTGCAGGTCTGGGGGGTACATGGCCACGTTGGCAGCTCACAGGACCCCAACCTCTGGCTTTGCCAGTGCTAGCACTGCCTTCCCAGCTGGGCCCAGACCCTGGCAGAGACTGTGTGGCACTGGTTACTGGGAAGCTGGGGTCCTCCAGCCATGCAGCAGGTGAGTGGTCCTGGGCAGGTGTGGCTGCCACCGCTGGTGGCCAGATCCCAGGAAGACATGGCTGCCCCTTTTGACTGTATTTGCCTCAATCCCAGCATCCAGGCAGCAGGAGGGTCCGACACTTATTTGTCCTAGGTTGGGTATCAAGGGCCCATTGTAAGTGAGGCATTGGGCTCGGTGCACAGTGGAGGTGCTGTCTATGGCGTCAAGGAAGAACATTCTCTTCATATCTGTGAGCAGCAAGACGAGAGACGATGCCTCCAGGTTATGACCATGAGGATTCTCAAACTCAGTGCCACTCAGGCCCAGCATCTCCTCGCAGGCTGGTTTGTGTTTGCAGAAGCCTGCTGAGGGAATGACCCCAGCAGCCCTCGCTTGCCTCCCTCAGCCTGGCCACTGAGCCTCTCCCTGGCTGAGAAGAGGTTTGGAGTCCGCGTCCTGGCCTCGTGCCCCACCCAGTTCCAGCGATCCTGGCAGCCTCTGGAAATGGAGGGGAAGGGCCAAGCTGAACCAGGGGGCTGGACCCTGGGGACAAGAAGATCCAGAGGAGTGACAGCAAATCCAAAGGAGAGACAGGGCACCAATGTGAGTATGTGCAGACCTAGGGTCTGGGCACCCCTGCACCGTGGTGGCCACAACTGTGTTGTGGTCATTGCTGTCACATTACATTTGGGATAACAAGGAAGGCTTGGTCAGCCAGGCAGTGGCTGGGCAGGGGACCCGATGGCCAAGTCTGTGTCCTCCTACTGCCTGGGGCCGCCTCTCAGGTTTGGCTGCTCTGGCCCTGGGGATGCCTCTGGCCATCCTGACGCAGCCACCGGGCCAGTGTGAACTTGGCTAGCCCATTCCCTGCCGGCCTCGGTGGCTCTCCTAGAGATGAGAGGCAGGGGCTGGAACCTCCAGCTGTCTGTCAGGTCCCGTGGGCCTCTCTAACCCCACCTGCACCCTCTTCTTGGTTGAGAATATTGTCATTTGAACACAGTGACGTGCTGAGCTGCCCAAGGGCCACAGCCATGTGACAGCCCAGCCTGGCCTTTCAGCGAAGTCACTTGTTTGGAAAGAAAGGTCTCAGAGATGGGGCCTTCTGCCCATTGCTTTGGGGACAGGCTGTCAGAATGCAGAGCTGTCGATGAGGGAGAAATCCCACCGCAGGGCAGCCTCCCAGGGACCTCGGGTAGGAGACAAGGACTAAAGTCGCGGGTGCAACGCCTTTCCTCAGATGTGGGTGCAGCCCAGGGGTCTGCTCAGCCACTGGGGTTGGAGTTGGTGGGGAGGGCCGGGTGAGCCCAGTCCCTGTCACTGTGGTGGGGACACACCTGCCATCTTCCTGTGGTCAGTCCGGATGGGGGTGCACAGATGGTGACGAAAAGAAGAATGTTCTGTATTTTCATTCGACAACCAAATAGTAGGCATGTCCCCTGTGCAAGGGGCTGGGGAAACAGTGGTCACCGGGGCAGACAAACATCCCCCATTCCAGAATGCACATTCGGAAAGGGGGGGTGGCAGTGACAAAAACAAGTGGCTGACAAGTGTTCAGGTGCAGTGCGTTGCAAAGTGGGAGTGAGGGGCAGGGGATTCTCATTTTAAACATGGGGTCCGTGCATCCCTGTGGGCAAGGGGCACTGGGGCAGAGACTTGAGGATATAAGGGAGGGCCACATAGAACTCAGGGAAGAGCATGCCAGGCTCGGGTACGGCAAGTGCAAAGGTCCCGAGGTAGGAGCAATGAGGAGGCCAGGAGCACTGAAGGGAGGGAGGGGGAGAGCTGGGGTGGGAAAGAAGGTCAAGGAGCCGGGGGCAGCACTGGGGGCCTCAAGAGCCAGGAGTTTGGCCTGACTCTGGGTGAGTGAGGGCCTCCTTTGGGTTTTGAGTTGTGAAGTGACTTGTCTGCGGGCTGAAAGCTCCCTCTGGCTCCTTGCCGAGGCTCTTCTGAACCACACGAACGAGGGACGGGCTGGTGCTGGGAGGAAGACGTGGAGGATGGGGCCCTGCAGCCTGGATGGAGCCCTGCTCCCTGTGGAGGGCACAGTGCTGTTTTCACTGGGATGTGGGCTCCTTGCGCTCCTATGTCAAGGCCTGGGTGTCAAGTTCAGGAGGAGGCAGGGCGCCGCGGGCCGGGCAGCTTCGGCAGCCTGACTTCCCCAACAAGATCAGAGGTGTCGGTTTGATGAAGGAACCAGGGTCCTGTCAGTTGGAGAAATTCAATAATTCAGCCCGCCATCTGCGCCACCAACCAGAAGTCCCCCGAGACACTCCAGGGGCGGGGCCGGTTTAAACTCTGGCTCTGCTGCCCACTGTGACCTGTGATCTCGAGTGAGACATGGCTTGGTGGAAACAGGAAGGACCCAGAGGGCACAGTGTGGACGGGAGCACTAGGAGCCCCTCAGTTCTAGTTTCCTTTCCTTCCTGGGCACCTGGCTGCACCCCAGGCCTCCCCTGTAGTCTGGAGGGGTCGGGTGTCCATTTTTTGACCAACGGGGTGTGGGCAGAAGTGCTGCAACCCCCAAATCCCTCACGGTGGGTCGGCTGCCTGCTCTCTTGCCCATCAGGGCTGAGTGGAGGGGCTCCGAGGACCCCGGGACAGATCAGTCTGGAGGAGGGAGCTGTTGCCTGCTTAAGTGAGATGCACTTTGCTTTAAGCCTCTGAGGCACGGGATGTTTGTCTCGGCAGCTGGTCTTCCTGACGCACACGGACGGAGCAGCAGGGAGGTGGCCGCTAAGCTCTAGGGGGGAGGTAGTGGGAGCACAGCAGCTGAGGGTGGGCCAGGGTGGGACCCAGGCTGACCTCCAACTGTTCCACTTTGGGACAGTCGCTGGCCTTTACTTTCCTCTCACCTAAGTGGGTGACAATGACAACGTCTGCCTCAGATGGTGGCCCTGCAGGTCCTGGTGATAAAGCCAGGCCTGGCCCTGAACAGGTCCCTACCGTGGGCCCTTTCAGTTGCTCTTAGGGTCAGTCCCTCCATCCTCTGTGTGTGGGGCCTGCAGTGAAGCTTTTGGGATCCAGGGTCCCTGTGGTCTGACCCCTGGCCCCACCGGTGGTCTGGCTTTGGGTTCAGTAGCTCTTTGAGCCTCAGTTTCCCTGCTTGCCACACTGGCTTGTGCAGACTGGTGCTGGCTTCCAGGCTGGGTCCCATCCTGGCCAGGCCCCACGGCCCCCTCAGATGTGTGGAATGATTCCACTTTCTCCTCACACTGGCCCCCAGGTCACCCTCGGGCACTGGGACCATCAGGCCCTGGGATGACTGTCCTCTTTGAAGAGATGGTGCAGCTGAGACCCAGGCCACTGGGCAACTTTCTCAAGGTTGCACGGGCCCAGTGGACAGCAGCCACAGGGATGGGGCTCCCCCCACAGCCCCTGAGTCCAAGCACCTCTGAATCAGCCCGCTGGGGTCCCTTCCTTCCTCTGCCCCACTGGCTGCATGAGCTCGGGCAGGTGGCCTGCATGGTATGAGAGTGCGTTCCTCATCTTAATACGGAGAGACCACACCCATGAGGAAGCCAGCCTCAGGATGGCCCCCAGCGACCCTCAGGCAGGCAGAAGCTGGCAGAAGCTGCGTTAGCCCCTCCCTTGATTAGGTTATAAAAGGCACTGTGGGTCCCATTTTGGGTGCCTCTCTCTCTCTCTCTCTCTCTCTCTCCCTCTCTCTCTCTTCCTCTCTCTCTCTGTCTCTCTCTCTCTCTGTCTCTCTCTGTCACGTTCTGCGGGGGGAACCACCTACCACATCGTGAGTGGTTCGTCGGCGAGGTCCGGGTGGTATGGAGCCTTTTCCCAACAGCCAGGTGAGTGAGTTTGGAAACAGATCCTCCAAGCCACACAGACCTTCAGGTGAGGTGGCCTCTGCTGCCTGTTTGACTGCAACCTCATGAGAGACCCCAAGCCAGAAGCACCCAGCTAAGCCGCTCCCTAATTCCTGACCAACAGGACACTGGGATGACAGATGTTGCTGTTCTCTTCTGCAGCTGAGTTTCGTGGGTGGTCAATCTGTCCCACAGCAGAGGCACCGTGTGGGTTGAGCCAGAGGGTTCCCGCAGGCTGTGGGTGCTGAGTGGCTGGCCCCCAGGCAGTTCTCATGGTGAGGAACTTGTTAGTTAAGCTTTGCCTCTCTCTGCCCTCAGTAGTTGTGTGGGTGATTACCAAGTGGACGCAGACATTTCTTTGAGGAGCTCTAACGGAGATGCCTGTGTTTGGATGAAGTTTGGGAAATTTACGAGTGGCCATTGAGGAAGGCAGGCAGGTCCGCTTTGTGCATTTCAGCTCCTCCTGCCTTGACAGAGGAAACTTGTGGCTCTTGAGTGTGCACACTTCAGAGCAGGAAAGATGCAGAAATTGAATTAGTTTGCACATTTGGGCTGTCGATGACTTTATTCAAAGCCGTTTCGCTTTTGCTCATTTTTAATCTCTTCCTTCCATTTTTAAACAGCTGGCAGCCAAGTAGGGCTCAAGTGCATATCCTAGGGGCCGTTGCAGGCTCAGCCACATTATCATAACCCTCTCTCAAGGAGGCTGTAGCCCGCAGGAGCTGAGTGGAGGAGAGCTGGTGGCCACAACCAGAGGCTGGAAGGCAAATCAGAAGGGTGCAGTGAGGGTCTGTGCACATGGGGCTGCGTGCAGGCCTCTGTGACCGGGTGTACTGGGCGCTGAGTGTGTTCCAAGGCTTCTGTGACTTCCCTTAGTGCAAGCACTCCCACGCAGAGGAGACCTAGCTTGCATTAGGAGTTATGACTGCTCAGCAAACTCAGATTGACCTCCCACAGTGGGCCAGGCCCTTGTCCCTGCCTCACACGGTTGGTACAGTGCAGATACAGTACAGTACCGGGCTTGGCCCCTGCAATGGCTGAGAAATATATGCTCTGTGAAGATTCACAACGACCGCCCCCCAAACCCAGGGACGACTTCATCTCCTTTGGTCGGAGTATGCCTCCTTGAAAAGATGGAGGCTGAGCCTCTCTTTTGGTCAGAATGCCTCCTTGAAAAGATGGAGGCTGAGGCTCTCTTCGTGAGTGGGTGGAGGAAGAATAAGGACTGGGGAACGGAGGAGTCAAGGGCCCAGGCACAGACCAGCCGGGAACGTCAGAGGAGGGAGGACGGCTCTGCTCATGCTTCTGGGACTATCTATAGAGTCCGTGGATGGCAGCCCGGGACACAGACTTCATCCCAGCTCCAGGGGATCCACAGAAGCCTTTACAGTAGGAAGTGAGGTCCAGGGTGTACCTTAGCCGGGCTAACACAGCCACAGTGGAGGGGAATTACTGAAAGATGTAAGTAAGGCCGGTCAAGAGATGGAGACCAGTGAGGGGCTCCTGCCTGAGGGAGAGATAAGGATGGGCCTCCGCCATGAGGGAGTAGTGGGGTGTGGCATGATGGGGGGTGTGGCATGGGGGTGTGATGTGGCATGGTGGAGGGTGTGGCATGGGGGTGAGGTGTGGCATGGTGGAGGGTGTGGCATGGGGGTGAGGTGTGGCATGGTGGAGGGTGTGGCATGGGGGTGAGGTGTGGCATGGGGGTGAGGTGTGGCATGGTGGAGGGTGTGGCGTGACATGATGGGGGCTGTGGCATGGGGTGTGGTGTGGCGTGGTGGGGGTGTGGTGTGGCGTGGTGGGGGGTGTGGCATGGGGTGTGGTGTGGCATGGTGGGGGGTGTGGCATGGGGTGTGGCATGGTGGGGGGTGTGGCATGGGGGTGAGGTGTGGCATGGTGGAGGGTGTGGCATGGGGGTGAGGTGTGGCATGGTGGGGGGTGTGGCATGGGGGTGAGGTGTGGCATGGTGGGGGTGTGGTGTGACATAATGGGGGTGTGGCATGGGGTGTGATGTGGCTTGGTGGGGGGTGTGGTGCAGTGTGGTGGGGTGTGTGACACGGGGGTGTGGGGTGTGGTGTGGCGTGACGGGGTGTGGCGTGGTGTAGATGTGGTGTGGCATAGTGGGGGTGTGGTGTGGTGGCGATGTGTGTGGCATAGTGGGGGTGTGGCATGGTGGAGGTGAGGTGTGGCATAATGGGGGTTTGGTGTGGTGTGACAGGGGCCTGGTGTCACAGAGCTTGGCATAGCAGTGGGCAGATCTTGAAGTGGCGAGGGTATATGATATGATGTAGTGGGGGAGTGACAGAGTGCAACCAGGGGATGGGGAATGTGGCATGGGGTGTGGCAGGGCACAGTAGGGGCATGGTAAAGGCATGGCATGGTGGGGGCTTGGTGTGTGTGGCATAGGTGTGACATGGTAGGTGCGGCACAGTGGGGGGTGGCAGGTGTGGCAAGGGCGTGACTCAGTAGGCATGCCACGATGGGGTTTGGGGGTGTGGCAAGGGTGTGACCTAGGTGTGGCATGGTGGGGACATAGCAGGTGTGGGGTGAGTGTGACATGGCAGGTGTGGCACAGTGGGGGCATGGCAGGCGTGTGCAGAAGGATGGTGGCATAGTGGGCATGCGGCAAGTGTGTCATGGGTCATGCCTCACGGAGGAGACAGCTGAGGTCAAGGCACAGGGGCAGGGCGGGGTCGCACCCTCCTTTCCTCTCTGCCACAGCATCTCAGCTCTCCCAACTGTGGCCCTGCCTGAGAAGCCTCCAGGGGAGGAAAGGACCCACTGCTTGCTTGGGAGAGGAGAGCTTTGATTTGCTGAAGAGCTTTTTACCACCTGACAAGGAGAGTGGTCCCAGCACTCATAGATCTTTAGCCCAAGATTCTGAAAAAAAAAAAAAAAAAAAAAAACAGAAAATCAAGGACCTACTGACAGATGGTGCAAAATCATGCTCAGAGTCTGTGAGCACGTTGAACTTTGGGTCAACGAGCACTGATGGTCTTTCCTGGTGCCCTAAGAAACTGCATTTCAAAAGGAAAGATGGGCAAAAACGCCAGTGCCCAAGAAGGGAGTTGCTTCTGCTCAAGGAGTGGGGTTGCTGAGTGCTATGTGGAGATCGGGGGAAGGGGAAACTCAATAAGTTAGGCCTGGGGGGATCAAGGAAGGTTCCAGAGAGGAGCCCACGTAGGAAGTGGCTTCTGCTGTAGAAGTGGGGTTGCTGAGTACTGTGTGGAGCTCAGGGGAAGGGGGAACTCAGTGAGTTAAGCCTGGGAGGATCAAAGAAGGTTCCAGAGAGGAAGGGAACCATGGATGGTCTTGGAGGAGGGATTTTCAGGAGGGTGGAAGGGCACTTACAAAGGCCCAGGGGAACAACTCACTTTGGGGAATAGGTATGCAGATGGGTGGGGGTGGGGTGTCGGGGGCTGCAGAGGGGCCTTGGGGAGCATCACAGAACATGTGGGCAGCACAGGCATGGCCTGTGGGTGCTGCAGAGTCTTGGAGGGTCTCAGGCAGGGGACTGGGGCCTTGAACCCCGCTCTGGCAGTTGTGTGAACTGTGGTGGATGGAAGAGGAGAGGAACGTGACCCACTGTGGGAGACAGTGCGGGGGCTGCAGCACCACCCAGACCCTGCCTCACCCGGCTGCGAGCAGTGGCGCCCTAACCCACAGCCCTACCTCCCCGCCGCTCCTCGGAGCTCTCTGCTCTCCCGAGGTTTCTGTTCATCGCTGCTTCTGGCTTCTGCAACTGAGGTCTGTGTGGGACGGTCCCCTGCCCACACCAGAGACCCTTTGGCTGCTGTTGATGTTGGTGTCAGAGATGACGGAATTTCTCTGCGAAGAAAACGGACTGCTGACGCTGTGATATCAGAATCAATCCAAACACACGGCACATAGTTGGAATTAATGTGACTTTTTCTTTTGAAAGCGATACAGGGTGCCTAATAAAAGCCTCTTCATTTGGGAAGACACATTCCTTGATTTAAAAGCTGATATGTATCAAGGGAACAAGATTAAAAAGCAAACTGACATCCACACAGGCTTGAGATAGATACTCACTGGGCAGCCAGGGCCGCCACCCAAAGGGCTCGCGTGGGTTGGAGGTGGCTGGTGGGGTCAGGGCATCTGATTGGGCTGCCGAGTCTGGGGAGGGCTGGCTCTTCCAGAAAGAGGGCAGGGCTGAGGCAGGCAGCACATTCACCCCCACCCTGCCTGTGTTTCTCACCACGTTTTCACCTTTTAATAGATGGGGCTATTTTTAACTGGCTTGCCAACACTTCCGTAGGTCTTTATTCCCCACATTGAAAGCTGACAGAGAGGCATCCAGGAGGCACGATTGCTCCTTAGAAGCATGGAGGTCGTGGGAAGGCGCATGTGGGAGGAAGAGGAGGAATTTCAGAAGGGAACCCGCCAAAGACGGGTGTGGAAAGGCATGGCCAGCTTGGAGGAAGCTGGTTGAACTCCGTCACGTGGCTTTGACATTCAGGGTGGGATGGATGAGGACTGAGGTCTCCCAAGGACAGTGTTGCCCCTCCCATGGGCTGTTCTAATGTTCCAGGGACAGGGGAGGGAGTGACAGCCTCTCCTGCTCTGGACTCTGGATCGGGACAATCAGGGACATTGAGTCCCTGAAATGCATTTCTTCAAGGACAAAGGCAAAGGGTCACCCTGGCTCTGAGGCGGACGTGCAGGGCAGGGTCCTCCAGGCCAGATCCCTCCTCTGCATCCTGATGAGGTCCAGACAAGCCCCTGACTCCAGCCCAGCCCATGCAGCTGGCTCTTGCTGCAGGCCAAGTGCTGCACGTGGTCACTGGCCACCCACACTGATGCTCTTGCCAGACTTGTTGCCGAATACTCCCGGGGGTCAAAAGTGGCCCGAGTAGTGGCGGGCGGGGTGAACGGCCTGTCCCCAGAGGCACTGAGAAAGCCAGCGCTGCCGCTCCTGGAAATAAGTTAAGGAGAATCTGGGCACTATCAGGGATGGCGTCGGCGGGGGGCAGGGCACAGGGGAGGAGCCCAGGGGTGCCCTCAAAGTTCCTCCCAGCCAGGATTCACCACGGGCCCAGGCTTTTGGAAACCTGAAAGGAAAAGATGAGGAAGTAATAACAGCAGGCTGAACTCAGACCAAAATAAAAGCCTGCTGCCCAACGTGCCCGATATTTCATGGGCATCTGGCTGGCCTTGAGATCAATGGCAAGATTCACAGAACACTGGGTGCCGTGCGCACAGCAGGCTGTCCAAAAATGCCTGTTGAAAGACTTCCCACCACCTACAAAACCCGCGGTGTGTTTTCTACTGGATCTGCCCCCTCCACTTACAAGTCAGTGCCGTCGACTTCAGAATGATGTTCACAGGACAGTGGTCGTGACCAGCCGGGCCTCTCTACCCATAAAGGTCCCAGCCTTACCAGTGGCCTTAGGGGGAAGCCGGTAAGAGGGCACTCACCAGGCAGCAGCTGATCCTGTGACCGAGTGGCTCTGACTGGGTCACCAAGACCCCAAAAGCTCCTACAGCAGGTCCTGGTAGGCAGGAGCTCTGAGAAGGTTGGGAGGGCCAAGCAGGTTCAGCTCAGGCTCCGCTGCCAGGTGGCGGGGCATGGCCCCCCTTCTTGAAATATAGCTTCTTGCCCTTCCCTCTAAAATGGAAACACTGGAAGTGGGTCCCGAGGTCTCATCCAAACTGGAGGCAGGTGAAGCAAACCCCACGTCCTTCCTCTTTGCAGGCAGCACCCCTAGCTCGCAGGCTGCAGGGGCCCTATGTGGGGTGTCCATCTGGTCTGCGTTACGCTATGGTGACCTGAATCTTCGGTCCTTTCACGCACATAGAAACTGCTCTGGGGCCAGGCCAAGCCGCTGCAAGTGCTGGCCTCTATGGCGTGACCCGGGCAGCGGCCACTCCGTCAGCCCAGTGCCAGGCCTGCGTTCGTCCTGGGGAGGGCAGGGAAGAGCAAGGCGCAGAGAGACCCGGGCCCAGTTCTGAAAAGGGACTGCGCATCTCATTGGCCAGGACCGGCCACGTGACCCCACTTCCCCACCAGGCTGGTCTTCCACCTCTCCCACTGCCCAGAAGGCGGGCTGGGAAACAGGACCTGGCGAGCCCCCAGGACCGCCTCTACCTCCGATACTGATGCTAAATGACCACACGGTCACTGGTGAGGGAGCTGTGACCGAGAAAGCAAAGTAATTATTTAAGTGACGGCTCATTCCAGGTGGCCTTGCCTCTTAATCTCACATTAGATGCCTTATTACACTTCAATTAAATTCCCACTTAGGATGGCGCTTAAAAGGCATTTCCGGGCGGGCGAGCCGGGCCTGGTCGATCCCGGCTTCCCGGAGAGGCGACGGCCTGCGATGACATGGCCCGCCGGTGATGAATTGCTCCGCGAGAGCACTGCCGACCCTTGGCCGAGGGAAGGAATGAGGTTCTCATGATGGATGACTTAGGGAGGGCTGTTTAATTTCCCGCAATCACCTGTCACTCTGTGGCCATCGGCGGTGGTGACTGCGTCATGTTCTGTGTTTTGTCCATCCATCAAGTAAACATGAGGCCAAAAGTGCTTCTCATTTCATTGCCGGGGGAGACCGTATACGGGGAGGTGGGCAGGTTAGGTGCTCTTCTTAGAGCAGGGACAGGGGTTTAGCAAATAAGTGAGAAAACCCTTAGCAGACACAGGCGTCTGGTCCGGGACTGGTTCATACAGCTGGAAAGAGCAGGGGTGTCTTCTTTTTAATTTGCAGATGTCCAGAGGCTGCCCGTGCTTAGTCCTGGCAGGGGACACGCTCAGGGGTGTGTGCATGGCTGGCACAGACCTTCTCGGCTGCTGGAGAGTCAGCTCAAGCAGGACCTTGCCCGGAGGCTGCTGGGCAGTGGCACAGCTGGGCAGCATCTTCCCTCCACGCTGGATGGCGCTCCCTCCATGTGCTGCTATTCCTAAAAAGGACATGGTGTTTTTGTACACCCCCCCGCCCACAAACTTGAGAGGGGGGCACACGTGTGAGTTTAAGTCGGGGCTGCTGTTTTCTCTTTGTTGTCGGCGGGGGGCCAGGGAGAGCAGAAGGATGTCCCATACGTCAGTGACAAAGCTGTCCCATGGCTATCAGGGGCTGGCACCCTCCTCCCTTCTGCTCACAGCCCCTCTGCCCTGGGCCCCTCCTCCAAGGACCCCTCGGGTCCCTGCCCGGGGTAAGGGGCTGACGAGTCTTAGTCACCTGGCCTTTCCAGTTCATTTGAGTCCCTAGCGCCTCGCCGCTGAATTCAGTGTCCTCAGATGATTCATCTGCAGCTGGCTGCAGCCAGATATGCTCCCCATCTCCGAGGTATCCATTGCCAGCTTTTAAAAATAGCTTTATTATTTTCCCCTGATAATAAAACTAATACATAGTTATTGCAAACAAACTGATCAGAAAATGCAGAAAGTGTGCAGAAGGACATGGGGTGCCTGCTTAGCCTACCTCCGAGTGTCTGTGCAGGAAGATGTGCCTGTCTGCCACTAGAGTGCTTGCACTGTAGCAGCCAGCTCTTTTCCACCTAGGGTTCTGTGAGCATCCATCCACAGCCATAAATGTGTGCCATGTGGTCACTTTATTGGCCACACTGAGTCTCCGTTAAGAACCTAGTTTTCAAATTAGGCCAGGTGTGACCCAGGGTGAGACAGGGAACCCTCCAGGCTCTAGTTTTGCTTTGGGGAACAGGAGCTATAACACCTCCTCCATCAGAGTATTGCTCCCGGGCTGCGGCGAGACACAGCTCTGTTTTGCACAAGGTTTGGCTCAGACCTTGCACCAAACAGCATCTCTATGACCCCCACTTCTGTTGGTTCCTGTCACGGACTCCCTGCACAGACACATGACCAGAGCAATGCATCCATGTTGAAGGGCTTGTGAGTTTTCCGTTTTGCTCTGCTACACAACGCAGCATTAAATACCCTTGCTGCTTAGTCTTTGCTCACTTGGCTGATTTAGCTCCAAGATAATTTCTCAAAAAAAGGAACTGCTGGGTCACTGGGTCACTCTTTGTATGATTGCGAATATGTTTAAGAATCGGACCCAAGAACATCTATGTGGCTCTTAGAAAGAATAACTCAATGTCTGTGGTTTGCAAACAGGCCACGCAGCCCAGGGTGGGAGGGGCTGGCGGAAGATGGGCGATCGGAAGCCCACACCTTCTGCTGGACCCATGGCCCTTTGCAAGCTGCAGGGCCAGCAGCTACAGGTACCACTACTGTCACCGTCTCTGACAATTCCTGAAAACTGGGGCCCACATTTCCTATGTTCCAGGTGACAAGTTAAGGGCCACGGAGAGAGGGCACTCAGACGAGGGGCTGAGAAGGCCTACCACCAGCTGTGTCCGGGTGGGGTTGAGTTTCTGAAGGCCAAGGCCTCGCCCACTCTGCTGGCCCTCGGCCCACCTGTCCCTCCACTCTCTTGGACAGGAGCGTGGCTAACTCCAGGCTGAGTGTGAAGAGGGAGTGGCAAGTTTCTGAAAACACAGAGACCACCTCAAGGTCCTCGCTGCCCCTGAGAGATTCTGCTGCTTTTTTGCACCAACTAATGAATTAAGATGTAAGGAAAACTCTGGGCTGCAGCCTTGAGTAATAGCATCCACTTTGGATTTGCTGGGGCTCCCCCCTCCAAGAAGCTATTCCTCATAATAGATCCATTAACCCATTAGGGCCTAGCTCGTATACCTCCTGCATGGCAGGAGCTGCCAACGTAGGCCCCATTGCTTCACAACCTGAGCTGAGCCCTGAAGCCCATCAGTGCTGTGGCCTGGGCAACCCAACTGTCTCTGCCCCGACTTTCAGCCTGAGCTCTCTGAGTGCAGGTCCTGCCAATGCAGTGTGACAGTGACGTCTCAGGTGTGAGGACGTGGGCTTGCTCGTCTCTGTCCCCTGCAGGCTTGGTATAGGGTCTAATGGAATTAGGGGGTGACAGACTGTATTAGTCAGGGTTCTCCGGAGAGACAGAACTAATAGGATAGATGTACATATAAAAGGGAGTTTATTAAGGAGAATTGACTCACACAGTCACAAGGTGAAGTCCCACAATAGGCCATCTGCAAGCTGAGGAGCCAGGAAGCCAGTGGTGGATCAGTCCAAGTCCCAAAACCTCAAAAGCAGGGAAGCCGGCAGTGCAGCCTTCAGTCTGCGGCCAAAGGCCCGAGAGCCCTTGAAAAACCACTGGTGTAAATGCAAGAGCTGAAAAGCTGAAGGACTTGGAGTCCGATGTTCGAGGGCAGGACGCATCCAGCACGGGAGAAAGTTGAAGGCCGGAAGACTCAGCAAGTCCAGTCCTTCCACCTTCCTCTGCCTGATTTATTCTAGCCACGCTGGCAGCTGATTAGATGGTGCCCGCCCAGATTGAGGGTGGGTCTGCCTCTCCCAGTCCACCGACTCAAATGTGAATCTCCTTTGACAACACCCTCACAGACAGACCTAGGAATAGTACTTTGCATCCTTCAATCCACTCCAGTTGACACTCAGTATTAACCATCACACCAACTGTTGCCATCAATGTTCAGCCTCCAACCAACCCTGCTGCAACAGTGCCAGTGTTTTGAGAGCACTCGTTTCTGGCTTGCTTGGTGGTTGAATCGTACGGATGCCTGTGCCTGCTCTGCCCAACACAGTGGAGGAGCGTCACGTGTGTGCACCTGTGGATGGTGTTCGTGCGCCAGTGAGGTCTGGGATGCAGCCAGGAACCCCAAGTGTGACTCTTGCATTCCTTCTACACAGCCCCCAGAACCCACTCAGACCTGAATTTGGTCGGGCTGTGGGAGGACAGGCAGGGCTGGGCTGCTGAGCGGCCATGCACAGAGCTCTTGGACACCGGGGAGGGTGGGGCATGGCAGGGTTAACCCAACGCTGGGGCACGCAGCCTGCAGCAGGATGAACTCAGCCAGCCCTCGGCTTCCCACAGGGTTGGGCCCTCATTTGCCCCCACCTTCTGGTGCACCAGCACCCCCACCATGTTCAAAGTACCACAGTCTCCAGGCCTCTCTGTTCTCTTAGCCCCCAAGTCCCTCATCTGTCACTCCATTGCTTCCTTGAGGACGTCATCAAACCCCACTGAGACCCACCCTGTCCCTCCAGCCCACGGGGACCCTTCCTGCCCAGTGGCTCGGCCTTTGGGTCAACTGGACTCTGATGATTCAGCTGCATCCTGGAATGGCCCTCATATCAGCGGCATTGTGGCACCAGGCACCTGCTAATTTTCTTGGCATTTGCTTTTATAACTAGATAATAGTGATAGCTGTTATTTATCACACACTTATGGGCCAAGCACTTGCTGAGTCCCATTCTTTATTCTGGAGAAGAAGCTGCAGGTGGCTGTCATTAGCCCTGCTCCAGGGTTGACATTCAGAGAGCCAACCAGCTGTCCAGCCCCACAGTGGGAAGGGCAGAGTGGGTGTGCCAGCCGGGGGGTGGCCTTCTGCTCCCTGAGGGAAGGGCTGAAACAGCTGACCTTGAAGATGGTCCACACCCTTCTCAGCCTGTGTGCTGCTGACCGGGTATGCCAAGGCGTGGAAAGCTATGGGGATCCTGGGGGTGGAGGTCGACACAAGGTCTGTGGGGTCACAGGATGGTCACTCTTAGGCCTTGGAGACAAAGGAGTGGAAATGGGCCACCCCCTCCCAACCTCCTGCCTGGGGGGGTCTGCTCATTGCCGTTGTGTTGGGACAGGCTTAGCCCTAAGCAGGGCTCTTGGAACTTGGCTGCTTCCTCACCAGCAGGAGGGCTTCTCTTTGGAAGAGAAGCCCACTTCCTTCTGGGGGACTTTCAAATGGACTTGACCCAGGCAACACAACCACAGCCTCATTCTGGAATCTTCCCTCCCAGCGGAATGTAAGGATAGCCAAGCCTTCCACCCATATGTGAGACTCAGGGTCCTGCCTTCAGCTTTCTGGGCTCCAGTCAGCTCCAGAATAATTAGCACCGTGTAATCCCAGGGACATCGGCCTCCAGAGGCCTCAGGCTGTGACAAAGGCCAGAATGCAGTTCAGCGTGTCCAGTGGCGGCTTCTCACCTCACTCCTCCTGTTGTCACTGAGAGCCAGATGGCCCAAGGCCGGGCTTGCCAAGGACATGGACACTTCCCTCCGAGGAATAGGAACACCAGTAGGAAGGACAGGTGAGAACGTTTGACTATGGCCCCGAGACCTCTAACTTCAGCACTGCCAGCAGCATCCTCTGCTGTGGCTTCTTGAGAGCTGAGGCCCAGTGCTGGGATGGGGCAGGTGGCTGGACATCCGGAGGGACTGCCCGCTGGGGAAAGCTATCCTTGCCCTCTGAGAAAACTATGAATGTACGAGCCCTGGCCCTGCTCAGGCCATGCCACCAGTGAGGGACTTGCCCAGCGCTGGGTGCCACCTTCTCCTTTAATTCCACAACCATGTGGTGACATGTCTTTTTTGTAGATGAGAAAACAGAGGCTTGGAGGGGTGAGAACTTGTCCAGAGACACAGGGGGCAGTGCAGGGGCCAGGATCCATATGGAGGAGCTGGGTCTCAACACCCAAGTCCGAGGCAGCTGTGCCTGGCAGGTTTGTGGGCTGGGATTACAGAGAGTCCCAAAGGGCTGGACAGAACTGTCCCTCCACCCAGCCTGCTGTGTGATCCTCCCGTGGGCCCCAGGTCCTGCTCATAGTTGTCCACAGGGCTGTGATGTAAGCACGGGGTGCTATCGAGAGCGAGGGCAGTCTCTCACGTAAGCACAGCGTGATTGTCAGAATCAGGAGGGAGTCGCTTTTCACCAAGCTTCGGTCTGTCTGGATTCATATTTGTTCAGGAGAGCCCATGGTTCCTGCAGAGCTCTCGTTCCCCAGTCCAGGAAGCAGGCCGGCATCACCCATTGCACTGAATCCTTGTATCTCTTTCGCTTCCTTTATTCTGGAGCATTCCTCAGCTGGCCCCCGTGTGGCCTGGCCCCTGTGTGGCCCGACCCTGTGTGGCCCAGCCCCCATGTGGCCCAGCCCCCGTGTGGCCCGGCCACTGTGCCTCCTGACCTCTGTGTGGCCAGGACCCCATGTGGCCTGACCCCTGTGCGGCCTGGTCGTGGCCTTTGTGGGAGGTGTGGGTCAGTTGTTTTGCGGGTTGTTTCCAGTTTGTCTAGTCTTCTGTTTCCTGGTGGTGAAGATGTGGCCCTGCCTTTTTGGCAGGTGCACCCTAGAAGTGAGCTTGTCTCTTTCTCAGCACGTCATCTCAGGAGGCAGACGTGGTCTTTTCAAGAAACTGAGAGGAGAAAAAACACCCCTTTCATGGTTTTCTACACATTTTCCCATGCAGGACTCCTCACTCCTTCCTGCAGATGGGAATTTCCATCTGGCGTCCATTCCTTCATCCCGAAGAGCTTCCTGGAACAGCTTTCTTACAGTGCAGGCCATGAATTCTCTCAATGTGCCTGGGGCAGGCGGCCCTTACTCCAGAGTCACCTGCTGGCGTGTCAACTCCGTTCTTGCTGGTGAGAGCTCCTGGTTCCCAGCATTTGGAATCTCCCCAGCAGCTGTTCCTGCAGGCCACATGGAGCAGCTTCCTCATGTGCAACCACGTGTCTGGGGCCCCTGTGCAGATTTCCAAAGCTCCTCTGCGCAGCCCCGTTGTTCCTGGGCTCCGGCCTCTGGCCCCAAACTCCAGCTTCCTCACCAGCCTGAGCTCCAGTCCCGCCTCCCCAGCTCAGCAAAGTCATTCTCCTCTGCTTGAGCTGGGACATAGCTAAGAAAAGAGAACCTTACGAGCCAGGTTGCAGGCGGGACCCCCAGGGTCCAGCAGGTGCCTCGGTCAATAGCCAGTGGTGGGACTTATGGTCTATGTCTCAACTCTCAGAGCTTTCAGTCCTGTGTGTTGTTTAATCTGAAACCCATTGCACGGAGCATTTCATCCAGTCTTACGGATGTTTACAGCAAGAGAGCCAGTGTGGCACAGGCTCCTTCCTTATGGCTGGAGTGGAAGTCCTCTCCTGGATCCCCTGTTAAGCTGCAATTGCGGGAGGTGCTGTGAAGGAGAGAACGCAGGGTGCCTTGAGAGAGCCCAAGGGTTAGAGAAATCTGCTTCAGAGAGCAGTGTTTGGGCTAAAATCTTTGCACTGAAATCTGAAGCACTATCCAGCCAAAGGGGTGTGTATGGGTGTGGGTGTGTATATGCTACACACACACACATGTCCAGGTGTACAGGTATGCATGTGAGATGAACAGACATGTGTCCACATGTACAGGTATGCATGTGAGGTGGACAGACATGTGTCCATGTGTACAGGTATGCATGTGAGATGAACAGACATGTGTCCACATGTACAGGTTTGCATGTGAGGTGGACAGACATGTGTCCACATGTACAGGTTTGCATGTGAGGTGGACAGACATGTGTCCACATGTACAGGTTTGAATGTGAGGTGGACAGACATGTGTCCACCTCGTGTACAGGTTTGCATGTGAGGTGAACACAGATGTCTCCATGTATACAGGTATATGTGTGAGATGAGCAGACATGTCCATGTGTACAAGTTTGCATGTCAGATGAAGAGACTTGTGTCCACGTGTGCAGGTATGCATGTGAGGTGGACAGACATGTGTCCATGTGTACAGGTTTGCATGTGAGGTGGACAGACATGTGTCCACATGTACAGGTTTGCATGTGAGGTGGACAGACATGTGTCCACATGTACAGGTTTGCATGTGAGGTGGACAGACATGTGTCCACATGTACAGGTTTGCATGTGAGGTGGACAGACATGTGTCCATTGTGTACAGGTTTGCATGTGAGGTGGACAGACATGTGTCCATGCGTACAGGTATGCATGTAAGATGAGCAGAACCACAGTCTCAGTAGAGGATACAGCATCTACAAGATATTTGTGTGGGTCAGGAAAGTGCTTGGTGTTTTCCAGGAGCTGAAAGGCCAATGTAAGTGGCCTCCAGCTTTCCCCCAAGTCCACACCCAGTGGGGAAAAGAAACCAGGATTTCAATGGCAGAGCCCACACCTCTGCCCTCTCACTGCCTCGATCATTCACCCTGGCATGCCACACACCTCTTACGTCCTGTGTGTGTGTGTGTGTGGCATGAGAAATGTTGGAGACCCTGGACGAACACACATGTGGGGAGAGGGAGTCAGACTGTGCTGTCAGTTCCAGGCTGTAGAAAGTTGGGGAATGTGTCTAAGAGCAGCTGGGAGCCACTGCAGGCTGTGGAGCCAGGGAGGAGCACAGGGACACGTGTTCTGGAGACACAGAACTGTGGTGTGTCCTGGTGACCGGGGGTCCCCACAAGACCCTGTTTGCAGTCCGTTGGACAAGGAAGGTGGGCTCCTGCCTCGTGCCCTTCCCCAGGGAGTTCTTGGCAGCTCATTTCGGGCATACCTGAATGTAATGGACCCAGGGTGGACTGGTGTGTGGATATGATTTTTTTCTTGTTTCGGACTAAAGAAATCCAAGGTCCTTGGATGTGAAAGATTTCTGGGTACTATCTCCAGGCCTCACAGGCCCTTCATCATCTGTGACTATGGTGCCCACATCCACTCGTGCCTCCCAGAGTGACCCCTGACACTGCAGACCCTGGCATGTGGCAAGGAGCGATGGATTATTCCAGCACCGGTGCTGTCGTGCCGCAGATGCTGGGGTGGGGCAGGAGGGGCTGGGCCGTGTGCCCCCAACAGTCTTGCAGATGGGCCTGTCCAGACCAGGGGCCCTGCCCCGCTGGCTGTCAGCAAGACCCCCTCCCGGGAGTTGTCTGGGGCCTGCTGCACCTCTGTGGGTTGTTGGGATGAGTGCGGCCCCGCCGGTCGCAGAGACAGGATTGGAGGAAGATGAGCTCGTGGTACGAGGCAGCGCTGATGTTCCTCTGGAGTCCTCCTGGGCCGTGCATGGTGCCCTGGGCTCTGCGGCCCCGCCCCACACCGTGGAGCCTCCTCTGACAGCCGGAAAGGGCGCTGGAAGGGGTAACTCCAAGGCTTAGGGAACGTCCGGGTGAGACGACACCACACAATATCCACATTACAGGGTTTCTGCAAAGGTGGGAGCTGCCATCCAGTATCCTCAACGACTCCAGGCTGAGAGCACCTGGGGCTTCCTGCCGCTGGGACAGAGATGCGGTCATTCCTGTCTCAGGCCCAGAGCTTTGGGTGCTGGGAAGCCTGTTATTGCTGATGGCCAGTGATGCCACAGCTGAAAGCCTGTGCGTGGCCGCCTCTTACAATGTTGGCATCAACAAGGGCGTGAATGACAAACCATTAGAAAGAAGGATGGAAAAGAAGCCATGGTTTCCACTGGGTTGCCGGGTGAGGCTTGGTCCCCAGGAGAGCCCAGACGCACCGGCTGTGTCACTCTGGGGTGGATCATCATCTGGGAAGAGAGCTTGCTGTTCAGAGCCCTGGGGGGAAGCCACGGCCCCAGCTCAACTCTGGGAAAGACAGCAGCCAGCTGACCCTGGCTCTGGGGGCTGTGGGGACAGCCAGCCTCCTCCTGGATTTTGGAAACCAGCCCCTGGTATCAGAAGCTCAGCAATGGGGCTGAGGTGGGATGGGGGTGACTGTGGCCTGATGGGGACTCAGGGGAGAAAAGGCCATGCTCTGTTTTGTCAGAGTGGGGCAAAGGAAGGCAAGAAGGGGGGACCTGGCTTGCCAGCCCCTTTCACCTGTGAAACAGGTAAGAAGTTCCCTGGCCTTCAATGCCAGCAGCTTCAGTGGACTGGACCAAGGGTGAGCCTACTGGCCGTGCTGGGCAGGTCTGCACATGCAGCTCTGCCTAAGATGTCCTTCCCTGTTCAGATGACCTTCTTACCACCTTGAAGGCCCAGCTCCGATGCTGTCTGCTCTCCTGAGGCTTCCCTAGTAGCACCCTTTCTGAGACAGGGTTGATGTGCTGATCGAGTGCCTCCGTAACAGTTTCTATGCCTGGACTGTACCCGGCACCGATGCCCTGACATGTTCAGTGGCCCCCACGGTGACAGTGAACCATGGTAGGAGCTCTGAGAGGTCAGAGAGTGAGCAGAAGGCTACCCGCATGTCAGGGAGAAGCCACAGAGCTCTCAGGTACACGCCCGGGCCATGGGCTGGACCCCCAGGAGGGGCAGCCACCAGGAAGCCCTGAGAACATGAACCTAGAGGAATGTTTCTTAGCTCAGAGTGACCCAGTGCAAGGCGGGGAACTGCACGCTTGTGAAGATGCCTGAGTTGCTTGATGTCAGTGCTGGGGAAATGTTCTGGAAGACCCGTGCTTGTGAGACCAGCAAAGAATGTGTTCTGAGGCCTTGGGTGAAGTCAGGAGCTCATGCCCACAGTCTGGGATGCAGACAGGCTGCTGGGGGTGGCCGGAGCCTCCTGGGCATGGCTATGTCCCAGCAACACACAGCACCTCCCTAAGGTGTTGATGGGCAGTGCCTGTCTCGGGACCCTCTGATCTGTTCAGCGCCCAGCACAGACCTGGCCACTGAAGGAACTTGGTAAGTGCTGGGGCTGGAATCAACTGACGAGCTTCCCACGCTAGGGGAGAAGGCGTGGCTGGAGAGCAGAGGGTTCATCCCTGAGTGCTGCTGACCAGCTGCCATGACGTGAAGGCCAATCATCCCATGGGCCTCCCTCCCAGAGCAGCAGCCTTAAGAGTCAGGGGCCAGCGGCAGAGGGTGGCCACACTGTTCTCCAGACAGCACCACACTGCTTGAACAGTCCAGTGGCATTCCATCGAGGCGCAGGCAACTTGTGCCCTTGACCTTCACAGGCTCCTGACCAGGTTTTGTCACTAACCAGCCGGCCAGGAGGTGGGCAGGGAGGCCCTGTGTTCTCTCCTCAGCCCAGTGCATTGGCCATGACAGCGTCTTGAGTCCCTGAGTCCCACCCCTGATCCTGCTCCTGTCTCCCTGGGGACAGGGGCTGCTAGTGGATCCCCACGGCCAAGGCCACACTGTCACTCCCACCTGTCATATGCCCTGACCAGAGCCAGGCACAGGGACCCTGAGCTGAAGCCAGTATTGGAAACGCTTGAGAAACTCACATATCAGTTTGTTGTGGGTGATTTAAATCCCCCTGAAGACATGTTGAAGCCCTAACCCTGGTACCTGTGGATGTGATCTTATTTGGAAATGGGGTCTTGGCAGGTGTCATGAAAATGTAGTTACTTAAGATGAGGTCAGACTGCATACGGTGTGTCCCTAATGCAACATGACTGCTGTCCTTACAGAGGAGCAGAAGACACTGAGATTTGTGCAGAGAGGAGACGACACATGCACACACAGACACACACACACACACACACACAGACACATGGAAGTGGGAGGCAGAGGCTGGGGCAGCATCTGCCAGCCCAGGAACAACAAGGATGCTGGTGGCTACCAGAAGCCGGGAGAACCTGGGAGCCCTTCTCCCTCACAGCCCGCAGACGAACCAGCCCTGCCGACACCTAGATTTTGGACTTCTGGCCTCCAGAACGGTGACAAAATGGATTTCTGTTATGCTGAGCCGGTCAGTTGTGGTACTTTGTGATGGACTGCCTGGGAGACGGTGCCCGTGGGACCCCTGAGACCCGGTTCTTGGAGAGAGCGCATTAGGGCACAGAGGCAGCTCCCACAACACGCATCATCTCCACATGCTTGCTAGCCCAAGCCAAGTCTGCTCCCCCTTGCTCTCCTCAATGCCCCGGCCACGCCTCCCCTCCCAGCTGCCCTCCTTAGGGCCAGCCATGGAGCTGGGTGCCGGTAGGGGCTGAGAACCACTGTGTGTGGTTTGAAGAGGATGAGTTCACAGGATGAGAGGAGGAGAGGGAACCATTAAATCTCCAGCCTGAACTAGAAGAGAGGAAAAATAAAGCCCGCTCCTAAGGCAGGAGATTCTGCCTGGCCCCTCGGAAGCTGCCAGCATCTGACAGGGAGTGGGCTCTGAGGGGTCCTCACAGAACTGCCCTAATGGAAAAGCAAAGTGTGGGTGCCGCAGGGGCGTCCCCGCCACCTCCCAAGTCACACTTCCACCCCCGGGGTTTCTGAGGCTGACTGGTGCAGGTTGAGGAAGCAGCTGGGGAGGGGAGATGCTGAACTGGTTGCAGCTCCCAGCCTGGTAGCCCCAAAGCCCTGGACAAGCTCCTGAACCCTTGAAGGGTCAATCCTTCATCTGCAAAATGGAATCATTAATAATGATCACAATAATTATAGCAATGCCTCCTGCAGGAGTGTAATAGTTAATTTCATTTATCAGCTTTACTGGGCCATGCGGTGCCCAGATATTTGGCCAAGCATGGTTCTGGGTGTGTGTGTCACAGAGTATCCTGGATGAGGTTCACATAGGAACCTGTAGCAGTTTTCCCCTCCCCGATGTGGGCAGGCCTCTCTGATTTGTGGAAGGCCTGAATAGAGCAAAGAAGCTAGGTAAGAGGGAATGGACTTGGGAGGCTGAGGTGGGAGAATCCCTTGAACCTGGGAGGCAGAGGTTGCAGTGAGCTGAAATACCACCATTGCACTCCAGCCTGGATAATAGGGCGATACTCCGTCTCAAAAAAAAAAAAAAAGCCACATGGTAAATATTTGAGGCTTTGCAGGACGTAGAGTTCAGTCATAGCTACTCAACTTCCATGGTAATACAAAAGCGTCCATAAGCACTAAGCGAACGAATGGATGCCTGCATTTGAGTGGGGTTGTTGGTCTTCTCGATGCAAAGCAGGTCAACCCCAAGATTGGGGCTTAGCCTGAGAGGGTTCTTGGTTTCACCCAGGAAGGAATTCAAGGGTGAGTTGGTGGTGTTAGCAACTTCTGTTGACGCTGAGGTGCTGCTCTTTGCTCAGCAGGGCTCCCCATAGGTGTGTCTAGAGCAGCAGCTCAGAGGCCATTCTGCAGTCATATTTATACTCACTTTAACTATGCACAAATTAAACGTTTCTAGAAATAGGCCATAATTTCTGAGTGTTGCCATGGCAATAGTAAACTGACATGGACACTGGACACTGGTGGGTGGGTCTGATGGAGAGGTGCTTTGGCTCCATCCCTGTTTTCACTAGTTCTCAATTAGGTCTGATGTCCAAGCCCTGCCTCCTGAGTCGAGTCCCACTTCCTGCCTCATTCTGCCCTTGGACATGGGTCAGACTGCACACTACTGGCTTCCTGGTTCTCTAGGTTGCTGATTGCAGATCTTGACTTCCTGAACTCCAAAACTAGGAGAGCCAATTCCTTGTGGTAGGTTTCTCTCTAAATATATGCTGTTGCCTCTGATTCTCTGGATAACACTGAGAAATCCAAGGAGCTTGGTTGATAATGAAAGGAGAGGGTATGGGGCCAGCCTCAGCAGTGGCTCAAGCAGGTGAGCCGGCTGGCAGGGACAGTGATGGCTGAAACTCCCGGCTGCCCTTCCCTTCACTGGTTGTGTAATGATGGCCAGTTGTGGGATCTGCCTGAGTCTCAGGCAGCTTAGCAGCAAGATAGGCATCATAGATGCTTCCAGGGATGTGCTGAAGGTTAAATGCCACAGTACAGGGGTCAGCAAACCATGGCCCATAGGCCACATCAGTCTGGTTTTGGAAATAAAGTTTTATTGGCACACAGCTGCATCCATTCGTTTGCTTAGTGCTTATGGACGCTTTTGTATTACCGTGGAAGTTGAGTAGCTATGACTGAACTCTACGTCCTGCAAAGCCTCAAATATTTACCACATGGCCTTTTATTTTTGAGACGGAGTATCGCCTTATTATCCAGGCTACAGTGCAATGGTGGTGTTTCAGCTCACTGCAACCTCTGCCTCCCAGGTTCAAGGGATTCTCCCACCTCAGCCTCCCAAGTAGCTGGGATTACAGGCACCCACCCTCATGCCCAGATAATTTTTGTATTTTTGTAGAGGCGGGATTTCACCATGTTGCCCAGGCTGGTCTTGAACTCCTGACCTCAGGTGATCCACCTGCCTCGGTCTCCCAAAGCCCTGGGATTACAGGCGTGAGCCACCATGCCTGGTCCCATGTGGCCTTTTATGAGCAAGTTCACCACCTCCTCCCAGGTATCCTGGGCTATGTGGGGACCACATCTGAAGTGTCCCATGGGCACGAGCTGGCTTTGCTGCAGTTGTGGTTATTGGCTCTGGCCTCCCAGCAGTGGCAGTTTCCCCAGTTCTCAGAAGGTCTCCCTTGGGCTCTGCACACAGGGATTTCCATGGCCACCAGGGCAGAGGCCCTGGCTCCTTCCTGTCCTACTGGCCCTGGTGCCTCTCAATGGTGGCCGCGCCACCCTGCCCTGGTTTCTGCTCCCAGTGGGCTGCCCGCTTGCCTGGCAGAGGTGTTACCTGTTAGTGAAAGTGGCTGCTGGTAATGAAAGCACTAGTGGATAATGAGGAGCCAGCTAATGAGAGCTAATGGAATGAGTCGTCTCAAAGAATTAACCTTTCAAAGGGGGTTTGAAAGTCAAAAACCTTCAGAACCCCGAAAGCAGGAGCGCAGCTGCCGAAATGACAGAACCGGCAGGAGCTGGAGGTGTGAGGGCAGCCGCTGAAACTGTGGCTTACGAGTGGGCGGCTCCCTGTGCACTACGTGGGCCCCCTCTGGACGACAGCTGCTCCCAGAAGCAGCACTACATGTGTGGAGAGCTCTCTGCCGGGTACTGTCTGATTTATTTCCCCAATTTCAGTTCTGTCCCATGCAGAAAGCCATGGGATCCCACTGTACAGGCGGCGAGATTTGAACACACATCAGTCTGACCCCCGAACTTATGTTCTCCCCAGTGCTGCTCCCGTTTCCCTTCTCAGGACAGACCCCAAGACAGGTGAGGCTGCCAACTGCCCTGGGACTCTCAGTCAGGACCACCGCTCTGGGACCCTGCTTTGGCAGCACTGGTCAGCCATCCTGCCCACCCCAGCCTTCCTCCAGGGCCTGTCTCTCCTGCTGCCTGTCTCCCGAGGCATCAGGGCCAAGCACATTTCTACAGCATTGACTGCAGCAAGAACTAACTGTGGGAGCTGGGGCAGCCTCTGTAAGGAAAGGGAAGCACTTCCTATACCTGTAGAGAAGAACCTTCTCTCTCTGTCTCTCTCACATGTGCACACACACATGCATATACTTGCACCCACATCTGTGCACACATACACAAGCACACATGCATGCACATATGCATTCACACAGGCACATGCACACACATCCGCACGTATGCACGAGCACATATGCACACCCACGCACTCACACAGACACACATGCACACACTTGCACAAGCACACGCACACACATCCACACACGCACAAGCACACATGCACACCCGTGCACTCACACAGACACACATGCACAGGCACATGTACACACATCCACACATATGTACACCCATGCACTCACACATGCACATGCACACACACATCCACACACATGTGCTCACACATGGAGACACATGCACGAACACTTGTATGCACATGTATATTCTCATGTGCACACACATGCACACTCACACATGCACACACAGATGCAGACCCTGTCAGCCCTTCATTGCCTTGGACCTCTCTGCTCTGTGTTTGGGTCTCTCGTCTGTCTCTGCTGACTGAAAGTACGTAGCAGTGATTGTTTTCCTGACTGAACAGGACTCCTGGAGAGATCACACACCCAAGGCCACTGCGCGAAGGATCCAGAAGTGGCCCTGGCTCTCAAAGCTGGGTCTGAGCAGGGCCTGCCCCACTGCCTCATCCAGAACTATCTTTCTTCCTTCTGCACTCAGCTCAGATGTTACCCCCAGGACCCTCCTGCCCTTGTGGTTGGGGCTGGGCTTGCTGTCCCCCACTCGTCCCTGTGGTGCTCTGGACCCTAGAGGATCTGGTCTCCAATTCGAACACCCTGACCCCAACTCAGGGCACTTCTCTTTCTTGCCCCTGTACGAAACACACTGGTTCCCACGGCAGCCTTTGTGCCTGCTGTTTTCTCGTGGGGAACACCCTTCCCAGATCTGCGCACACCTGGCTGTTCCCTTTCTTCGGTTCAACTCTAGCGGCTGAAATCAATCCCTGCGAGTATGTGGGTTTATGTTTCTTGTCTGTGCCCATGCCTGAGTCTGTGGCGCGGCCATTGCCACACACGGCAGCTGGGGTGGCTCAGAAACAGCACCTTTCCCACTGCCCTGGAGGCCAGGCATCCAGGGTCAACCTGCCGGCGGACGGTGTCTGGCGAGGATCCACTCCTGGCTCAGACACGGCTTCTTCTCCCATGCCTTGCCCTGGCGGAAGGGGCACGGCAGCTCCCTGGGGCATCTTTGATGAGGGCACGGATCCCCCCTGGAGAGCTCACCCTTGAACTGGATCACCTCCCAGTCCCACCACACTGGGGCTTAGGTCTTAATGTATGGATTTCAGGGGACACAGACATTTGTCCACTGCTGCCCTGCTTGCCATGAGCTCCTGGGCGATAGGGACTCTGTCTTGCTCCACCCGGCGCCTGGCACTGGTGGATGCTTACGAAACAGTCCTGACCGAGTTGTAGGGAGCACTGGAAGTCAAGATCACTGAGAGGAGGGCTTCCTGGTGCATAAGCCTGGCCTTCCCTGTGAGAAGGGGGGCTTTGGACAAGGGGATTCTTCCTGTGCGGTGAGGGTCGAGATAGAGGCGGGCACCGGCTTACACGGCGGGCTGCTCCCACTGCGGGAAAGAGACGCTTCCCGTGGGAATAGGCCCGGCATTCTCTATGTGAAGCACGCTCGGGACTCTTGGAATTTTGATAAAAATAAACCCCCTTCCGTATGTTATTTTCTGATGGAGGCTCTACAGGCACTTCTGAAACATGCTCGGACATGGAGTGTCAGGGCCCTTCCCTGGGCTGAGGGTGTCGGGAGCTGATTGATTGGAATGAAAAATGGAACAAGGGGAGGCCCCTGACTGAGAAATTCTCCTGATAAGCATTTCAAGGCCTCCGCAAATTGATTTTAGATACTGAGTTCCCTGATCAAGTGGAAATTTACAGTCTTGCTGCTGAAATTCCTCCTCTGGTCTGTCATCCACTCAACAGATGGTACTTCTTCAGGCTACCTTTAATAGCCCCAGAAATTAAATTAGTAAAAAAACGGAGAACTCCCATCATGTTAAAAGCCATCCGTGGCTTCAGGACTCTGGTAAATCTCCATCCACAGAGGCAATCTTATGTGAAAAAGATTTGGAAATGAGGCTTTTGCTGTAAAATGCAAATGTAGACCTGTCTCCACCCCGGGGGCTAAGCCCGGGAGGCCAGGGCTGTGGCTGGCAGCACTCTGGACCAGCGCTGCTGCGGTGGCAGCTGGGAGAGCGGGGTCCCCTGCCTCCCATGATCAATCCCGACGGGACTGGCTTGGCTTCTCCCGGCTGTGAGGATGGAGTGCTGGGTAGGCAAAGGGGGTCCAGTCGCCCGTCCTGTGCGGGTGTCACCAGTTACACCAGCCTGGAGGGGAAGCACAGGACCTGACCACCTTCCTGCAGCCACACTGTGGCAGACACACAAAAGGCTAGGCATGGATATTCCCCGGTGAGGGACAAGGAAGTGGGGCTCCAGCTCTGTCCTGTGTGTGCCTGCCCAACTGTACGAGATGGGGGTATGCCCACACCTGAGTGTCCTGAACCCTGAACCCCCGCCTCTTCCCCTGCCCAGGGAGTCCACCCAATTGGGGACCAGTGGGCAGGGCTCATGACAAGCTGGGACCACGTGGGCCGGAACTCCTCAATGCCAGGGCCTCTTCCCTGGCCTTCTTCATTCTTCCTGTCATCACATTGGACACGGTGACCTCAGATGGCTCCAATTGATGGTGACGCCACCACCGATTGACGTCTGGTCACAGATTCACGTCAAGCCATCTGCTGGGCCAAAAACTCTTCCTGTGAAATGCGTCCTCACTGACATTTGCAGCAAGATTGTTTGGACTACGGCAGATCTTACGACAAACCTCAGACCCCAAACTTTCCTCCAGCCAACAGTCTCGGAAGTATTTCAAGCTGTGTGGGATGTAAAAGCCAGATTCCGGCACTCTGAAAAACTTCATATACACCCTTGACGTGATTTGGATAAGGGTTCAGCCCCCATATTTCCACTTTGATTATGTCATGCGTTCAGTTTGAAATTCATAAGAATGAAACATGTGTTCCACGCATAATGGGTTTCATGAAGGTGGTATTTTTCCTCTACAGATGGATTTTTATTTATCACGGATTCCTTTCTGCTTTATGCACCTAGCTAGTGTGGGATTTCCTAATGATTCATGCTTAAGATTTTCAAATTGGACCAAGAGCCCCTCCCTCAAGAAACCCTCCAGAGGCTCCCTTCCTCCCCACGAGCCCAGGTCCACAGGCACACACAACCAAGAGATATGATAGGTCAGTTCTTTTGAGTAAAAATTCGCCGAACGCAAGAGGTCTCCCCTGACAATGTCCTCGGGAAGGGGAGACCATCTCACTCCTTCCTCTGATGAGAGAGGAAGGCTCCCGGGCCCCATTCCAAGCAGACATGACTCACACACTCCGGGCACCCTTGAGGCCCAGACACCCACCCTTTAATCTCAGCTCACACCCTCTCCTTAGAGCTTTGGGGTTGCGGAAAACTCAATTTCACTTGCACCTTCTTGCCGCTGGGTGGACTGCAAAACATCTGTAGGGTTTCTGTGTGGAGCTGTCTCCCCACGTGCGTGGTCACGAGGAGTCTTCTTGGCCCCTGGATCCGTGGAAGCCCCTTCGGCTTGCCAAGGGGAGCCAAGCCCTCTCCCGGGGGGCAAGCTAGAGGGGCCAGCTGTTGACCTCCCGTCATGCTTCCCTACTGGAAGCCGGGCTCGGTTCCTGGGGTTACAGCCATCACATGACACTCATGCAGTATTTGAGACTTAAGAAGAGGTTCAGAGGAGGCTGAACTCAGAATGGCATATTTCCTTGAATTTCTCCCACATCACTTCTGAACACCGCCTGTTTCTTCCATGGATGCCTCCCATGCAGCCATGCTGAGAAGACACATAGTTGCAAACCAAGCTCTCTCTTCGCCCACCTCCCCCCACGCGCCGTGCTGGAAATTGGCTCCATTCCTCAAATGGAAAGTTTTTATTCATTTCTGCCGGAATAATGAAGACAGGTACATTTTTCAGCCAGGCGATGTGGCCTCATTATTTTCCCATCAGTGGAAGCTGCCGATGTGTCTTGTTCCCCAGCGTGCACACACTTCACACCGACGCTCCCGGCAGCCGCCGTCCACTTGGCTGTCAGGGGGACCAGGTAATTCGGGCCAGCGGTGAAAGCTTTGTTCCCAGTGATGTCTCCTTCCCCTGCCCCGCCGGGAAGTCTGGACCCCTGGCTGCCGGCAGCTTATCTTATCCACTTCCTCTCCCCAGGGATGGCCACTCTGGCTCCTAAGCACCAGGTGGAAGGGAGCGTGAATTAGATCAGGACTCTGGCCCAAGCAGACCCACATCCAATGCTGGCTCCAGGGATTCCAGGCTGCGGGCCACGCCATGCTTCTTGGCTTCTCTAAGCCCCAGTCTCCTCATCTGCAAAATGGAAGATGAATCACTCCCAGGTCACAGGGCCCTCGTGCAGATGAATAGGATCGTGCGTTAGAGGGTTTCCAGAGCCTGGGATGCAAGTTGGACTCCGTAGCAAGGCTCTAACTCTGTTAGGAGGCTTTGGCCGCACAAAATGTAAAATCCAGCTCTAACCAGCTCAAACAACAACGCGAGCTTATTTCCTCTTCTAACGGAGGCACCAGAGGCCCCCGGGTTTCAGGAACAGCATGATCTGGTCCCTGGTCCTGCTTCCCTGTGGTTCTCTCGGCTTTGTCTTCTCAGTCTTGTCTTTGTTTTGCAGCTGGCTGTTCTTATGGTCACAGTGTGGTTGCTGGGAGCCACCGCTTGGCTCAGACCCCCTTTCCCGTTGAGGAAGAGCAAGCACATCACTTCCTACAATCATCAGTCATGACCCCTGAGGTTTACTTTGAGGGACCAGCTCTGTGTCAAGAGGGGGTGATGCTGGCTCACGCCTCTGTCCCTGCTGTCTGGGGGGAAGGGGAGGGAACACACATTGCCCTCCTCGGTAATTAAGCACCTAGCTCAGCTCTCAACCCCACTCCCGCCATAATCCTTGATGTGGTCCCAGCCTGGATTTGTGAGCCGTCATTATAATGCCTCCCTCAGCAAATTCACAGCCCGGTTGTACCCACTCACTGCCTCTCTCCTGCCTGCACCTGCAGAGGTGAGCGGTGACCTCAACCCGAGTGGGGAATCAGGAGCCTAAAGCTCTGACCACGGCCCGTAGACTTCTTAGGGTAACAGGCAATTTTCCTACTTCTTCACAAACAGAACCATCGATTTCCAAACCCACAGAACCATTCTTGCTCCCGTCTTCTCGGTCGTTCATGATAAACAGAGAACCTTGTGTCCACGTGTGGCCTTTTCCTTCGTCCGAAACTTGCCTTTTCTAAGGAATGCTATGCATGGGAAAAGATTTTTGCTGAGCATGAACGCTGCACTTCCGGTTTTTCAATAGGCTCTGAGATGTGAAATTAATAATGCTTACCGGCATGACAAAATCTGGAACCAGTGGGCACCTTGATCTCCCGCAGCTCCTGCTCTGTTCTGACCCTGCAGGAGAGACAATTCCACCAGGTCTTCACTTATTAAGAAGCATTTCTCCTACACTCCACTGCCCTGGGCTGACATGGGACCGACTCTTCTGTCCAGTAGGCAAATATCTCCCTCGGCTTGGGGTGGGGTCAGCCAAAGATCCAGCTGGACTCAGCGGGACTGACAGATGCCCTCTGCAGAGTGACTTAGCACAAAACATGCCACCCCCCAGCCCCCTCATCGGCCCAGACAGCCCTTGTTCCTCTGCCTGTGGAGGGAGGGGGGTCAGCCTGCTCTGGGACACTGAGTGAACCCTGCATTGCCCCCGACCCAGGGGCCCCAGTTCTGTCCAGTGGTGGATGGGAAGGATGGAGGCCGCTGCCCGACCCATGGACCACAGAGCAATGGGCTCCTTGCAGGCGACGTCATCAGCAGAACCACAGTCACATGCGGCTGTGAGAACCTCCCAGGGCCCCCATCCGAAATGACCCCGCCCATCATGCCCCATCAAGCTCCCTGTTCTGTCCCTTTTGGAGCATCTGCCGGGGCCAAAGCTGCCCAGTTTTTGCTTCCACATTTCTTGAGACTGACCCTTCTCCCTGCTGCCAGTGCCCCTCCTGAGTGTAAGCCCTCAGCAGGCAGGCTGCTCACCCCCAAGGTCCCGGCGGCAGGAGGATGAAGACTTGTGAGAGCTGGTTATCTCTGCTCCACGAGGAGCCTGTCAGAGCCACATCCTGGAACAGAGACGACACCTTGCAGAAAGCACTAGAAACACCAAGGATGTGGAGTTTGCTAGAGAGATCCCCTCCCTTCCGCAGGCATTGGCCACCTCAATTCCCCCGTGCCCCTCTCGCAGGCATCTGGCTCTTGTGTCTCTCTTTGGATGCTGCTATTTCTGGGGGCTCCAAAAGACTCTGGGCCTGGGCTGCAAGGGGCCCTCCTGAAGGAGACCTCTCGCGTTTGGCGAATTTTTACTCAAAAGAACTGACCTATCATATCTCTTGGTTGTGTGTGCCTGTGGACCTGGGCTCGTTGGGAGGAAGGGAGCCTCTGGAGGGGTTCTTGAGGGAGGATCTCTTGGTCCAGTTTGAAAATCTTAAGCATGAATCAGTAGGAAATCCCTCACTAGCTAGGTGCATAAAACAGAAAATGACTCACTTTTCTGACACCATTCAAACGTCCCCTTTAAACAGCCTTTCCTGGCCTGGTGTGGTGGCTCATGCCGATATAATCCCAGCACTTGGAGAGACCAAGGTGGGAGGATCGCTTGAGCTCAGGAATTTGAGACCAGCAAGCGAGACCCAGTCTCTACAAAAAATACAAAAATTAGCCAGGTGTGGTGGTGTGCACCTGTGGTCCTGGCTACTCAGGAGGCTGAAGCAGGAGGATTGCTTGAGCCCAGGAGACTGAGGCTGCAGTGAGTCCTGATTGTACCACTGCACTCCAGCCTGGGTGATAGAGTGAGACTCTGTCTCAAAATAAAATAAAATAAAATAAAATAAAATAAAATAAAATAAAATAAATAAGTAAAAAATAAGATAAAAAGCCTTTCGTGATTGTCCCCACACCCCAAGAAAAATTCAGAGCTAACAGCTCTGTATGACAGGGTCCCGTGTCCCCCGGCACAAAGGTCTCACCAGGAAGCAGGCCAGCCCCAGGGGTCACAGCAGGGACTCTGAAGTCAGAACACTCTGCTTGTTTCCTTTGAACATTTCCAGTGGTTGTCACAGAGTTCATCACTTACATTTTTAACTCACCACACATAGTCGTCCTTCACGTAACACTGCGCCACTTCTCATGAGGATCGGGCCGCAGTGCCTGTGCCCATCTCCCCCTCTGTCCTTGGTGTTACCACTGTGATCTCATGAGGGTCGGATCATGGCACCTGTGCCCATCGCCCCCTCTGTCCTTGGTGTTACCGCTGTGATCTCATGAGGGTCGGGCCGCAGCGCCTGTGCCCATCTCCCCCTCTGTCCTTGGTGTTACCACTGTGATCTCATGAGGGTCGGATCATGGCACCTGTGCCCATCGCCCCCTCTGTCCTTGGTGTTACCACTGTGATCTCATGAGGGTCGGGCCACAGCGCCTGTGCCCATCTCCCCCACTCTCCTTGGTGTTACCACTGTGATCTCATGAGGGTCGGATCATGGCACCTGTGCCCATCTCCCCCTCTGTCCTTGGTGTTACCACTGTGATCTCATGAGGGTCGGGCCGCAGCGCCTGTGCCCATCTCCCCCACTGTCCTTGGTGTTACCACTGTGATCTCATGAGGGTCGGATCATGGCACCTGTGCCCATCTCCCCCTCTGTCCTTGGTGTTACCACTGTGACCTAATGAGGGTCGGGCTGAGGCACCTGTGCCCATCTCCCCTCCCGTCCTTGGTGTTACCACTGTGATCATGTGAGGGTTGGGCTGAGGCACCTGTGTCCATCTCCACCCCCGTCCTTGGTGTTATCACTGTGACCTAATGAGGGTCGGGCTGAGGCACCTGTGCCCATTCCCCCCACCCCTCCCACACCATCCTTGATATTACCACTGTGATCATTTCACTTCCCTGTGCTATAAACCCCGCCCTAAGCTTTTAATAAGTTTGCTATAAACAGACAATTGTATTTCAGAGAGAGCAAAGCAATGAGAAAAACATAACTTCCCACAGAGTGATCCTGTCTGGCTCTCCTCAATCCTTAGTGCAGATTCAAATTTCCATTTAGCATCATTTTTTTTTTCTGCCTAAAGAATTTTCTTTCACATTTTTGGCAATAGTTTTCCTATTCTATATGTCTAAGAAATGTTTCCTGCACCTTCTTTATTGAAAAATATTTTCTCTGGTATGGAATCTTAGGTTGGCAGCTTTCCCCCCATTTATGTGTTTGGAAGATGCTGCTTCACGCTCTCCCGGCCTGCATGAGTTTTGGTGAGAAGTCTGATGTCCTTCCTATTCGTGTTCCTTTGTTTATCTCTGGCTGCTTTTAGCCTTTTTAGTGTCTCTGGCTGTTAGCAATTTGATTACAACATGCTTTTTTTTTCTTTTCTTTTCTTTTTTTTGTGTGAGGAGGAGTCTCACTCTGTTGCCCAGGCTGGAGTACAGTGGTGCAATATTGGCTTGCTGCAGCCTCTGCCTCCTGGGTACAAGCGATTCTCCAGCCTCAGCCTCCCAAGTAGCTGGGATTACAGGTGCGTGCCACCATGTCTGGCTAATTTTTGTTTGTTTGCTTGTTTTTGTATTTTTAGCAGAGACAGGGTTTCGCCATGTTGGCCAGGCTGGTCTCGAAATTCTGACCTCAAGTGATCCACCCAACTCGGCCTCCCAAAGTGCTGGGATTACAGGTGTGAGCCACCATGCCCTGCCTGATTACGACACGCTTTGGTTTGATTTCCTTTGTGTATGTACCTCTAAAGCTTCATTGAGATCTTTAGATCTTTGGGTTTTATCATTTTCTTCAGATGTAGAGAATTTTCAGCGATTATTTCTTCAAATATTTTTTCCCTACTTTCCTCCTTTTGAGACCCTGAATCCAGTGTGTTCCGTCACTGTGTGGGATCGCACAGCTCACACCCGTGTGCTTTTTTATCCTGTCTTTTTCCTCTGTGTGCTTCAGCTGGACAGCGTCTTCAAGTGACATTTTTCAGTTCACTGACCTTCTCTTTTCTGTACCATCTAATTGGCTGATAACCTCCTCTATTGTATCTTATGGCAGCTAGTGTATTTTTCATCCCCATGGGTCTTTACCTCTCACCTCTCTCCTCATTATCTCCACATTCTCCTCTATATTCTTGGACATACGAAGCTATTTATAGTAGCTATTTTTATGTCTTTCTCCGCTGATTTGATCATCTGTGTTATTGTGGGGTCCGCTTCTGTTGGTTGATTTTTCTCCTGGTGTTGGGTTATATTTTCTTGCTTCTTTGTTGCCAAGTAATTTTTGATGGGATGTTGACAATTACAAACTTTGTTTTCATCCTTTAAAGAGTGTGGGACTTTCTCTTGATTCTCAGTGAAGTTACTCGGCGTCCGTCTGCCCCTTTCAAGTCTTTCTTTACATGTTTTTAGGGTAGGTAGGGAGCAGCCTTTAGTCTGGGACTGGGGTGCTACCTTCCTAAGGCTGCTACCTGCCGCTGCATCCTACTTGGCTGGGAGAATCTGAGCTATTCCCAGACCATGTGAGTTCTGGGAGTTGTCTGGCTTCCTGCTTTCCAGGGGTTCTGTCCAGGTGTGTGCAGTTTCATATAGACATGTGCAGATAGGAGCACTGCCAGCGGGTTGAAGCCCTCCTGCAAGCCCTGGGACCTCTGTCGGTGCGTCACCCTGCTCCCTGGTACTTTGCTCTGCAAACCCCAGCCACCTTGGTCTCTCAGAACCCTGGTCTCTGATTCTTCAAGGCAGTGAGGCCGCTGGGCTCTGCCTCCCAGCCATGGGGGTGGCAATCACTCAGAGGGCCCAGCTGCTGGTGTCCCTCCTTTCCGTGCTGGCAGCTCTGTCCTCCTGCCTCCAGTATCTGAAGACTGTAGCCCCACATGCGTGGAGAGGGAGGCCTGGATCACCACCTCTGAAGCTCAGCTTTGCCATCTACTAATTGCAGGACTTTTGGCTGGCTACTTAATCTCCAAGCCTCCTTTCCCCCCTCAGTAAAATCGGAACACGGACAGCGCCTTCCTAAAGTGGAGCCAGCGCTTTGCACAGGGCCTGGCGTGTGGTGTCACTTGCAGATGAGTATCTGGGTACAGATCTGTTTTCCGCACCAGACTGTGATGTCCTTGAGAGCTGGGCAGTGCCTGCCCTGGCTCTGTGTTCATTGATGGAGGACAATCTGCAGATACAGGGATGTCTGACGAAGGGACCTGGAATGAAGGTGTGGGAGGCGGGGAAGCCAGTGGGTGTTTTCCGTGAATGATTTTGACAGCCAGTCGTCCCCCCATGCACACGTATCTTACACACACGCCTTCCTTCCTTGCCAGCATTGGCCCTGCAAAGAGGCACCCTGGGCTCCAGGTCCCAGTGGCCATCAGACAGCTGAACACCCAAAGACCAGCTGGGCTTTCCAGTCCCACAGGTCTTCGGGAATTGTCAAGTCTTATCCTATGTCCCTGTACAATTTGGCTGAATCCCCCATCTTTCTGTGCCTCAATTTCCCTGCCTTTAAAATGGAGGCGTTTGGAGCTCAGTGGTTCTCCAGCTTTGTTAGTGGCAGAAATTTCTTTTTCTCCAGACTGATCTGAAGCAGAGGAGAGTAGAGCTACTCTGGAAGAAGCAGGGTGGGGTCCTGAGGGCATGGAAATGACCAGAAAGGATGTTCTCTTAGTCCCTTGGGGCTTCAGTTTCCCCATCTATAAAATGGGGCTAACAAGGGCACCTCCCTCATTGAGTGGGTGAAAGGTCAGGGTGAGGCCATCCAGGTGAAGGGCCTGGGGCTTGCACCTGTGCTGGGTAACAGTCAGCCATCACCATTGTAATCAGCTTCCCTCCTACCCAGGGAGAGACCCCAGGAGGGGAGGGGACATTTCACATGGACCAGGTGCTATACAAACTCAGTGAACCCCAATTCCCCCTCTAAGTGGGCGCTCTGTATTTACAGGCAAAATTCAGAGACTCAGCTAATACAAGGGAATTGTCCAAGGTCACTCCAACAGCCAGCAGCAGTGACAAGGTTCATAGCACATCTGTCTCACTCCAGACAGCCCCTCCTTTCCCCATCCCCTGCCCACTTGGCTCCAGCCTTTTTGAACATCTCCCTGAAGCTGTGATGGCCACGCTGACCCATCAGCCTGCCCTCCATGATAAGCACTAAAATGATCGCCATGGGCATCCTCTGCTGGATGGGGCGAGTGCGCAGAGCCTCTGTCTGTATTCGGCTTAGTGGAGCCAGGGGATGCAGCCTGTTTGCACAGACTCTCGTACCCTAGGACTTAGTGGCACCAGCTGTGGCAGAGCCTGCCCCTTCGCTGAGTCAGCATTAGCAGAGTTTCTTGGTGTCTAGTGGGATTCTGTGAATCGTCATGGTGAAGAATGTGCATCTTGCCTGGAGAGACAGCAGTTTTTCATCCTTGGGATTTTGAACAAGCTCCTTGCAGAAGTCTGGCTGCCTAAGGACATCTGGAGCAAATTTAACACAAACTTTCACCATCTCCCCACTCCCAAGGAGGAGTACATACATGAAGACCCAAGTCCCAGAGCTTGTGGAGTACCCGTGTCTCATGGCTCTGGCTATGGGCAGGAGAGGCCAGCCTTGGGGATGGAACTCTTTCACCCTCAGGCTCTGGCCTCCTAAGATGAATGAACAGGGGAAACGGCTATTTCCAGAGCACTGGGAGGCTCCAACCCCTCTCAGCTGTGTAAAAACATGCCTGTGGTTCTCCAGCCTGCCAACCCGATGTGCCTTCATGTGTAACTCCGGACCTGCAGCCTGAGGCTGGGAAGGGCTAATTAGCCTCAGATTTTCCCAATTGTCCCTGCTTTTCACAAAGATCCATCTCAGATCTTCTCCTCAGTCATATCACCCTATTCAGGCTCATTCTCCAGGTGAGATGGGACACGTTTACTCAGAGGACAAGTCACCCTGCATGCATCAGTCTCAATTCCAGGACCAGAGGACATTAATAACTCCACTTCCACTCCCAGAAGATAGTGGCTCTGCACGCAGGTCTTGCTTGAACCTCGAGAACAAACAAAACTGCCTGGGGCTCCAGCTCCAGATAATCTCTCCAGCCCCATCTCACCACCTCTCCCTGAGCTTCGGGCAGTATTCCAGACATACCGGAAAACTTTTTGACAGATCACATTTCTAATTAAGTTTCTCTTTCCATGAAATAACATAGCTGATTTCTCTTCTTCTTCTTCTTCTTCTTCTTTTTTTTTTCATTTTCCAATTAGCATTTTGGAACTTAAAAAATGTTGGCCAGGCATGGTGGCTCACGCATGTAATCCCAGCCCTTTGGGAGGCTGAGGCAGGAAGATCACGAGGTCAAGAGATGAAGACCATCCTGCCCAACATGGTGAAACCCCGACTCTACTAAAAGTACAAAAATTAGCTGGGTGTGGTGGTGCACACCTCTATTCCCAGCTATTTAGGAGGCTGAGGCAGGAAAATCGCTTGAATCTGGGAGGCGGAGGTTGCAGTGAGCTGAGATCACACCACTGCACTCAAGCCTGGCGACAGGGTGAGACCCCATCTCTAAAAACAAGTTAAAGGACCATTATGGCAAGATGGATATAAGCTCAGACTTTGCTGTCATGGAGTTTTAGGTTTGAACCCTGGCTCTGCTACCCATCGGCTCTGCAGTCTTGAGCCGGGACTTACACTCCCTGATCCATGAAATGGGGAGGTAATAATAGTGGCTTCCAGGGTTGCTGTGGATTACATGAGATAGTGCATGGGGAGCATTCAGCATGAGCCTAGCACAGACTCATGCTGGAGAAGCAGTGGGTGCCCATGAAATTTTTATGAAGCATCCTGTTATGAAGATACAGAAAGACAAAAGAAAAGGAAAGAATGGAGGAGGGAGGGAGGGAGGGAGGAAGGAAGGAAGGAAGGAAGGAAGGAAGGAAGGAAGGAAGGAAGGAAGAGAGGGAGGGAGGAGTGAAGTAGTAAAAAATCTCCAACAGGGCCATTTGGGAGGAGAGACTAACATAACAACACTCTCTCTCATCTCAAATACTAGAGTGGGCTTTAAATTGGATTTGAGCTCTGACCCTCTAAAGGAGCTATTTCTAGAGTCTCCCTCTTTGAAAATGGAAGCAAAGATAGGACCCCAGCTCTTCTGCCTGAAAGCCTTGGAAGAGGAACGGCGGACTTGGAGCCACGTGGGAGGCTGTTCTCACGTCCTCCCGCTCGCTCTTCACAGACATTCCTAATTGATTAGCTCGTTCCCTTCCATCCAGCTTGGGCTCTGCCCCACAGGCCTCATCAACTCGGAGAGTGGGGTCACGCCGTCACGTGGATAGAGCTGGAGAAGATGGGAAATTCTTGGCCTCTTGGAGCTAAGACCTTGAGGCAGCTTGGGAGGTCAGCACCATGGACAGATCCCACTGAGGCGCGGGCTCTCGGACTTCTGGCCTCTGGGCGTTGCTGCTGCTTTTGCCTTTCCAGGGCCCTGCCAGCACCTGAGGAAGCATGGTCAGAGCACTGCGTAGGCGGGAGAATCATCCCATGCTCACACCTTACTGACCACCAGGCTGCAAACCAGAGGCCCGCAGTGGAGGAGAAAATGCTGAGCTTGCCAGGCAGTGCTAATGAAACTTGAGACCTTTCCTAAGTTTCTGGAGACCTCTGTCCCTACTCCTTTTAATCCAGTTTTCACTTCCGCATGCAGCTTGTGGAAGTCCAAAATCTGGTTATTGCCAAGGAATGAAAACTGCATATTTTTCCAAGATAGGTAAGTCCCATCCAAAGCTGGGGAGAAGATGCGTTGTCTCTGGGGGGACCTGGTGGCACTGGGAGCTTCTGCAGCGGTGGATTCATCCAACACAGAAGTAAATGCAGCTCTCTGATGTGTGCAACAGAATGCCAGCTACAGTCATCATCGGACGCCCCGTGCCAGGCCCGTGCTAAGTGTTCCCTGTGCATGACCGAGGTACCTATTCCTGCTCCCTTCCACGCTGTTGATAAAGCAATTTCGGGAGGATGAGGGGCTTTCTTGTGGCTGTGCAACCAAAGGGAGGGGCTTCGAGGAAGTCAGATTTTCTTTTCTATTTTTCTTTTCTCTTTCTTTCTTTGTTTTTTTTTTAGATGGACTCTCACTCTGTCACCCAGGCTGGAGTGCAGCCATGCGATCTCAGCTCACTGCAACCTCCACCTCCCGGGTTCAAGCGATTCTCCTGCCTCAGCCTCCCCGAGTAGCTGGGATGTCAGGCACGTGCCACCACACCCAGTTAATTTTTGTATTTTGACTAGAGACGGGGTTTTGCCATGTTGGCCAGGCTGGTCTTGAACTCCTGACCTCAGATGATCCACCCACCTCAGCCTCCCAAAGTGCTTGGATTACAGGCGAGAGCGACTGTGCCTGGCCGGAAGTCAGATTTTCTTTGCCAGAAGAAAACGCCTGCATGTCAGCCAAATGCAGACCCTAATGATCTGTGTTCCATCCTGTGACGTGAGGAGGAGGCTGTCCCCTGGGAACAGCATGGCAGGCATGCACCCAGTATCTCTCCTATCATTTTTCCTTGGCAGCAACAGTTTGATGCAGCAGGCCTGGCTGCCAGTGTTCAGATCTACACAGCACTGACGCAGGGACTGCCCATGGGACCCAGTTCCAGTGATGAGATGTAAGCAAAAGTCCACTGTGGGGGGCTCCTGGAAGCTGCTGGTTTCTTCATTAGAGGAAGCAGACTCAGCTGCTCACATCTTTTGTCTTTTACCCTTTCCCCTTCCAACAGCCTAGAATGTGAATGATGTCCGGGGCACTGCAGCTGTTCTGTGGCCATGAGGCTGAGAGTGGGACGATGAAGGAGCCTGCATCCATATTGTTCCTCTGGAGTCACCACAGTGGGCATGATGGCAGGCCTCTGGACTTATTGTTCTGTGGAAAAATAAATCTGAATCTGGACAAGCCCCCGTGGTCAGGCTTCTGTGACACACAGCTGAATTCCACCTCGACCTGGTCCCCCATCTCACTGGAGCCTCTAATGAAGGAATACATTTAGACCGCCCTCTTGGTCCTGTGCAGGACGAGGCCTTGGGAAATGGATGTGAAAACTGAACTGCTCCTCTTGACAGTTGCCTGGACCAGTTCTTTTCACAGACAGAAGGATACGAGATAGCAATGCTTAGCTTTGAGTGGCAGAATTCACTGCAGAGTTTCAAGGAAGCCTAATCTCCATCACAGAAAAAAAGCAGACTTGATTTTGGCTTTGCAGTTCACGAAGAATATCCTATCAGCCTGTTGGACTTGGAGCTACCTGCATCAGGATGACCTGGGGAGGCTGTGGAAATAGATTCCTGGGTCCTGCCCAGGCTCCCTTCATCACAATCCCTGAAGGAAGGAGGCAGGAATCTGCAACTTCAACAAGCTCCGGCCCCTTCCCCTTTGAGTCCTACACCTCTACAGTTGAGCTCCTGACCTGCTCCAATGTCTATTCTCACGTGGGATGTCCCCTAAGCCTTACAAAGCATGCATAGCCCCAGCCCCTCACCCAGCCCAGGGCTTCTCTTGCCATGGGATTTCTCTGACCTTTCCAGGGAAAAGGCCCCTCAGCTGCTACTCTTCCCCATTGAGAACGCTTAGCTCAGCCCTGAAAGAAACCGACATCAAACTGGCTGGAAAGAAAATTGCTGCCCCTGCAGTTTCAGGCAAATGTACAGCTGGGGACAGAGGCCTCAACGCATGGCCCATCCATCTTCTCTCCCTGGGTCAGCCACAGCCCTCCTGAGCCAGCAACCACTGCCGGCCCTTGACCTCTCTCAAAGCACCTCCTCTCTGCACGTTGTGTGTGCGTGTGAGTGTGTGCATGTGTGCACGTGACTGCTTATGTGTGCATGTATGCAGGTGTGTACGTGTGCACATGTGTGTTTGTGTGTGTGTCTGGCCATGTCGGTTCATGTGTGCATGCGTGTTAGTGAGACAGCACACTAGCTGCTCTCCAGGCCCTCTGCACAGCCATGTGCCTGTGTGTGTGCACACACATATATGTAAATAAGATATATGTTAGCTCCTTTCCAGGTCTTCTGCACAGAAGCAGCGTGATGAAGAGAAAATCCATTCAGGCCATATTTCTATTGAGCAGTTAGCAATGTCATCTCCACAGCCGGTTACTGCATCTCTTTTAGGTGTTCGGCCCTGAGCTAGAAATTTTACAGCCCCTGTCTCCCATACAAAGAGCCTGGAGTGACTGGTGTTGCTGTCCCCACTGTACAGGAGGAGACACAGGCTCAGCTGATGGTGTCCTGCCTGCGTCCCTGCTGGGGTGCAGAGGGGTGGGGATTGAACACCAGCTGCCCTCCCTTCCCTAAAGTGGGGGTGGTGTGGTCATGAGCACCAGCGCTGGTACACACCAGGCTCAGGGCTCCCCACAGTCCATGCGTGACCCCCCAGTCATCACAACCACCTCACAACATCACTTATTAGCCCCTTTGACTGATGAGGAAACCAAGGCTCAGCGCGTCGAACTGACCCGCCCCAGGCCACACAGCTGGATGTCCCAGAGCCACAGTGTCAGGTCCTCAGTTTCTCTAGGTCTGATTTTTTCCATCTACCAGGCCTGCCCCACCCCATGGAGTTAAGTGGCCGGGCCCCACCTTGCTCGAGGCTCTGGGAACATGGCGGTGACGGGATGTGCTCACCACGCAGTCACTGTGGCAAATGCAGTGCAGAGGGCAGGGAAGAGGGGTGGTCAGAGGAAGGAGGTGCTAATTCCAATAATTCCAAACACCAGGGTTGCCAGCGCAGGAACCAAGGGAGGAGGCTCTGAGGGAGGGAGGAGGGAAGTTCATGCAGGAACAGGGACAGCAAACGTGGGAAGGTCAGAGGCCAGCAGGAGGGGGAGAGAGGCCAGGGACGTCGAGTTCTAGAGCTGAGTCTCCCCAAAGTGGGATCTGGCCATGACTCAGCAGCCTCCATGGCCTCCATCCTCACTTCTGCAGCCAGTTTCTTAAGCCACCAACAGGGGCGGGGGATGGACGTGCTCAGACCTGAGCTGGAGGTTAGAGTTGTCTGGCGGGAATGTCGTGGATAAAGAAGATGGGAAGCTGGGGCCAGGGCACAGTTGGAGGGGCAGCAGGGAGGGATGGAATACACCCGCCTCCACCCCATCGGCAGCCTCGAACGTGCTTCCCTGAAGCCTCCTGTTGGCTCCATCACAGAGAAAAAGGAGGAAAGACCAGAGGCCAACAGGAGCCCACCCTCCCTGCACAAGAGGGAGCAGGTATGACAGGCCGACAAGAGCCCACCCTCGCCACACAGGAGGGAGCAGGTGTGACTCACTCCAAGCGGTCACATGAGGCTGGGAGGGGACTCTGCTCTGAGGGGCGGAGCTAGGCCCTGGCCCCAGAGTTTGCCATCAGAGCCGTGTCATGTCAGAGTGGGTGCGGTCACACTTGAGGAATTTGTCCCCATACCCAGATGGAGAGCAGACAGCAGCTGCCCTGGGAGCTCTGCCTTCCAAGAACAAAAGGTATCCTGTTTTTTTGTAAGCACTAATATATTCATTTAACAGACACAGCCCCTGTGCCTGGGGCTCAGCTAGTCCCTGTCCTAGTTCCTCTTGTGGGGGGTGGTGGGTTCTGCAAGTCCAGGAAGAGGGAGCACAGAGGGATGTAGGCATAGACACAGCCATAGGCAAATGTGTCAGCTCAGAGCATGTGGCAATCACAGAGTCCGCGGCCTGACTCTTGACAGCACCAGGCAAGTGAGGACTTTACCGCCTTCTCCCTAGACTCCAACCCCAAGGGGCAGAAAGCAGCAGGGGGAAGAGGCTGCCCACCCTGGCTGTGCCCGTAGACCAGCCCCCAAGTTGGGGGGAGGAGAAACATTTAATGTTAAATCCGTGTTTAACACTTTAATTTAATTTAATGCTAAATCAAAGCTATTTTTACTATCGAGGCTCTCTTTGAACAAGGTAGGGAAAGGTGGGTCTCATTACCTAAGAATGACAGGAAGTCACAGACTAGCCTGAGGGTTCATTTGGGGTGGAAGAAGAAATTTCACACTGAATTTTAAAGGGACCATCAGCTCTTTAAAAGATACAAATTTATTTTCTTGCTTACACCCCCCTGAGCCCTGCTTGTGCCACATCTGGGCTGCAGTGGTTGTAGGAGTCAAGGAAGGCTTCCTGGAAGAAGAGGCACACAAGTCAAGACCAGAGGGAGGAGCAAGTCTTGCTCCCTTACTCATTGAAGGGACACCACAGGCCAGAGGGAAAAGCAACCCCAGAGCACTGAAGTAACAGAAGGAAATCAGCCCATCTGAGCTGTGGTCAGCAGGGGCAGAGCTGGTGCTGAGGAGGCTGAGGAGGCTCAGGCAGGGAGGCCAGGCCAAGGCCTGGGGGACGGGAGGTCTTTGGCTGCACTTTGGAAGATGGATTTGGGGGGGATCCCGGAGCAAAGATCCCAGTGCTGAGATGGTGAGGATGGGATGAGGGCGGCCTGGAGGCTGGGGGATTCAAGGTTGCCTTTGCAGCTGGGATGGCCCAGTGTGAGGAGGAGGAGAAGTAAAGACACTGATGAATCTGGTCCCTGTGGCTTGGGTACTATGGTGGCTGGAAGAGCCCATCACGCAGTGGAATCTCATGGAGGGAGCATGGGGTGGAGGAAGGCAGAGCTGAGGGCAGGACGGCATCAGGTGCTGGCATGCTCGGTCACTGGTCCCAGGCAGGTCTAGAGCTCGGGGAAGAGGCCTGGCTGGCCATGCAATTTGGGGGTCACATTGCTGGCAACTGCAGCTGGGAAAACAGGGACTTCCTCCATGGCTTGCAAATCACAACGCATAGGGTCACTGAGCTGTGCCCACTCTTGGCGTGACCTTCGCCCTCCTGCCTTACTGTGAGCTCCAGCGGCAGCTCCCTGGAGAGGCTCTGGGCCTCCGGTGTCCTCTCTAGCGGTGCTGGTCTCTGCCATCATAGTGCCCATCCCACACTGATGTGTGTGGCCCTGTTCAAGCCTCATCTCCCCCGGCCCTCTGAGCTCCAGGAGGCTGGGACTTGGGCCATGCACGCCCCATAGCTTATCACCCTTTGCAGTAGGGGAAGAACAGCCCCAAGATGCCCACATCCCAGTCCCCAGCACCACGGATGTGCTCAGCTGCACGGCCACGGGGATGACAGTTGTAGTTGGAATTAAAGTTGCTAATCAGCTGACCATAGGCTAGGAGGATTATCTGGGATTCCACAGGTGGGTCCCATGCAGTCACAGGGTCCTTAAGAGTGGAGGAGGCACAGGAGAGAGCCGGGGGAGATGCGGCTGCAGGAAGCACCGAGAGATGCGACATCTCAGCTTTGAAGATGGAGGAGGGGCTTGGAGCCAAGGAGTGCATGACCTCTAGAAGCTGGAAAAGGCAAGGAAACGGGCTCTCCCTAGAGTGTCCAGAGGGACCAGCCCTGTCCAGACCTTGACTTCAGCCAGGCGAGAGATGTTGGACCTCTGACCTGCATGAGTGTCAGGTGGTAAATCTGCGCAGTGTTCAGTTTGTGGTAACTTTTACAGCAGCCCCAGGAAGCACATCCAGCCCTTTCCTTCCCCATCTCTAACAGTGGGTGCCTCGAGAGCAGCCTGGACCCACCATGTGGGCAAAGGATTACCTAGGTGCCGAGGCAAGAGACTGAAGGCACAAACTGTTTCAGTATAACAAAGAAAATAGTTAGAATAAGAACAGTCATAATACAAATTAGATATAGAGATGATCATGGACAATTATCAATCATTAGGATAAACATTATTAATCATTTAGCTTTTAATATTACTCTTTGTTACATTACAAATATAACCTAGGGATAATCGGTGGGTATAGCATCAGGTCTGAAGGGACATTGTGAGAAGTGACCTGGAAGGCAAGAGATGAGCCCTCTGTCATGCCCATATAAGGACCACTTGAGGGCTCCTTGGTCAAGCGGTAATGCCAGTGTCTGGGAAGGCACCTGTTACTTAGCCGACCGTGAAAGGGAGTCTCCTTTCCTCGGAGGAGTCAGGGAACGCTCTGCTCCACCAGCTTCCTGTGGGAGGTTGGATATTATCCAGGCTTGCCCGCAGTCATCCGGAGGCCTAACCCCCTCCCTGTGGTGCTTCAGTGGTCACGCTCCTTGTCCACTTTCATGCTCCTCCCATACTCCTGGTTCCTCTTTAAAGTTCGTAGTAGTTAGCAGTAGAAGAAATAGTGAAAGTCTTAAAGTCTTTGATCCTTCTTATAGTGCATAGAAGAAAACGCTGACGTATGCTGCCTTCTCTCTCTGCCTCAGCTACCTAAAAGGGAAGGGCCCCCTGTCCCATGATCACTTGACTTGCTTGACCTTATCAATCACTTAGAAGATTCACCCTCCTTACCCTGCCCCCTTGTCTTGTATGCAATAAATATCAGTGCGCCCAGTGGTTCGGGGCCACTACCAGTCTCTGCGTCTTGGTGGTGGTGGTCCCCTGGGCCCAGCTGTTTTCTCTTTGTCTCTTCGTCTTGTGTCTTTATTTCTTACAATCTCTTGTTTCCACACATGGGGAAAACACCCACTAAGCCTCGTAGGGCTGGTCCCTACACCACCGGGCCCCCAATGACCCCATCGATCCTGGGCCCTCCACCTGCTGGGCTGCAGTATATCCAGCACCCCCCAGGCCTCACCCTGAGCTCTGGGAGCCTCTCAGAGCCTGCACCTGTTTGCTGGGTGGACACCTCCAGTTCGGCACACCCCAACCAAACTCCTGCCACCCTTGCAGCCCAAGCTGTCCACAGCCCTCCTGCTGCAGCTGGCAGCAGCCACACCGTCCAGGCAGTGGGGCCAAAAACCAACCAGCCAGCCCAAACCACCCACCCACCACCAAGCACAAGTCCCGAGTCACACCTGGCCCCGCTGTCTCTCACACCTGCTCCCAGTTTATTGGGTGCCCCCTTAGGCTCAGGCTTCTGGGGCTCACTTCTCCCTACCTCCCCAGGGCCCCTCAGGAACCGTCAGTGCCTCTCTACTGCTGCAGCGGCCTCCCAACAAGTCTTCTGACCCCACTCAGCTGCCACCGTGACTCCTGAAGCTACAGATTAGGCCACGGCTTCAGGCTTCAGGCCCTGGGTGGTGCCACGTCTCAGGATAAGTAAAAGCTGGATGCAGTGGCCTGGGAGCTCCATGAGCCCTGCCCCCCTCCCTGGCTGCCCTTGCCTCCCCTCCCCTGCCTTCATTCCTCAGCTCCTGCCCTGGGATATCCTTCCCTCTAGTGTCCAGCTTGCTGCTCCCTCACTCCTCCAGGTGTGGTGTGGCTGTTGCTATCTCCTGCCACCTGCCCTGGCCACCCTGTGGTCACCTGACCCCCTCCTCAGGATACCTGGCCTATGGCCACAGGGACGAGCACCTCTAACTCCTGTATTGTGTCACGTCCTTCACTGCCCCATTGCTTTTGGACTCCTGTAAATGGCAGTGAGCCCAGCCCAAGGCAGCCCCCAGCCACTGCCGTGTGCAACCTTCACTGTCAGCCCAGGCAAAGTTGGCTGCGCAGGCAGCAGTCCTGCAACCTATGTCTCTGGCTGCTTCTCCAGCACCAGATGGAGACACACAGGGTAGGTGCTCGGCTGGTCTCTGTCTAATGGCTGCTGAGAGAATGAGCGAATTCTCTCCCTGCCCTCGCCCCTGTCTGTGCCCCTGGGACACTGAGGGATGGGAGGGCTGGGAGAGCCAAGGGTTCTAGGGGATCTGAGATGCCCCTGGCATCCTCAGTGAGCCCTGCTGGACTCAGAGCTGCTCTGGGCCCTGGGCTGCCCTGAAGGAGGAAGAGTCCTTCTCTCCTCCTCAGCCTTGGGGCCCAGTTTGCAGGTTGTGTCCAGGAAGCCTTGCCGGGCCTCCACCTCCCTCCCTTGTCCCCTGCTGTCCTCATCCTGGGCTTGTCATCCGGAGGAAACACCACACTGCGAGCACTGCCAGAGGGGCGCCTGGTGCACAGCAGGAACTGCCGACCTCACTGCCACCGGGGCCCTGCCCTCACCAGGAGCTAATAACCTGCGGGCTGGCACGGCCACGCTGTGGAAGGCAGACAATGTCACCCACTTTGCCACAGAGGTGGCCATGTCAAATGTGCACAGCCAGCCCCAAGCCTGTGCACATGTGCCCATGGATCCCACAGACTTGTGACTCAGAAGGAGCAGCTCCTGGCACCCAGGGTCCTGGGTCCTGCCCTGGGCCAGCTATGCTGGTTTAACTCCTCTGCATTTTGTCCCCTCCTCTGGGAGGAGCAGAGAGCAGCAGCCCCGTCGTGGGCACGCTCTGAAGATGAGGCCTCAGTCAGTGAGCACTCAGCAATGGCATCATGGCATCATCACTCGCCTGGAGCCCCTCCTAGGGCTCCCCTGACGCCCTGCCCGCCGCCTGCCATGTGGAGCCTCTGCTTTCTCGGTGCCTGGACAGAGGCCAGGTGGGCAGGGGAGCACTTGGGGAACCTGCCTGGCCTGGCCCAGCCCAGCCAGACCAAGCAGCTGTCACATGGTGAGAAGACCAGCTGGTGCGGAACCCGTGGGAGCCAGAGGAGGAGGAGGTCGGGCGCAGCCCCGGCCCATGGCCCTGTCTGTCCCAGGCTCCTAGCAGGTGCCTGGGCACACCTGCCCAGGGAGGGCACTATGGACAGGAGCTCCCCGGGTAAACAGCCGGCTCCTGGTTCTCCTCTCTGACTATGAGCGGTGAAAGTGTCTGTCCCCATTCATCTTTGTGAGAAAGCACCAGGCTGATGTAATTAAGCCCGTGCATCTGGTTGCCATAGCGTTCCTGCCAGGGCCAGCCCCATCAGCGGCAGAAGTGGGTCACACGTTTGCCTCCTCCTCGTTCTTGGACTTCTGTAAAATAACGATGAATCAGATCCACGTGTGCACCTCGGCTGTTTCCTGAGCTGTCCAGGTCCGTGATGAGCTGCCAGCCAGAGGGGGTGCTCTGCCCACTGGCTCGTCCCTTCTGGGTGCCAATTTATCTCTGGGTTCCAAGGTCTGCTGGCAGCTTCCACGGTGGAGGACTGTGCACCTCACACACAGCCATGGGAAGTCCTTCAGGTAGTCTGACCTTGTGCCTTCCCTGTGCTGTCTGACCCAGGCTGTGCTGCAGTGCACGGACCAGGGAGGCCTGTAGATCGTGAGGGTGGGTGGGGCTTGGTTCAGTGTGTGCTGCCTCTTTAATTGGCCTGGGGCTGGGGAGCCAGCATGGCGTCCTGCTCTCCGTCCTGCAGGATCTCATAGAGCACAAGGCTGAGCATTCACAGAGCATGTGCCTGGGCCAGGCATGGAGGACTCAAAGGTGAACAGCCATTCACTGCCTTCATAAGGGGGCTAATGTTTTGCAGCTCCAAGATGCTAGAAAATGAGAAGAAAGCACAGCTATCCCCACCCAACATCTTCAATAACCTTGCTGAGAAAGAGTCTTTGCAGGTGTAATTAAGTTATAGATCTAGAGGTGAGATCATCCTCGATTAGGTGGTACCAGAATCTAACGACAAATGCCCTCATAAAAGAGGAGAGAAGACAGAAGAGAAGAGCCCACGTGAGGCAGAGGCTGGAGCGATGCAGCCACAGCCAAGGAACCACCAGGAGCTGGAGGGGGCAGAGAGGACCCTCCCCTAGAGCCTCCAGAGTGAGCACGGCCCAGATCACAGCTGGAGTTCAGATCCCTGTGGCCTCCAGAACTGTGGGAATCAATTTCAGTTTTTTAAAACCAGCAAGTGTGTGATAATTGGTTATGACAGCTGCAAGAAACTAACACACACTCATACACAAAATTTCAGGGGCCTCTCAGGAGATCCCCTGAACCCTGGAGGTCATCTGCAGTGAGGAGGAAGGGGGCTGCCCAGAGCTCAGGGAGAGTCTGAGAGGCACACTTTGTGTTACGTCTTTGGGTGCATTTTCTAGCGTCTCTGCTCTCTATAGATTGAAGGTGCTGGCCTGGAAGCACCAAGATGCAATCAAAGCCCAGGAGGAATCCTAGGAGGCAGAGGAAAGAAAGGCCTGCTTGCCACGGGCTATGGAAAGTATATGGAGTCTCGGGGTCCACAGCCCTGCCATCTCCCAGTGGTACCATCTTGGGGAATGCTCAACGATATCACCAGTTGACCAAGGGCCAATGGCAGGCCAGATGGTCTGGGCACCAACAGAGAGGAGACGCTCCCTGGTAAAGTGAACCTTCCAATGGGAGGGTGCGAGGGAACCAATACATGAACACAGCAACCCCAGCCAGGAACAAATGCTGTGTAGAGAACTGAGCAGGGCAGAGTGGGAAAGAGGCCTGGGAGAGTGGGGTCAGTGATGCAGTCTCCAGGGAGGGGACATTAGACTGCCATCTGAATGACAAGGAGGACTTCACCCCTCAGAGGTCTGGGGAGGGCATTCCAGGGAGAGGATCTTTGGCTAAAAACCTGGGCAGGGCTGTGTCCTGGTCCAGGGTGCTCAGAAGGGCGGGTGCACTGTTGGCTGCCAGGGTGTCCAGGCTCCGGGGAAGCAGGAAAGGGTGGTCGTGGTGTGTGATTGTGGACTGTGGAGAATGAATGATGGGCTTGGTGGGAGGGAGACCCATGGGGAGGCGTTGGCTTTGGGTGGGGAGATGGTGGTAATTTAGATGAGGGCGGAATGAACCTTCATTAGGAGGTGGAGGGATCCAGGCGGATCCACAGTGCACTTTGGGAGTTGAGTCAGCACTGATTCCTGCTGGGGTAGGTGTTGGGTGAGGGAGAGGAGTCAACAGCCCTTCCTGGGCTGTGGTCTGAGCAGCTACAAAAATGTGGTGGCCAGTGCGTAGTGAGCGGGAAGGCGTGGGGTGTTGGTGTGAGACCTTGGGATCCGTCCTCGACACGCCGAGTGGACATGACATCAAGTGGGGAGCTGAGCCTGGAGTGAGGCAAGGCGGGGGTGTCTGTGGCCGCATGCCTGGAAAGACCTGGCTGGAGCAGGTGATCAGTAGATGTGGGGTCCCTCTGTTTCCAGATTTTCTCCCCAGATACAAGGGAAACAGGGGAAGGGCTGGAGGTGGGTGTGGAGGACAACTCAGCCTGGAAGAGCAGCACTGTCCCCAGGGTCGGCTCCAGCGAGGGTGGAGCCTCCACAGAGCCGCCTGTGGTTTGGAGCCATGCCAGCAGGTTGCCAGAAAGAAAGGCCCAGGAGGTGAGCCCTCAGCGGCCTTCCCTCCCTTCCCTGCCATCCTGGCTCAGTGTCTCTGGGGCCCGCCTCTGGGCCCTGGTTGGAATCAGGGGATCTGACTTTTCCATCCAGGCAGAAGGCGAGGATGCGCTACACCGTCAGCCCTCCAGGCCTTAGCAACCCTCCTTCCTCCAGACAAAAGAAACAGCATCAGCCTTGGGTCAGACTCCCCCAGGGGCGTGCCCTACGCCTGCTGATCTTGTTCTGAGGCCCCCCGCACAGCTGTCTCCTGCAGACGCATTTTGGCTGCCACCATGGGGAGCCGGGGAGGGCAGCCTTCCCGTGTCTGACCTTGGCAAGCTTAGAGGGTGCTGACGAGACATGGGCCGGGGCTTTCCAGGGAAACACAAAGATTCACAGTTTCCAAAATAAACACAAGCACGGCTCACCCCAGGGCTCCCAGCGGTGGGCAGGGCTCGTGGGGATCCTGGGGGACAGGGAATGAGCCGTTTTCTGTTGTCCTGACTGACAGGCCAGCTCTCCTGTGCCCACATGGAGTGGAAGGGGTACGTGCTTCCTCCTCCTTCCTGGGCTTCAAGTCTTTCTGGATTTCCTTCTTGATGACCCAGACAGGAATCCTCTCCTTTGCTGAATAAAAGAGACTTTTGGAGGTGCCTGAGTGTGGATTTGGTGGAGGCGGAAACATCCGTATCATACTCCAGCCAGTTTGTGAAATGACCTGGTGCTCTCTGGGCACCCGTGTCTGCCAGACCTGGGGGGACCCTAGGAAGCAGGACGGAGCCTGGAGACCCCGCTTGAGGGGCAGAGGGAATGTCCATGTTGTGACTTGAGGGTAATTTTGTATCAGCCAAATCAGCAGGACTGAGTGTGACGTGGGAGGGCAGAAAAGGAGGGAGCAGGGGAGCTGGCTTGTTGTGGGTTGAAACGCGCCCCCCAAGTCCACATGCAGTCCTGACCCTGAGTCCCTGAGAAGGTGGCCTTATTTGGAAACTGGGTCCTTGCACATGTTACTGGGTAAGATGAGGTCACGCTGGAGCAGGGCAGCCCTAGTCCAATATGACTGCTGTCCTTTAAAAAGGGACAATTTAGGCCGGGTGCGGAGGCTCACGGCTGTTATCCCAGCACTTTGGGAGGCCGAGGCGGGTGGATCATGAGGTCAGGAGATCAAGACCATCCTGGCTAACACAGTGAAACCCCGTCTCTACTAAAAATACAAAAAATTAACTGGGTGTGGTGGCGGGCGCCTGTAGTCCCAGCTACTCGGGAGGCTAAGGCAGGAGAATCACTTGAAGCTGGGAGGCGGAGGTTGCAGTGAGCCGAGATCGTGCCACTGCACTCCAGCCTGGGCGACAGAAAGAGCTCTGTCTCAACAAAACAAACAAACAAACAAAAACAAAAAAAATGGAGGGCAAATTGGACGCAGAGACAGACATACACACGAGGAGAACTTCATGTGAAGATGAAGGGAGAGACCAGAGTGGGGTGTCCACAAGGCGAGGAGCACCCCAGACGGCCAGCAGACCCCAGACAGAGAGGGCCCTGGAGCAGATGCCCCTCCCGGCAGGAACGGAACTCATTTGTGTTGAATGAATGAACTGATAGGAGCTACGGAAAGAGCGTGCAGCAGACTCCCCCAGATCGAGTCCCGGCTTGACCCCTGACCCCCACTGCATGCCAGCTCTGGGGAAAAACCTTTCCAGGCCCAAGTCCAAAATAGTATTGTCTTCTGTTTGTGTCCCCTTCACTTCCCTTCAGAGGAACTCACCCTGCTGACACTCTGATCTTAGAGTTCTGGCTTCCGGAACTGTGAGAAAATACATTTCATTGATTGAGCTGCCCAGCTTGTGGTACTTTGCATGGCAGCCCCAGCAAATTAAAACCGAGCTGCTTCCAAGAGAAGGGCCCCAGAGAGGCTTGGAGGCTCCGACTGGGGCTGCTGGGGGAACCCCTAGTCCTCCTGCACACTCCAGCTTTGACAACACTTTCTCCTGCCACAAATATTGCTAGAGCTTCTATCATGTGCCAGGACCTGTTTTAGACTCTGGGGATTTGGCAGAGAACAAAACAAAGTCCCTTTCTCAGAGCTTAAAGCTGAGTGAGTAAAGATGGGAAACAATGAGTAGGTAACATGGCTGATGGTGAAATGCACTGTGTGGAAGCTAAAGTAAGGGAAGTGGACAGAGACAGAGGCCGATGCTATTTTGGTCTTGGTTCTGGAAGGCTTTTCCCCTAAGGTGACATTCAGTGGAAGCCAGGCATCAATCCTGGTCTCTATTTGGGAGAAGAGTCTTGTGTGTGTGTTCTTTCATTAGCTCACTCATCAATTCTTACATACAACAAAAGTTTGTTTTATTTCTCCTGCCTCAGGGCAGGCAAGCCCCGCAATTGGGGCTTAGCCTGGGAAGGATCTTGGCTTTGCTCAGGAAAGAATTCAGGAGGCAGTCGGTGGTAGAAGGAAGCGACTTTATTGAGGCAGCAGTGTTGCAGTTCCATGACTGCTCCTGCAGAGCACGGCTACCCCACAGGCAACGTGCTGAGAGCGGCTGAAGGCAGTTCTGCAGTCATGTTTATACTCATTTTTAACTATATGCAAATCTGGATAGACAGATGAATGGATGAATGGATGAGTGGATGAGTGGATGGATGGACAGATGATGGATGAATGTGGATGGATGGGCTATTCATCAATTTCTAGAAAAGGGGCAGTAATTTCCAGGTCATTGCCATGGAAAGGGGTGGTAACTTTCAGGTGTTGCCATGACAATGATGGGCATGTTATGGAAAGGTGCTTTTGGTGCCTCTTCCCTGTTTCAGCTAGCCTCCAATGTGGTCCAGAGTTGAGTCCTGCCTCCTAACTCATTACTAAATGTTGGAGGCTCTTTCTTAGGCCCTAAAGATACATCAACAAACACAGCAGACAAGCCTCAGATTGGGGGAGGCAGATGGACAGTGAACAAGTACATAAGTAAACATCTAGAATCTGTGCCAGGTGGTGATGAGCCCCATGGAGAAGAATGCCACAGGGGATGGGGAGGGAGCTAGGAGTAAGTGTCTCCACTGAGTGGTCAGTGAGGCTGAATGGATAGGATGCCACTGGATGACTCAGCCCCATTCCATCATCCATCTATCCATCATCCATCCATCCATCATCCATTCATCACCCATCCATCCATCCATCCATCATCTATCCATCCATCCATCCACTAATCCATCCATCTATTCATCTATCCATCCATCCATCCATCATCTATCCATCCATCCATCCACTAATCCATCCATCTATTCATCCATCCATCTATCATCCATTCATCACCCATCCAGCCATCCATCATCTATCCATCCATCCATCCACTCATCCATCCATCTATTCATCTATCCGTCCATCATCCATCTATCATCCATTCATCCATCATCCATCTGTCCACTCATCCATCCATTCATCTATCCATCCATCATTCATTCATCCATTCATCATCCATCATTCATCCATCCCTCATCTACACGTCTATCATCTATCCATCTGTTCATGTATCCATCCATCATCCATCATCCATTCATCCATCTATCTTCCATCCATCACCCATTCATCCATCTATCCATCCATCACCCATCATCCATTCACCCATCCCTCATCTATCCATCCATCATCTGTCCATTCATCAACCATCATTCATCCATCCACTCATCTATTCACCTATCCATCCATCATCCATTCATCCATCTATCTCCTATCCATCATCCATCCATCCATCCATCCATCATCCATTCATCCATCCACTCATCCATCCATCCATTCATCTATCCATCCATATATTTACCCATCATCCATCCATCCATCCGCTTATCCTTTCATCCATCCATCAGCCATCCATCCATCCATACATCCTGTGAACAAATGTTTTTGTCTTCTGAGTAGATGGTATCATGAGTGTTGGGGCTATATCAGTGAACAGGACAGAGCTGGCCCTGCTCTCATGGAGCTAGATTCCATTGGTGGAGACAGATAATAGAGATGAAATAATTGCAAGTGAGAAGAGAGTGTTTCGGGACCATGGGGTGCCTAGCAGGGCACGGTTGCTTCCCTGGGTACCTTGGTCTCTGGTCCAGAACCCATTGGTCACTTATCTATTTTCATCCTGCAGAATGGGGACTCCTAGAAGCCAGAGGCCATGTTCTCTTCATCTCAGGACCCCCTTCACCAGCACCAGTCTTTCTGACCCCCAGCCAGGACCCAGTGCATAAGAAATGTGAATTACTGAGCCAGCTCTGGCTGAGCCTGGATGGTGGGTAAGATGAGGATCCACAGAGAAGCCAGGGCAGAGAAGGGCATTCTGAGCAGGGGCACCAGCCCGAGCAAAGATGGGAGAAGAGGCAATGCACACCTGTGTGCAGAGAGGGAGCTGCAGGGGAGAGCAGCCCAGGCTGGGGCAACCTGAGGAAGCAACCACAGTGTAGGGTGGGGCCCAGAAGGCCTGGACTGCTGCCTGAAGAGGCCGGTGACAAGATGAAACCCAGTGGGTGCTGAGTTGGTGGAGAGGTCCCCAGGCAGGACAGAGCATGTGGTGCCGTGTGGTGCTGTGTGGGAGTGAGGGGAGGGCATGGCCCAGTGCAGGTGGAGAGGCACCCAGGGAGAGAACTGCCTGTCCCTCGCAGCACTCAAGTGCCTCCGTGTCCCCCATCAAACAGCAATAAGCTGCTCCTTTTTTGGAGATGCCACCAGGGAGGCGGGGACACGCAGAATAATAGATGGAAGGTCCTTTCATTGTCCAGAGGCCCCAGCCTCATGGCTGACACCAGCTTCTGAGAAGTGTCGTATGCTGTGCTCATCTGTTCCTGAGACAAGCAGATCTTGAGGAGGAGACAGATCTCCCCACATGCCCCCTTCCTTTCCCCTGCAGTGCTGGGTGAATGGCACCCATGGGAGCGGGTGGGGGGGCGTGGCTGCATGCAGCTCACATGTTTACATTTGGTTCTGCTCCAAAGCAGCAATGGCAGCTCATGTCTTGTACCATCTCTCCACCCCTAACAACTCAAAACTCCAGCTGGAATTGCCAGGAGGCTTCTAAAGCTTTCTGAGACAAAAGGATAATTTACTGAAAAGCCCAGAAGCATGGAGGGGACTGGGTGGGACTGGCATGTGTGTGATGCCTCCCTCCTTTCCCTGCCTGGTTCCAGGCTCTATCTGCCCACTGGCTGGGCCCCGCTCAAGTCTGGTGTGAGCTCTGTCTGACCATGTGACAGGGATGCTGACCAAATATGACAGGGTGTGGGAAGGCTGGAGTAGACAGCTGTTCACCTCCTCCTCTTTTTCCCCAGTTAGAAAATCCAGGGTTTTTGGCTGGCCTCATGACCACCCAGTATAAAGACTACATTTCCCAGCCTCCCTTGCAGCAGTAGGTAGTCATGTGACTCAGTATTGACAAATAGGATATGCAGAAGTGTCATATGACAGCCCCTGGATACCATCCCTAAAAGGCAATTTGTGAATACACTGCGACTCTTTTCTTCTTTGCCCCATCCTTCCTGGAACAGAGATGTGGTGGCTTGAGCTTCAGCTGCCATCCTGGGCCATGAAGACAAAAGCCACATCTAGGGATGGCAGAGCAGATGCTGGAAGGCTCTTTGTCCTGGTAGCTGAACTGCCAAACCACCCCTGGGCTGCCCACAGGAAGTCTAGTCTTCACAGAGAGAGTGTCTCCGTGGATGTGATCTTGCTTCTGAGTCGGGCAACCTGAAGTGGAGAAAGCTCTCCCAGCAGAGGGAATAGCCTGCACCAAGGCCTGGTGTTTAGAGCAAGGTGTTCAGGCTGAGAATGGTTGGAGTCTGGGAAGGACAGTGTGGAGGGAATGAACCTGGGTATTCTTGGGGCAAGGGAGGTGGGTGGTCTGTGTACGCAGCTGCTTTGGGGTCCCGCCTGCCTCTTCCATGCAAACTCATCCTCAGGAAAGGGTTCCATACACATGACATTGCACACACCTGCAATGTCAACATAAGTCCTAGGGTGACTCTCCCACCCCAAAACTGAATAAGATGTTCTGTCCCCCAAGAAGGGGCTTCAGACTTCACCAAGGAGAAGTATTTGAGGTGGGCATGTCTTCCTGCCTGAACCCCATCACTGGCATGAGGCCTGGTAAAATTCTGGGCTCCAGATCCAGCCCAGCCTCTCAAGGACTTACATTAACAGTCAGCTCCACCCTACACCCCTCCGTGGTGAAGATCAGACCCCACAACTGCTTCATGTCAGGTCAGCTGTGGAGGGAGCGGTTTCCAGGCACAGAGGGGCTCTCAGGGTCCCAAGTCACCATGGTGTTGCTGTGGGCCCCTCCACTCGTGGTTGGTAACCCAAGCGTCCGCTCTCAAAAGGGGCTGAGAGAACCTGCAGGAGCAGGGCCAAGAGGTGGTGTCTGGGTGGACCCACTCACTTCTCGGAGCCTCGGGGTCCCAGGCTGGTAGGATGGAGTAGGGGGTGAGACCTGGAGGGCAGAGGACTTGATGCAGCACAGGAGCTGGGGAGGCTGGCTTGGTCTCCCTGTCTCATCCCATTTATTTCTCATCTGAACAGGACTCGTGTCCCCCTGGACTTGAGCTCTTTGGGGGCCAGGATGGGTTTGGTCTGTCCTTAGGCCCACCCATTGCAGTCATTCTTCCCAGAATGGGGGTCAGCAGATCTTTGTTAAGCAATTCTTTCAAAGTCAAATGCTGTTCCCTTTGTTCCGATCAGGGCTCTAACCATCCCTGCCTGCCTCATCTGAGCTCACATTCTCCATTCCTGTGTTATCAGTTTCACCCTCCACCTAAATTAACATGCAGCAGCTGTGGCTGTTCCCAAGGGGTCTTCGTGGCCAGACTGTAAGCTCTGAAGCACAGGGACCATGTATGTCTTACTTGCTGTTTGAATGCAGCCAAATCCCTTGGCTCAGAGAGGTTCCCCAGATGTTGGGTGAAGGAAGGAGGCAGGGGTAGAGTTGTGGGGGTGGGGATGCTAAGGGTCCCTTCATAGAAGGAAGGCTTGACTCACACTATAGGGACAGCTGAGTTCTCCAGATTCTGCCTCTTCTTCCCATGTGTGGACCAGGCTCCTCCCTCCTCTGGGTCTCAGTGAGGCCACCCTATGATCTATACCACGAGGGGTACCTGGGATCCCCAAGACCTCTTCTTACAGCTCCGCCAGCCAGGCTCTGGCTGCTGACAGCCCAGCACGTGGGGTCACCTCCCTGGTGATGCACGTTTCTCTGAGCTGAGTGGAGCCGAGCATCACAGAGGATTTTTCCATTGCCTCCTCCTGCTGCAGCCTCTGCCTCCAACAGTAACTTAATTAGCTCGCTGTTTTCCAAACAGGCAAAGCGTGACTCAGCACTTTCATGGGAGGTCTAAATTTGTCACAACCCCCTAGGTGTCTTTTAGCCAAATCCTTCGGGAAATTAGCTCATGGGGTTAGAAAAGGGATTTGGCGGTGGTTTCTGGCAGCTCTAGGGCCCCCCACAGGGCCAGGGCGGGTCCCTGTCCACAGACCTTGCTCCTGTGGGCTCCCTGCAGGGCAGGGTCACAGATGGCCTCAGATCCCTTCCCCTTGTTCCTTCCTCCCTCCCTGCCCCCAGTGGGGGCCTCAATCCCCATGGCTGGAAGTTAAAAAACAAGGTCACCAGCGTGCTGTGGATCCACCCCAGGCTCAAGCCTGAAAAGCGTGGGTTCTCCAGGGTGTCCAGGGCACCGCCTCTCTTACCCCTTCCAGGCTTCACCAAAGAGCAGCTGGAGCCCAGGGGGCTGCCTCTTGTCTTCTGTGAATGGCAGGGGTCTCTGACTAACTTGCCTCGAGGCAGAGGTCAGAGGCCATGGGCTCCCTCCCCTCGTTTCCTCCCTCTCCTTAAGGCCGGCAGCATCTTCTCGCCTCCAACCCCCTGGCCGGTCCTCATGTCTTCCCTCTGACGCTGAGCCTCCTAACTCCCTTTTATAAGGACCCTTGAGCTTCCATAGGGCCTGTGCAGATGATCCAGAATAATCTCCCTTTTCCATGAAATCCTTAACTTAAGCTCATCTGCAAAGCCTCTTTAGATAGGAACATTCACAGGTTCTGGGGAAGAGGATATGGCATCTTTCTGTCTGCCACAGTCACAGGGGCTTCTGCCAGTACTCACCCGGCTAGATCCCATCATCCTAGCTTCATCTCAGCCTGAGAACAGCACGGGGGGGCGGTCCTTGAATAAAGCCCACCCGGCCTCAGCTCCAAGGAGGGGCCGATGTCATGAAGGTGCCCCTGCCTGATAAGAGGCAGCGAGTCTCCCTGTCATCACTGGCTGCAGAACAGAATTATGGGTGTGGAATAAATTACATGCTAACATGCATGGTCACTCCCTGCTTCTCCTGCCATCAATAAGCACTACATCATATGTCCAGATGCTCAGAAACAGCCGACAGGTTTCAGTATCAGCACTGCCAAAACCGTGGTGGAGGCCCTCCCAAAGGCAAGAGCAGCCAAGCTCTGCGGCCTGTATCAGAGGTGTGGCTAGCCAGACTGCCTCCCTGGCACCACTGCCCTGCTCTCTGCTTGGGGTCCTCTGTCAGGGCCCCGGTCCTGGTCTGAGCTGCACCCCCGTCCCCACCTCTCCCTGGTCTCCTGAGGAATCGTGTTTGCTATTTTTCCGCAGAAACAGAGGTGGGAGTCTGTGTGGCTTGGGCCTGGCCTGGCTGCTGCTGAGAGCCCCCAGCCACCAAGTGAACTGTTGGGCACCAGCCACAGGCCTCCCAGCTTCTCAGTCAGACTTGGCCTAGAGGGGAGACCCCAGTTCTGGCTCTGGCTCAGCCTTCCCCGGTTTGAATTCAGCGAGTCACCTGATTTTGGTTTTCCAGAGTGGAGACTACAGTGATGATGCAAACAGCCTGCTTCACGGCTGCTCCCCATCAGCCCGGACCTGTCATCAGCCTTGACCTGTCTTCTGAAAAACACTCCATCCCTGTCCTCCCTGTGTCCTGGAGGAGGGACCTGAAGCCCGTCAGTGTGCCCCCTGCAGTGGGTGAGCTGTGGCAGCCAGCTCGCAGGCTTGAAGGCAATGGGGCCCACAGCCTGTGGCCCCCAGGGATGCCATCACCCTAGACAGGGCCCACAACAAGCTGGCTGTGTACTTAAGAAAGTCACTCGCGTCTGCCCGTTTATCCACTTTGTGGATGTTGGGTTGGAAACAGTCACCCAGCCAGCCCTCTCCTTTTATAGAAGATTTAAGAGAGGGCACCTGGCAGGGCCACGCCCTTGGTGTCTGCAACACGGTTTGTGGGGGTGGGGGCGGAACGAGCCGCAGCGGGCTCTGCCCTGGGCCAAGTGCTAGGTGGGCTGTGCGTCGAATCTTCCCAGCTAGAAAACTCCAGTGAGCCTCTCCATATGTGTGGCAAAGACTTGAGCTCAGAGTGGGTAAGTCACCTGCTCAAGGTCACCCAGCACTGCATGCTGGCCTCTCAGAAAAGTCAGCCTTTCCCAGATGTGGCCTGAGAGGTATGCAGAGATGCATTTTTTATTTTAATAATGTCAGAAACAGGTCCCCTTTTCTTCTCATTTCCTGCTTCACTGGTATCCTGAAACCACACCTCCCAGCCTCCCTTGCACTAGGCTGTGGCCGCATGACTGACTCTAGCCAAGGAAGTGTGGGTGGAGCCTTCCTCTTCTGCAGAGACCCTGGAGGCTCACAGATGGAGATGCCTGGATCCCTGCGGCACCCTATGGAAGAGAGAGGAGAGGATGAGACCTGGAGGAATTATCTACTACCATTTATTGTGAAGTATCAGAAAAAATATAGCCTGCCCATATATATATATATAACCATGGGTTAGAGATACTGTTGCTAAAATGCGGTTACGAAATAGGGTGAGGGAATTCTCTTTCTAAAACTGTTAAGTAAATAGCACGGGTGGTCCTTGGAAATGGCGTATCTGGAAGGTGACTGTGAGGATGTTTGGGAACGCCAGCACTGGGCTCTCCTGCTTCCCCAGCAGAAAGAAGGCGCTTCCCCGAGGCTCAGGGCCAGCATGGGGTTGGCATCTTTTGCCTCTTCCCTGGCAGGTGCCTTTTAGAAAACCCAATCTCCCCTCTCAGGACCTCTGTCCTCGTGCCCTCTGGCAGCCTCAGGGAAATTTGGGCTGACTTCTCTCCCAATTTAGAAGTCAACCATTTTATATCCAGTAAGGGAGAACAAGGCTTCTCTGAAACTCATCTCCCTGATTTATGCAGTCAGCGAATTCCACGAAGCTCACTGTGGCCAGTGCTTTCTGTGGCCCTTTTAGAGGCACGATCTATTTTACGACTCATTTAAGAAAGAGACGGGAAAATGCATGCTTTTCCTCACATAGGAAATCGGCAAGCCCAGTGCTTCCAATCAGTAAAATCATATTCTGCTGACTTTGAGAAGGGGCTGAAATACCATCCTCTGGGTGAGCTCTGACGGCGGGAGCTGGCGGGGTGGTCCGGAGCCAGAGACGTTTCTCGGTCGTGCTGCTGACGTGTTGAAAAACGACCTGGAGCTGCGCAAACAGATGGTCTGGGGCGGGGTGGGGCCTCCGAGCAGTGCTGGAGAAATCACCCCGGCTCGGCTGGTGCCTGCTCCCCAGGGGCGAGGCGCGGCCTGGCAGATTGCCCATTAATGAAACTCAGTGGGCAGAGGCTGCTGAGGGACACGGATTCCCACTCCCCGGGGGAGGGGGTGGAAATGGCTTCCTCCCTCTGCTTCCCTACCACCAGTAGTGGGGAGCTCACCATGCTTAGAAGACTCTTCCTTGCCTGGAGTTCGGGCCTCCTCCCTGCACCTACCACCCTAGTGGCCCCAAGTCTTAAGGCTGAAGGTAAATCCTGTGTCCTTCAGAAGCAAAGGCTGCAACCGATACCAAACAGAGGTGGCCAGCGCGGGCCATCCCTGGGATACCTAGCTTGGCAGAAGGTCATTCTCAGTTGTAGACTCCCTGCCCCCCTGGCATGCTGATACTGGGTATGAGGCCTGGCACCTGCCAGGTTCCGAGTCCATGCCGGATGGGTGAGGGAGGGATGGACAGATGCGGACTGAGTTGAACACACAGCTCTGATGTAGACTCTGAGTCTCCTGAACTAAGTCCAGCCCTTGAGGGGCAGCGCAGGCAGAGTGGTGAGGAGGGAAGGAGTTCAGGCTTGGTATCAGCACGGCTTCCTGTGGGCTCTGTGTGGAGCCACATGGGCAAGAGGGCGTGGCTCTGACCCTGGCTCCCCTGGGGTCTCCATGAGACCTCTGCCCCGTGCACACTGCTCCCACCTGAACCCCAGTCACCCTCCCTGCACCCTGCTGTGAGGCCCTTCAGTGCAAATCTGCACCCACGAACACCACCTTCTGAGTGCCCTCCAGCCCGCTCTGACACCTGGCTGTGTGGAGAGGTGAGGCCTTGCTTCCGCAGGCTCTCCAGGGAAGGCTGTTTTCCATGCCCATGGGTGGTTCCTCCCTTTCCCATATGGTCGAGCCCTCTCTCCTCACCCTGTGCAAAGCCCCAGCTCCTCTGCTCGCCTCCTCCAAGCCCCCTGTCCTGGTCCTGTGGGTCAGCTCCCTCCCGTGTAGCCTCTCAGCTCCTTGGCCCTGCCTACCAGCTTGTCCCCCACCCGAGCCACCCTCCTGGTGGGCCATGCCCTTGACCCTGTCAGCCCTGGCAGCAGCTCCTCCTCCCGAATCCTGGTTCCAAGCCCCCTTCTCTCCAGCTCGCCTGATGGAGTGCTCCAGTCCCTGGCTGCGCGCAGACCTCACTTCCTGGCTGCAGCCGCATTCTCACTCTTAATTCCTGCCTGCCCCTTGTCCTTGCCCACCTCTGCCTCGCCCCACTGGATTTCCATGGCCCCTGAGGTAGTGCCCCTCACTCCCACTTGCCCAGCACCATCTCCCTGACCCCCTCGCTCCCTTCCTCTGTTGACTGGCAGGAACTTCCCACCCTGCGCAGTCCTAGGGAACCGGTTTCCCACCCTTCAAACTGACGGGCTTATACCTGCTCCCTGCAAGCCCTCCTACATGCCCTGGCCCCTCCCCTTCATCTGACCCTGACCTCGACTCACGCCTCAATGTGAAAGTCAGAGCAGATGGAAAGGCACCCCCCTCAGGCCCTGACTGCCCATTATCACCTCTGCTCTGTCCTGCTAGTCTCGGGTGAAGTCTTGCGGGGGCCGACTCTTCCTGGACTCACTCCCTGGTGATGTCCCGAAGATGCTCCTGCAGCTGCCTCCTCTCTCCGGCACTGTCAACCTCTCCCTGCCACTGCTTTCCTGTCACTCACCACCCCTGACATTGTCATCCGCTGACCTGCCCTTTCCACTCCCCCTCCTGTACATGAGGCCCAGGCCTTGCTGTCTTGGTCACCAACGTGTTCCCAGGCCCAAAATGGCATCAGGAACAAATGGTGATTCATGGTTATTTGGTTAACTGAGCTGAAGAGTGGATGAACGGATACCTATGGCCCCGATCCACCAGCCGTCAGCCTATCCTGGCAGCCACAGAACCATGGGGCCCCTGGCCGTTTACAAGGGCAGGGGCTCCTTCCTCCCTGTGCTGGGCGGACAGCTCCCACCTGGGACCTTCCACACGGCAGGAGCCCCATGAACAGGACACAGAGTGGCGGAAGGGAAGGGCCCTAGACCTTTGAACAGTGACCCAGCTACTCAGAAGGGGAAGCCATGTGGAGACAGCCACGGGCTTCAGCCGTCCCGTCCCAGGCAGGCGACCCCGACCCACACTCCAGCTCCCTGCACGCCGTCCTGTCTCTCGCCTCTCACGCTTGTGTGATGATGAGAAGCCGGAAAAGATTCTCCCCATCATGATGGTGCATCTCGTTCTCGGCAATACCTTGACGTCCGGTGCTGCCCGGCCCCAGGCCCCGTGCCCACACCCCGCCTTGCCTGCAGGGGAAAATTCTAGACTCCTGAGGTCTTTGCCTGCTTTGCCTATTATCTGCACAATTGCTCTACCCCCACTTTTTCCACAGGAAGTGTCCTGTCTAGGGGTGAACATGAACCTTCACAGCTAAGGCTAAACGTGCAGTGTCTTTGGAGATGGCCCCAAGCCAGCAGCACCAAATTTGGGATAATTTTACAATAAAGGGATGTGCACAGTCCCAACCAGGCATGCGATGCGCTTCATGATGGGGCCTGAGCAGGGTGGTGGAGAGCCCTGGCTTGGGCATTCCCCTGGCTTGGGGTCAGGGGCACAGGCTGTGACCAGTGTTGAGGCACATAGGAGGTGCTCCTGTGAGATCATTAGAGACACAACTTCCTGCCCTCCACAGGGAGCTACTGCGCACCTGCGCTGAGCTGGCCGGAAGTGTGGCTGGGACAGGACCATGAGCGAGTCCAAAGGACCTTTGCTCTCTGGAGTCAGTGATGAAGGGGGGTTGCCAGAGGTGAACGTCAGCAGGCCAGTAATTGAAAAGCCTGCAGAAGAGCACAGGGTTATCCAGAATCCTGTCTGGAGAAAAGCAATTGATGAGTATTGTTCTTGAAACAACCGGTTGCATCTAATCAAATAATGTTTTCCTTAACTCACCGCTAATTTGTTTTCAAGATGAACCTTATGAGTGGTTTCGAGCTGGGATCTCTTTTCTGGCTGTTTCTAGATGGGTTGCCTCAGTCCTTCCTCTCACTTTGACTGCTCTGAATAATTCACATGCACCAAATTGCTTCTTCTCAGACTGCCTAGACATGGGAGGGAGAGTCTGCAGGGCCTGGCTGGGGGTTGGCGAGCAGAAAGGAGGTGCTGGCTTCCTCCTCCTTGTCCCTGATGAGGGGCTGTGGACGATTTCAAAAGACAAGAGGGTTTCAGGGCCGGCCTCCCTGTCCCCCAGAGGTTTCCTGTGTCAGGAATTCGGGGCTTCCCGGGTGCTTCTCCTCCTTTTACATCATCGCCCAAGTCTCAGTTCTGGGAAGCAGGAAGGAGAATCCATTCCGTGCCTCAGAGGATCGCAGCCGAATGTCCAGGGCACATGGAGTGGCCCTCATTCCAAAAACAGAGCGTCCAGGTGAGGACAAGAGCCAGAACCAGGCCAGGCCCTGCCTCGAGGGAGGGCGAGCCACCTCTTCACAGTCCCACCAGCTCAGCTGGCTGCGCGCCCCCAAGGAGCTCTGGAAATGGTTGTTGAAGTGGAACGATGACTGGAAGGTGCCAGAAGCCGGGCACTGGCTGCCTCCAGACCTCAGTTTGCTTCTGAAGGCCCATCCCTGCCTTGCATGCTTTCCCAATGTTTCACGGTGGGAGGTGTGCACCGTCCTTCGTGTATTCAACACACACAGACTGAGAACCTTCGTGTGCAGGCATGGGGCGGGCCCAGAGGAGAGCAGAGGCCAGCAGGACCGTAGGGACTCCCGTCTAGCCTGGAGTCTTCTGCAGGGCACAACAGACACTCAGGAGCCGGCTCCTGTGAGGCAGAGAACCTAAGGCTGAGTCACGCTGACTTCCTAGAACTAAATCAAAAGGAAAACCCCACACCTCCATGCCCAAGTAACAAAACAATCAGAGGCCACTCCCTTTGCAACTCCCCACTTTGCACTGCCTGGCAGAGGAAAAATGGAAAGTACCTCTGATTGTTCCCCTCCCACAACTAATCAGACTGGCCGCCAGCCAAGTCTTCATTTGCATACGGGTGTAACCTGGTAACTTCCTTTCAGCCTCTGATTGGTTGCCTCCTGTAACCAATCAGACTGTAAACAATCAGACCAATCAAACCAATGTCGGACCACTACTTCATTTACATAGGGTGTAAACAAGTAACCAATGGGAAACCTCTGGATGATATTTACACACAGAAAACTCTGTAACCAGTCCTCTTTGAGCCACTTGCTCCAGCCCACTCCCACTCTGTGGAGGGTACTTTCATTTCAATACATCTGTGCTTTCCCTGCTTCATTCTTTGTTGCTTTGTTTGTGTATTTTGTCCAATTCTTTGTTCAGGTTCTTTGTTCAGGTTCTTTGTCCAGGTTCAAAATGCCAAGAACCTGGACAACTCATAGTCAAGACTCTCCCCAGGTAACACCTGTAGACAGTGCTTGGGAGGGACCTGAGCTCATCTGCAGATGGAGCAGCTGCCAGCCCATCAGTGTCCCAGAGCAGGCCTGGCCCAGGGACGGCAAGCAGAGCCCATCAGACAGCGGCAGCTGTCTCCATTGAGACCTCACAATGGAGCCAGCACCTGAGCTGCCTGGCTGGGATGTGGACACAGCCCGACTGGGGCACAGCAAGGTGGTTAGGCACAGCCTGCCTGGCCCTCTGAGGCCCAGTGGCAGTCACCTGACTACTCCCAGCCTTAGTTTTCCAATATGAGAAATGGCGCTTGCTGTAGTGATGAGAGGAGGTAATGAACACGAGGGCTCAGCCTGCAGCCCAGCACCCCATGCTCAGCAAATGGGGGTGACAAGGAGCCACGAGAAGTCAGCAGCCCCCAGGGCCACACCTCACTGCCCCTGCATTCCCACCACCATCCCCACGGAGGCTTGGTGCCCACCAGTCAAGACCCCTGTCCTCCCCACCCACTGCCCCAGCCCAAGCACCCCGTGTCACTTCCCACCATCCCGGCCCCATTGTCCCAGCCCAGGGACTCTGTGTTACCCCCTGCCATCCCCACCCCACTGCCCCAGCCCAAGCACCCCATGTCACCTCCCACCATACCCACCCCACTGTCCCAGCCCAGGGACCCCGTGTTACCCCCTGCTATCCCCACCCCACTGCCCCAGCCCAAGCACCCCATGTCACCTCCCACCATCCCCACCCCACTGTCCCAGCCCAGGGACCCTGTGTTACCCCCTGCCATCCCCACCCCACTTCCCCAGCCCTGGCACCCTATTGTCCCCACCTCACTGCCCCAGCCCTGGGACCCTGTGTCACCCCCGGCCGTTTTGCTTTTTCAGGGTTGGCTCAGGGCCTGCTCTCAAAGGTCCCCAGGGGTGGGTCCTATGTGAATCCCGTTTTACAGATTTGAAACCTAAGGCCCATTAAGGGACACACAGCAGCCAGTGCTGGAGCACTCTGATGGGATCCCCAGTATCCCCAGCCCTCACCCCACCTCAGTGTCCACAGAAACTCTCTTGGCGTTAAACTCGTGTGTTTCTTTTTGCTTCCTTTGAGGAAAATGGCTCCCCCAAAAGCCTGTGCTAGTGAGGGGAGCAAGAGAAGGTGAAGGGGTCTAAGAATCGCATGGTTTTATCCAGAAAATCACCTTTTAGATTAGTCTCAGCCTGTATATAAAGAATCGGTAAGGGCCCGAAGAGGCCGCCGCATTTGTCTGTGATTTTATTGCACTTGAGTGGGCTAAATTAGCTGCTGGTTTCATATCCAAGAACTGGAGACTCAGGAACATCTTCTGGAATTGTCTGTCCCTGTCTCTGTCTTCTGCAGTAGGCTCAGAGCCCCTTGAGGCTGGGGTGTCTGGTTTGAGCCTTTGGCATGGAGCTGTGCGATCATTAACCTTCTGCAGAGTTGGGCTGCAGGGTAACCCCACAGGGCCACGCTCCCCCCGCCTGCCTGGGACTAGTGCAGACTGACAGTCTCCTGGTAGGAGGGACCCCGGGGAAGCTCCTCTGGCTGTGAGTCTTCTCCAAACCTCAGCCCAGCTCCAGAATTCACAGGCCAGGCCAGGAGCCGACGGGCCGCAGTAAAAGTTTAATTGAATCTCTCCTTTCCCAGCCCTTCTGGAGCTAATGTCAGCTTCTTGGAGTGACCTGATGCAGCCAGTTTTTCTTCTTTATTATGGCCTGCCACAGCCAATTTAACAGGGACAACAGGAGCCAGCCTGAGCGAGACAAACAGCCTGGGGGCTGATAGGAGGGCCCGTCCTGCTAATTACAGAAGTGAGGAGGCTGGAAGCTGGGGAATCGCGATGCTGGTGGACGGACAGCTGGCCACCTTTCAGGCTGTGCTGTGCTGGGGACAGCGGAGGGGTCAGTGCTGGAGGGCACTAGCCAGAGAAGGCACTTTTCGTGGAATCTGGATGAGCCACTGATGTCCTTGAAACAGGAAGCTGTTTGGGGGTGAAGTAGTGGCTGTGAGGCTGGGGGTCCTCCAGGGATAACAATTCAATAAGCGAAACTGAAACAACGAGAGACACGCAGCAACAACATCATTCTTGGCGACCTTATTTTCCAGACTGTAGCGGGAAGGAGAAGATCAATAAGGAAATTGCTGTTTCTTTTCACAGAGTCAGCTGCTGGAACCTCCAGTGTTGCTACAGCCCAGCCTCCTGAGTCTGACTCGGGAAGGAAGAAAGCGGCCTCCGGAGGAGTGGGCTCCGGTCCCCCAGCAATTCTGAAAACTTTGGCCCATTCGAAGGCAGTTGCTCGATATCACGCCAATTTCCCCAAACATGGCTCTTGGAAAAAGCCTGAGGCTGGGTGTCAGGGGACTTGGGTTCCGTCTCAGGCCCATCTCTCCCTTACCGTGCTAACTTGGGCAGGTGTTAACTAGTCTCTCCGGGCCGCGATGTCTCTACTTGCCGAGTGGGGATGACAATGCCTCAGAGGCAGAGCAAAGGGCTGTGGGAGCCCCTGGAGGGAGGGACTGCACGAGCACAGGAGAGGGAGGTTTGCGCCCGGCCAGAGGGTGCTTTGCCTTGAGGCCAGGAAGAGTCCTACTTTGAGGCCTTTTCCAGGTAAAGGGAGCAAAGAGACCCCTGAAGTCATCTGATGTGATGCCCGGTGCCCCCGCCAGCCTGGGGGAGCCGTCGCAAGAGCCGTGGCTGCCACTTCCATGAATGGGGAGCGGCGTCTGCTGGCACTGGACCCATGCTTCCCCAGCACAGCCCCCTCACTGTGACACCAGCGTTGGTATCCTCGGGTGTCGGGTGGGGAAACTGCGGCCCAGAGTAGGCTGTGCGTGGTGGAGGCAGGGTTCGAGCCCAGGTCTGGGTGACTTCATGCCCGAGCTTTGTTCCTCCTGCCAGGCTGGGGGACTGGAGCCGTGGGACATGGGAGCAGAAGTCTGCCGGGAAACAGGCAGGGTGGGCTTACCACTCCCGTTTTCCAGGGAGGAGATTAAACCAGAGGAAGCAAAGCGAGTCTGCCAGGCCCGCTTGTTAACCCGCAGCTGCTCGGCCTCTGGTGGGGTGCTCGGTATTAGCTGGCGTGCGTGCTGTATGCATGCATGTGTGTGTGTGCACATGTGTGTGTGTGGTGGGGCACAGGGATAGAGAGCGCACAGAGGAAAGGCTCAGCTTCCACATCAGCCATCCTCCCCTGAGAGGGCAGAGGCGGAAGTGATGCCGCCTGCTGGCTCGGCCTTCCCTGGCCAGAGCCTCGCCTCCCTCCGCCGCCCTACTCCATGCTGGCAGCAGTGACTCACCAGCACAGAGCTTCGTAGGGCACGCCATTCTGGCACCTTCCACTGCCTGCTGCGTGATGAATAAATGGCCGGTGACTCACCAACTGGAGGACGCACCGTGGGTGCCAGCAGGCCGGTTGAAGGCAGGAAAGAGCAGCGCCCAGGCTCGGCAGTCCCAGGTTTGCACCCAGAGCTGCGGCTCATCAGTGGGCCTGGGCTGCTGCGTAATCTCCCCGTGTCTATTTCTGTAAGACGGAGGTCACACAGCACCCTGTGGGGTGAGGGTTTCCCTGAAAGATCCTTCCGAAGACAAGACCTCACCTTGCCTTAGAATCCTGGCAGCGTCTCTGGAGTTAGGCACTTGGTTTAGAACAACAAGAACTGTGTCCGAGAGACACAGCACCCCGGAGTCACCATGGTCTTTATTGACCCAACAACACTGGTGAAGGCAAAAGATGGTGCTCAGGTTTCCAGATGCTTCCTGGAGTAGGGCCTGACAATCACAGGGGTTAAGCATCATGGTTTATAAGCTACTCAGAGATCACTTTATAAAACAATCCAGGGACCAGGTGCAGTGGCTCACACCTGTAATCCCAGCACGTTGGGAGCCCGAGGCAGATGGATCACTTGAGGTCAGGAGTTCAAGATCATTCTGGCCAACATGGTGAAACCCTGTCTCAACTAGAAAAAAACAAAACAAAAAACAAAACAAAACACACACACACACACACACACAAAATTAGCCAGGCATGGTGGTGCTTGCCTGTAATCCCAGCTACTCAGGAGGCTGAGGCAGAATTGCTTGAACCCAAGAGGTGGAGGTTGCAGTGAGCCGGGATTGCACGACTGCACTCCAGTCTGGGCGACAGAGCAAGAGCCTGTCTCAAAAAAAATAATAATAAAAATAAAAATAATTTTAAAAATTAAGAATTAAAAAACCATATAGGAAGTGTGCAAGGTGGTTGCCTGTGAAAAATCCCCTGCTCAGGTGAGTCCATGGGTCCTTTTGCCTTCTGGACACAGAGGCCAGCACATACCCAGGGAGAGGAGGGCCCAGGGATGGACCCCAGGACAAAGGGTCCAGGGGAGCAAGTTGGGCCATTTAACAAATAGCATTGGGGCCAAGGAGCAGCCTTTGGAAGAAGATGAAACTGGTTCCACACTTCACACTATCAAAGCCAGGGCATGGACAGCCCCAGGGTAAACAGACAGACTTTGCAAGAACCAAGAGAAGCAGGGATCACGTTGGGGAAGGCGGCCCTAACTCCAACCCCGAAGCCACAAGCATCACAAGGATGATAGATAACCCTGACTACACTCAAACACACACACAGACACACACACAACACATAACCAACATCAGGAGACAAATGACAGACTAGACAATATGTGCACCTCAGACCACAGAATCACAAAGGCTGACTTTCCACACATAGAAAGAACTCCCAAAATTTGAGAAAGTAAGACCAACAACTGAATAGAAAACAATAGGCAGAAGATAGGAACTGAAAGTTCACAGAAAACAGAGTCAGTCCTCCCCGCTGCCCTGAATGATGGCTCCCTTCCACCTCACCCCCCTGAGGATGGAAACAGAGGCAAAATTACTCACTGGCCAGGCCTTATAGGAGGCTGGACCAGGAGCTGACCCAATTCCTCTGCCTCCCGGTCCCCCTTGAGCACTAGGAACTGTCTGCTGTCCCAAATCGCAGGCTCAGCTGATCTCCAAGCTTCAACTGCTGTCCTAGACCCTTCTCCATGTTGGGCTGTGCTCATCTTGTAGACTCTGGGTTGGAAGCCCAGTGGCCCGGGGAAATTGCTGGTGTCTCAGAGCCTGACTTTTTTCCATCTAGCATGGGGCATGACGCCTCTTCAACGGGGCGGTGAGGTCCAAGGGTTGCCGGGGGCGTGGCATCCAGGTATTATCTGCTCCAAGCCACCACTTCCTTTCTTTCTTCCTTCCTTCCTTCCTTCCTTTCTTTCTTTCTTTCTTTCTTTCTTTCTTTCTTTGTTTCTTTCTTTCTTTCTTCTTTCTTTCTTTCCTTTTTCTTTCTTTCCTTTTTCTTTCTTTCTTCTTTCTTTTCTTCCTTTCTCTTTCTTTCTTTCTTTCTTCCTTCCTTCCTTCCTTCCTTCCTTTCTTCCCTTCCCCTGCCCCTTCCTTCCTTCCTTCCTTCCTTCTTTCCTTCCTTCCTTCCTTCCTTCCTTCCTTCCTTCCTTCCTTCCTTCCTTCCTTCCTTCCTCTCTCTCTCTCGCTTGTTTGCTTGCTTGCTTGCTGTCTTGCCCAGGCTGGAGTGTAGTGGTGCGATCTCAGCTCACTGCAAACTTCACCTCCCGGGTTCAACCAATTCTCCTGCCTCAGCCTCCCGAGTAGCTGGGATTACAGGCATACCGCACCACGCCCGGCTAATTTTTGTATTTTTAGTACAGACCAGGTTTCACCATGTTGGTCAGGCTGGTCTCGAGCTCCTGACCTTGTGATCTGCCCGCCTCAGCCTCCCAAAGTGCTGGGATTACAGGCATGAGCCATTGTGCCTAGCCCACTTGCTGCTTTCAAAGGGAATTAGGTGAAATGTTCCAATAAAAAACATTTTCACACTCCACAGCTTTATGGACTACGACTAGATGACCTAAGGGTTTCTGGGTTGAAGAGTCCCTCGGGCTGAGACAATGGGCCCGTTTGTGCTCAGTACCTGCCCCGACGTCACCTGGCTTGCTGACTGTTGGCTGTTCCAGAGTGTTCAGCTATGGAAATAACAGTGCCTTTCATTTCTGGATCCCTTCCAAGAACAGAGCTGGGCACTGGCTGTCCACCCAGCACTTCCCAAGGATTGTTGAGACAGAGCACCTCACCCAGAGCCGCCTACCCAGAGCCAACCCCTCCTGCTCACTGGTTCAGAGAGCAGAGCCGCCCACATCTTCTGTTTCCCCCACCAAGTGCTACCTGAGCACCTGCAGCTCTGACAGGGCCAGGGGAGGATTCGATGGGGAGCTGTGGGACCAACAGTCACAGGCTTCCCTCTGGAAATTAGGAGAATTTCAGACCCAGCTGCAAACAGAACTGTCTCTTGCTCTGGCCTCTGTGTATTGCGAATAACTGCCAGATATGGACTCTGGGCCAAACTTTTAATAAAGAAAATTCATCCACAGATGTTCCACCATCAGCCAATATACTCGGTTATTGGAATCTGGGAGATTTAATGGCAGCCTGGTTATTTTATTTGCTCTCTGGGTAGAACCATTTTTCTTGTGTATGTAATATCCTGGAGGAATATTTTCCCTAGCAAATACTCAGCCTGAGACAGCAAATCCATTCTGGACCTGTCAGGTCATTATTTTGTCTTCTGGTGACTCAGAACAGATATTTGAATGCTTGTTTTTTACTATGTCACTAAGGGGAGATTACAAGGAAATCAGCCCGTAATCACAGCCTGTAATTATAGAATAGTTCCCACTTGATTGTGCTTGGACAGGTTTCTGTCTCGTCGGGGTAAACTCATTGGCCTGCTAGACTGAGTTATGGCTTGATGGAAACTCAGGGCTTTTCTCTGAATATCCACTCCTGTGTCTTGCAGGGGGCATTTTGTGTGCCACCGCGCTCTGAGACAATTTGTAAACAGAAAAGTATAAACGTGCCTCCAGCCCTGAAAGTCCTCACTGAAAGTGCACTCCGCAGTGGCGTGTGAGCGCTGCTTTCCTGCCAGTGAGGCTGTAGTTATGGATTAGGCATTTCTGCCCCACTCCCTCCCAAATATCGGGCTTTTTTGTCTTGGGTTTGGAAATTCACCTATTTTGGATACCCCCAAATCCCCCTCAAATCCCAAAGAACATGTCATGTCAGGTGCAAGAGACTCATAGATGCTGGATGCAGGGGCTGGTGAGAGCCAGGGAACGGGAGAACGGAGGCCTGGAGGAACGCAGGCCAAGGAGGAATGCTCCCTGGAGGTGAGAAGGAGTCGTTCCCAAAATGATGGCCCCTGAGCTGGCCCCTGGGGAAGGCAGAGAGCGGGGACAGAAGGGCACACAGGGCAGGCAGGGCAGGCGAGAGGCTTGGGGCGGGTGGGGCCTAGGAGAGCAGATGGGAAGTGGCCACCCCGACTGGGAGAGGCGTGTGCAGGGCACAGACAGGCACTGAGCCCCTGCCATGGGGTTCTAGGCAGCTTGGGACTGGGGCATCACTGGCCCACCCAACCCACTGTAGAAACATGGCCCTAGCGGCCAGGAGGAAGGGACCTGGGGCAGACTTCGACTCCACGAGCGGCTGATGGCCATGGCGACTGGGAGCTGGGCTCTGCACCTCTCCGCAGATGCTGGCTTCTCCTTCCCTTCCCACCCAGTGGGTTAGGGCTCACCTGTGCCCTATTTGTCATCCCGTATTTTCCTAACTGTTGTCCAGGGCCAGGTAACAAGGGAGCTAGACATGGTCCCCAAATGTCCCCAGCTGCCACCTTCCCTGACCGGTTCACTCTTTCAGCAGCCCCAACTTCTGTGTGGTTTCAGGAGCTGGTGTCGCACCTTCTCAGACATTCTTGGACTCGGTTCCACTGGCTACTACAGACGTCAGCTTTGTCTGACTGCGCCATCCACGATTCCACCTGGGTACCGCCCGGCTGGCTGTCTTTCCAGGACAAATGATGGAAATGCTGGAAGCTCATCCACTCACTGGTTTGAGCAGGTGCCACTGGGCCAGGCTCACAGGGTTGCCTGGCTTTCCCCAATGACCCACATCACTGCCCTGCCACCCACGTTGCTGGGGGTGCCAGCTGCCCCCAAGCAGAGGGCAGGTGAGAGCAGGGTGGCTCCCAACCTCACACTATACCTGGGGACCCAGACGAGCAGCCCTCTTCTGCCAAGTTGGTGCCAGGAACGTTGTGAGGGAGTTACTCTGACATTCTTCCTTCTCTGGCTGACAGGAAGTGCCAGTATATTCCAGAAAGACTCCAAACATTGAGTTGTGGCCTGTCCTGCAGAGACCTCAGGGCCTGCTGAGTGGCAGGGGCCTCACGAAGCTCCCAGGATCTAGCCCATGTGATGCCCTGGGCCCCTCAGGGTTGCCAAGGGCTGCACACACCCGGCCATAGTTTCCAAGGCCTGGGGAGATACGGGTCCCAGAGAGGGCTGTCACTTATCTCCAGTGCCTGCTGCAGCCCTAGATGAGTGAACTTTTCCTCAGCAGGGTCTCTGCCCACCATGCCAGTGCTGACTAAAGTGGGTGCCGCCCCAGGCCCCCTCCAGTGGTGTCTATGGAGGGACAGCAGGGTGGAGATGGGGTGTGGGTGGAGTCCCTGGTGCACAGCCCCAAGTTGGAGTAGCGCCCCAGAGTCACCTAAGAGGTGGCGGGTAGATTCTAAGCTGCTTCTCCAGGTTGGGGGGATGGGAGGTTGGAGATCCAACAGGGACCTGTCCTTGCCCTCTTCCGAAAGAAAGGATTTATTTCCCTTTCTCAAAGGGCCACTCAAACCCAGGAATCCGTCTGCAAGGACCTGGAAGTCTCGGTCATTTTTAAAACTCTCAGAAATGACAAGTGAAGCAAAAAGATCTCCTAATGTTTTTATTGTTCCTTAGATAACTGGATAGTACAAAGTTTGCCTTTGTTTTTTACTTAAAAAACGTACTTTCCGCATACTGTTGCCCGTATGACTTTCCTGTCCCATCGGAAACCAGAGTTTCCCCAGGCGAGCCCTTCCTATCTGCGGTTACATGATTTAGCTAATTTAACAAGAAGAGAGTAATTCCTTTGATTATTATCAACATGAACTTGACTATGTCTCTATAAGGGTGAACACTGATTTTTTTTTTCTTTTTAGAAACAAAAACCATCCACTTATTAATCCAAACTACGGCATTGCATTTACAACAATCATCGCATAAACTGAACATACGAAGTTACCACCTCAAGGGAATAACAGAAGAACGTTGCACAATGTATCTACGGGGTACGCGAGTTCAAACAATGTGGGCACAGCAACTTCACTCTACACACTCTGACCATCGCTTCAGTATGTACTAGACACAGGTCCAGGAGCTATGTGGAGCCTCAGCACGGTTAATCTAAGAGACAGCAACACAGTCAAGAAACGGCACTGCAATGGGATGCGAGTTACACTAGCCTACGGCCGGGTGCAGCCCATGGCTCTCAAAGAGCCTGGACGCCACATTCCTCGGAGCTGACCACGATCTAAGGAAATGTTCATGCCATCCTAACAGTGGGTTTTTCCCCGGTGAGAACTGGCCAACAGTCATTGCCTCGCCTCTTTAGTATGTTGTTTGACCAGAGAGGGACAGGGCGGGGAGGAAAACCGGGGCGCCGTGGGCTGCAGTTCCAGCTGCAAATACGGGAGTTTCTTCCGACGTCTGTGGCCCGCCGGCTCGAAAGGGAGAAACACGGAGGTAATGCCATCCCTCGATGTCAGAATCCGCACTGCTGATGATTTTTCAAGATCGGTATTGTTAGTGTTATTGGTATCTTTTTGGCAGCAGTTTCACAGGAGTCCCTTTGTGGTGAGGACGTGGGCCCTTGGCTTCCAGGAGGAGGGAGCTACAACTCGTCGGAGCGGATGACGTGGAAGAGGGTCACGTTGTAGAGGATCTGGTGGCCGTTGTTCCAGGCATACAGGGCCCGGTCCTTGGGGTTGTAGTCCAGCATGGAGATGTGGGAGTATTTGTTCTGGAATGGGATGTCGATGTATTCATAGGTGGAGGCATTGGTCTGGTATGCATAGTGGACCTTGGTACCCCCTGAGTAGCCGTTGGTGACGTACAGCGTGCCGCAGATGATGAAGGCCTCCCCGGCGCTGCGCTTGGGGTAGCTCGTGTTCCAGGTCTGCAGGGTCTGCAGGGACACGGGGTCCAGCCTACTGACCACGATGTTGCCAGCGTTCTGGTTGGTGGCGTACACGGCCCACAGCCCGCTCTCGTCCACCATGAGGTCGATGTCCGAGTGGCCACCCCAGGCGTAGTGGTACATGTTGTTGTAACCGGCATAGTCCAGGCTGCGGGTCTTGAGGATGGTCTCTGTCTTCAGGTCAAACCTGATGATGATGTGGCTCTGGAACTTGTTGAAGTAGATAGAACCGTTGTAGACCACCTGCCCCGTGCCCGACCAGGGGTGGGGGAGACGGTGGGAGGTGAAATTGTCCGTGTTCATGAAGTCAACCATGGACTTGTACTCACGTACGAAGCGGTTGTTGTGATAGCCGTCCATGTACCACACCTGTGGAGAGAGCAGACCCGGTGGTGAGCACTTCCAAAGACCCAGTGAGTACTCCAAAGACCCAGTGAGCACTTCCAAAGATCCAGTGAGTACTCCAAAGACCCACTGAGCACTCCAAAGACCCAGTGAGCACTCCAAAGACCCAGAAAGCACTCCAAAGACCCCGTGAGCACTTCCAAAGATCCAGTGAGTACTCCAAAGACCCAGTGAGTACTCCAAAGACCAAGTGAGCACTTCCAAAGACCCAGTGAGCACTCCAAAGACCCAGTGAGTACTCCAAAGACACAGCGAGCACTCCAAAGACCCAGTGAGTACTCCAAAGACCCGGTAAGTACTCCAAAGACTCGGTGAGCACTCCAAAGACACAACGAGTACTCCAAAGACCCGGTGAGCACTTCCAAAGGCCCGGTGAGCACTCCAAAGACCCAGTGAGCACTTCCAAAGATCCAGTGAGCACTTCCAAAGATCCAGTGAGTAATCCAAAGATCCAGTGAGTACTCCAAAGACCCGGCGAGCATGCCAAAGACCCGGCGAGCATTTCCAAAGACCCAGTGAGCACTTCCAAAGACACAGAGAGCACTCCAAAGACCCGGCGAGCACTCCAAAGACCCAGTAAGCACTCCAAAGACACAGTGAGCACTCCAAAGACCCGGTGAGCACTCCAAAGACCCGGCGAGCACTCCAAAGACCCGGCGAGCACTCCAAAGACACGGCGAGCACTCCAAAGACACGGCGAGCACTCCAAAGACCCAGTGAGCACTCCAGAGACCCAGTGAGTACTCCAGAGACCCAGTGAGCATTTCCAAAGACCCAGTGAGCACTCCAAAGAGCCAGTGAGTACTCCAAAGACCCAGTGAGCATTCCAAAGACCCAGTGAGTACTCCAAAGACCCAGTGAGCATTTCCAAAGACCCAGCAAGCACTCCAAAGACCCAGTGAGCACTTCCAAAGATCCAGCGAGCATTCCAAAGACCCAGCGAGCATTCCAAAGACCCAGCGAGCACTCCAAAGACCCAGTGAGCACTCCAAAGACCCAGTAAGCACTCTAAAGACCTGGTGAGCACTCCAAAGACACAGCGAGCACTCCAAAGACACAGCGAGCACTCCAAAGACCCAGCGAGCACTCCAAAGACCCAGTGAGCATTTCCAAAGACCCAGCGAGCACTCCAAAGACCCAGTGAGCACTTCCAAAGACCTGGTGAGCACTCCAAAGACCCGGTGAGCACTCCAAAGACCCAGTGAGTACTCCAAAGACCCAGTGAGGACTTCCAAAGACCCAGTGAGCACTTCCAAAGACCCGGCGAGCACTTCCAAAGTGGGGTGGAACAGGCTTGTGTGGAAAGCTGTTCCTTGGGCGGGAAGCTGTTCCCCGACTTGGAATTTCCTGGACCTCAGGAGAAGGAGCTGAAAGAGCCAGGAAACAGTAGTCACGACCAAAGGGTGCCATGTCCTCCCTCCAAACCCAGAGAGCCAGGAAAGAGTAGTCACAACCAAAGGGTGCCACGTCCTACCTCCAAACCCAGCACACTCCTCAAAAGGAGACACAGCTATTGTGCTATCAGAGAAAGGATGGCCCAGTTTGAAGAAAGGGTCTAGTGGGAAGGTGAGATGGGAACACACAGTTTGAAGAAAGGATCTAGTGGGAATTTGGGATGGGACACACAGGCCCAGTTTGAAGAAAGAATCTAGCAGGAAGGTGGGATGGGAGCACACAGGCGTATACGTGCAGCCATTCGCCCCTAATCCTGCCCTCTGCTTGCTTGGGATGACACCAGGTTGTGGGGCAGCAGCTGCACCTATCTGTTCACTGCCATACCCCTAGCCAGGGGCCTGGCCCATAGTGGGGGTCATACACACGTGTGCAAGAAAGGAGCTCCTTCAGTACAGAACCCAGGGCTGAAGGGGGCCTTCGAAGGGGCACAGCCACCTGGCCTAGCCGAGGGCAAATGCTCACAGCCCCAGGCAGCTGTTGTCTGCAGTGAGGATCGACTCTCAAAGTCACCGGGGCGGGCCAGCTCCCATATCCCAACAAGACACCACGCTCAAGGCCTCTCCTCCCACCAAGCCATCGCTGCGGCACGGACTGAGTCATCCTGTCTGCAGGGCGGAATGTCATTAATTTGGCATTTGGGATGCTGTGAGTGTAATCACTCATTGTCACCCCTAATCCAGCAAAAGTGCCTCTCCGAGAAGAATATGGGCTTTGAAGAAGCCTCTGGTTGTCGAAAGCAACCAAGATAGCAAACCCAGTAATGGCCCAAGTTTGGGGTTACAGAAGAAGAGATTTCCGATGAAATGCCAGTTGACTTGAGAACTGTCTGGACTTTGCGCAAAATGCTTTAGTCATTTTCAACCAATGTGGGAGCAAATTAGAAAGCAACGCAGTTAGGCAGAGGGAGTCTGGCAGGCTGGTGCCGCTCTGCATGCATCTGTCTGGCAATGAGACAGCTGCTTTATCCGTCGAGGGCTCTGGAGCTGCAGGAGACTAAGGATGAGGGAGCTTTCAGACTTGGCATTACACACGCGCTAAAAATTAAAAAAAAATTATAACCTTCTTCTCAAGACATCCATTCGATACTTACAAGCAGATGTGCTTTTTGTTTTTAATGAGATCTTTTTTTTTTTTTCAGCTGGGCCTCATTTGAGGCTATTATCCTTAGCCTCCCACAGACCAAACCTCAATGATGTGGGTCACAGATTAGAACCGGGAGGGGTATTGGAGGGAACGGGGCCATGTGCTGAAACCCCCTTAATGACACTGCCACAAAGCTGCCCTCTTGCCCCCTCTTTGCTTGGCTATCTCATCAGACAGGGAGCTCACTGCTTCTGAAACTCACATCTAATACCATTCCTCCCCAAGCCCTCTCCTGACCTGCCTGGAGGGGAACCACCCCTGCCATCGCAGCACACAGAACACCTTTGACTGTGTTCACACATCACCCCCACAAACAAGCCCTTGATCGCGGGGACCCAGGGTGACTCACCCCTGTACCCTGGGTCCAGAGCCTCCTTCCCATGGGCAGAAGGGGGATACACCAGCATCAACTTGCTAAGGATTTTTAAATCACCTTCTCTTCCAGTACACCAGCAAAATGACACAGGATACCGCACTCTGAAGATGTAATTGGGGGTGGGAGGGAGAATCGGCACACGGTGCACAGGCTCAGGCAGGGTTCAGGGGAGGCCGCTCTGAGCGTTTGCCAGTTTCTGTGGGGTAAAAACTCCTTCGAGGCTGAGATCCAGTTGCCAATGGGAAGGCACCCATGCAAAGAGAGGCACTCAGAACCCCACAGGCCTTGGGATAAGGAGCCCCGTGCTTCACAGTAGGTCCCCTCCTCTGAGTTCATTCCCTCAATGTTCTCATCTGAAAGGCCTTTTTCTTCCCCTTTCTCCAAGTCCCAAGGCTCAGATCAAATTCCATCAATGCCTGCTAGCTTCCTCTCTGGGGAGGCGGCCCCAAATACAGTACCGGCTTTTAGGGAGATTGAGCACTTGCGCCTCCGGGCAGGACCTATCGTTCTTTCCAAAAAGACCCAAGGGCACCCAGCAAAAGGCCAAGAGCGGAACCAGGCTGCCTGGATGCCAGGTCACTTGTGTGCCGTTACTCAGGGCATTCACTGTGCCGGACGCTGGCATCATCTCTTGCCTTCAATTATCACATGAGCCCGTGCACCCAGGGAGCCGTGATCGCCCCATTTTTAGACTAGAAAATGGAGGCCAGGGAGGTTTGGTGACTTTCCAGTGGTCAGAGTCAAGAGGGGACTCCAAACCCTGAGCTTGAAACCACCAATCTGGCCAGTGGTGATCTGCCCTGGGGGCACTGCACATGCCCAGAAACAGTTCGATTGTCTTGACTGGGAAGTGGGGAAAGTGCTGCTGGCATCTAGGGGCAGAGGCCAGGGGTGCTGCTACCCATCCCCACACACCAACAGCCCCCTGCAACGAGGCATGATCCGGTCCCACACGTCAGTGGGTGAGGCTGAAAAGCCCCAGCCCTGATGCGCTGCTGTCCATGCCATGAACCTGCCAGGTAAACGGCCCATTTCCCTCCGTCCACTTATCCTTTCTGCCCCCAGGGGAACCTGGAGGGCAAACCCTCTGTCCCTGCGTCACCCATCAGGGCTGACCTTGGGCAAGCAATCTCGTCCCTGTGCTGGGGAAGTGGGGCCTGGCCAGGTAAGGCTTCGCCGGCCTCCTCCCTCTTCCGAAGGATGCAACCTGGATGTGGACGTGGGTTTGAAGGCTCGGCCTGAAGCTGCAGACCTGAGTGGTGAATGTGTAGGAAGGTGAAGATGGCACCCCTGGCTGAAGATTTCGGTGGCTCCCACAATAGAGGATATTTCTTTCCTAGCAGGGCTGAATTACAAAGAAGTACATTCACCCTTGACCTTTTGTGGCCCTAGCGGTCTTGAGGAAAGGATCTGTGTGTGTCAAGCTCCAGCGGGGAAATTGTCCCAAATAGGGCAGACGCATTTGCAGGGAGAAGCTTGCTGTTCCTGCCTGGCCTCATCCTTCCTGCCATAGAGCAGGGGTGGGTGGGGGGCTTGGATGACATCAGCTCCGGGGTCCACACTGTGCCGCGTGCGAAGAGGGCTATTCCCCATGCACATGGGAATAATCCGTGTCTGGGGCCTGGTTCCCGCTGCCTCATTCCTCAGTGGTGCTGGCAGCTCCCTCCTGGCCTCTGCAGCTCTGGTGTGGCCTGTGTGAACCTTCTAGAATGCCGGTCCAGCCTGTCCCTTACCCAGTCCCCTGTACACACCCTTTCTGATCCCAAACTCCAAACTCTGCTGCCCAGCCAGCCCCTCCCTCCCTCCCCAGGCTGCCCAGTCACATCCTTCAGTCCCAGACCTACCAACTCTTGCCTCTGTGCCTGCGGGAGCTGCCCCTCCACCCCGTCCCCATCCCTGCCCCAGGCCACACTCACCCCCTTGGGAGGTATTTCCTAAACCCCTGTACCCCCAGGCAGGCAGGTGTCCACTCTTATAGTAGACTGAATAGTGGCCCCCAGAAGATAGGTCCACATCCTGGGACCTGCAAATGGGACCTTATTTGGGAAAAAGGTCTTTGCAGATAGGATTAAGAATCTCGGCTGGGCATGGGGGCTTACGCTTGTAATCCCAGCATTTTGGGAGGCTAAGGTGGGCGGATCACGAGGTCAGGAGTTCGAGACCTGGCCAACACAGTGAAACCTCGTCTCTACTAAAAATATAAAAATTAGCTGGACATGGTGGCACGTGCCTGTAATCCCAGCTACTCGGGAGGCTAAGGCAGGAGAATCACTTGCAGTGAGCCGAGATCGCACCACTGCACTCCAGCACTCCAGCATGGGCAACAGAGTGAGACCCTGTCTCAAAAAAAAAAAAAAAAAAAAAAAAAAAGAATCTCAAGATGAGCTGGTCCTGGATGAAGGTGGGCCCTAAATCCAGTGACAAGTGTCCTTATAAGAGACAGAAGAGGGGACACAGACACAGGGAGGAGCCATGTGAAGACGGAGGCAGAGACTGGAGTGATGCAGCCACAGCCAGGAACACATGGAGCCACGAGACGAGGCAGGAGGGTCCTCCCCTGGCATCTTCAGAGCGCAGCCCTGCAGGCGCCCTGGTCTGGGGCTTCCAGCCTCCAGCACTGGGTGACAGTGAGCCCCTGTGGTGCCCCCCAGGCTGTGGGAGCTCCTGCAGCAGCCACAGGGCACCTCTTGGGCTTCCACACCCGTGTGCTGGGGCATCGGGCATGTGTCTCCCACCTGACCGTGAGCCCGGAGGGGAGGCCTTGCCGCCTCACTGTGACCCAGCACCCCCACTCAGCTCAGGGCACACCGTGGGTCTGCCAAAGCTTTCTGGCCTCCCAGGCACTGCTCTGTGGATCCCACAGAGTGAGGGGTGTCCACGTGGCTGGACTCCTGTTAATGCGGCACCAAGAAGCGCCTCCACCGCCAGCCACCGCCAGTCTCCAGCGAGACCTGGGGAGTTTCCACCCCTCTCTGTGCCTCAGTTCCCTCTGCTGTAAAATAGGTCCTGTGAGGACCTGCCACCTGTAGTGGTTCAATAAATGCCAGCTATCATCATTTATGTCCTTAGCCCGGGACTCGAGTGGGCTTGGTGGTTCTGGGTAGGCTAGACACGGCCCTCAGAGCCTGCTGGAGCTCATCAGGCCCAGGCACCACCCAAAGGAAGAAGGCCATAAGACCACCTGTGGGGACGTGGCGGTAGGGTCAGCCCATCTGAAAACCGAGACCACAGGGGGCTTGGCCTCCGGACTAGCCCAGGATGCAGCAAGACAGGCCGTGACACCCATCCCTCCACAGAGTCACAGAGGCTTAGGGACCCCGTCCCCAAATCCCCACTTCAGAGAGGCCCAGAGAGAAGGAAGGCCTCTCTCAGGGTCACATGGCCAGCTGTGCCAGCTGCCACATGCTCTGTGCATTAGGAAGCGTGCACGCTGGTCTGGATCTTGCACACAGCACATCCAAAGCCTGCCCTGACCCCGACACAGCTTGCTTCCACCCAGGTTCCCAAGGCTGCCCTCCCCCACGCCACAAAGTGGCTTCCATCTATGAAGGAGACAGCAGCTCCCCGCACCTGCTCATCCCTGGCTGGATGCCCCCAGTGATGCCCTCTTCCCTCCTGCCATGGCCTCTTCTCATCCCCCTTCCTTCTCCCCCTCAGGGACCTTGTCCCAATCTCACTTGGCGGCCCCATGTGGTGGTCCGTCTGTGCCCCTGCAGAAGGCAAGCTCTCACGCCGCCATCCTCCCAGGACACCACGGTGTCCACACGAGCCCTTGCTGCTGAGCTCTCCCAGGGTCAAGGCATCCACAGCGGCCCAGGAGACGCCCGCCCAAGAGTGGCCCTGTGCGGACTGGGTGGACGGGTCACCCACCGACTGGGAGAATGGTGCCTGAAAGCAGGTGTGCATGGCTGGCTGGCCATCCTGCCCCAGGTCTTGGCTACACAGAGCCCCAAGGCTGGGCCCCAAGCTCCATCAAGGGCCACCATTCATCTCCTATTTTCCAGGTGCTGGGGACACAGGCCCTGTCCTCCCAAAGCTTCTGACCTCATGAGGGGCCATGGCTCCACGCAAAAATCCTCGTGCTGGAAGAATCTTGGGGTTCCCCAGGCATAGGAAGGGGAGACCAGAGAGAACATTCTGGGAACAGAAGGCCAGTGCAGCCTGGAGGGAACAGGGACCTTAGACAGCAGAGACCAGAGACTCTTCTGCAGGTGCCTCTCCCAACTGAGAGCCCCACAGGGCGGGTGGCCCCTGGTGCCGTCTTTCCATGGAGCCCTTTTGGCGATCAGCGGCCAGTGCATGTCCCTCCCTGACCTAACTGCTCTCCATTCACAGCTGGACGGGCTGCTGTGTGCCATGAGCTGAAACCTGGTGTATTAGAGCCACTGGTGCTGCCCCCACAACGTATGCTGAGAGCCCCCTGTGCAGGTGTGCCCTTTCTGATCATGACCCCAAGGAACAGAAGGTTAAGAATGTCCTGGCTGGGCGTGGTGGCTCACGCCTGTAATCCCAGCACTTTGGGAGGCCGATGTAGGTGGATCATGAGGTCAGGAGATGGAGATCATCCTGGCCAATGTGGTGAAACCCTGTCTCTACTAAAAAACACACAGAAAAAAAATAGCCGGAAGTGATGGCATGCGCCTGTAATCCCAGCTACTCGGGAGGCTGAGGCCTGGGAATTGCTTCAATTCGGGAGGCGGAGGTTGCAGTGAGCTGAGATTGCACCACTGCACTCCAGTCTGACGACAGAGCAAGACTCCGTCTCAAAAAAAAAGAATATCCTAAAGGTCACAGAGCTGGGAGGGGCAGCAGAGAGACGCAGACTCCAGTGTGGAGCAGCTCCGAACCTCTGTGCCCAGCTCTGAACCACGCCACCCACAGGGACCCCACACAGGAGCTCACTGGTGACATCTGATGTCCCCAAGCTCCGCAACACACCCACCCTCAGCACAGGCAGGAAAGTTCAGATTCCCAGCCCCGAGATCTAGGAAAAGCAGGGGGTCAGGGCTGGACTCAGGCCTCCTGGGGGTCGTGGAGGTCTCGCACACTGATCATCCTTCTCCAGTTCAATGGGCCATGCGCTACAGTCCCTGAGAGCCTGCGGCCAGACGGCGAGCGAGGCCACCCTGCCCCGAGCACAGCCTCACTCTAATTCGACGACACAGGCTGGAAGGCCCCAAGTTCCTGCCCAAATCCCCTCCCCAACCCATGAGGGTTTCTTTGCCGGAAAAGATAAAGCAACGGGTGGGTTCTTCCTTCTCACGCAAACACAAAATGCATTTGTAAATACCATGCTTTCAGGGGACCAGGCTTCTCCGAAACCGAGGCCCAACACAGCTTCCCATATAAGAAAAACTGGCTGTCTGAACCTCTGCACCGCATTTCAGCCACATGTGGTGCAGTTTACTGAGAACGTGGGATTTTCCTAACTGTCCCGATTACTTTCATCAGCTTCCCAGTGAAGAGGGCCTCTCGGTTCAGGGTAGAGCTGGACGATGGGCACAGATCTGGCACTGCCGTCCCAAATGCCTCTGATGCAGCCCCCGGGAAGTGGGAAGCGGATGCTATTTAAGGGGTCTTGGCGTAGGGACTTGGGCCCGCGCTGGCACTTCCCTTTGGTTTGGCAAGCATCTGTCACATGTCGTCCTGACAGAATTCCTAACATCAAGGAGCCTGGGCCGCTGGAAAAGACACTCTAAAGCGGCCCGTAGCTGAATGGGTGGTGGGAAAGAGGTGGGGGGGATGCTGGCAGTTTCTGCCGGAGGCTCCACTTGGGGAGTGAAGGCTGAAGGGGAACAGACAACGGTTCTCGGTCCTGGGAAGGTCCCTCCTCACACTGAGAAGTGACTGGAAGGGGCGTTGATGTTTATTGCACCACTGGCGGCGGGCGGATCACTGCCTGCACCCACACGGTTTTATGCATTTTGGATATTTCCACCTTCTGGAAAAAAAGATTCCGTGGGATCCTTATAAAATATCTAGATGGCCTTGACGCTGTTTAGATGATGGGAAAGGACTTTGAAACGCTAAGCTAAGCTTGCTGCTGTTTGTAAATGACAGTGTTTTCCTAATTATATCACCCCTTCAAACATGAACTTCCTGGGGTGGTGGGAGTAGCGCTGGCCCCCTTTTTGGTGTCTGGTGTCTGATGTGAGCTGACCTGAGACTTTTATAGGAAGCGGGTCAGAAAGGAGGAGGCAGATGTTGGGCTCTGGAAGGCAGGCCATGGTCAGAGCAGGCCAGAAGCCTCCGAGCTGGGGAAGGGGTCCCAGAACTCATGTGGTCTCCCAGTGGGTGGGAACACAGCCTGGCAGGGCATTCACGCATCAGGTTGAGAGCTGGCCAACCTCCACACAGCCCTTCCCTCCTCCAACACTGAGGCAATGGGACGGGCGGGAAGGAAAGGAGGGGCTGTGGGGCCCGGTGCCCTGGGAAGCGCAGGGGTGGCTTCCTGCTGAGAAGAACTTGGGGGCTCTCAGTGCTCAGCACAGGCCGGACATACAGTCAGTGCTTAATAAATGAATCCAGAAAGACCTGCTGCAAAGGCGTCCCAAGCTAACCTTGTTCTGACAGCTTAGCAAGGCCCTGAAGCTGGCTCAGGACCGTCCCTCCTGTGGTCACACGAACACAGAGATTCTGCAGGTCCCCCTGAGCCGGGCTCTCTACTAGGCAGCCCCATTGAACCTCTCCCCTCTGCCCTTGGCCACACCTGCCTTACAATGCCCTCCGTGGCAGCCTGCACTGAAGCCGACATTGATTTCTTTTTCTTTTTTTTTTGGAGCGAGTTATTGGGCTCCTGTGTGTGTGATCAAAACTGAATGGGAGATTGGAAAAGATCAAAACAAACAAACCACGGCTGGCCTAGATCAATGACAGGACCTGGGGACATGTCACTTAGCACACTGGGAGTTGGAGGCTGTGCTGAGCGTATGGCTTGGAATGGCCGTAGCCGAGGGTGCTCTGAGCAGGCTCCGGGTGGCTCCTCTGCCAGCCCCAGCACCCATCTCCCCCACCCCCTTGCCAGGGATCCCTTCTCCTGCGGCTTCTTCTCCCCACACTCTACCCACCATCAGAGCCTCTTTTCCTGGAGGGCGATCCAGTCATCAAGCAGAAAATAGATGCCTAATGATCAAAAGCATCCATCAGCACCGCGACAGCTTTGCAAACCCACACCCTCGCTGCGCTGTGCAAAGCAAACAGCCGGGGCTTCCAGGAGCCCCAGATCCTTGGTACCTAGAAAAACGATAACTTGACTAGTGCTCCCTACGACAAAGGAAGGTGATACAAAAACAGAAGTCAAGAGGCACACACGTGTGGCGTTAGATACAGACAGAGCAGTCCAGCCCTGGGGGGTGTAAGGTACAGACAAAGCAGTCCAGTCCTGGGGGGTGTTAGATACAGACAGAGCAGTCCAGCCCTGGGGTTGCCCTCTGCAGCAGGGAGGTGACTGCTTCCTGCTCACAGATCTCAATGTGGTCAGCGTGGGTTTGTGGGGTGGTTTTCCTGCTCTGCATAGTGGGGTGGGCCAGATTGCGGGGAGGTGTGGGAAGGGCACTTGTAGGGGGAGGGTGGTATAAGGGACTCGGCTTGGAGTGTCAGTGCATGCTGCAGACAGGCACTCCATGATCCTGAGACCCTTCTGCCTCTGGGCGTGAGAACAGTCTTGTCATCCACACTGAGATGCCAATGACCCCGACGCAGGCAGGTCCCAGGGAGGACAAAGCAGGAAGGGCACGCAGATGGCTGCATGAAGGCCCCGTCCTTCCCCCGCTATTAAGGGAGTTAATGCATGAAAAGAAAGTGCTTTGGACAGCACCTGCACACAGGACACACTCGCTGTTTTTTTTGTTTTTTTTTTTTTGAGACAGAGCCTCGCTCTATCACCCAGGCTGGAGTGCAGTAGCATGATCTCGGCTCACTGCAACCTCTGCCTCCCAGGTTCAAGCGATTCTTATGCCTCAGCCTCCGGAGTCGCTGGGATTACAGGTGCACGCCACCACGCCTGGCTAATTTTTGCATTTTTAGAGAGATGGGGTTTCACCTTGTTGGCCAGGATGGTCTCAAACTCCTGACTTCAGGTGATCCGCCCGCCTCAGCCTCCCAAAGTGCTGGGATTACAGGTGTGAGCCACTGTGCCCGGGCCTGCTTTCTAAGTGCCTGCCAGCATCACCTTGTTTTCTTCTGTATTATGATCATTACAAAAACATCTGTGGCAGGAGCAAGTTCCTAACTCTGAACATAAGTGGGGTTTTCCAGGTGGGATGTGGAATAAAAGAGTGGTCAGAGTCTTCACAGCTAATTAAATTGTTAGAAAACTTCCAAGCCTCAGCTGTCACAATTTAGAAAACAGGACAGAAAAACCTCCCTGACAAACACCCAACACCAATTGTATCCCGGCTCTGCAGTCTGGCCAGCCCTTCCAGATGGGGGCGGGGGCCACTCCCATGCGAGGCTGGGGGATCAAGACACATGCAACAGGCTCTAGCAAGTCTGCCAGTCCCCCTCCCCTCCCCAGCCATCTTCCTGGAAGGAAGGAGTGTGCCAGAGGCCGTACCGCCCATGTTTTAAATATAAGAGATTTCGTGGAAATGGTGGCAATGGTGAAGGAGGGAGGCAAAGAGATCAGAAATCAGAGGGGAGAGAGCTGGGTCCATCCCTTCCTTCAAACCCGCTCCAGATAAAGCTTAGAGGATCTCACATTTCAAAGGGCCTTTCTCAGTCGGCCCAGGGCAGAGCTGGGTTGTTTGTTTTTAAGTGTTTATTTTCTAAGTGTCCTGCAAACCCCTGAAGGAAGGGGTTGCTGGGTGAGAAATGCCCACTCTGGCAGCCAGAGGTCAGTTTGCAAATCAAGGGACAGCGAAGCCCTGACAGCTTCCCTCCCCCATCGAGAGCCTTCAGAGGGTGCTCACTTTGGAGGGAGTCTACAAGCCCATGCTGCCTGTATACAGGGGTCTGGGGCCCAGGGGCCGAGCGAGGCCGGGCCTCACCATCAGTCGGGCAGCCACCCTCACCTCCCCATTTTTCAAAGGGGCTCGAACATAAAACCCAGCCCCCCAGATAAAGGCAAATATGATGCCTGTTTCTCTCTCCTCTTCTGAGGTTTCACCCAGCGGGGAAAAGCCTGGGAAAAAAGAACATGGCCTCTTTCCTAAATCAAAAGGAACATGAGTCTCCATCAGCCATGAAAGGAATGGCAAATGAAATACAAATGAGATGTCATTAAAACAAGAAAGGCCTAATGAATTCTCTTCCTGAAGCAGATGCAAGGACCGGAAAAGTCAGGGCTGGGTTTCGGCTCCAGAGAAATGGACTTGGGGCACCAGCCCAGCCCAGCCCAGCCCAGCCCAGCCCAGCCCAGCCCACCGGGCCGGGGAGGAGGCCTTGAAGGGGTCTACAGCCATGTCATGGGATACCATCAACCTCATGTCACTCCCTGGCCCATGATCTACAGCTCTGGATTAGCATAGAGGCCTGGGTCCCTCCCGAAAGTCTTCCAGGAACAAACGCCCCCAGGCACCAAGCTGCCCAGTCCATAGGCCCTGGAGGGTGGGCGTGGCTTGTACCCATGTCTGGGGCCCACCAGGTGTCCGAGAGCGCCCTTGCCCAAATGACCCCCTATGACATAAGGGGACACTCACCCGGTTATCGCCTTCAGGGGCGAGAGGGTCTGTCATCCAGGATCCGAACCTCGAGCCGGAGGTCTTGACAGTCACGGGGTCACTGATGCCCGTCAACTTCCCGCAAGCTGGAAAAGAGCACGCAGGTCAGGAGAGGGAGGGCGGGGGCCCCGGCCCGCGGTGATGACCCTGACCTCGACTGCCCAGAGCACACGTGCCATGTGGCGGCTTCTCCTCTTGCCCTCGGGGTCTGGGGTACTGTGGAAAGCTGCTCACGCCCTTGTTTTCACAGACAACTCCCCCACTCTCGGAAAAGCCACCTCCTCCCCAAAACAGAGCAGCTGTGGCCAGGATAGCAGGGAAGAGCCGTGGGCAGACGGCCGCCCTCCCAGGCTTCACGCCTCCTCAGCCTGCTGGACCCATGGCCTGGGGATGGGGGTGCTGGAGCAGCACCTCTAGGAGAGGGGGTCAGCTTTGCCAAGACTCAATTTTCTTCTCTTGGAGATGGGAACGCAGCGGCTCCACCCCCAAGGGCATTAGAGGTCATGCCCTGACAGCCCAGCCCGCGTGGGGCACAGTCAGGCCCAGTGTGAGACACTGCATCCAGGCAGGCCCTGTCCCACGATGGAGCAGCAGCACCACCAGCCGCCCCGGAACTGACCCGGGACAAAGGCCACAGCTGCCTTCCCGCAGGAAGAGCCTGCGCGCTTCTCCCACAGGCGTGAGCCGGTTGCTTCTGCCAGTGGGAGGAGCCCAAGCTGGAGCGCACCAGGGCGGATGGGATCCTGGATGTGATCTCAGCAGCCCTCCCGTCTCACAGAGGACCATGGAGGTGAGGAGGGACACACCCGGGCCACCCGGTGATTTGGACTGAGGCTGGAGCCCCCCACACCCCCGAGGGCTCAGGGCGGCTTCCACACCCACTGCACAGGAACAGAACTCCTCCTGCCCGGAGGCCGGTGTGTCTGCGCAGCCACGCAGCTCTTCCAGAATGCACGAGCCTCGGCCGCCCTCTGAAGGGCCAAACGCTCCTGATTCTAACAGGGACCCTGGATGGGAAGTGGGTGGCTTTCCTGGGGAGGGTAGAGGAAGGGCCCCTCCACCACAAGTCCCCGCACCCTGCCCTGTCCCTCCCGGCCAAGCCCGCCTGTGACCTCCTAGGTCTGCGTGGCACCCTCGGTGGGCTTGCACGAGCACACGAGTTCAGAGGCCATCCACGTGTGGGGGAAGACTGCGGGTGAGTGCGCCCGGACCTCGGCTCAGCCAGGATAATCCTGTCGGCAAGCAGGGTGGGGCAGGCTCCAGGCTGGCCCCCGGGAGGACGCGGCCTGGCCACTCCCATGCTCAGCGCGGGTCTCAGGGTGCCTCCCACTCTCTCCCAACTGGAAGTGGCCTGTTACTGGCATCACACAAGACCAGAAAGAGGAACGCTCCCGGCCCTGCCGGCATGGAGGCGTCTCCGATTCTGTGGGTTGGTGGGAGAGCGTGCATCCGGGCACCAGGGCTTTCAGAGGGACGAGGAGCCCACTGCCCACAGAAAAAGACTGGGTTTGCCCCCAAATTCCCATCGAGTCGGGCTGCATTGCTCCAAGGCCCCGGCAACCTGGCTCCCGGGCTGCCGCCTCTGCCCCGATTGGAAGAAGAAATGTCACAGCCCTTCCCTCCCTTCCTCCTCCGTGCGTAGTTCCCCATTCCTACTTTCAGGAGGAATTATGTGCTTTCCCAAGTAAATATTGTCCCCTCATGGCTGGAGGCTTCCTGGCAGTGGGGCCGGGTGAGAGGCTGCCAGGGTCTTCTCGGCCGTGGTCCACACGGGCTCTGGGCCAGGCCATGCTCCCCATCTGTGGGAGGAGAAGCAGCAGAAGAAAGGGATGGAGAGGAGATGGCCACAGCTGACCGGCGTCTATGGGGACGAGAAGTAAGAAGATGTGGGGGGTCTGAGAAGTCTCACAAGAGACTCCTCTTCCAGGAGAGCCCGGCCCAGATTTTCACCCCAGTGCAACTCGCTGGCGGAGAGGTGGAGCTCAGGGCGGCTTCACTAAGGCCCTGGAGGAGCAGGAGGCAGGAGGTGGGAGGGAGGAGCCATGGCTGGGCTCACCCTCCGGCTGCTGGGGGGCCCTGGGCTTCGGGGGAGACAGCAGCTCCCTCTGCACTGGGTGGGCGCTGGGAGAAGCCCTTCACAGCCCCTCTCCAGCCCTCCCTGCCATCCAGAGGCTGGTGTCCCCTAAGACAGTGCCTTGGCCCTGTGAACATCCCGTGAGGACTTTCCACGCCGTGGTTCTGTTAGTTGTCCGGAAGGAGAAGCCTAGAGGAGTGGCGGCCCCATGCTGGGTTTCCATCCAGCAGCGCACACGGGCTCTGGCCACTTCAGCCTCCTCAGTCAACACGCCGGGCCTTCCGTGACGCTGGCCCACACTAACGCCCGGAACCACACCCGCAGCAGACTCATCCCGGTCGCATGACCTACCGGAAGGAGACCAGGTGTCTGCCCTCCACCTTGCAGGCAGCCGGCAGAGGCCAGAGGCAGCAAGTCAGTGCTGGGCTCCTCTCCGCCGCCTGGCCAGAGCCCCGCCCTGCTGGTTCACGCAGCTTTGCTCCAGCTGTCCCTCCACCTGGTGTGCCGGCCCCAGCCCCACCTTCCCACCCACCTTCACTGGCTTGCCCCAAACTGACACCTCTGCCCTAAAGACGTGCCCTTCCTTCACTTTGCCTGGTCTGCCTGTCCTCACTGCAGCCGGAGCCAGCTTCCCACCGTACATCTCATGGGGCTGCCAAGGAATGTCTGGGTCTTACTGCCCCAGGGAAGAAGCTTCCTGCACTCACCCTGTTTCCTCCAAAACTCAGCCTGGGGATTTGTATGGAATGAATTAATGAATGAACGAATGACTCATTGCTCAGAAAAGCCTCCCAAGTCGAAGGCTTCACTCTCTGTCTCAGTGAAGGAGGGAGGGTGACCCTCTTCCCTGGGGGCTGCTGTGTACTCCCTCTCCTTCTCTATAGATGGGCTAATAACAACAGTGCCCCCTCGGAAGGCTGCTGTGAGAATTAGGGCAGGGACCACCAGAGAGCTTTTGGGACAGCACCTGCCACAGAGTCAGAGCTCCACAGAGGTCAGGAGGCATCACTGGGGATTCAGCCTGAGGATGTGCAGAAAAGGCGAGCCCAAGTGGACGTGGTCTTCACCCCTCCCACTTCATCCCGCCCACCCTGGACCTTGCAGTTCTGCTCTCCAGAGGGCGGCTCTGCCCCAGGCCCACCCTGCCGTGGGCCAAGGGCTCCCTCTTCCCTCCTGCATGGGCCCCACTGGCTCAGAGCTGAGCATCACCCTCTCCAGCTCCCTCTTTTAAATGCAAAAGTGACCCCTTGAAATGAGCCTTAAAATCCTGGCTTAGCAAGGGCAGGGAAGGGTGAGGCTGGCTCTGCACCCTGATCTTCCAACTGCTGGCTGTAGGCACAGCTCCCAGGGCCCTTGGGGCTGGAGGCCACCTGCCCTCCTTGAGTCAGGGAGTTATTTTTGGTTCTCCATCCAGACTGCTTCTGCCAAGACCTCAGGAACTGACAGGATCCAAAAAAGCCCATGGCAGAGCCTCAGTGGAATCTTGGCACATGCAGTTCAGGAAAGCGTCCCTCTCCAGTCACGAGCACTCAGGATGCACACACAAGGAGGGAAGAGGAGGGGAGAGGCAGGAGAGGGCTGGCCGGGCTTCCTGCACTGTTGGAGGCTCAGGAAATGGCCCAAACGGGCTCTCTCTCCTAGGAAGGCCTGGGCTTGGAGGGCCAGCATGCTCAGCTGGAGGGGCAGAGGCCCCCCGACGGCCCCAGACGGGCTCAGAGGGCAGAGCGCTGTGCAAGGCCGGGAGCCTGGACAAGCTGATGCCCCTGCGGATGAGACAATCTGCCTCTTGCTATTCACAAGAGGAGGCCACTTCTACGCAGCAGCATGGACGATCTCATAGAACAGGCCCGGGGAGATGCCCACTGAGGACCTCAGGCCAGAGACAGAGGGGTCTCTGGGCAACAAAGGAGACAGACCAGGAGGGCTGAGTGCCCTGAAGCAGGCAGATGGGGTTCCTGTCCTGCTGCCTGTCCTCTGAGCCTATCTCCCTTGGTCACAGCTTTTACCTCCTGCAATCCGGGAAGACTTAAGCTGGAAGAAGTCTGCAAAGCTGGGAACTTGGACAAACCGATGTCCAAAATGCAGATGAAAGAAGCTGAGAACCATGCTGCATCCCCGCCAGGCCTCGAGATCAGACCCAGGGCCTGGGCTGGGGCGGCCACTGAGGAAAGGGTCACGGCAGACCCTCTTCCTCGCATGGCAGGAAGGGCGGGCCTCCAGGAGACTCTCACCGCCTGTCATCTGGAGAACTTCCTGGGAGAAGCCCTGGCCGCCCGGGCCCCACTCAGTCAGTGCTTCTGAGCGGCTTTTTAGATTTTGGTTTATTTCCTCCCCTGTCACTCTAGTGGGTTTTCCTTCAGAATCCACTGGCAAGGGCTTAACTCTCTATCCTTGAACGCACCATGTGTGCTGGTGACAGTGGCTCACTGTCTAGCTCCACTCAGGGCCGGGGGCAGGAGAAGACAGACCCTCTCTCTGCCTGGCTGACCCTTTCTCACATCTCAGGGTCAGGGAACAAGAGGGAGGCTTCAGGTTTGTCTCCCCCAGGACAGAGTGTAGGGCATGGTGCCAGAGCCAAGCACTATGCCCTGCCATCCCGAGCTGGGACGGGGGCCTGCAACTGGACTTGCATCAACCTAGATACCCAGGCAGGCCCAGCTCCCAGCGGCTGACAGGGGACTCTGAAGCTGGAGCCAGCGGGCTTTGTTAAGACGCGTTCCAGTGAAACAAAAAGACCCGACTGACCCTGAAGCCCAGGCTCTGTCTGTGCTTATGGGTGTCTGGGGGCTTCCCAGGCTTTGGGAAAAAAAAGAAACTAAGGAAGCCTTTAGCACCAGAGTGCCAGGATGGTATATCTGGGAGGAGCCCTTCAAATCAGCTGGCCCCCTCACCCCTCATTTATAGAGAGGACCACGGAGGCCTGAAGCTGACAGGCACATGCCACGCCCCGGGAGCTCCATGGGTAGAGCAGCATCGTGCACTGACCCTCACGCTTCTGGCTTCGCTCAGCTTTGCTGCTGGGGCATCTGACTCTGCAGGCTCCCCTGGAGAGAGGGCCCCACGCCCAGCTCAGGGGACGAGGCCAGGGGCACGGGGCAGCACTGACTCTCCCCTTGCCTGGCAACAAGACTTGCTCCAGGGGAACCGGCAAACTGCCTCCTTTCCAGAGGATGCCCGAGAGGAGAGGTTCAGATTCAAGTTTCTGGCTGGGCCATTAGGAAAATCATATAATGCCATCAAAAGAGGGATCTTCAGAATTGGAAACTGAAAACTGATGGAGCCCTGGTCCTTGTTTTCTCTGTTTCTGAGTATGTTCTGGGCTTGTCAGCAACAGTGACTTGAAGAAGGTAGCAGCAAGGAGAGAACTATCAGGAAGACTTTGGGAGAGCCTCTCCTCCAGGCTTACTGCAGGAAGGGAACCCGGACCCTGTTCACTAGACCATGGAACCTGCAGTCACACTTCACACCAGCAGGAACAGCAGGCACACCAAGAAACTGCGGGGTCCGGGACAGGGGAGGAAACTGCCCACTACTGGAGGCCACGTCTCACAGAAGCCCTCACCACCCAGGACGGCCGGCAGCGGGTGCCGGCTCCACCTTGCAGAAGGCCGGGCTCCTCAGCAACCTCCCAGCAAGGGAACAGGCTGCCAGGGTGGTCCTGAGATGGGTACCTATTTGCAAGGCTAAAATGAAGCTAAATTAAGCAGCTGCAGGATATTAATTTGGTGCTTAAGTTACTGAGCTTGAATGAAAGCCTGGGAAGAGGGAGGAGGAAGGTCAGCAGCTGCTAACTCTATCTATGTGTCAATCATCTATCAATCAATCAATCAATCAATCAATCATTTATCTATCTAACTACCTATCCAGTTATCAGTCAGCTGTCATCACCTCTCTATCCATCGACCTACCTGCCTACCAGCACCTCCTCTGCTGGGCACAGTGCTGAGCTCAGGATCTGAAGGACTTCCATGAATTACCATTCCATGAATTACCCCAGAGCTCAGGGACTCCCTGCACCATTTTACAGAGGAGGAGGCAGCTGAAACTCGAGAGGGGAAATGCCTTGGGGGAGTCGCACAGCTATCGAGTGGCATTTACTACCTTACAAAACTGCCTCCTCTAACGGGGGAGCTCAGTTTGCTGTGTGTCAAGATTAGCTGGGTGCTGGCTACGGGCAGATGCCAGGGCCCCACCTGCAGACGCTCTGATTCAGCAGCTCCGCCTACGTGTCGCAGCCCTTCCAAAGAAAGAATTAAACGCAGAGGTGAAACCAGGCAGCTGCACTCCAAAGGTGGGAGAAAGAGGGCCTCTGGAGGCCTGTTAACCCTCTCTCTTTACTCCCAAATCAATGGTGTTAGCAGCCCAAGGACGGCCATGTGATCTCTTTCACAAGACCCAAGATTTTAAGCTGCAAGGTAAACTCACCCAGCTACTAAAAATAGGCCAAGCACAGATGGGAAGGCCAGCTCATCCGGGAGGGGTGGTGCCCCCTCAGAAAGGCCCTTGGCTTCTCACTATTTGCAACTTTTTACTCCAAATCCTCACTTTGCTCCCTTGATTCCTTGATTGGAAAATGTGGAGGTTTTCTCTGGGTTTCTCCATGATGTGCCCTGTCTATTCCAGGGAGGGAAGACACTGCTCATGGGGAAATACATAACAACAACAAAAAGACCCCACCACTGGATTCTTCGGAGGCCGAGGGAGACCCCATAAGTGGGAGTGTTTGGAGGTCCTGGAGAGAGGGGCAATGGTGAGGTCACTCAAGGTCACGATGGGTAGCAAGCCGAAGACAGTACCCAAGGGCAATAGTTATATAGCCCCATGATCGTTAATACAGCCCTATCATCATTAACATTCACACCAACTCCTAGAAAGTCAAACACTCACACCAACTCCTAGAAAGTCAAATTGGGAAGCCATGGTAGAGGCCATCTGGCCCAGACCCCCCTCCTGGGACTGTCTGAGATCACCCAGCCACTGTCATACCAGGGCTGGGCACCATGGAGCACAGAGCTGAAAGAATGCAGTTAGCAGCCCCCGTGAGACACAGCCAGCATGCACACATCAAAATGGATTAGTTCTCTGACTCCAAGCATTTCTTATTGTCTCTGTTTCGGGACTGGGGAATTTAAAGCTTTGTGCGTTCACTGAGGACACCTAGAAGAGCGTTTAAAAATCACCTAAATTGGGAACCTGGGAAACCAAGGGTTTGGCTGACTCTTTTCTTTCCCCTTGAATATTCTCTCTCTTCACCTGACTAACATTAGAGGTTTTTTTTTAAAGTGTTCTTTTTGGATGTTTTAGGTTTATAGTAAGGCACTTGGAGTGTGTGTGTGTGGAAGGGAGAGTAGAAATAAAAAGGTAATCCAGTTAGAACATCAGAGAAAGCCTGAGATAAACTTCATAAGGCAAAATCACCCTAAAATTACCCTAAGTTACCCTAAAAAGTAGGTAGTATGAAAACAACAACCTTTGTGTTATTAAACAAAAAACAAAAAACAAAAACAGCTTGGTGAGGACGGATGGCTAATATTTCTTAAGAAAAATTAAAAGTGGAATTGGGATTTGAAATGTGCTATTTAAAAGCAGACTCAGACACTAATGTGTTAATATTTCTCCTAGTAATTAACTGGAAAGTTGATAAGGTGAATGGGTAATCAATCAGAAATAAGAATCCAAATGGGTCACCCCACACTGGGGGTCTTTCTTAGGAAACACACCCGAGGAAGGGGTTCATTTGCTCAGAGGCTCCTCCCCTTCCAGGCTGTGAGCAGGGGCTCCCTCCCGTGCTGTGAATGGCAGCTCTACTGAGATGTGATTGAATTTTGTTCCCTTTTTTATTCAAACTATGCATGATTCAATATTTCAGGAGCTCCACCAGCCCCCGTTCTCAATCCGGAGGAATCTGAGATGTTATTGCCAGCCCTATTAAACTGGTGTCTTCAATGCACACACACATACGATTCACACACACACACACAATCTGCCAGATGGTATGCTATTTTTTTCCAGATGTGCGACTCAGCGGGGTCTGTGGCCTCTGCACAAGACCCGGCTCTGAACAATGCCCTAGGATGGGTGTGGCCTACGCTCCTCCTTTGCTGTCTCTCAAGGTAGACCTGCCCAGGAGCCCTAATCCAGCCATCACCTCGCGAAGCCAGGCGGGCGCTGTCCACTTCAGCACCACTCCCTAAGCCTGTGCGTGTGCCGGAGGTGGGCAGTGCAGCGCCACGTCCCGCAGGGTACTGGGCCTACCTAGTTTTTGCATGCATGCACGGAGCCTTTCTTCAAGATTGGACACTCTGCTCTGAAGTTCATCGTAGTCATAGGCGCCAATTTCCTCTTGCAGCTCGTTAAGCACTGACGTCAGATTCTGGACCTCCTCTTTAAACTGCAATACCAATTTGGCATCGGCCTTGTACTCTTCCAACACAGGTATCAAAGGCCTAAGTTCATCCATTTTCGCTTTTATCGCCTGCAAGGTTAAAATAAGCTGGTTCAGTGCGATGCATGCAAGAACTCTCACACCCTGCCTTGGCCTGGCTTCTCCCTAGGTGAGGGAAAGTGTGTATATTCCCGCTTTATTTACAGGCTTATTTGTTCTGGTCCAAATGAGTTAGAAGAGCATATTAAACAGTCCTCAGAACACCAGCATATTTGGGAAAGGTCTTTATTGTCAGTTTAGAATGCAACATCTTAAGGTTACATGCTTTGAGTCACATACACGAAGTTTTTTTTTTCTTTCTTTTTCAAAAAATGCATTGACAAGGGTTCAAACTATTCATGAAATGCAGCTACAGTCGCATGCAAAGGAGGATCCTGGTTGTATTCAAGGTTCCTTAGTGAAATGGTGCTAAGTATTGGAAAATAATAGTAAAAATGCATGGTGCAAAAAGCTCTCTGGCTCTCTTTCATGGTTACATGGGAGTGGACTGCTTCTTCAGTCACTGCAGCATTGAAAAAACTCTTTTAAGTTAGCCCTGCAAGTAAGAAAATGAAATACCGTTGAAGAACTAGCTCACTAGCCTGCCTGAAACAGACAGCCATCAGGAAACACATATTTGCATGGTCAGTTAGAAAAATCCCACTGTAATGCTCGAGTTAGTCAAAACAAACTGCTTTAAGAGTTATTGAGATTCCCTCGTCACAATTTCTGTTGGAATTTTTTTAATGCGGTTTAGCACAGTATAGGCAAGCGCTTGCTTTTCTTCCCCCAGAGCCACAGCACCCCAAAATTGGAAACTCGGAGAGATGCCTGTGTCAACAACGTTTGCCAAGATGAGCTACCTCCCAGTTGCTGAAGACACCCCCCTCGTTAGAGGAGTCTGCTGGCCGCAGAGAAGGGAGTGCTGGCTCAGAGACATAAATGCTTTTTTGGTTAGACAGGTCAACATCTCTCCCTCCAGAGTAATTCATGATGACCAGCCAGATGCGAGGACAAAAATGTCCAACTGCCTCTGATGAGCACAATCGGCTCATTTCACCTCAACAGGATTGGGCCTGCTATTATTTTATTTATAATATAGATTTATAATTTCATTAGCTTGCCATTTCATCTATTTAATGTATCATTTTTAAAAGAGAATTAGTTCTTGCCTCATGCAGGGAGCACATCGAAGAAAAACATTAGCATAAAAAGGACGGGAAGACAGAGACAGAGTACACCAGCAGTTTCTAGTCGGGCGAGGCTGTGTAATTTGACCTGTTCATTTACATCTGGGCTGGATTTCTAATTAAAATGCATGTATACCTTCATTAAGGCGGCATATAACGTTTCAGTCGAATCGCACTGAGATGGAGTCAACTGTGGGCATCTCTCTACCTGGCTGCACATCTGTATCTATGATTTTAGGTCAAACAAACACCAGTTTTAATGTCCAGAGTTACCCGGAGAAGCAGAACACTTCCCACGAGGTGGAAAGGAGGCTGGCATCTCTCTCTTTTTTCCCTGCAAGTCTATGGTATGCTTTGTCATGGCTAGATTAGGTCAGATGTGAAAACTGCCCTGAGAGATTCCTGCTCCAGAATGGCCCTCATCAATTCAGCTAATCTTTGGCTAATGTGATTTACCTGCAGCAGCTGCAGAATGACAAGGGCCAATAACGATGTCCCTTCCCAGCTAATATTCGACTTGGCTCGGGCAGCGCAGGATCTCAGACCCCTGGCTTCCAAACCACACTGACGGGGGCTTGGGGGCGAGTGTATGCTGCTGCCACCACTCAGGCCGCCCCTGTCAAGGTGGCTTCTGCCAAGCCAGGGCCAGTGGTGGCCTCCCTACTGCCAAGGGCAACAGTCCTTTCAAGGCACAGAACAACCTTTGCTATGCTTCTCCCTGCCCCAAATGACCATTTCTGTAGGGAAAGGGAGAGCATGAAGGGAAAGCACACCCAGCCTCAGAGGAGGAGAAGAAGGAGAGGGAGGAGGAAGAGGAGGAGAAGAAGGAGAGGGAGGAGGAAAAGGAGGATGAAGAGGATGAGGGGGAAGAGGAGGAGAAGAAGGAGAGGGAGGAGGAAGAGGAGGAGAAGAAGGAGAGGGAGGAGGAAGAGGAGGATGAAGAGGGGGAGGAGGAGGAAGAGGAGGAGAAGAAGGAGAGGGAGGAGGAAGAGGAGGATGAAGGGAGGAGGAGCAAGAGGAGGAGAAGAGGAGGAGGAAGAAGAGAAGGAGGAGAGGAGGGAGGGGAAGGAGGAGGAAGAGGAGGAGGAGGAGGATAAGGGGAGGGAGAGGGGGAGGAACATGCATACCTTAAACTGCCTGGCCAGGTGTTGCTTATGACTCTCCTCCACCTGTTTGAACTTGGACTCCAGTCCTTTCATTTGGTTCTCCATCTTCTCCACGTACTGCAAGTCTCTCTGGGTCCGCCTGTCCAAGACCTCTATGGATTGAGACATGTTCTGCACCTGTCAAAAGGGCAACAGGTTCAGCAAAACAGCCGCAGTAGGTGCCAGGCAATCTTCTCTGCCTGCTCGTACAGACATTGCCCTTTCCCACACAGCCAGCACACTGGGAACCAGAAGTGGCCCATGCATTATTTACAAGGTAATCGCCAGCATCGCGGACTGTGAGGACTGATAACTCCCCAAACACAGCAAATTGGTTGGGTAAACATTTTCTTTGCCAACCTGTTCTTATCATCAGGGATGCAAATCAGGGGTGTAGGAGACTCAAGTTCCGTTATTCGCTGTAGCTCCAGGCACAGGCTGGGTGATTTCTCTTGATCTCTCTCTCTCTCTTTTTTTTTTTTTTTTGGTAGTGGTGGGTGGGGATTGTTCCTAGTCTTTCTGTTGCAGGACAACATTAGTTAGGCAAGCATAAACACCAGCAGAGAGGAATGGCACTCTTAGGCTGCCCCGCCCCCAGGTATAAATTCTCCTTCTTCCTAAATCTCATTGACTGTCTTGCTGATAAGGTTGATTACTTAAGTGCAGAGTGAAGGAACAAGGGAGCTGCTCTCCCTGACTCTGCATCAAGCTTTTTTCCCTATCTGCTATGCCATCCATCACACCCCACAGTATCATAGGTAGATGACTGCTCTGCAAACATGTACATTCTGAGCATAGAGTCAGGAATCAATCACCCAGCAAATGAAGAATCGCTGTTTTACATCTTTACAGGCAGATCTGAATTGAGTCTAGCCTCAAGATGGAACTTTAATATTCAACAGGATTCCAGGGAGCTTAAAAGAAAAACAGTTTTAGTGCAGCCACCTGCCAGTGCATTTTATTTGCAGGAAACTGGTGTGTGCTTCTGTGCAAATGCATTCGGGGCTGCGGGGAGGCGGGAGGAAGCTGAGGATTGCTGCAGTGGTGTTTGGGTCATTTTCTCAGAATCTAATCCAATTACTAGAGAGGAAGTTACCTCCATGACAGCAAATCTTCACTCCTGACTTTTCTGCTGAATTTGAAAATACTCTCCCTTCTAGGAACAAAATCATTTGGGGATGAGGCTTAGCTTTGCCGGTCAGTGTGAAAAGAGGACAGTGTGGTTTCTACTTCTTACTATACATCCTCCACCCCGCCAAATAAAGTAAAATACAAGAGAGCAAACCAAGCCTCCTCAGTAGAAGGAAAACCACTATTGCCAATCTCAGCACCCCAAAATGCAAGGAATTTCATATCTTGTTATCAGAAAGTAACACACACAAACTCATCTTGAAATTTTAAGTTTGTAAAGTACACGACGGGGTGGCTTCAGCTCCCTCTCACCCCTTCTCTTCCCCGAGAAACGGAAGCATACCTCTAATACCACCTGCCTGATTCTCTTGTTGTCTTCCTCTGTCACTTTGAATAACTACAGCACCTTTTTCAAGAAAAGATGTAAAGTTTGTCTATATTCGTCCTTCAAGGCCCAGCCCAAATGCCACCTCCTCCAGGGAGGCTTCTCTGATGGACTGAGTTAAAACTAGCTGCAAACTATTTGGAAACAACAACGTCACTTTGTTGGCACAATGTCTGCCTAGGAGTGAGCCACACAGCTGTCCCCCCACAGCTTTCCGGACAGGATGCTCATGGGGGGAGTGACACTGGGTCTCATCCACATCTGTAACCCCTGCACAAAGTCCAGTAAATCTAGTGCACGGGAGTAGCTCCTGCAGCCACATGGCCGGAGGAAGCAACAATACAAATGGCGGCGCCAGTCCAGACCCCTCTCTCCATTCCCCTCCTGGCAAAATCCCCAGGAGCGAAGGCCCACAAGTGCCGAGGAGAAGCTGCTGAGCTCATGCTGGCCTCAGTCAGGAGACCACACACGGTGCTGTAGGCTTTTTGCTCCCCAGAGAAGGAATGCTTTTAAAAGATTTCAAAGATTAGACTTTAGATTTAAAAAACAAATTTTAAAGATACCAAGCTATTCAGCTGCCTTAAAACCAAACAATTACTCTCCTATAGTTCTCCTAACCCTGAATGCACTTTCCTTTCTGGCCATGGACAAGGCACAGGCACAGGTCTGCCTCCAGCTCACAGTCAGTCTAGGACTGCAATCACGCACCCATCTCCCAACCCTAGGGAAGGCATTCCTCTGAGCACAGCCCTTCCTCTGAGCACCTTCATTTTCTTGCCTGCAGGATGTGTCTCTGAGGAGCCAACTGGCAGGCTCAGGGTCACAGAGCTACGGGATGACAGTCTATCCCACACCCTACCCAACGGGGCAGCAGGCATTAAGAAGCGGGAGGGGGGCCAGCAACACACAAAGACACACCTGGCCTCAAGATAACTAACAGCTAATAATTATCCATCCTTTCCCATGTTCCAGGCACTGCACTGAGTCTGCTGTGTTATTTATCTCATTTGATCTTTACAAAACCCCGGGAAATGAATAAGTACTATTTTGAGTCCCATTTTACACATAGGGAGACCAAGGCTCAGAGAAGTTAAGCAACTTGCTTACTGTCACCCAGCCAGGAGGCCTGCCAGTTCAAGCTGGACTGGCTCCAAAGCCTACACTCTCAAACCCAGAGCCAAGTGCTTCTTCAAAGAGAACGGAGCCCGTGCCACACGCCTGCCACTATCTGTGTCCCTACAGTGCTCGACCCTAGCTGCATGGAACTACCTGGTGAGGCTTCCAGGGCTGTACATACCTGGGTTCCCCACAGGGACCCCAGGGCAACAGAAATCAGAGACTCTGGAGGTGGGGCCTGGGACTCAGTACCTTGCAGCCTCACCAGGTGGGTTAAAGGTGAAGCCAGGGCACAGAAATACCGACCTGGCTGGAATATGCTCAGCTGTGACCCAGCCCTATCAACAGGGCACATGGGCTGAGGTTTCTGGAGCACCCTGTCCTGCTTCTGCCCATGAAGAGAAAGCAAGAGAAGAAAAGAGAAAGAGGAAAGAAAGAAAATAGCACACAGGCCAGGGTGTGCGGGGGAAGCTGAGGACGGAGCAGCGCTGCCTCCTGCTAAAATGCACAGTGCATTAAGGAGCAAGGGCCCTCTTTCATAGCAAATGGCTCATGCCCTCTGAAAATAGAGTGCCCGCTATGGTATCAAATGGGGCTTTAAATTTTTAAGCAGTAATGCTGTGGCACGCACAGGCAGGAAGGAACATTCCAGGGCCTGCAGTCCCAGGGGCTCATGGAGCATTCTGGAATCCATTTCCCAACTCTCTGCTCTCCCCGCAAATGCCTCCTCCCTGGGCTCAGGGCTCTGTTTTCCCCTCCTGACTCTCGCCGGCCCCCACAGCCCAGAGGCCCCTCCAAGTGCCGCCTCCCCCATCTAAGCTTCTGAATAATTAAAGGCTCAGTTAGGCTTTGGTCTAGTTTGGTGTTAATAAATGTTGGTGGAATGTTAAATGTATCTTACTTTAATTCTTTTAAAATGATTTACTCAGGTGGCTAAAGAAAAAACAAATTCTATTCCTTCAAGGTGAGCGTGCTTTACGAACTAGGCCAGTTGCCCTGCGTACCATGATGCATCCTTCTTGCCCAAGAAACAAGGGTCCTGTGGCCATTCCAGACAGGGACTGGGACACAGAACAGGCAGTGACTCGGACCTTTCAAGGCCCGTCAGAGCTGGGTGGGCACTCGAAACCTCTAGCCCACCCTCTCCTTCTCCAAGGAAGGGGACTTGCTTTGTCTCGAGCTTCCTGAGGGTTTGTGGTTCAGCACCAGGAATGTGGACCCGAGTCGGGTCAATGCTGTCCTCTCACCAGGCTGCTCCCACCTTCCCCAACGAGGTGGGCAGTGACAGCACCATCTGTCCCCCCAGCACGGAGCCAGCCCTGAGTCACAGAGGCCCCCCGCCCCTCACAGGCCTCCTGCCATACTCCTGAGCTGACGCCCATTCCAGAAAGTCCAAGGCCAACCTGCAGGAAGAGTCACGGCTTTACTATTGTGTGTGTGTGAACGTGTGTGACTATGTGTGTGTGTGTGTGACTATGTGTGAGTGTGTGTGTGACTGTGTGTGAGTGTGTGTGACTATGTGTGAGTGTGTGTGTGACTGTGAGTGTGTGTGACTATGTGAGTGTGTGTGACTGTGTGACTATGTGTGAGTGTGTGTGTGACTGTGTGAGTGTGTGTGACTATGTGTGGGTGTGTGTGACTATGAGTGTGTGACTATGTGTGAGTGTGACTGTGTGTGTGTGAGACTATGTGTGAGTGTGTGACTGTGTGTGTGTGACTATGTGAGTGTGTGTGACTATGTGAGTGTGTGTGACTGTGTGACTATGTGTGAGTGTGTGACTGTGAGTGTGTGACTGTGTGTGTGTGTGACTATGAGTGTGTGACTATGTGAGTGTGACTGTGTGACTATGTGTGTGTGAGACTGTGTGAATGTGTGTGTGACTATGTGTGAATGTGTGTGACTGTGTGTGAGTGTGTGTGTGACTATGTGTGAGTGTGTTTGTGAGTGTGCGTGTGTGTGGTGTGACCCCACTCCCTCAGGGTGGGAAAGTTCCCTGCCCATAGGCACTACATGCAAATGCACCTTTCTTCTGGGGAATCAATGGGTGGAACAGAAGGGCCCACCATTCCTCCTTGTTCCCTTGGTAACTCTCCTATGGGGCCCCCAGAACCCAGGTTAACCACAGAATACGGGGTCCTTGGGTGGAATGTGCCAAAAGGCTGGTGGGCTGTGCCCATTAGGAGAAGGCCCCCTGACTAAAGTGGGGAGTGGAGGAGACTGAACCAGGTGATGAGCTCGGCCATGTGGGTCCGAGTGCCCACTTCCCTACTAACAGCTGTTTGGCTTGGGACAAATAAGTCCACCCCTTGGGAGCCAAATTTCCTTTTCTTGAACTGGAGTGAAAAATCTCACCAACTTCACATGGTTCTTGTGAAGATTAAGTGAAATAACGGATTCAAAATATGTTATGCAAACGACATATGCAAACCTGCTGTTCCCATGTGGTTCTGAAGGTGACAGCATGGCCTGCTTTAGCCCCAGGAAGGCATTCATGGTGATGAGCACCTGTCCAGCCACTGGCCAGGTACAACCATTCAAGGGCAGAAAAAAGATCTCATCTCGTAAAATCCAAATGGCCATGCATTCCTGGGCCTATGGGCGCTCTCCAAGGTAGCTGCTGGGTGACAGCCCCAGCCCTGTGCACACAGATTATGACATCACTCAGAGACGAGCCTTGTGTCCCGTCTCACCATGCCCATGTGACTTCTCAGTGGAGCCTGTGGTGACAGGGGGCAGGTCTAGTCCTCTCTTCCTGGACCACCCTTGGAAGTCTCAATCCACCTGTGTGTCCACCCACCCATCCACCCATCCGTCCATCCATCCACCCACCCATCCACCCATCCGTCCATCCACCCTTTCACTCATTCACAAATATTTTGAGTGGAGACAAACCAGGAAAGAGTCAAAATGGGGCCTGCAAGCTAGCCAAGCCTTGGTGCTGGTGTGAGCACACAGGCATGTACACACACACACACACACACAAACACACACACATACAAACTCACACACTCTGCGCAGACTCACCTTCTCCAGTAGCTGCCTCAGCTGTTTTGTGCGGGCATCCCGTGAACACATGGTCTGCTGTGGAGCGACCACTGTGCAGATACACCTGCCCTCGCTGTCCTGGGCAGAGCTGTACACCTGCCAGCTCTCCTCAGGGTTGGTGGGCAGCACCTGGAGAGGGGCGGGGCGGGAAGGGAGAGGGAAGGAGAGAAAGGGAGACCATGAGGTTGTGTATCAGAGCCAACAACCAGGGGAAACTGTCCACATCCACCCCCAAGGAAAAGATGGGAGGAAATGGTCCCAAGACATGTTTGACCCAAAGGGAAGAAAGGGTCCCTGGGAACAAAGAGGCACAGGTCTCCTGTTAGGGGGCTCAGGGCTGGAAGGATGTCAAAGAGGCAAGACCCTTTACGTTCTTAAAATTTAAGTTCAACTCAAGGGATGTCTGGAGTTTGTCGTCTGGCCAAATTGATCTGCTGGGTGGATGGGAGGGGCAACTGGAGGCCACAGGCTGGACTAGGAGCAAGGCAGGAAAGCAAACGCTGGGTGGCTTGCAGCGGGCACGTATTTCAGAAACAGGATATCCTTCCCGTAAGTCAAGCACGGGTGGCTGGCACCACCAAGCCTCGCCCTGCCGTTCCCTGACACTTGCAGACGAAGCACCCACTGTAACAGCCCCAGATCCAGCAGCCTATTCGCCCAGAGCTGTGATGAACCCCGAGCTACAGCAACCTCCCAGCCGGCAGCGTGGCACAGACCGACCCGAGAAAACACTAGGTTTCCAGCTCCTTGTGGGCTCCCCCCACGAGCCATTTGGTGGAGGTCGCCAAATTGCTGGTGACATGCTGTGCAGGGGTCACCCCCAACCTCAGTCCTGAGGTTTGCCCAAAGATCACCAAAGAAACCGGAGCTGCCCATGTCTGGTCTAACCTTGCAGCCCAGCCCTGCCAGGTACCGGGGCGGGCACTCCTGAGCCTACACAGCTCCATCCTGCTGCTGGCCCTACTGTCTCTGAGCACGCTCCCCTCCGGTGGCATCAGGTCATCTCTCTGCTATTTTTAGCATGAAGATGGGGAGGAGAAGTTGGGCGGGTAGAATCTATAGTAGTCATATCTTTAATCTCATTCATTCCCAACCCCAGAAGATCGGGACCGGCAGGCCGGAACAAAGTCATCATGGAGGAATCGCCCTCCGATTCCTGAAGGAGCAGGGAGGGCGGCCTCAAGAGGGGTCTTAGGAGGGAGCCACACCACGGAGCCCTCTTCGCAGGGCACTAAACCCCTGGCAGCAAAAAGAGAGAGGGAGGGAGACTCACGTCCTTCACCTCTCCTTTCAGCCTAAAGGGCCAGTGGTCTGGGGCGCGCCTTCCCGGCAGCGGCCCCTTCCCCGCGCGGCCCTCCGGGTGGCGGTTTCAGCTCAGCCTCGCTCAGCCATCTAAGTCAGCTCTGCCCAGAAGCAGCCCCGGCCACGGTTCCCCTCCCGCTAGGCTCGAGAGGGAGACGCGATTTCAATTTCAGAGGCCAGGAGGGAGGGGTGCGCGCAGAAGACGAAGGCAAAGGCGAGGGGGTGAGCGCCCAAGGGCAGGCTCCCAGGGGCCCCACCCAAGCCCCTCGGCACCGTCCTCGGAGGAGAAGGAACAAACCCTCCTATGGACTGGGGAGGAAAGGGCGCCTTGGGACTTTGGGAATGCAGGCGCGGGCAGGAGCTCCGGAGCCCACCGGCTGGGGCCCCACTCCCAGCCCGGTCCGGCCAGTCTGGCTTTTACAAACTAGGGCGGGCTCAGTCCCCGCTGGACCGAGCCCAGACTAGGGTCTAGCGGCGGCTCCACCCCTCACTCGCTGAGTGTGACCTTGGACAAGTCCCCAAGTCCCCAGCCTTAGTTTCCTAACCTTTTCAATGGGGGGCTCATGATTACTGACCCAGGACTCCAAGCCTCCGAGAACCCACCAAGCTCCCCCGGCCCCGCGGCGAGGGGCCCAGACGAAGGAAACGCCGCCCCAGGGGCGCGCGGGCGGAGATGGAGTGGCCCAGGCTGGGGGAGCGGGGAGCAGGGTCGCCACCGCTGCGCCGGCCCGCGACGCCTGCCCTTGCCCGCCCTGCTCCCCGCCGCCTCCCTGGGCGACTCGGGTCCCGCGCGGCGCCCGCCCAGCCCGGGGCTCCGGACCGAGGAGGGGGAGGAGGAGGAGGAGGAGGAGCCGCGCCAAGGCGGCCGGCGGGCGCACTTACGCCGGTGCTGCGGTCCAGCGTCCCGCCGCCGGCCGCCGAGAGCTTGGTGGTGTTGAGGCCCACCAGCGAGGGCAGCGTCTGGGACATCCAGTTAGTGATCATGGCCATGGTGCTCAGCACGACCCCGATCTTGAGCAGCGGCACCGACATCGCGCCTCGAGCTGCCTCCAGCGCCCGCTCCGAGCTGGCACCGGCTCCCGCGCCCAGGCGGCCTTCAGGCGGCGGGCACCGCGGCGGGCAGGGGCGCCTGGCTGTGTCCCCGCGCCCCCTCGGCCCGCCGCCGCCCGCCCGCCGCCGCCGCCGCCCCGCGCGCCCCGGCCATCGCCGCGCCTTCCCCGGGCGCCAGGGAAGGTGGCCAGGTGGCCTCTGCCCGCCGCGCCCTGCGCCTCGCGCCGCCCGCCCTGCGCCCTGCCTTGCCCGGCTGCGTCCCTCCGGGCTCCTCCGCCGCCACCGGGAAGCGCCGTCCGGCTCTGAGCGCTGCGCGGGCTGCGCGCGGGGGCCGCGGCCGGGAGGCGGGGCTCGGCCGGGCGGGACCGACGCAATCCGCCCAGGAAATGGGTGGATTTTTCCTCTCGCTCGGCTCCCCGCCGCCCCCTGGCTGCTGGCAGCGAGGTCTGCAAACTCCAGTCCGCCCAGGAGTTGGGATCAGGGTGACATGAGGAGACGGACACACCACCACCCCCAGATCATAAAATACCCGGCGGCGGCGCGGGGACTCCAGCTGGGGGCACGGCCCGCGGCCCTCCCGTCCCGGGGCTTCTCCCATCCTCACGCCGGGGCATCCCTCTCCGATCCCCGCAGAGGGTCCGCTTTGGGGCAAAGGTTGCCGGCAGAGAGACGGCGCCGTCCTGCCTACTGGAGCCCTTTTCCGCGGTGATTCGAGGGTCCCAGCCAGCCTGGGCCGTCGCCTGAAACCCAGCAGGCAGGGCAGGCTCCGAAAAGCAGCCAGACTCGCGAGGGCCTCCAGCGCCAGGGGGGCGTCGGGGCATCGGTGGAGAGCTAAAGGCGCCCCTGCGATCCCAGGGCAGCCGCGGTGCCCTAAGGCCTTGCTTGGGAGGAAGGGAGCCAACCGGCACTCCTGACACCTGCACAGCAAGGCGGGGGCTGGGGTGGTCTGCCGTGGCCCGCGGTGCGCAGTGAGGGCCCTGGGAGGGCGCACACCCGGCAGGAGCTGCATAAGGTCTGGGGCTCAGGCCTGGACCTCAGGAGCTGAAGGGACCACGCCCATGAACCTGGTGTTGGGGAGGTGGGTGTGTGGGGCGGGGACTGGGGTCTGTGGTGGAGGGGTGTGGGTTGGGGGGTGTCCTTACTGACTCAGGGGTGGCGCTCGAGTCATGGCGCCCAGGCACAGAGGCAGGGCAAGTGGCGCACGCTGCCCCTCTTCCCGGCCCTCTGCGGCGACCGCAGCAGGACTCACGCGTGTCAGTCCCACCTGAAGCGCAGGCCTGACTGGGTCAAACACGTTAATAGGGCTTTTGCATTTACAGAAGGCTTCTAATCGGAGATGAAAGCCACTTCCTCCGGGGCCTTCCATTAAGCTTTCCCAGCCATTTGGGAAGGAAAGAATCCTCCAGATCACTCACTACACTCTTCTCTGCCTGGGCGAAAATTAATCTCCCTTCCTGGATGGGATTTGAAAGACGGACGCCGGGCCGGAAGGAGCGCGCCTCCCTGGCGCCCGCCTGAGAGGAACAACGCCTTCCTGGGGCTTTTCTCTCTGTGTGCGCAGTCCTCGGCTGAAGAGACTTCAGCTGCAGCCAAGATGATCCTGGCCTGAGTGCTGGGTGTGAGACCCGCTAGTTAAATGAGCCCCTCAGATCTGCTTTTCTGATTAATGCTGTAATCTCAGGCAGCCGGGCTGGGTCGGATGCCAGGAAATTCCAACTGTTGGGGAAGGGCGCCATCTCCCAGTGTAAGCTGGGACTGCAGGCCCGGCTCACAGACTGGGCCCAGGCGGAGACACAAGTCCGGTTGGGCTGGCTTCGCCCCCCTCCTCTGGCCATGCATGTTTAACACCGATTCAAGGCCACAAGCCGTGTCTGTCCAGATCACTCACGCCGCTTCCCGCTGCGGAAGGACAAGGACCACTTGTTCTGCGGGAACAAATTCAAATGCAACCCAATCCAATCCACAAAACTGTCAGGCCATCTCAGAAGCCATAGACATTTATTTATTTAACGAAGTAAAAGATTAACCTGCACTTGGACTGCTCTAACCTGCACCTGAGCGGCTCCAACCTGCACCTGAGCGGCTCCAACCTGCACCTGCTCCAAACTGTCCTGTCCAGTTTCTAAAATCTGTGATTCAGTGGGCATAATGGTTTTGAAAGGGTCGTCAGATAAGGCTTGAGTAAGTGTAATTGGATTTAGAAGGCCATGGAGCATTCCAGAAGGAAAGTATGGATCGTTGAAGAATGAAGGCATTTGGATTAGGGGATCCATGGCGCCAGGCAATACCAAGTGTTCCTAAAGAGGACTTTCAATCCCAATTTCTTCACGACTTCTCTTAAAGCCAGGGCTCATCACACCTGCAGCTCTGAACAATCATACGGATGCTGATGGGGCAGGTGCTGCGCCCCTGGTGGCACTGGGGCTTTGCCATGCCTGGCACCCAATCCTTACTGAAGTGCATGGTGTGGTGGCATTGACTCCACTGTATAGATGAGGAATCTCAGGCCTAGAAAGATGATAAGACCTGTCCAAGGTCATATGGTGACAGCCTATTTCCAGGGCTAAGCCCATACACATGGTGGCATCCTCGTCTTATAAATGTCATGGCCATAGTTAAATCTCACGAGCCCCAGAAGTGGCATGAGTTGCATGGCCACAGCAGCCCTGGCTGTCCGCACAGTTCCACGAGCCACAGAGGCCGCCAGAAGACATTTCATGGGCCCTTGCCTTCCACGCTCGTGGGAAGGACAGGAGGTTGCCCACCCCTTTCTGAGTCCTGGCACGAGCCTGCACCACCCTCCCTGTCATGACAGGTTAGAACAGCCACGTCTCTATCCTCATGCCAGCCCCCTACAGGCCTTGACCTTGGTGGACTCTGTACAAATTCATCAACACACATAAAAACAAGCACACCCCCTCTGCATCTCCCGGCTTCAGAGCTCAGAAGACGCAAGTGTGAGAGGGTGCTCCTGCCCAGCTTGCTATAGACCTTACAAGAGGCGGACACACGTGGGCTATTGGGGAATCACCTCGAGAAGCCCTAGGACAGCCACATGGTGAGCTGATAGGGCACAGACGACACCAACACCCACAGTCAGACGACCACTGACACCCACAGTCAGAACAGTGAGGTCCGCAGGATGCAAACCTACTCAGGTCCCAGAGCCAGGAGTGGCTGCTTGGAGGGAAGCAGGTCTCTGGGCCACTTCCCGATGCTCCTTGGCAAAGGATGCCCTCAAGGGACAAAGTTTGGATGCCCGGTTGCTGTTTAAAAATACGCATACTCTCCTCAGGCTATTGGCAAATATCTTGAAGGGAAACAAGGGGAGGGGAGGAAGAAAGGGAGGGAGAAGGGGAGAAGAAGAGAGAGAGAGAGAGACAAAGGCAGAGAGACAGAAAGACAAAGAAACAGAGAGGAGACAGAGAGGAAGACAAAGAAATGGAGAGAGAGACAGAGAGAGAGGAGAGAGAAGAGAGGAGAAACAGAGAGAGGAGAGACAGAGAGAAGAGAGACAGAGAGGAGAGATAATAGAGACAGAGAGGAGAGACAGAAGAGAGACAGAGAGGAGAGATAATAGAGACAGAGAGGAGAGAGAGAAGAGACGGAGAGAGGAGAGACAGAGAGAGAGATGAGAGACAGAGAGAGAAGAGAGAGAGAGAAGAAAGATAGAGTGACACAGAGAGAGAAGAGACACAGAGAGAGGTCCCACATGGAGCCACCTCTCCTTTTTCTACGTTGTATGTAGCTTTTTCATTCCCTTTCTGTGCTGGAACATTCCAGGAGCAAGGAAAGGACCTGGCCTCAAGCCAGGCAGAATGGGAGGAGCCACAGGTCCCCTGGGCACTCCCTCTCGGCAGCCACAGAAGACCAGCATGGGTCTTCTGAGCCAAGTGTTCCCTGTACTCCCCTCCTCTGAGGCCTCTGGGTTCACACATGGGTGGAGGCGTAACTGCTCCTCACCCCCTTCCCTGGAGAGGATTTCCATCCTGGCCCGGCTCCCTGTGCCTGGCAGCACCTCCCATAAGCTGACAGTCTCCCAAACACCACCTGCATCAGGCGTGGCTGTGTGACCTGCGATTTTGGCCCCGGGAGGGAGAACGGCTAAGGGCCACGACTGAGCAGCTTTCAGAGCCAAATGTCTCAGTCACACCCTGTCTCTCTGCCTCTGTCATGAGGAAAACAGATCCAGAGAGGGCCCCTCCCTTGCCCAGGGCCCTCGAATGACAGGACATGTGAGCCAGAGGTGCCCCCAGGCAGCCTGTGCCCTATGCACACCGTTGCCATCATGAGCCACTGTGCTTGGGGTTTGTGAGCACGGCTGGCCTGAGCTGCCGACCCAGGAGATTCAACTTCCTCCGAGGTATCGTCCTTCCCCCTTTCCCTCAGTGTCAGCTCTTCAAGTCCCCCAGTGACAGTGATGGGGAGCTACTTGCCCTGGGGAGAGCATCCCACAGACCCATGGCTGTTGCTGGGGGACGTTTCCTCCATTCAGCAGTTGGCCTCGTGTCCAGCTCTTCAGTCCTAGTTCCTTGTCCATCCAGAGAGCTGACTTGTCCACGGCCCCCATCCCCCCAGACCCTTCATGCACCCTCCGCACTCTCCCTGGCAGGTTCCACGCCTCTTTCATGGATATCGTCTCAGCCTGGCCACAGCCAGGCCAAGGGAAGCCACAGCTCTGTATTCCCTTAGTTGCCGAATGGAAAAGAGGCCAATTCTGGGAGTGGTACTTTGAAGAACAGGGACAAGACAATTCAGCAGACACGTCACCCTCTGGGCTGAATGCACGTTTTTCAGGGACCCCACAAACATAATCATTTCCTACTTCCCAGGTGAGGAAACTCACCGTAACTAATTGGGAAAGGCAGCCCGGTTTCTGTGGAATCAGTCATTGATCCTGACATGAATTCAAAGGTGACATCATGATGAGAAACATCAAAGAGTCAATCCCAGGGTCCAGCTGGGAATGTGGAAAATGCCCCAGGTGGCACCATTTGCTTACAGCCAAGGATTTGGTGCTGCCAGATTCCAAACAAAGTTCTTTGCATCCAGACGACACCCGGCCTCTGCACAGGAGGCTCCCGGGCATTACTGATGGGGCCTGCCCTGTGGAGCCTGGACTTGGCCTCGGAAACGTTCTTAGCCACCTCTCACCAAGACTGCTGCAGCCCCTGGGAGAATCTCCTGTTTCATCATCCTTTGTATTGCTGATGGAACAAAGCACCCCTGGGTCCGTCAACACCCCTCACCTGCTGCCACTCAGAGCTGACTCAGTCTGTGCATCTGTGGGACAAGATGCTGAGGCTGAGTGGCCTGGGAACGGAAACCTGTGTGTGCATATTTGGGGCTGGGAAGGAGGCTGGGCAGGGGTTCAAGGACTCAAGTTGACAGCCAAATTGTTGGTAAATGGCTGGCTCCCCATTTCTGAGTCCCACTGCACTGTCAAAAACCACATCCTTCAGTGCATGGAGTAAAGTTATTTACGATACACTCATGTTCTTTCTTTGACTCTTAGGCCCCCGAAGCATCACCAGAAGCAAGTGGGGGAGACTTTCTTTTCAGCACCACTCAGGAGAGCCATTTTGTATGGTAGGGAAATCCCCGCGGCAGGGTTTAAACTCCCCGAAGACAACTTGTATACCTAAAACCACTAGCTGGAATGGAACCACTTTAGGGACGGCCCAAAGCGATGCTGTGAACTGCTGATCTGAATGTGGACAAGGGCTGGGGAGCCGACCTCATTCCCATCTCCCCCTTACACTCTTTCATCTCAACTTTTCATGGCTACACACTCTCCAATCAGATTTTAACTGTCATTGAACCATGCATAAGGAATATACGGGCAAGATCCCTGCTGCTGGGATGTCCTTTTGGGGCGAGCAGGTCTGCTAACACTGCAGCTGCCATCACCAGCTGGAGCCCAGGCAGGGGCGTGAGCTTTGACACGAGCACAGAAGAAGCAGGGACAGGAAACCTTCTCCAGGTGAGCAGCCACACACGAGGACGGGTCAGTTCGAACGCAGCGGATTCTCTCCATGGCAGCCCCTCCAGCCACCTTGTGCAAAGCATGCCAGGTGCAACAAAGGGGGTCACCGGACCCGCAGGCGTGTCGGGTGCACGTGTCGGGCAGTTTAGAGCCTCACTGAGAGGCCACCTTAGCTCAGGACCTGTAGATCCTATTTCTTACTTCTTGGCCTCGAACTCCTGACCTCAAGTGATCCACCTGCCTCGGCCTCTCAAAGTGCTGGGATCACAGGCATGAGCCAGTGCGCCTGGCCCCTAATTCTGACTTCTTGGATCTCAAGTTGTCATGCACATGCTGAGACATTTAACGGGCACAGGGCTGCCTACGTAACCCCTAACCTTACACTCCAGAGAACTGAGGCAGCTGGGCAGGCACTCCTAGATGCATCCCCGTTTCCAAGGGGTGGACGGGCCTGCTGGGGTCTTTGATCCTCAGGGGTTGCAAGGAAACCACAAGTGGACCCCCTCCTTCTTGCCCTGCTTTCTCCTTCAAAAGCCCGTTTTCAAGGTCAGCAGCCGGCCGTGCACGTGTCCACACAGTCGGAAAGGCACAGCTGATGGGCTCTGTGGTGCATTCCACAGAGGTCGGCGACCCGGCAGCAGCACCAGCACCTCCTTTGCACTGGTGTTCGGTGACACTGCGCTGTTTTTCGACTTTGCATTTTCTTTCTGTCTTAACAAGCACCAGAACTTAGGTTTCTCAGATGTCAGACAGACCTAGAGCACCATCTGGGGTCATCACATATGTGCTGGGTGGATGGGCAGGCTGCTTAACCTCCCCACGCCTGTGTGTCCTCAGGTCAAGAATGGGGACAACTGCCCAGGATTGCTGGGACCGCCGCAACATGATAAAGTTTACACTCGTGACATGCGGTATCAGTCCTCGCCACTGGCGGGATTCCTGGGGCTTTAACTCCGGGCGGGCTCCAGTTTCTTACATTATTTATCTTATATAGTATATTATTTACTATCATTATTATTTATAATATTTAGATTATTATTTTAATAATCTAAAAAAACTCAGAGGTGTGCATTTTTACTTCCTGTTCTCTCTTCCCCTCCCTTCGGTCGCCCTGCGGTGCCAGTCGGGACAGCGCTGAGGTTTCCGAGCGTGCAGGGTGTCCAGGACGAATCTTTCAGAGCTGGAAATTGGCTGCTCGCCCTGTCAGCCTAGCTCGTGGTTGCCATGTATCTAATTCAGTTTAGCTAGTAATTAGTTTTGTATTACTTTACACGGTGATGTTAATACTGATTACAGGGCCTGATAACTTTAGTAATAAATACAACCCAAGGCAGGAAATTACCTTTCTTCTGATTGGGGAAGGTTGAAGTCAGTGGAATGAGAAGCAAATTGCTTTAGGAGACGGAGCAGCTGTCTCATGGGCAGGATTGACAGCTCAGCGCCCCTGGTGTCAGGAGCCTCTCCACCAGGGGAGGCAGCCCGGGAATGGGAAAGGGGAGGGTGCCCCTCTCCCTCCGTGTGTCCAGAGGCATTGCCAGCCTGAGAGGCCACAGCCAACTTTGGTGCAAAGACTGAATGAATTCCACGTATTCTGAAATAATGGGTTTAGGAAAAGACCCCAATTTCACCTGAACTCTTCCCCCTACCCGTGCACTCCATCCCCTTCTACAAACACTGTATCCTCCCAGCAAGTCCAAAACAGAGGGGGCAGAGAAGCTGGAGGGGAAGAGGGCCTGGCAGGGGGACAAGACAGCTCATCCAGACCACCTGGCCCAAGCTTAGGTTGCAGCAGGTAAAAGTGTTTAGCCGTTTCTACTTGTTGGATTTGCTCAGGGCAGTGAAGTGAGGTCTTCAGCTCTAGAATGAGCTAAATGGGGGGATGAGGAACAGATTCAGAGGGATGGGCCTCACTGGGGTTCTCTGAAAGCCTAAGTCAGCATCACCTCCCTGGTCTTCTCGTCTGCCCTGTTCACACCAACCCACAACTCCCCAAGTGCAGTCCCGGGTCTGCCCACTTCTCAATGCAGGCACCTAGACTGGCAAACAGCTGGCCCAACTCCGAGACCCAGCAAACAGTAGTCACTCAATAAAACCTGAAGGCAAACAGTCACAGTGACGGTTGCCACTCAAGCCTGTTCTGTGTTCACTGACAGCTTGAACCCCACCAGGGGCATCCAGGGGTGTCATGTTTTAGGAAAGGCCAGGCCCGGCCTGGGGATGCGTGGCTAATGAGGAGAGCTCCGCTTCCATCTTCAAACACTTCAAATACCCTCAACCCACGTGGATTGAGCATTGGATGTGAGAGTCAGGGTTTCCAGGCCCTTCTTCCTGCTGCAGCCTCTGTCTGCAGCCATTTCTGTCCTCTTCTTCTTCTTTTTTTTGAGACAGAATCTCGCTCTGTCGCCCAGGCTGGAGTGCAGTGGTGCAGTCTCGGCTCACTGCAACCTCTGCCTCCTGGGTTCAAGTGATTCTCCTCCCTCAGTCTCCTGAGTAGCTGGGATTATAGGCGTCTGCCACCACGCCCTGCTCATTTTTTGTATTTTTAGTAGAAATGGGGTTTCTTCATGTTGGCCGGGCTGGTTTTGAACTCCTGACCTCAAGTGATCAAAGTGCTGGCCTTAAAGGTATGAGCCACCGTACCCAGCCTCTGTCCTCTTCTTCTTTCCCCCGGGCTCACTAGTGGACCCAGGTGCAAGCCTGGACCCAGATCAAATATCCTCCTTCTCCAGAGCTGCCTCCAGCTTCCAAAACAGAACTCACTCCCCAACTCCTACCCAGAGCACTCGGTGCAGACACTTCTTTTGCCACTGAAACACATGATTATGGCAGAGCCTGGGGTCTTCCCTCAAAGCAAGCCGGCCCCAGGTGCCAAGCGGCAAGGGTTTGGACTCACTTAACATTGTAAGCCCAGAATTGACCGAGTTAAATCTAACCAGCTGGTACCCAGGAAATGCTTGTCTAAGGAGAGGATGAGTGAGCCAAGGAAAGAATGGGGTTGGGGGTCTGTAGCAGGAAGGGATTTTACTCAAGAATCATCTTGTTTAATCCTCCTTGTGAAACAAGGAAGGTCAGGCTCAGAGGGGTTAAAGGGCCTTTCTCAAGGTCACACAGCCAGTGTCTGGTGGGATCGGGGTGAGAATGAGGCCATCTGGGTTCAAGGTTGTTGCTACAAAGCTTCCCAGCCCCTTTTACCCTATCACGTACAAAAAACATTCTTCACTCTGAAGGGAAGCCTGGGGGGTGTGGCGGTGGGCCTGGAGCCCAGGGAGTCCCTGCCCTGCCCCACCTTCCCCAAGGCCCAGAGATCAATGCCTCTGGACCCTGCCCCGGAAGCTCAGTACCATGCCACTTTACCCTGCTTCTCTAAGAGCATGAAATACCAGTCTTTTGTTGAAAATCACAGAGCAAGACCATGTGAAATGTCTTTCTGTCTGAGGACAAAGTTCACCTGGCCCCACAGCCTTGCGTGTCGTAGGCCATCCATCAACGGTTGGTGTTTGATTGAGTGTCTCATCGTAAGTAAGCTGTCGGGAGAACAGATGGCCCCGCCATGTGCTCCACTCCCCCTGCCTGTCCGCCTGAATCCTCCAGGCAGCATTTCTTAAGTGCAGGTAGGATCCAGGCGTTTCTGACATCTTCTTATGTCGACGTATGCTCATTTAGAAACACAGTGGCCCTAGAATCGCATGTCCATCCCTTGGAAGGAGCTAAAAGCAAGGATGTGGCTGTTGGAGCAATTTACCTACAGTGGAAGCGGGAGGCAGACACCAGGCAGCTCCAGCACCCTATCCTGAAGCCCAGACATGCTTCTTCACTCACTCACAAATATGAGCAGCATTGCTCAGGGAACCCGCAACGCATAACTTTGGAATCAAGAAAGTAAGATGCTTGGGGATGGATGTCCCCCAGTAGCTCTTGGAATCAGAGCAGGCTGGTCCTGCCCCCACACCCATTCCCGACCCCAGATGCCATCTTAGAGGTCAAAGATGAAAGTCACCTGGCATAACCCCAGTGGGGCCCACCCAGGTGGGGACTAGGGTAGCCAGGCTCTCGGGTGCTGGTGCTGAGCCAGCCACTCTCTGCCCCCTTCAGAGACTCAGAAACGTTGACGTGATTTCACCTGCTGAGGCTTTTTTCCAAAATCCCAACACATTAGGATAACTGGCCTCCAATGCAAGATTCCGAAAGCACAATTATCAGAAGCCAGCCTGGGGAAGGTGGAGCTGTACCATGAGGGTGGGAGGTGCCTCCTGGCTGAGTCAAGGGACACATTCCCCTGAGACAGCCTGTGGTTCAGCTTCAGAGAGAGGAACATGCCAGGCCAGCAAAGAAAACAGCAGCATTTCCCTTCCTGACCCGCGGAGGCTGTGGGCTGGCGGAGCTGACCAGGGTCCTGAAGGTGGCTGGCTGGGCCCTGACTCTAAGGTGTGAGGATGCAGGGGTGTGACCAGGGGCTGGCTGGGGTTCGGATGTCCAGCACCCTTCGTGTGGATGGACAAATACTTTCACCACTGAGACAAGGCTTCTAATTGAAGTTGAACCAAAAGTTTCTCCCCAGAACAGGGAATCTTTAAAAAGACACAAAGAGGAGAACTTAGGGAGGAAAAGCATCTTTTGGCCTGGGCATGGAGGCTTCAGGGTGCCATTAAGGCTTGGAGGGCCCTTGGGTGCGGCCATGTCCAGGACCACCCAGAATCAGCCATCTCTTTGCCAAGGTGTCTCAATAAGACACAGGCATAGCCCTTTGTGGGGCAGCTTGCCACTAATCAGGACCTGGTTGGCTCTTCTCTGCAGGTATCTGCTCCCCTGTGTGTGCATGTGTGTGTGTGTGTGTGCACATGAATGAATGCATCTGTCCAGCAACAGTGCACAACCACCACCCTCCACCAGGCCTTCCTGGGGCCAAGAAAACCTCTCCTAGAGGCCATGCAGAACCTCTCCAGGAGGGACTGGCTGATCGTCTGGGCAGCACCAGGAGAAGGGCTCTGAGGGTAAGCGGGACGACATAACCCCACTGCTGGATTGGGATTTGGACTGCACATCCTGGGCAGAGCCAGGGAGCCAGCGTGGGCTTCCAGGCAAAACAAGGGAAGCTCGTTCAGTGTCTTCTCTCCTGTGGTCTTCCTCTCGCTCTCTGGCCCTCCCATCTTCTCTGCTTTGTTTTCTCTTTTATTCTGAGGGAGATGGAGGAAGGGAGGAAGGAAAGAAGGGTCAGGGGCAGCTGGGGCTTGGGGCCAAGGTACTGGCTGCCCATCACTTCCTGGACTTGCAACTCCAAAGGGCCAGAGTCTCCCAGTTCAGAGCGTGGCACAGTGGCATCATTGAAAGGGCATTTTAATGTCACTCCCAAGCAGCCCGGCTCCCTCGGCTGGCAGGCTCTTCCGAGCACCATAGTGCCAAAGCAACCCTCCCAGTTCGGCGCTCACAGACAGCCCTTCTCCTCCCCCAAGACCTGCCAGCTCCAATATGCATCTTTAAAATGGAGAATACCAAGCAGAGACCTTTCTCTATTGATACATTGTTCAGGGTACGACAAGCCCGTTTGAAATGCCCACGATCCCCACACCAGCACGCCACAGGGCTCCTCACTCACCTCCTGCCGGGCATGTGGCCACAGCCCCCCAAGCCCTGCATATTAAGCCAGCAATGCACACAGCTGGCCGGCACGCTGGCTGCCCTTCCAGGTCTCAGCGGCACAATCCCCACCGCCTGTTTCTGGAGCCCCCAAGGGCAGCGTTATGCCCAAAGGGAGGATGAGCCACTCAGGGGTGTGTGTTGGGGGTAGGACTAAGGTCCCGCCACCTCTGAAAATGCCTGGGGTCTTGGCTATCCGGCTCTCACTCTTCCCCCTCCAGATGACAATAGCAGCCAAAGACCCCCTCGTGCTGCCCTTTGAACTTCTCAGCAGGGAGTCGGGGGCAGCGGAGTCCTAGGAAAAAGGGGGCAGCTGTCAGCTCTGCTGAGCCGGGGCTGGAGGAGCGCCGTCTCCGGTCAGCCTGCACCCCTCCCTCCCACCCAGGTCCAGCCTAGCGCCCTGGCCCCCTCCCCAACCCCGGCACTTCGGGCGCCCAGGCCGGGGGCGCGGGGCGGCGCGGAGCCAGAGCCGTTCCCGGACTTTGTGGGGCTCCCGAGGGGCCGGGCCGGGCGCCTGGCAGGGAGGAAAATGGCGTTGGATGCACGTACTTGAGTGAGTTCAGTGCCCATCAGGATGAGGAAGAGGAGGCTGAGGAGCTTCCGGGCCGGGTGCATGTCTCGCTGCCACCTCCAACGACCTGGCATGCAGGGCCCTGGGTGCTGGCCGGCCGGCGGCTGCGTGGACGCGGACGCGCTCCGGCTCTGGCCCCGGCTCCGCTGGCTCCGGCGGCGGCGCCTGGCTCGTGTCCCCACGCCTGGATTCAGCACCCGGAGCGGGCGGCGCGCGGGCTCTGCTGCGCGAAGCCTCCGCTCTGCATATTTATCGCGTCCCGGTTCCGGCGCGTCTGCCTCCGGGCAGGGCTGGGCAGGGCTGGGCTGGGCGGGAGCTGCGCCCTCCTCTCTCCTCGCCTCCTAATGGCTCCCCCGCGCGCCTGGCATTGGCGGAGAGAGGCGCGCCCTGCGGAGCACGAACGCGCGCTGGGCTGCGGTGGGTGCCAAAAGTTTGCTCGGAAGGGGCGGGGGCGGGGGTGGCGCAGAGGGACCCGCGCGCCTCGCTCTCTCCCGGGGAGGAGGGCGGCGGCCGGCGGGGAAGCAGGCTGGGACAGGATGTGACATCAAAAAGGCGGGGGAAATTGAACTGGGATAGAGAACTCCATCCTGGCCGGCCTGAGCCCTCGCGGGCTCCAGGTCCCGGGAATGGGGACAGAGGGGTTGCCCGCGCTGGGGACCTGGGCCCCTGGACAGGGAGTGGGCCGAAGATTGGGGGGGGGGAATGACAGCTGGGAGTGGGAGGGATGGGATGTTAAGTCTTGATGTCTATGGAGTGACAGGAGATAAAAGCTGAATGGGTCCTTAAAATTCACCCTTCAATGAGGTAAACTGAGGCTGGGTCAGGAAGGATGTTTCCAGGAGGAGGGGTCAGGGAGGAAGCCAGGGTTAGAACCCTGGTCACCTGGCACGCAGCCCTGATGAGTGGGGAGGTCAGCAAAGGGGTGGAAGCAGGAACAAGCATTGGGTGCTGGGCTCCTGTCCCCAGACAGGGCATGTGGACGAGAGTCTGTCTGTGTGCTCCTGGGGGTGGATACGACGTGCCTGTAAGGGGCCCTGTCATCGTGTGTTAGGTTGTGACACAGCTCTGCCCTCCCCAGGTGCCTTTTCTGAACCAGGAACCTAAGAGAGGAGCTCTCCCACCAGGGCCGGGGACTTCCAGAACCCCCTTGGCTCTGCCCGTCCTGGTGCCCTCCTTCCCTGGCCCTGGTGGGAGAGCTCCTCTTAGGTTCCTGGTTCAGAAAAGGCACCTGGGGAGGGCAGAGCTGTGTCACAACCTAACACACGATGACAGGGCCTCTTATAGGCACGTGCCAGGACCACAGGGCCCCTTACAGGCAGGTGCGTATCCACCCCCAGGACTCCCTTGGCTCCGCCCTTCCTGGTGCCCTCCTCCCCTTTCCTCCCTCTCTATGTCCCCTCTCCCTCCACCCTCCTTTAATGTGTACTCAGACCCGTTGACTAAAGGAGCTGTCTTGGGGCCCACGTTTTCCATTTAAATTCCTGATTTTGTGGAAGAGTCCCAAGCACCTGTATTTTCTGAGAAGCTAAGGTTGCAGTAGGTATCTAGAAGCCTCTCTCTGTTCTCTATTGTTTAGTCTTTAGTCTATGGAAAATAAACTCCCTAAAGAGAATCTCTGACAAGAAGAGACTCCAGACTCAATAATTGCAGAGAGCAGCACTGCCCAGGATGATGTGGCCCGGCCCCCTGTGTCACAGATGAGGCCGCTGGAGTTCAGGGGAGTCACGTACCGGGGTCACCCAGGGATATCCAGAACAAGGACAATGCCACCTCCTGCCCCTGTCACCATGCTGCTGGCATCTGGGAGGCATCCCCTGGGCATTGGGTGCAGGAGCTGGGCACATGTGCTGAAGAAGAGAAGATGGGAAGGGGCCCTCCGACACGGCCGTTGCACCCTGAGGGCCTTTGCTGTGGGGACTCTGTTCTCTGAGTGCTGGGGACAGAGCTCCCTCCAGGGAAGCCAGAGGGCCCGCCTGTTGGTCTGGGTGGGCTTCCCAGCCTCAGACGAGTTTAAGCAGTGGCATTCCTGGTGATATGCCACGGCCCCTGAGGCAGGGTGGCCCCCAAGACTCTGTGAGGAGATGGTGCTGGGAAGAAATTGGGGGGGGGGTGCAGCTGTGGAGGCTTCTTTTCTCTCTGCCCCCCTCATGTTACTACCCCCAGTGTCTTTGTTGTCCTAGAATGGAGGAAAGCTGTTTGTAAGCCCCTTGGGGATCGTTGAGAGAGGCAGCCAGGGGCCGGAGTGGACCCTGTGTTTGGAGCTGAAGGGATCTCCGGGTAGTGGCTGTCTGAGCCTCAGTCCCCACATCTGTCGAATGGGAATGAATGGTCCATATACTGCAGGTCTCGGGGCTACTGAGGAGATCCAGTGCAGGAATAAACACACTCTATATGCTTAAGAACTCTACGTGCATGGGGCACGCGCAGCACCCCAGGCCTCGACCCAAGTTTCTCCTTCAGCCTTCACATTGATGCTCCAAGTGGCCGCTAATAAATGTCTGGGCTCTGGGAGACCTGTGACATGGCCATAGAGCTGGAGTGCGACCCCCGTCTTTGGGGTTTTGTTCCTGTGGGCTGGGGAGGAAGGCTGCATTGATTTCCTTGAGTGGACTGAGGCCTCAGATCCAATTTTAGCAAGGATGGTTTTTATTTTTAAAGTTACACACCAGGTGACCCAGCAATTCCACTTCTGAGTACACACCCAAGGGAAGAGAAAGCAGGGACTGGAGCGGATATGTACACGCCTACGTTCATGGCAGCATTATTCATAACAGCCAAAAAGTGGGAACAGACAGGGCGTGGTGTCTCACGCTTGTAATCCCAGCACTTTGGGAGGCCGAGGCGGGTGGATCACCTGAGGTCAGTACTTTGAGACCAGCCAGGCCAACATGGTGAAACCCAGTATCTACTAAAAATACGAAAATTAGCCAGGTGTGGTGATGGGCACCTGTAGTCCCGCCTAGTCAGGAGGCTGAGGCAGGAGAATCGCTTGAACCAGGGAGGCGGAGGTTGCAGTGAGCCGAGATCACGCCATTGCACTCCAGCCTGGGGGACAGAACGAGACACCATCTTAATAAAACAAATAAGCAAACAAACAAAAAAGTGGGAACAACCCCTGTGTCCATCAACAGATGCATCAACAGACAGATGTGCTCCATCCAATGAACTGTTACCAGCGATGAAGAGAAGGGAAATTCCAACACATGCTACAACACAGATGAAGCTTGAAGACATTATCCTCAGCAAAATAAGCCGGTCACTGACGGACAAGTACTGCAGGATTCTGCTTTTATGGGGTCCCTAGAGTAGTCACATTCACAGAGCTGGGAAGTAGATTAGTGGTTACCAGGGGCTAAGGGGAAGGAGGTTGGGACATGATTGGTGAGTGGGTACAAGTTTAAGCCTGGAATAATGACAAAGTTTTGGAAGTCGACAGTGGTGACGGTGGCACAATATGGTGAATGTCATCAGTGCCACAAACTTGTGCACTTCATGGGTAAAATGGTAAATTTTATGTTATGCATATGTAACCACAGTTTTAAAAATATAGTAATATAATATACCAAAACCATTGAATTGTACACCTTAAGTGAGTGAATTGTATGGTATGTAAAACATATATATATATATATTTTTTTTTTTTTTTTTTTTTTTGAGACGGAGTCTCGCTCTGTCGCCCAGGCTGGAGTGCAGTGGATCGATCTCAGCTCACTGCAAGCTCCGCCTCCCAGGTTCATGCCATTCTCCAGCCTCAGCCCCCCGAGTAGTTGGGACTACAGGCGCCCGCCACCACGCCCAGCTAATTTTTTGTATTTTTAGTAGAGACGGGGTTTCGCCATGTTAGCCAGGATGGTCTCGATCTCCTGACCTCGTGATCCGCCCGCCTCGGCCTCCCAAAGTGCTGGGATTACAGGCATGAGCCACCACCTGTAAACTATATCTTAATAAAGCTGTTTTTTTTTTAAAAAAAAATACAGACTTATTATTGTATTTCTTTAAAAAGATAAAATACAAAGAAGAATGTAAAAGTAACGAAAGCCCCCTACCCAGAATAGCCAGTGTTGACCATGGGGCTGCTCTGCAGGCATTCCTCTGTGCACGTGATCAGGAAATGCAAAATGTGCAAACGTAAGAGGGTGGCCTCTAAGACCAAATGGCCTGGGTGCCAAGCCAGAGCCCCCCTCTTGGGAGCTGTTGAGGCCCTGGGCCAGTCACCCTCTCCGGGCCCCATTTATCTCCCTGGGGGTGGATTGATGATGGCAGCCCCACCTCAGTGCCCAGCTGAGTGGCGTCAGGGAGCCACAGCCGTGCCAAATATTTAGAACTGTGCCTGGCACGTGGCAATGGCTAGAAAGAAATAGGAAGGATGGGCAAATGCTGGTGTAAAAGATGACATCATCCTTCCCAGGCTTTGCAGCCCAGAAATATTAGATTGAACTGCAACGTAAAGAAGGAAGGGGAACAAAGTCAAGCCGAAGATGCTGCTGACTTCAAGCGCGTTTATCTTCACCATGCGAGGCATTGTTTCCTAGAAGAACCTTCTAAGATTGAGAAGGAAAAGTCTATGAAGACCGTTAACTGTTTGGAATTAGACATTCTCTATCCCGTGGTCCCGTTTTTGACAATAACGCCCACTTCCTCTTTTGAAAGCCTGGGTAATATTCAGCTCCTCTTTCTCTGGCCACCCTGTCCCTCCTCTCAATCTGTACTGCTTGTATTATTTGTATCTTGTCCGTACTTTTAATATTTATATTTGCTTCTGCAACCCAAGCTCCTAGCTCTTTGGCTCTAGTTCTGGATTTTGGGGAATCTGGCATCCACTCGGGCCCCTCGAGGAGGTTGCTCCGAGTTCTTCATTGTGTCCACCCCTTTGGGGTTGGCTGAGGTTCAGGTAGAGGGAGGCCACAGCCCGTGACACCAACACACCTCACTGCTGACAGATTTAGATGCTTGTCTTTTCCTCATCCCATGGCGTTCCTGTCTGCAAAATCAGGAAGCTCCCTAGAGCAGAGGCTCCATGTAGAGGTGGGTGTGGGGCCTGGGTCCCAAAGCTCCAGTCGGTCTGGGGCAGCTGCCCACCTCCTCCACCCCAGCTCTGAGATCCTGAGCTACCTTGGGATGAGGCCAAGTGGGTACCCAGCATCAGCCCGCCTCACTCTTTGGTGGGTACCGTGGGTCCTGGGACACCCCCACCCGCCCCTCTTCTGCTGCCTTCCTGATGGAGCTTGGGCAGCAGGCACCCAGGAAGCAGCCGCTTTCCCGCTGAGCTGCCTCAGGACACCAGCAAATCGATCTGCTTTGTGCTCCTCTAAGACAAGCCTCCTTCTACTGCTGAGCCCCATTAGAATGTGACAGAGCGTTGCCAAGGCAACGGCACTAACTCTCCCCTCCTCTCTGCGAATTTCCTAGCAAATGGGACCCAAAATCCACGCGATCGGCTCCCTGTGCCCTGAGCCTTCAGGCTGCCGGCTTCACCCTCTCCAAATCCAGCTGAGCCGAGCGAGCACCCAGATGGCCTCCCTGGCCCCTGGGGACACCGGCCTGGGGCGGTGGTGAATAGGCTCACAGAGGACCCAGGCTGCCCCTCCTTATCAGCTCCCTGGACTTGTGCACGGCAACCAGCTGCTTCTGTTTGGAAGCCGTCAAGCAAGGAAAGGGTGGCCAGCTCTGCTTCTGGGACCACCTGGGTGGTTTGGAGTTCTCAGCCCCACTGTGTGTTGGGCACGCGCTGAGCTTATGCCATTCTCTCACTAAATCCTTGCAGCCTAGGAGCACATTTGATGTTCACGGGAGTCAGTCGTGCACTTGCCGGTGTTCAGCCGGGGCAGGCAGCACCAAACCCTGCTCCGTGGTCTCCCCCTCGTCACTTCCCTGCTTGTCCAGCTGTGATTCCTCCAGAAGTCTCTCCTGTGCTCTCAGTTCCCTGGCGTTGCCCATCCTCCTGTCTTCCTGGCGACACCCAACTCTCTGTCCACCCCTCCCTGCTCCCTGACAGCTGAGCAGGGCCAGGGAAATCACACCGCCTTGTGGACTGGTCCCTGTTTGAATTCATGACCTCCCAGCCCAAGGGAGTCCTGAAATCCTGTCTCTGCCTCCCCCTGCCCACAGCCCCAACTCCCTTGGAGGGGCTCTAACTCTTTCTCCCCTGCTCCTCGGCCCTCCTCCTCCCACCTCTCCCCTGCCCCTCCGTCCTCCTCCTCACACCTCTCCCCTGCCCCTTGGCCCTCCTCCTCACACCTCTCCCCTGCCCCTTGGCCCTCCTCCTCACACCTCTCCCCTGCCCCTTGGCCCTCCTCCTCACACCTCTCCCCTGCCCCTTGGCCCTCCTCCTCACACCTCTCCCCCGGCAGATGACATGATTCTCACTGCACCGAGGAAGGCCCAGCCCAACTCTCAGCTCCCATCACAAGATCCACCACCCAGACTCCTGCCTGGCCCTGCCTTGCTCCTTGCAGGAGGTGAATCATCTCTGCCCCCATGCAGGACCACCATTCCGTGGGCCCGGGAGCTTGCCCCCTCCCTGCTCTGTCTCCCCACACCTGTCCTCTCGTCGAAAACATGTTGCCGTTTTTGCCCATCTTCACCAAAGAAATGTCTTTCCTTTCATCCCCTGCAGCCACGCCCCACCTCTCTGTCCTCCTTTGCAGAGATGAATGTCCACATCCCATCTCTCCAGGCTGCTCCTCCACACAGCTCTGGGCAAGCTCACCAGCGACTTCCTCGTCATCAAACGCAACGGTGGCAATGCCAGCCTTCATCTGACTGGAGGGAACCAGCGACACCCGGCACAGACTCTCCTCCCTCTACCCTGGAAGCCTCGCTTCCTCTGGATGGTGCATGCCCCTGCCTTGCGTGCCCTCGTCCCTCCCTGGCTGCTCCTCCCCAGGCTCTGTGCTGTGCTGGGCCTCACCGCCTTCCCACTTTCTTTTCTTTCTTTTTTTTTTTTTTAGATGGAGTCTCAATCTGTCTGCAGGCTGGAATGCAGTGGCGAGATCTTGGCTCACTGCAACCTCCGCCTCCCGGGTTCAAATGATTCTCCTGCCTCAGCCTCCCAAGTAGCTGGGACTACAGGTGCATGCACCACACCCAGCTAATTTTTGTATTTTTAGTAGAGACGGGGTTTCACCATGTTGGCCAGGCTTGCACCTTCCCACCTTCTAATGGTTGGGTGTTTCAAGGCTCTGTCCTCCATGGCCCCCCGCCAGGTGCCTCCTCCAGCGCAGGACAGGAACTCCCATTGCTGTGCTCCCCTCACTTACATCTCAGCATAGCCTCTTCTCTGAATTCCCAGCTCATACTGCACCACCTGACAGTGTCCCTTGGTATCTAACGTGCTTGTGCACCTGGCGAGTCTGCAGCACGGCTCTTTGTAGCCTACCCCAGACCCAGCCAGCTCCTGCCCCACCTTCCCAGTCCAGGGAACAGCAGTTCCGCCCTTCCTGTTGCCCAGGCCCAAATTCCAGGAGCTATGCCGGGCAACCCGCTTCCTTTTAAATCTCACATCCAACTCACCCGCAAGTCTTTCGGGCCAACCTGAATTATCCAGCACCGCCCCACACAGTCATCAACCACTCAACTGCATCCTCCAGTCTCCCTGCCGCCTCCCTAACCCTGCGGCCAGGGTGGATTTACAGAATCTTCCCTGAGGTCCTGACCCGGCAGAGGCTTCCCACAGGGCTGAGAGCCCTCCGTCCTCTGTCATGAGGTCCCCACCACCTCTCATATCCCACCCCCTTTCTCTCCCCTCGCTCAGTCCTGTTCGGCTGCACTGCCCTGCCCTGAGGCTGCTTGGGGACATCCCTGCTTTCCTGCCAGGAGCCTGTTGTCCCTGACGCCATGTGAATCCCACCCCGGCTTCATTCAGGCCCTGGACTCTGCTTTGTTTTCTTAGCTTTTCTGACTGTGTGATGGAGTAAGGCTCTCTCTCCCTCACTAGAGCTCCCTGAAGGCAAACAGAGCCCTAGTGAGGGAGAGAGAGCGTTATTACATCAGACAGGGCTGATGGTGAGAAGATACCCCAACCTGAGAAGCTTAAGGCAACGGAGATTCATTCTCTCCAAGTTCTGGAGGGGAGAAGTCCAAGACGAAGGTGTTGGCAGGGCTGTCCTCCCTCCAGAGGCTCTAGGGGAGGATCCTTCCTGCCTCCTGCAGCTTCTGGAGGCCCTGGGTGTTCCTAGGCCTGTGGCTGCTCCAGTCTTCCAGGCCAGCACCTTCAAGCTGTCTCTGCTGCATCTCCATGTCCCCTGCTCCTCCGCATGTGTCTCCCCCAACCCTGCATGTGTCTCTCCCCTCTGCCTGTGTCCCCACCGCTCCCTGCCGCGTGTGTCTTCCCCACTGCATGTGTCTCCCCGCCGTGCATGTGTCTCCCCCCAGCATGAGTCTCCCCCGGCATGTGTCTCCCCTCCTGCATGTGTTCCCCCCCATTGCACGTGTCTCTCCCCCACATGTGTCTCCCGCAATGTGTGTTTTCCTCCCCGCATGTGTCTCCCCTCCCCACATGTGTCTTCCCCCCCGCATGTGTCTCCCCGCTGCATGTGTCTCCCCCCGACATGTGTCTCCCCCAACCCTGCATGTGTCTCTCCCCTCTGCCTGTGTCCCTACCGCTCCCTGCCGCGTGTGTCTTCCCCGCTGCATGTGTCTCCCCCCCGTGCATGTGTCTCCCCCCAGCATGAGTCTCCCCCGGCATGTGTCTCCCCTCCTGCATGTGTCCCCCCCAACTGCATGTGTCTCCCTCTCACATGTGTCTCCCCCCATATGTGTTTTCCTCCCCGCATGTGTCCCCCCTCCCCACGTGTCTTCCCCCCCACATATGTCTCCCCCAACATGTGTCTCCCCCAGACATGTGTCTTCCCCTCCACATGTGTCTCCCCCACTGCATGTGTCTCCCCTCTTGCATGTGCCTCCTCTCCTGCATGTGTCCCCCCAAATGCATGTGTCTCCCCCACACATGTGCCTCCTCTCCTGCATGTGTCCCCCACTCTGCATGTGTCTCCCCTCCCCACATGTGTCTCCCCCCTGGCATGTGTCTCCCCCCCACATGTGTCTCCTTTCCTGCATGTGTCCCTCCAACTGCATGTATCTCCCTGCTGCATGTGTCTCCCCCCCAACCACGTGTCTCCCCCCCACATGTGTCTCCCCCAACATGTGTCTCCCCCAGACATGTGTCTTCCCCCCCACATGTGTCTCCCCCAACATGTGTCTCCCCCAGACGTGTGTCTTCCCCCCCACATGTGTCTCCCCCACTGCATGTGTCTCCCCCCGTGCGTGTGCCTCCTCTCCTGCACGTGTCCCCCCAACTGCATGCGTCTCCCCCACACATGTGTCTCCTTTCCTGCATGTGTCCCCCCAACTGCATGTATCTCCCCTGTGCATGTGTCTCCTCCCAACCACATGTGTCTTCCCCTGCCTCTTATAAGGATGCTTGAATTTAGTACCCACAGGGAGAGGACAGGAGGATCGGAAGACTCTGGATGTGGCCATATCTGCAGCTCACTTCTTCTGAATAAAGACCCATCAAGGTTCATGTCCAGCTCCAGGGATGAGAACATGGAGATCTTGGAGGGCTGTTACTCAGCCAATTGCAGGGACAGTGAGAAAACAAACAAGCAAGCAGATAGAAGAATTTGGTAAACGTCAGCCACAGCTGAGTGGTGTGAGCCTAATGAATAGGATGCTGGGCCCAGAGTCACTCGGGGAACATTTTGGGGAAGATGGCCCATGACTTGGGGAAGAGCACCCCATGCAGAGGCCTGAGGGTGAGAGTAGGTGGCTTTGGGGAAAGGTTGGGGGTTGGTGTCAGCAAGACTGGTGCAGGGGGAGGGCATGGGGAGCAGGCAGGGCCTTGCCAGCCCTGAACAGACCGTTAGCTCTCAGTATCATGAAACGGCAGTCACTGGGGTTTTGAGTGAGGGAGTGATGGTGTCTGATTTGTGCTTTGAAAACCCTGCCTCTTTGTGGAGAATGGATGAGGAGGATCCACAGGGAGCTACAGGGAAGGGGGGCTCACTCCAGGGGCCACTGGAAGGGGTCACATGAGTAACGACACAGCTTATGTGTTTGGTTTGGGGGCTCTGGGTGAGTAAGGGGCTTTCGTTGCACAAAGACAGAGAGAGGCAGGGTAAGGAAGGGAGGTCAGGAACGCTGTGGGGCATTGCAGGTGTCAGAGCCTGGGAGGAGATCCCAAGTGGAGATGCCAAAAAGGAGGCTGGACACGGCAGTCTGCTGTCCAGGGCCCAAGCGTAGGGGGAGACTGACCAGTGGGGACAGACAGCACCCATGAGGCTGGAGGGGTTCCCCAAGGGGAAGCAGGATGGGAGGATGGGAGCCGAAGGGCAGAGAGAGGTCCTCCACAGAGCCCAGGTCCAGGGATGTGGGGCTGGTCAGGGGCCAAGGAAGCAGCTCTAGAAACTATCACTAAGGATGCCACGTGGACAGCCTTGGTGGGCTGCCCTGGGCTGGCATGGTGCCCAGCAGGCTAAGAGCAGGGCTCAGGCCCCAGGTCATTGCCCCAGCATGGTTCTTGTTATTCAGAACCAGTGTGAATCCCAGAGGGAGGCCCTGTCTGCCCAACCCTGAGCCAGAACATGCCGTCCACTTGCCATTGTTGGACTGAATCCCAACTCAGTGCCTCCTGATTCTTGCCTGAGAGCCCAGCCCAGATCCTCAAGTGAAGGGCTTGGTGGGTGATATGGTTTGGCCATGTCCTCACTCAAATCTTATCCTGAATTTCCACATGTTGTGGGAGGGAACCAGTGGGAGGTAACTGAATCATGGGGGCAGGTCTTTCTCATACTGTTCTCATTATAGTGAATAAGTCTCACGAGATCTGACGGTTTTATAAGGGGGAGTTTCCCAGCATAAGCTCTCTCTTTGCCTGCTGCCATCCATGTAAGACATGACTTGCTAGTCCTTGCCTTCTGCCATGATTATGAAGCATCCCCAGCCATATGGAACTGTAAGTCCATTAAAACTTTTTCCTGTATAAATTACCCAGTCTCGAGTATGTCTTTATTAGCAGCATAAAAACAGACTAATACAGTACGTTGGTACCAGTAGAGTGGGGCACCACTGTAATGATAGCTGAAAATGTGGAATTAACTTTGGAACTGGGTAATAGACAGAAGTTGGAACAGTTTGGAGGGCTCAGAAGAAGACAGGAAAATGTGGGAAAGTTTGGAACTCCCTAGAGATTTGTTGAATGGCTTTGACAAAAATGCTTATAATGATATGGACAATGAAATCCAGGCTGAGGTAGTCTCAGATAGAGATGAGAAACTTGTGGGGAACTGGAGCAAAGGTGACTCTTGTTATGCTTTAGCAAAGACACTGGCAGAATTTTGCCTCTGCCCTAGAGATTTGTGGAACTTTGAACTTGAGAGAGATGATTTAGCATATCTGGTGGAAGAAATTTCTAAGCAGCAAAACATTGAAGAGGTGACTTGGGTGTTGTTAAAGGCATTCAGTTTTATAAGGGAAGCAGAGCATAAAAGTTTGGAAGATTTGCAGCCTGACAATGTGACAAAAAAAGAAAATTGCATTTTCTGAGGAGAAATTCAAGGTGGCTGCAGAAATTTGCACAAGCAACAAGGACCCGAATGTTAATCCCCAAGACGATGGGGAAAATGTCTCCAGGGCATGTCAGAGGTCTTCACAGCAGTTCCTCCCATTGCAGGCCCAGAGGCCTAGGAGGAAAAAATGGTTTCACGGCCCAGGCCCAGGGTCCCCATTCTGTGTGCAGCCTAGGGACTTGGTGCCCTGCATCCCAGCCACTCCAGCCATGGCTGAAAGGGGCCAATGTGGAGCTCAGGCCGTGATTTTAGAGGGTGCAAGCCCCAATCCTTGGCAGCTTCCATGTAGTGTTAGCCTGCAAGTGTACAGAAGCCAATAATTGAGGTTTGGGAAACTCCACCTAGTTTTCAGAAGATGTATGGAAACATCCTCTGTTGCCTGGATGCCCATTTGCTGCAGGGGCGGGGCCCTCATGGAGAACCTCTGTTAGGGCAGTGCAGAAGGGAAATGTGGGGCTGGAGCCTCCACACGGAGTCCCCACTGGACCACCACCTGGTGGAGCTGTGAGAAGAGGGCCACCGTCCTCCAGACTCCAGAATGGTAGATCTACTGACAGTTTGCACTGTGTGCCTGGAAAACCTGCAGACACTTAACGCCAGCCTGTGAAAGCAGCTGGGAGGGAGGTGGTACCCTGCAAAGCCACAGGGACAGAGCTGCCCAAGACCAGGGGGACCTACCTCATGCATCAGTGTGACCTGGATGTGAGATATGGAGTCAAAGGAGATCATTTTGAAGCTTTAAGATTTGACTCCCCTGATGGTTTTTTGACTTGCATGGGGCCTGTAGCCCCTTTGTGTGGGCTAATTTTTCCCATTTGGAAGGGCTGTATTTAGGCAATGCCTATACCCCCATTGTATCTAGGAAGTAACTAACTTGCTTTTGATCTTACAAGCTCATAGGCAGAAGGGACTTGACTTGTCTCAGATAAGACTTTGGACTGTGGTCTTTTGAGTTAATGCTGAAATGAGTTAAGACTTTAGGGGACTGTTGGGAAGGCATAATTCATTTTGAAATGTGAGGACATGAAATTTGGGAGGGGCTAGAGGTGGAATGATATGGTTTGGCTGTGTCCCCACCCAAATCTCACCTTGAATTCCCACATGTTGTGGGAGGGACCCAGTGGGAGGTAGCTGAATCATGGGGGCAGGTCTTTCTCATGCTGTTCTTGTGATAGTGAATAAATCTCACAAGATCTGATGGTTTTATAAGGGAGAGTTTCCCAGCATAAGCTCTCTCTTTGCCTGCTGCCATCCATGTAAGATGTGACTTGCTCCTCTTTGCCTTCTGCCATGATTATGAGGCCTTGTCAGCCACATGGAACTATAAGTCCATTAAACCTTTTTCCTGTATAAATTACCCAATCTCAAGTATGTCTTTATTAGCAGTATGAAAACAGACTAATACAGTGGGTTTCTGTGGTGGGATTTCTATCCTGGTAGCCTGCCTGGTACTCAAGTTTCCTTCTGGGAGAGGGAGAGGGGAGGAAATGTGCCTTTACTAAAACTGAACGTGGACTATGGTGCCAGGGTGTGTGTGTGTGTTTCCCTGTGCATGCATGAAGTGCATTCTGGCTTCATCTATATTCATGCCACCCTGCTTCCTCCTTAAAGTGAGGGAATTGGGTCTCAGATATGCTAAGGTCCATGCGCTGGGATGTGGCAGAGCCGCAGTTCTGCTGGTTTCTAGAGCTCCTCTTCTTCCCCGATCCCACATCACCTCACGAGAGTCAGGCTCAGCTTTGATCTTGTAACCCTCTGCTCCCAGGGCTGGAGACCTGCTTCTGAATTCCACCCTTGTAGCCAAGAGCCATCCGGGACATAAACAGATGGTGACAGAGCCACTGCTTGCTGAACAATTAACTTGTGCTGGGCCCTAAGCTGAGCTCTTTGCAGCAGGAATTTTCCCCTTCCTTGCTTTATGGAGAGTGCACTGCTCTTGCTTCATTTTACAGTTGAAGAAACTGAGGCAGAGATGGAGGAGAATTGCTGGCTCTAGGTTACTGGGCCAGGAGTGGCTGAGGCTGCCTCAAACCCAGGATCCTTGGGATTCAGAGCTGGGATCTGCCCCCAGCTCCCTCGTTACAGCTGCCCTCTCCTCCTCTGGGGTCTCCCTCAGCCCCAAATATCCATCTGCAGAGATAGCCGCTCAGAGAGGTCTGAAGTTTCACCTGCTTGGTTCCAGGGTGCAATTTGAGAACAAAGCTAAAAAAAAACCTAAAGGCTATTAAATGCACTAGTGAAGGTCATTGGTTTAAGAGAAAAGGCAAAAGGAAATGAGACACATCAATTTCAACGGTCTTTCCGGCTAGCATTTTGTTAGCAGCGACCCAGCGGATTTAACAACAACAACAACAAAAATGGAGAATATCTGATAATTCTGTACCAAGCCTGCTACTTAGGAAAAGTCTCTGGGGGCCTTCTTGGTGATGCCAATGCATGGAAATGAAGCAGGCAATTGCTTGACCTCCACGACGTCCTCTTCTAAATCTGTGTTTAAGATGAAGAGGCTCCGCGAAGACTTGAGTGGCTGCTGCGTGGAGATGCAGGGGCTGAGACTGAACATGAAGTGCTTCTGGGGCTCGTGAAGCGCCCACCCCCGGTGGAAAGGCTAGCGGGAGGCCCTCTGTGGGCTCCGGTTTCAAGAATGATGGTTCAGCTTGTACTCGCACCAGTATCCCATTTGCTTCTGAATTCACTCGCAGGGCACAGATTCAGGAGAAGAGCTGGAGGGGCAGGAAGGCTCAGGCTGTGGTGGTGGAGGTCTCTGGTCCTTTGTTTCTGGGGTTGCAGCCCCAGCCCCATCCTCTCCCCCACAGCATTGCAGGGCTGCTAGGTTAGTGCTGAGACTTCATGTGCTTTGCACAACTAAAATATTAATAAACAAACTGGACACACAGATTTCCTTAAGGTGAAGGATCAGAGAGCCCTGCCGGATCTGGGAATATTTATCCACCAAGTACCATTTGCATCTGTATCTTCCTGTACCAGCGTTTTTCCGCTATACCAGGTTGTCTTTCGAGGATTAGGTTCAGCTTTGATCTTGTCATTCCCACTCCCAGGGCTGGAGACTGGCTTCTGAATTCCACCTTTGTAGCCAAGAGCCATCAGGGACATAAACAGATCGTGAGAGAGCTGCCAGTTGCTGAACAATTAACTTGTACCAGGCCCTGCACTGAGCCGTTTGCAGCAGGAATCTTCTCCCTCCTCACCCTATGGGGTGGATGCTCCATGCCAGGTGCTGGACCAGCAGGGAAAGGGAAGGGGATCTGAAATCCAGAGAGTGGTTGGTTGGCTCTGGCCCATATGGGAACCCCATGGGCGTCCTGGTCTCTGAGCTGTTGAAACAGCCCTCTTGGCTGGGTCTGTCTGCTTATCTTTGCTGGGGGGCATATCCCCTTTGGCAGGACCATGGGACTCTGGGATGGGTACTCTGCATCCTGGGAGACAAGTGGGCATTGGGAGAGAGGGAGGGGGAGGCAACAAACCAGGCAGATGGCACTGAAACCCCAGGTGCAGAGTCCTCCTCCTGTCCGAGCTCCTCATTCCTGGGCCAGCCTCATCCTGTGCCTGAGCTGCACTTAGTGGAGCCCCTGAGCCAATGATGTCATTGAGGTTCATTTCCTCTGCAAGTTCTTTTCCTCTCTGGGACTCTCTCTGAGAGTGGCCCCAGGAGGACACCCAGGCTTCAGTTGGGGTGGCCAGAGCCACTGTGTGCCCCAGCCTGGATGGCCTCAGCAGTCCCTTCGCAGTCTCCCGGTCCACCCTTGCCCCAGATGACCAAAGATACTGGGCATCTTCTTGTGTGCTTATTGGCCCTGTGCATATTGTCTTGAGCTGTGCCCAGCTGTTTTGCCCATTTTCTAATAGATATTTTTGTCTTCTCCATGAATTGTAAAAGTTCTTCCTATATTCTGGGTATAAGTCTTTTGTCAGATAGATGTATTTTCAATACTCTCTTCCACTCTGTGCCTTGCTCCTTTTTGGTTTGTTTTCTTAGCGGTGGCTTTCAAGTTTTCGATTTTGATAAAGTTAACTTTTTCAATTTATATTTTGTGGTTTGTGTTTTTTGCAACCAACCTAAGAAATCTGTGCCCCACAGTTACAAAGATTTTCTCCTGTTTTCTTCTGGAAGTTTAGTATTAGCTTTTGCACTTTGCCCTATGATTCGAGTTTTGCTTTTGTATGTGGTGTGAGGTGAGGGTCAATTTTCATTTTCTCTTCATAGGTTTACCCCATAATTCCAGCAGCATTTGTCAAAAAAATTCTTCTTTCCCCATGAATTGCCACTGCACTTTGGTTAATCATGAATTTCACATATGTGTGAAATATTTCTGCACTCTCTGTTAGAGATCACTGCTTTATATATGTATCCTTTTGCAAAATCCTCACTGTCTTGGTTATTATACATTTACAATAAATCTTAAAATCAGATGAGTTTGAGCCCTCCACTTTGTTTTTGTGCTTTTTCAGGGGTGAAGCACATAATCTGAAGTCCACTTATATTTGGGCTGTGTATCCTTCATATTAATAAAAATGCTGATCTAGTGGAGCTACTCTTAGCATTTATATTTAAGCTTATTTTTCAATGAACCTTTACCTTTACATCTTTTTAGGTTAGCCTACACCTTTAAATCTTTCTGAAAACTGCTTTTACTGATGTATATGTGTATCGTACACATGGCATATATATGTGGGTTTATATATCATACACTTTGTTTATATACCTATAACTTGATGAATTTTTGCAAACCAAACACATCCATGAATCCAGCACAAGTTAAATAAACAGAACGTTCCCAGTCCCCGAGAAAGCCCCTCCTGCTCCTTTCCAGTCCCTAAGCCCCAGTGCTCACTACTCTGGATTTTAAACCTTAGTTTTGCTTGTTTTGTGCTTTACGTACATGAAACATAGAATGTCTCCATTTGATGATGTGATTTAAGTAGAACTATACTTGGAAAGCTCACAATTACACAATTATTTATATTCGGCACTAAACACATTTCCCATTTGATCCAAGTAGAATTAGTCTAAGGGTTTCTGCCGCTTGCTTGATGATAGGAATGACAGAGGTATCATTAAAATGTAGACCCCAGGTTCCTTTGCTGACAATTCAAATCCAGTGGATGGATCTGGGCCTGGGAATCTGTATTTATTTATTGCTTTTATAATTATTTTTAATCGACATAGAATAATTGCCCATACTTATGGGGCACAGTGTGAGATTTTAATACATGTATACAGTATGTAATGATCATTTGATTTCAGGGTGATTAGCATAGCCATTGCTGCAAACATTTATCATTTCTGTGTGTTGGGAACATTTGAAATCCACTCTCCTAGCTATTTATTAAATTGTTGTTAATTAATTACAGTCATCCTAGGTGCAATAGAGCCCTGAACTCATTCCTCCTCCCTAGCTGGCCATTTACATCCCTTAACCAACCTTTGATTACCCCGCCTTCCCTTCAACTTTGTTCTTTTTAAAAATTGCTTTGGCTATTCTAAGTCATTACCATTTTTGTATACATTTTTTTAATCAGCCTGTCAATTTCTCCATTCCAGTAAAATGCCTCCTGGGTTGCACTGAATCTATAGATCAGTTTAGAGAGGACTGACCTTTTGACAATGCCGGATACATAAATAGGGTCTGTCTTCCATTTACTTACGTAAATTTCTCTCAGCAGCATTTCATGGTTTTCAGTGAGGAGGAGTTACACTTTTTTGTTAAATTCATTCCTTCTGTGGCTTGTGGTGCTATTGTAAGAGTAATTTTTAAAATTTCACTTTCTAATTGTTTGATATTAGTATATAAACTGTGACTGATTTCTGTATCTTGTATCTTTCAATTTTGCTACATGCACTTATTAATTCCAGTAATTGTTTTACAGACTTCTTAGCATTTTTTACACAAGCAATTATTTTACCCACAGATAGGAACTGCTTTATTTCTTATCAAATCTGAATGCTTTTATTTCTTCATCTTCCTTTTGCAATGACTAGAATTTCAAGTAAATGTTTGAATAGAAGTGGCGAGAGCAAGAACTCTTGTTACCAATCTTATAGGGAAGATTAAGTGTGATAATTAGCTATGGATTTTACATAGCTACCCTTTATTCTTTATAAGGGGTATGCTTTATAAAGCTACCCTTTATCCTACCCTTATTCTTATTTCTCTGGGAGTTTATGATTGGATATGGAATTTTTATCTGATGTTTTTCTGTATCTATTAAAATGATTATATGGTTTTCTGCCTTCCTTTATTCTGTTAATATGGTGAATGACACTGATTGAGTTTCAAATGTTAAACCAACCTTGCATTTTGAGATAAAATTTACTTGTTCATAATGTACTATTATTTGTATATGTTGCTAGATTTCCTGAGTTGCTATTTTGTTAAGGATTGTTGTGTCTATGTTTGTGAGGAGTATTGGTTTATAGCTTTTTTCTTTTTTTCTTGTGATGTCTTTGTTTTGGTATCAGGATTACACCGGCCTCATAAGACAAGTTGAGCCATTTTCCCTTCTCCTCTTCTTTCTGAAAGGGTTTGTGTATATTCGGTGTTATTTCTTCTTGAAATGTGCTCGGAATTCACAAGTGAAACCATCCAGGCCTGAAATTTTCTTGGCGAAATTTGTTTTTATTTTTTAAAAAAACATTTTTAAAATAGCTATATAGATATTCAGATTTTCTCTTTCACATAATGTAAATTTTGGTAGGTTGCATTTTTCAAGGCTTTTCCTCCTTTTAACAAAGTTGTCACATTTGTTGGCATAAAGGTGTTCATGATATTCTCTTATATTTTTAATGTCAATGAATTTGTTTGCAAATTGTTATTCATAATAATTCCTCATCTTTTTAACATCTATAAGATCTGAAATCACATTCATTCTTTTATTCCTGATATTGACATTTTTGTTCTTCCTCATTTTTTTCTGGGTAAGTTTAGGGTTTTGTCATTTGTTTAATCTTGTCAAAGAATACATTTTTAGCTTTGTTAGTTTTCTCTATTTTTGATTGATTTCCCATTTCTTTGATTTCTTTACATATTGTTATTATTTTCTTCCTTCTACATACCTAGACTGATTTTGCTCTTCTTTTAGTTCTTGAGGGAGAACTTTAGATTTTGATTTTAAACCTTTATTCATTTCAGATAAAAACATTTTAAAGCTATAAGTTTCCTTCTACGCACTGCTTTAACTGAATCCCATAAATTCATATGTCACACTTTCATGATCATTTTTTGAACTATTTTCTAATTTCCACTGTGATTTCTTCTTTGACCATGAATTATCTAGAAGTATGTTGTTGACACCCATATGTATAGGAGTTTCCCAGATACCTTATTGTCACTGATATCTAATTTAATTCCATTGCAGTTAGAGAACATGCTCTGTATGACTTCAGGTCTTTAAAATGTATTATATTTATTTTATGGCTTAGAAATGACTCATCTTGCTGAGCTGACCACGTGTACTTAAAAAAAAAGTCTGTCTTTTGGTTGTTGGGTGTACTGCTCAGCACATATCAATCATATCAATACAATTGATATGATTGATGTAATTTGGCTATTCTAAGTCATTACCATTTTCATATAATTTTTTTTTCAGTGTTTTATTGACTTTTTTTCTCCCGTTCTTTTATCAGTTGCTGGAGAAGGGTGTCAACGTCTCTTACTATGATCATGGAATTATCTTTCTTCCTTTAGTTTTGTAATGTTTGTTTCATGTATTTTGAAGCTCTGTTATTAGGTGTACACACATTTGCAATTATTTTGTCTTCCAATAAATTAACCCTTTGGTCTTTATGAAATTTCTGTCTTTATCTTTGACAACATTCTTTGTCTATTTTACCTGACATTAATAAAGCTGCTTTAACTTCTTGGTCTGACTGTTTGCAAGGTTTATGGTTTTTCATCCATTTACTTTCAATCATTGTCTTTATATTTAAAGTGCTTCTCTTATAGAGAGTACATAGTTAGGCCTTGCTTTTTTATTTTTTAAAGAAATCATCTGGATTACTGTCTTTTTACTTGTTTTGTTTTTTCTCTCTTTTTTTTTTTTTTGGTTCTTCTCCTACTTTCCTACCTTCTTTTTTTTTTTGAGATGGAGTCTCGCTCTGTCGCCCAGGCTGGAGTGCAGTGGCACGATCTCGGCTCACTGCAAGCTCCACCTCCTGAGTTCACGCCATTCTCCTGCCTCAGCCTCCAGAGTAGCTGGGACTACAGGTGCCTGCCACCATGCCCAGCTAATTTTTTTGTATTTTTAGTAGAGATGGGGTTTCACCTTGTTAGCCAGGATGGTCTCGATCTCCTGACCTCGTGATCTGCCCGCCTCAGCCTCCCAAAGTGCAGGGATTACAGGCATGAGCCACTGCACCCAGCCCTCTTTCCTACCTTCTTTTGGATTATTTCATTAATTTTTAGAATTCCAACATACTTTACCTATTGACTTTTAGTGATACATTTTTGCATTATTCTTTTAGTGGTTATGCTAAGGATTATGATATACTGATATGATTTGGCTGTGTCCCCACCCAAATCTCATCTTGAATTCCCATGTATTGTGGGAGGGACCTGGTGGGTGGAAATTGAATCATGGGGGCAGGTCTTTCCCATGCTGTTTTCGGGAGAGTGAGTAAGTTTCATGAGATCTGATGGTTTTTATAAGGGGGAGTTTTCCTGCACAAGCTCTTCTCTTTTTTTTGCCTGTACCATCTCTGTAAGATGCGATTTGCTCCTCCTTGCCTCCTGCCATGATTGTGAGGCCTCCTCAGTCATGTGAAACTATAAGTCATTAAGCCTCTTTCTGCCATGATTGTGAGGCCTCCTCAGTCATATGAAGCTATAAGTCATTAAGCCTCTTTCTGCCATGATTGTGAGGCCTCCTCAGTCATGTGAAACTATAAATCATTAAGCCTCTTTCTTTTGCAAATTGCCCAGTCTCGGGTATGTCTTTATCAGCAGTGTGAAAATGGACTAATACATAGACATTCCCGTATTTTTCAATCTGGCTAATATTGTACCACTTAGCAATCCTATAGAGCCTTCCACACCCTTATCCTTATGTGATAGTAATCAAATGAATAATTTCATAAACATTATAAACCCCATAAGACCCAGTACACTTTTTGTTTTAACCAGTCCTATGTGCTTTAACAAAATGAAGGGAGACATAGTCTTTTTTCTATTTACTTCTCTGTTTCCTATTCCCGATGCTCTTTTGTTTCTGAACACCCAGATTTCCACCTGGTGGTGTTTTCTTTCTGCTGAGGAAATTTCTTCAGCATTTCTTGTAGGGAAGGTCTCCTGAGAAAAGGCTATTATAGTTTTCCTCCAACTGGAAATGCCTTTACTCTTCGTTGTTGAAGAATATTTAATTGGATATGGAGTTCTGGGTTGAGAAGGCTCTCTTCTTAACCTCCATGATTTCGGATGAGAAGGCTGAAGCTGTGGTTGTTCTCTTGTCCTTTTCCTCTTCCTACTTTCAACGTTTCTTCTTTATCTTTGGGTATTAGCCATTTGCTGCTGTGCCTGGATGTGAGCTTCTGCAAATGTATCCTGATTGCAGTTCCTTGTGCTTCTTGAATCATAAATTTATACCTTTCGCCCAATTTCATGAGTTTGAGGACATTCTTTCTTCCATTTTTTTCTTTCCCATGCTCTCTCCTCTCCTTTTGAGATTCCAATACTTGCTTGTGAGATTTTCCTAAAATAAGTTTCTGAGGTGTGATTCATCCTTATAGTGTCTTCTCTCTCTCTCTCTCTTCTTTGGATTAGATGATGACGATAGTTCTATATTCAAGTGTACCCTCTATCACCCCCAATCTGCTACTGACTCTATCAGGCAAATTTTTTTTCTTCTGCTTTATTTTTGAGTTCTAACATTTCCGTTGGATACTTTTTACACATTCTGTATCTCTGCTACAATTTTTTTCTTCCCATTTGCTATGAGAATATTTTCCTTTTCCACACTGAGCATAGTTAAAAATAGCTGTTCTTGTCTAGTAATTCCAACATTCGGTTCATCCTGAGGTTCATCGTGGAGTATTTTTCCTCGTAAATGAGTCACATCTTCCTGACTTCCACATTCAAATATTGAATAATTTTGAAGACTATTACTGCTATGTTGTGAGATTCTGGATTCTGTTATATTGCTCCAAAGAGGGTTGATGTTTTTGTTTTAATAGCCAATTTACTTGGTTAGAGCAAAACTGCAAACACTGTCATGCCAGTAGTTGACAGGTGTATGAGTCAGGGTTCTCCAGAGAAACAGAACCGATGGGGTCTGCAGAGAGAAAGAGATTCAGTATGAGGATTGTTTCATGTGGCTGTGGAGCCTGAGAGGCTCCGTGGATCTGTCACCTGCAAGCTGGAGACCCCAGAGAACCCATGGTATAAACCCCAGGCCGAGGGGCAGAGGAAACCGATGTCTCAGCTCCAGCATTCAGACAGAGAGAGGGCGTTCTCCTTCCCCCTCCCCTGTTATCCTTAGACCCTTGAAGGGTTGGATGATGCCCACTGGCATGGGGATTGCTGTTGGCTTTACTGAGTTCACTTATTATCACAGTGTGAGAATGGCTTCATACAAGCGTGGGGCAAGCTTTATGTTTCTCCAGCTTGATCTCTTCCAGAAACGCCCCCCACAGGCGCATCCAGAAATCATGTTTAGCCAAAGACCTGGGTACACCATAAGCTAGTCAAAATGAGGCATAAAATTAACTGTCACAGTGGGACCCCAAATCCCACTTCAAGCTGCTTCTCGTCTGTTTCACATGCACGCTGCAGGGTCCAGCTGGAGTCCTGGGCAGAGTTTGTATACAGAATGGGGGTTTTCCATTTCCCTTCTTGGCTTCCTCTTTTTCTGGGTTTCTGCTCACTCTCCACCAGCCTGCTGGGTTGGGGCTTCTTTCTGTGCTTCCTCCAGCCAGAAGGACGGCAGATTTTCCCACCACAGACCTAGCAGCCTGGTGCTGCTCCATGACCATGAGCCCTCTGGACAAGCTGGAGAAACACGGAAGTCGCCCCACACTTATATGATACCATTCTTGTGCTGCTATAAAGAATGACCTGAGACTGGAGAATTTATTTTATTTTTATTTATTTATTTATTTTGAGACGGAGTCTCTCTCTGTCGCCCAGGCTGGAGTGCAGTGGCGTGATCTCGGCTCACTGCAAGCTCCACCTCCGGGGTTCACGCCATTCTCCTGCCTCAGCCTCCTGAGTAGCTGTGACTACAGGCACCCACCACCACACCCGGCTAATTTTTTTGTATTTTTGGTAGAGATGGGGTTTCACTGTGTTAGTCAGGATGGTCTTGATCTCCTGACCTCGTGATCCGCCTGCCTCGGCCTCCCAAAGTGCTGGGATGACAGGCGTGAGCCACTGCACCCGGCCAAGACTGGAGAATTTATGAAGAAAAGTGGTTTAATTGGCTCGTGGTTCTGCAGCCTGTACAGGAAGCATGGTGCTGGCATCTGCGTGGCTTCTTGGGAGGCCTCAGGAAACTTATAATCATGGCAGAAGGCAAAGAAGGAGGCACGTCTTCCATGGCTGGAGCAGGAGCAAGAGAGATTGCTGGGGGAGGTGCCACACACTTTTAAACAGCCAGATCTCATGAGAACTCACTCACCATGTGGTATCAAGTGGGGAGGGTGCTAAGCCATTCATGAGAACCCCACCCTCACGATCCAATCACCTCCCGCCAGGCCCTACCTCCAGCACTGGGGATTGCAGCTGAACATGAGATTTGGGTGAGGACACAGACCCACACCACATCAACAGTCACCACCTGCACACTCGTGTTCCCGTCCAGTACCTGCCTGTGTGTGTTTAGACCCACACCACATCAACACTCACCACCTGCACACTCCTATTCCCGTCTAGTACCTGCCTGTGTGTGTTTATTCCCCACAGCCTTCAGGCGGTTGTGATTTTGCATTTCACTTAGCATTTAGTTACTTCTTGTGAGAGAATGGTTTTTTTGGGAGTTTCTTTGTGTATCTTGGAAATGGAACCCTGGAAGCCATTTATTGTTTACCAGCTGGAGGGGGCAGGCAAGGAGAAGCAGTTTTATTTTCAAATGTAGCCAACCCTGGTCCTCTCCCATTTACCAGGCCAGCCTTTAACATGTCTTGCTACTCTGGCATTTTATCCTTGGCCTCCAGAAGCAGCCAGGTGGTGTTTTGAATATTCTGTCTTGAAACTTCGTAGGTAGCTTATTGAGTTTATTAAGGTGATTTCTAATTTTCCTTGAAGCCACGTTGGTACCAGGCTTTTTGCCAGGACATGACAAGGGTCTCGTGCCTCCAAGCCGCTGTTAACATTTCCCTCCCCTTCCTCTCAGCCCTCGCTCTCAGCCTCCTGGAGTCCCCTTGGTTGTCCACAGACACTCTCAGGTCCCGCCGCACTTTGCTTCCTCTCAGCAGCCGGCCTCAGGGCAAGTCACATGTGTTCGGTTTTGGATCTGGCGATACCTCCTCCAGGCCCTGTAAGCGATTCCATACCTGTAATGCATAACAAGTCAATCCACACCCGGTCCTCAAACAACAATAATCGTTTATTTTAATCACCAATCTGCAGTTGTAGTAGAGCTCAGAAGGGGCAGTTTATTTCTGCTCCATAAAGCATCAGCTGGGGTGGCTTGAAGGTGGAGAGGGCCCAATGGCAGGTGCTGGGCTCACCTGAAGCCTCATCCTACCCTCGGCTGCTGATGCTGGCTGGCACCTGGCACCGCCACTGGGGGTGCTGGCATAAGACCTTCACGTAGCTTCTCCATGTGGCTGCCTGGCTTCCCCCAGCACAACTGCTGGGTACCCAGGGAAGTTCAGGAGAACAAGGTAGAAAGACACACATGGCTTTTTTGTGAGCTGGCCTTGGAAGTCACATCACATCGCATCTTCTGTACCCTATTGGGTGAGGCGGCACAAAGCCTGCCTGGGATCCAGGAGTGGGGACACGGGCCCCCCCACAAGATAGGAGGAGGGCTGCCCTCACATTGTAGGAAGAACATGCATGGGGGATGGAATCTCTCACGATGGCAGGTCTGGAAAAGACCAACTGCCATGGCATCTAATGAATGAGTGAACCTTAATAATTATTCATGAAGAGGCAACCATCCTCTCTTCTGCTTTAAAGAGCTCAGAATGGATTGTCCAAATAGTTCTGTTTTAAAACACCTCTTTGGTCTGCAGCATTGCACTAGGCACTACTCAAAAATTCTATTCTTCAATTAATAGTAATAACCATGGGGATGATGGAGAGGCATGCTCACACGGGGGTTGTTGTGTGCCGGCCCTTTTCCTAGGGCTTTACAGGGGTTAACTCATCGAGAGTCTCCCTCCTCAAAGCCTCTGATGTCATTTCCTGTCCCTTCCTCTCAACCCTCATTCTCAGCCTCCTTGCAGCCACAAACACTCTCAGGCCTGTTGTAACCGAAAGAGACGAAACATGTGCCCTGAGATCTGAAGTCTGAAATCCTGATGCAGATGAAGGCACCCATGCGTGCCTTGAGCTGGTTTTCTTCCCACCACCGCCCAGCTCACCACGCTGCTTTTCTCTTTGTCGTCCCGAGGTCTGGTCCCCGGGAGGCCTGATGATCCCACATATCCAGGACTCAGCACGACAGGCCCAGCATTGCGCGGGAGTGCCAGGGAGCCCTTGTGAGTCCAAGCCTGCCTTGAATTTGGGACAGAAGGTGACAGGCACAGGGCCAATGGCCCAGGGTCACTGTGAAGGCAGAGCAGGGGCACCTGGAGGGGTCATCTGGCCAAAAATATTTGGAGGTTCTTTCCAGCTCTAAAATGCTGCTTCGAATCAGATGAGAGAGCAGGGGAGCCAGGAGGGCCGCCCATTCAGTGCCTGCTGGACGTCGAGGCATCGGCACAGTGGGGGGTCCGAACCCGCCCTGCCTCACTCTGCGCCAGGCCCAATGCCTGTGTCTGGATGGGCACCGCCCGATGCTCACCCAACAACAAACATAAGTCAGCAGGCGGGAGCTGGGCAGGCCTGTCAGACTTCCTCTAAGGCGGCTCCTACAAGACCAGGGGCGTGGGCACATTTGGCCCTCATTCGCTTCGTTCTGACGAACAAGGCTCAAGCAACAGTCCCTGTCACCGTCTCCTGAATCACCAGAGTGGCCTTCTGTCCATTCTGCCCCCTGCCTCCCCATATTAAATCCATCCTGCCACGCAGTGTCCTCAAGGAAAGCGGTCTCTCTTCCACACTGGTCTGCAGATCTTATCTTGCTCTTTATTTCCAAGGTAGCAGTCAAACTCCGTATCTGGGACCCAATTCCTGTCCCTCCTGTCTTGGAATGAAAGGAAGGGGCTGCCTCTGTTTCAGGGATTGGAGCTCCATGACTTTGACTCTTTGGAAGCAAATCTTGCAGGAGGAAGGATGCTCCATAGAGACGGGGATCCACCCCCATAGAAGATCACACCTGCATCACCAACAGCCTGTGGCTGCTGAGGCCCAGGGGTCTCCTCGGTTTCTGGTAACAGAATTCTCTCACGTTTGCACACCAATCAGAAATGAAAGCAGGGGTGGGTAGCAATGGTGAGCAGTGTGGGGACGCGTGGCCAGGCCGGCCAAGGACTGGGGCAGGCTGAGGTGCTCCAGGGAGCATTTTTTCCCAGCCCATCTGTTTCTAGATAAGATGTGGAGGGGAGGTTTTTGGACAGGACTGATTTTATTCCTGGAAATGGGAATTGAGTTAGCACAAAACTCCCCGTGGATCTGCCCAGACCCTTGCTGGGTTGAGCGGGGACAGAGATGGCCAGATTTCCCCTCTGCAAGCTGTCTTGCTGGACTGGCTTTCAGAGGGGTCCCTCCAGGATCCATTCTCTAAGGCCGGCATCCACATTCGGGGGAGCAGTGGTTGGTTTCTGTAATCTACTGTGTTTTGTCACACAGAGAGGGTATTGACTGAACAGCTCGATTCTCTCAGCAGGTGCAGAGCAATCCATCCCCATTTGCTGCAACACGGGGCATTTATTCTTCGCGCAGACTGAGTTCTCCATCAGGGTCCCTCCCACCAGGCAGGAGCCACTGTGGAAGATGCAGGCATCTTGCATGTTGTGGGTCAGTCTGGTTTCTTACCCTGTCATTTCCCTAAGTGCCTTCTTTTCAGGCACTCTCGGCTCTCCAAACAGCAGAGGAACACAGGTCCTTTAATTGTCCATCAGGCATATTTGGCGGTATGAGAGAGGAGATGAAAGGAAAACGTCCTGTACTTAGTCAAGCTGCCATTGAAATTGATTTCTCAGAGCTCAGCATGGAGTCTGTAGCTGTGGAAATGCAGGAAGGCACATTATGTGGAGAGAATTGAGGCGCACGGCTCCGCTCTGGCTGGCTGGGGGCCACTTGTGTTCCTCGGCAGATCCGCACTGGGCATCTCCCCTTGCGAAGGTGGGCGCTCCTCAGGCCCCTGCACTTTGCCACCCACACTTCCGAGTCCCTTTGCTGTGTTTTGCCACCATGGTGCCCCCAGACGGACGTGTGGTTCCATAGACTAAGCAGCCTCATTGCCACTGGGCTGTGTGCCTCTCCCCAGACTCCAGTCAGCCTCCTCCCTGCCTTCAAAATGCACTTCACCCATGCCCTCAGCTACTCCCAGGCCTTGGCCTCGACCCCAGACCACCTGGACTCCTCACCACGGTGCCTCAGGCACCCACACTTCTGGTGTGACAACTCCTTCAATCAGCATGGGGAATGAGTGGCCCCAGGAAGGAGGGCAGGTGGTGCTCCTGGGTGCACCTCCTCCCAAATGAGGGGAGGAGTGAGGCGGGGGTCAGGCTGTCCCAGCTCTGCCCTTGGGATTTCACAAACTGCATCTGGCGGGCAGTGGTGGCTGCCTGGTTTCCTCCATATACGTCGTTTCTAATGTTTTGCAACCAAAATACACTGCGATACAGAACCTCATGTCTTTGTACACAGGTACAAGTGTAGGATTAAAAGTGGCCAAACAGGTGGGGGTGTGGTGGCTCATGCCTGTAATCCCAGCACTTTTTGGGAGGCTGAAGCGGGCAAGTTGCTTGAGCTCAAGAGTTCAAGACCAGCCTTGGTAATGTGGCAAAACACGATCTCTACTAAAAATACAAAATTTAGCCAGGCAGTGGTGGTGCACACCTGTAGTCCCAGCTACTCAGGAGGCTGAGGTAGGAGGATCCCCTGAGCCTGGGAGGTCAAGGCTGCAGTGAGCTGTGATCGTGCCACTGTACTCCAGCCTGGGCAATAGAGGGAGACCCTGTCTCAAAAAAAAAAAAAAAAGTGGTCAAACAAAAGTTATATTCATTTTTATTGCTAATAGATATTATTGAATCATATTCTAAAGACTCAAATCAACATTTCCCATAACATTTTATGAGCATGTTTAACCACCACATAGTATTGCAAATTTATATTTCTGTCATAATAATTATTTTTTTCTCCTGGCATCGAATCGCCCTTTGCATTCCTTTTCCTGCTAAGTCTTCACGCATGCGCTTTGCCTGTGGTTTCTACTGGGTTCTTGGTCCTTTGCAAATGTGTTTGTGAGAGGATTTAAATATTAAGGAAATTAACATTTTGTCATATGTTGAAAGTGCGTTATTCTTAGTTTGCTATTGGCTTTTGGCTTTGTCTGTCATGTAAGAAGTTTTAATTTTTATGACAGGATATTTTTCCATCTTTCTTTTTATTGGTTCTTGGTTTTAAGACCGCTGTACTTTAAGATCATTACCAAAAAAAAGCTCATATTCTAGTAAGGTTACATGGTTATTTTGCTTTTTTTTTTTTTTTTTGATATGTCTTTACTCTCATGAATGTATTTTGGTGTAGGGAGCAAGATAGGAAGACACTCCCCCACAAGGCCAGCCAGGGTGCCCCAAGCCACTGAGAAAGCCACAGACTTCCCGCTTTGCTGTGTGAACTCCCAAGCATGCGGGGCCACCCTGGGGTGCTGCTCCCCACGGGGGTCTGTCTGCCGTTGCATTCGCCAGCGCCAGCCTGCTCTAATCCCTGGAGGTCTAGGACAGGCTTCATGCCTGGTGGGTCCAGGCCTGTGCCCCCCAGTGACTGTGTGTGCCCTCCTTGCTGGGGCCGGGCCCGGCATCCCGATCTGAGCAGGGACACCATGGTTGGGGAGAAGGTAGGAGGTTCCCCCAGGCCCCAGTGCTGCCCAGGATCAGCCTTCTGGGGTGTGAAGAGGATGTCAGCGGCTAAGATACTCCCCATTCTGGAAGACAGCTCAGGCCCTTGCATCCTCAGGCTGCCCCCACCTGGGCCAGTGCTCAGACACCAAGCACTGGACAGCAAAGACTTTCCACGGTGCCGTACTGGGCACAGAGAGAGTGCTGGCCATTGAAGGGTCTGTTGGGATGTTGGGCTTCTGTCTTCTAGATGTGGTGCAATTCCCTTGTCCTCCACCCCTGCCTGCCCCACATTCCAGGCCCTCAAGTAACCTGGAAATCTGCTCTATGCCCAGTGGTCCAGGGACAACATGGGCTTTTGGAAAGGCCCATAGTGAGGTTTTGGACTTTAAGGAGTGGGTAGGAGAGTGCCGCTTGGTCCCATGGGAGGCAGCCCGGGCAGAGATGCTTGCCCATGAGCAGGATGTGGTCAGCAGACTGGACCACTTAGAGCCCATAGCTCTGGGAATGCTCCTCCCCAGAGGGTTCAGAGCCTGAGTGAGCTCCCGGAGTGGCCCACCATGCACCTGGTTTGCTAAGTGGGCCTTCCACTCAGATTTCACTGGTTAGCTGTGGCCAACAATGTGTTTGCTAATGGCTTTGAGCCCGTGCTCCCTCCCTTTTATGTGCGGGAAGGTAAATGCACAGGTCTCACATGCAGACACCTCTTTCTCATGCTCAGCACACAGCTGGGTGGGGCACAGCTAAGAAGCAGCTGCGATTGTTCCTCATCCCCACCCTGCCCCCACCCAGGGTCCACCAGGGATGCTGCAGGAGAGAGCCCCAGCCCCACAGCAGCCTGGGGACCGCCAGGATGAGCAGAACCTCGTAAGTGACCTCGTTTACACAGGCAGGTCATTCAGCTCATGGCAATGGCTCTCGATGGCAGCTGACAGATGCTGAATGGTGCCTGTGCCCGTGGCCCACAGCACAGCCAGGAAAGCGCCAGCCAGAAAAGTGCCTGCCCCCAGCCATTAGCTGGCCTCCCCAGACCCACACCCCGCCCGGGCCAGTTCTGCTGCCCACCGGTTCCTGCTCCCACCCATCACGCCACTGACATTGCCTGGATCCTCCCACAGGCACGGAAGCATGCTGCCATCCCCATCTGACAAAAAGCAACGATGGAAAACCAAAGCCCAAACTGCCCAGCCCCATCCCTCCGGACCCTGCACTGTTTCCTCTGCCCTTTTTACCCCCAAACAGCTGCAAAGAACTGTCTGACTTGCTGTCCCCAGTCCGCGTCCTCCATCCCGCAACCAACCCTCTCCATCCAGCGCCTCCCGTGATCCAATGACTTCCTTCGCTGGTGTCTTGCTCCATCTGGCAGCATTTGGAACTGCTGTGACGGCATCTCCGGTCCCTGCACACATGTCGCTTGGCTCTACCACCACCCTCTCCTCGGCCTTACTGGCTCCCCTCATCCCCAGCGAGGGCACCAGGTCCTGCCTTGTTTCTCTTCTGCGGAAACGCCTGGTCCTGTCTTGGGACTGAACACCAGGGCCTGCTGGTCTCTGCACTGGGCTCTGCCTCCTGGCCATCCTCCTGCAGCCTGCCTGTGCCAGCGGCGCTAGCTCTGTCCGGCCAGGTGTTCAGGCTGAAGCTTTGGTGCTGCCCCTGACACTCCTCTTTCTACATCTAGTCCATGAGCAGGCCCTGCGGGCTTCCTTCCACTATCAATGGTTCCATGCGTTTTGTCCCGCCGCGGCCCACACCGCAGGGCTGGCTTCCCGGCCTGAGACCTGGGCAGCAGGTCTCACGCTGACTTGATCCTCTGCTGTTGGAGGCCTCACCCTTTTATTTTTCACTGGGTCCTGCACACCGTACAACTGGCTCCTCCTGCACAAATCATTTCAACAGCCTCCTGGACTCGGACCATCCTCCTGCCCTCCCTAACCCTTTATTCTCTCTTCTAACTCGGTGGTGAGAGTGTAATTTTTTTTTTTTTTTTTGAGACCGTGTCTGGCTCTTGTTGCCTAGGCTGGAGTGCAATGGCGCGACCTCTGCTCACTGTGACCTCTGCTTCAAGCAATTCTCCCGCCTCAGCCTTCTGAGTAGCTGGAATTACAGGCGCCCACCACCATGCCTGGCTGATTTTTTTGTATTTTTAGTAGAGACGGGGTTTTGCCATGTTGGCCAGGCTGGTCTCGAACTCCTGACCTCAGGTGATCCACCCACCTCGGCCTCCCATAGTGCTGGGATTACAGGCGTGAGCCGCCGTGCCTAGCCCAAGAGTGTGATTTAAAAGCACCTGTCATATCAGGTCCCCTCTGCTGGTTTCCCACATCACTCAGGTAGAAGGCCAAAATTCCTACAGTGTCCGACAGGCCCTCTCTACCCAGCCCCCGCCCGCTGTGACCTTCTCTCCCCTACGAACCAAGACAAGCCGGCAGCCACCAGCAGCTGAAAAAGTCAAGAGAATGAATTTTCCCCCAGAGCCTCCAGAAGGAAGCAGCCCAGCCAGTACCTTGACTTTAGCCCGGTGAGGCTGAGTCCAGACTTCCGACGTCCAGGATGACAAGAGGAAACAGGTTTTATTTTGAGCTACCACGCTGGTGGGAATTTCTTACAGCAGCAACAAGAAACTCATGCCTCCGGCTTATAATACATTTCACTTATTTGTTTCTTGTTTATCGCCTCCAATAGAATGCAAGCTTAAAGAAGGCAGACACTCCCATCTGTTTTGTTGGTGATCATGTGCCTGCTGACTGTACAGCCCTGGCTCACAGTGGGTACTCCATGAAAACTGTGCGTTGTTCAGAAAAAGAAAAGGGACCTTAAACGTGTGAAAAGATGCTCAACCACACTCCAGATCTCAGAGATGAAAATTAAGATCAAGGGAGGCGCAGTGGCTCACGCCTGTAATCCCAGCACTTTGCGAGGCCGAGGCGGGTAGATCACCTCAGGTCAGGAGTTCAAGACCAGCCTGACCAACATGATGAAACCCCACCTCTATTAAAAATACAAAAATTAGCCGGACATGGTGGCTCATGCCTGTGATCCCAGCACCTTGGGAGGTCGAGGCGGGTGGATCACTTGAGGTCAGGAGTTCAAGACTAGCCTGGCCAACGTGGTGAAACCCCATCTGTACTAAAAATATAAAAAACTTAGGTGTTGAGGTGCGCACCTGTAATCCCAGCTACTCAGGAGTCTGAGGCAGAGAATCACTTGAACGCGGGAGGCGGAGGTTGCAGTGAGCTGAGACCACACCATTGCTCTCCAGCCTGGACAACAACAACTCAACTCCGCCTCATAAAAAAAAAAAAAAAAAAAAAACACGGAGAAACCATTTCTCATTTATCAGATTGACCCACCTACACTGTTGGCGAGGCTGTGGGGGACATGGGAGTCCTCAGGCTTTGTTGATAGGAATGTGTTATGAGCTACTGTGTCCCCTCCAAACAGAAATACGTGGAATGCTAATGTTAGGGGAACAGGAGCCTGGCAGAGCCAGAGTGATGTCATTTTAAGTTTGGCTCCATCTTGACACTAGCAAGGCACATTCCTTGCCAGTCACGACCCATGGTCCTGAGATGTTTGCGGTTGCGGAAGTGGCCTAAAGATGCCTGCGAGGACCTGCTCCTACAACAGAAAGTCCACAGGTCCCAATGCCCTTAGCCATATATTCGTTCGCAATAATTCAAGTTACGCTTTGGTGCACTCACACGCTGGAAGGTCGGGGATAGCTTTCTTTAAATCAATAAAGTAATAAACGTTATCATGTTATCAGCCCACCCGCACATAGGCACAGCTTAATTTAGTCTTTCTTTTTTTTGAGATGGAGTCTAGCTCTGTTGCCCAGGCTGGAGTGCAGTGGCATGATCTTGGCTCACTGCAACCTCTGCCTCCCAATTCAAGCGATTCTCCTGTCTCAGCCTCTGAGTAGCTGGGGTTACAGGCATGCACCACCATGCCTGTCTAATTTTTGTATTTTTAGTAGAGACGGGGTTTTGCCATGTTGGCCAGCCTGGTCTCAAACTCCTGACCTCAGGTGATCCGCCCACCTCAGCCTCCAAAAGTGTTGGGATTATAGGCATGAGCCACCGTGCCTGGCCCTAGTGTTTACAAAGATAAGACCCCTATATAAGAAAAACTGAAAACACAGGCGGTGTATTCCTTGGCTTGCTTTCTGTGGACAGACGCCCCCACTCTGTAAAGGAGCAGCTTTCAATAAACTCTCTTCTCACTACACTCTGCGACTAGGCTTGCGTTTCCTCCTGCACATGAGCCAAGGATCCTCTCTTAGAGACTGGATGGAGACCCCTTTTCCAGTTACACTAGCTCTTGGTACCTGTGACCCTATTTGGAAACAGGGCCTTTGCAGATGTAAGCAAGTTAGGATGAGCTCATTAGGAGGTGGGCTCCAAGCCAGTGCGACTTTCTTATAAGAGACACACAGGGAGAAGATGGCCATGGGACAATGGAGGCAGGGACTGGAGCGATGGATCTATAAGCCAAGGAATGCTGGGGGTCGCCCACCAACACCAGACGTTGGAAGGAGCAAGGAAGGAATTTCCCTACAAGCTCCTGAGCTTGTAGAGCACGGCCCTTGCCAGACCTTGATCTTGGACCTCTGACCTCTGTAAAACAATACATTTCGTGTGGTTTCAGCCGCCCAGGCTGTGGTCCTCTGTTATGAAAGCCCTAGGGAACTAACACAGAATGCAAAAGAAGATAGTCTCTGCCAGAGAAAATTTGGCAATCTCTAGTGAAGATAAAATGGAGGCACAAGACTGTATCCTGAACACCTTGTAATAACAAGATTGGAAGCCACTTCTGTGTCTATTCTTAGCTGACAGGTGAATAAATTATGGAACATCCTGGGCTGTTCTGTGCAGCAGTAAAAACAAGTAAAGACAACATCTACATCCCATCCCAGCAGGGTAACGGAGGCATATCGTAGGTGGAAAAGGAAAGACGGAAAACGGTGTGCAGAGCAGGCCAGCTTCATCTAAGAAAGGGGGCTGTGGATATAATTGTATGCAAATATGCACCCACACATATGTAATCACTTGCATTTTAAAATGTGGGAGAGTAAGTTTTGAAATCCTGTGGAATAGTTATCTGCGGTGAGAGGAAAAAGAGTGGAAGGGAAGGAGGAATGCTGGCTTTTTCTGCACCTGCCTTCTTGTGAATTACTGCAGGTAACTTTAAAACGCCATGTAGAGCTCGTGAGATTATATCCTATAGATCCCACTGCTGGAGAGAGGCTAAGTGATCTTACACTGGTTTTGGCAACTGTGCTAGTAGTCATGGTATTGTTGTCGGCCTTGTTGTTCTGAAAATACTACGGACGTGTGGGTGGAGTGTACACAGGTAGTGAGACATAGCAATTATGTATAAAGATGATGCATGTAAGAGAAAAAAGACACAGATATAAAATGGAATAAACCACATAGAAGCCAGTAATCCTACATTGGCATGGTAAATATTACAATGATGTTATGGTGTACTTTCCATAGTGTGTGTGTATTACTTCTGTTCACCAAAAAGGCCAAGAAACGATGACAAATTCAGTAACAATGAACATTCTCAGCACAGAGACTATGGTCTCTAAATACCATTTCCCCACCATAAGGACCCAGGGTTCTTTGGAGAAATGACTGGTCCAGTTTGGGACCAAGAAGTATCCAAGTTGAACCTGGAGCATCTTCTTGTGCCAAAATAAAGGATGCATTGAAGATAAGCATGCTTGTGCCAAAGGCACTAGGCCCTCCTCTCCACCCCTGCATGGGCAGTGAACACCCTTCCATATCAGTGTTTCTCCCCACACACTCCTTAACTTGCCTCAAGTCACACACACACACACACGCACGCACGCACGCACGCACGCACGCATTTTTTTTTCAAAACAACAAGCATCTTTTAAAAAAAAAAATCTCGTACGTGAGGCATCTTAATCCATCAATCTTTCATTGCACAATGTATTGTGTACCCGATCCTGAAAAGGGAACAGGGTCTGTGGCTTTGAGGAGGTCCCTGGAAGACAAACACGGAACAGGAAGATAGAGGAGGATTCCATGTGATTTTCGTATGTGCTATGCAGGCTCCGCCATCCTGGAGATTCTTGAGCTGAGAGACAGGGGAGACTTCCCAGAGAAGGTGGGAAGGGAAGAGAGGGATGAAGGAGGAGAGAGCCGCGGGACTCCAGCTCCGGTTTCTCCCCCTACATTGCATCGGGAATGCGGGGTCCTGAATGCATTATTTTACTCAGTGCTGTGTGGGCTAGATAAAAGGTGTCCACATGCTTCTGGGGCTCCACAGCGCAGGCAGATTTTCTGAAGGAATTTGTTATAAATAATTAATGTTGACTTCTTCGGTTTTATGTAATGAAAATATTTTTTGGTTTGTCCTCTTTTTATAACCTTGTTTGTTGGTATATGCCACAGAATTTTAAATTTATGCACATTCATATTTCCTTTTTTGATTTTTTAATCATACTTAAAATGAAATTCTGCACCATGAATGAAAGGAAATAACTTCTTAAGCTTTTCATCTTTAAAGAAATAATGCTAACCACCACTGCATGCACCTGGTCGCTCCTGCTCACTGCTGGGCTCCTGCTCACTACTGGTCTCCTGATCACCGCTGGGCTGTACTTCCTGGCAGACTTCCCATACGAAGCAGGTGCCAGGTGAGATGTTGGGTGATGGTTGAATAGGCATGTAACCTGAACAAATGGCATCCACAAATCCTGGGGTCTTTGCATAGTGTGGGGAACTCTCATCCTTATTTCGATTGGATTTTTTATGGGAATCCAGTCAAAGGATGCAGGAGGGTGCTGCACTGAGGGCTTGAACTCACCTTTCCAAACATAAGGTCAGTTTGGCTTCCAGATCTCAGAACTGGACGCCTGTGGAAAAGATGCCAGGTCAGAAGCATCCCCTGCTGGATTCTGGCAATGATCTTCCCTCTGGGGGAGCGACGTGGAGGAGCTGCCTCTGTGAGCTGTGGGCTCAGCTTCTGTCCCAGGTACTCACCTCCTGCGTGGTGGAGGCTGACAGAAAGCTTTCACCTGCTTGGAGTGATTGCTGTTCTCTTGGAAGATGCAAACCTGGGAAAACTCAGCTTTGGGGAACCTGGGTGCCTCATCGGAGAGTAGGGGCTGGCATAAATGTGAGAATTTGCCTGGGGATGGTGAATTTTGTGTCCATAGCAGAATATCTGAAAAAAAATGGACCGTCCAGTGTGCCTGAACTCATCAGACGGGCCCTGCCTGGCACTCTGCAAAGGCAGTTTCTGCTCACCCTGCACCTGGCGTTTGCAGAGAGGGAACCTTGAGGAGCTTCTCACTCCTCCCCAGTGTCTCGGCATCTCTCAGAGGAGCTGCTCAGCGGGGCCTCGGTGGCTGGTGGCTCGCATCAGAGATGAAGCCTGTGCTGAGCTGAGCATGCACCACTGGAGGCTGCAGGTCTGGGCCCAGCCGTGGCCAGCGGCCTTTCCGTGTTGCCCCACAGCCTGCAGGCATCGGGTGTGAGCGTGTCCTGGGGACTGCATTTCTGCAGGGTGCACCCTGCACTCCCTGCGCCTCACCTCTGGCTGCCACTTTGGGAATCACAGAAGGGAGGATGTTCTTGGACAGTGGCCTGGTCAGTATCCCTGGTAGCTCCCAGCTGGGTACACTCGTGCATGCATCCACCTGGAGCATAAGTGTCTGCTCTTTTGCCCAGGGGGCCCCAGAGCAGAGTGAAAATGTGGGGCCTCTGAAGACCTACCTTAGTCCGTTTGTGCTGCTACCAAGGAATAGTGAGGCTGGGTAATTCATCAAAGAAAAGAGGTTTACTGGACTCACAGTTCTGCAGGCTGTACAAGAAGCATGGTACCAGCATCTGCTTTGGGTAGAGGCCCCAGGAAGCCTCCACTCATGGTGAGAGGGGAAGGGGAGCAAGCGTGTTGCATGGCAGGGGAGGGAGCAAGAGAGAGGGAAGGGAGGTGTCAGGCTCTTTTAAACTGTCAGTTCTCCTGGGAATTCCTAGAGCAAGAACTCACCCATTACCTGGAGGGCAACACCAAGCCATTCACGAGGGACTCCCCGCACCCAGGACCCAAGCACCTCCCACCAGGCCCCACCTCCAACACTGAGGGTCAGATTTCAATCTGAGGCTTGGCAGGGCCAAACAAACCACAGAAAACTCTGTCCCAAGAAAGCCCCAAACATGACAATCTATCCATGCTGTCCTCAAGGAGCCCTGGGTGATCTCCATCCAATACAAAGAGCAGAGGCTGGAAACTGTGATGGTTCTCCCCGGAGCTCTCCTGGGAATAGTGGGTGTTTATAACATTGAGAAAATGATGCATTTCTTTTTCTGATAATGGAGTCCTGGGATAAGAATTGCTACATAAAGAAAAAGAAAAGCCACTAAGACCTGACTTCACTCTACCTGCCAGGCTTTGCTAGGAACGAAGATGGGCCCAGCTGAGGGCCACGTGCATGTCCTGTTTCCCTACTTGTGTACTTCCCAGGGGTTGCAGCCACGAGTTCACTGAGCTGTTTCTGGAGAGAGCCTGGGTGGGATCCTCCCAGCCCAGCCCCTGAGAACGTGGTGAAGCCGGTGCCCCTGCAAAGGCCGTGTGAGAAGGATCGGAGCCAGAAACATCGGAGGGACACAGTGTCCGTGGATTAGATCAGAGAGATGGATTAGATGTAGAGGAATATGGGGATCACGACCTGTGGGTCCGCGTCGGAGTCTGACTTCAGTTTGTAGGAACTGAAAATTGCTTCATAAGGGAGTAATAAAGATTTTTTTAAAAAACAACATTTTCAAAAGGACACAGCTTGAAGATGCTCCCACTAGTCAATGATGTGACAATTTGGGCATAAAAATAACAACTGTAATAGATTGAAACACATCAAATGTGCTGAAAATTCATGAGCTCATCACTAAGCTAAAGAAAGCCACACTGGTCCCCTGGGGTGGGCGCGGGGGCACCAACTCATCCTTCCGGAAACTGATAAATGCGAGGAAAAGCCAAGCACCCCTCTCCTTCCCCACAGGGACCGAGCCTTCGGGGGAAGCTTCTTTACACAAGTCCTCCAGCTCAGAAGCTCAGAGTGGAACCATGACAGCCGCCCTCCTTTGCAAACCACTGAGAGCTCCAGGAGGAAGGCTGCTGGGGTTTTATAACGACTGAGCGAGGGTGATGCCATCTCCCCCCATACAGAAAGGCAACAGGATGTCACATGCACCTCCCGAGGCAGTACAGTGGGAAGCGCCCACTCCACCCATGAAGGGCTCCTGCCTAAAAATCACGCCCCGCTCTCATCATGCCTCTAGGTCTAAGCACCTTACAGGAGGTCCAGGGGACAGAGAGACATTCAGACAGGAGATCCAGGGGACAGAGAGACGTTCAGATGACAGCACGGGTGCAGCCAGCCAGCTCCAGACTGCAGGACGCGCGAAGGGCAGATGACTCCATTCCTTCAACAACAACAAACGTCAAGAAAGAGAACTGGGGGAGGCTGTTGTCCTGGCCTCCTAGGGCAGCCAAAACAGATACCAGACTGGGCAGCTGAAACGGCAGACATTGCTTTCTTACAGTCTGTAGGCCGGGAAGTCCTGGATCTAGGTGCGCCTGGAGCAGTGCCTGGTACAGAGTCGGTTCTCAATAAGCATTATCCACAGTGGTCCAAGCACTGGCCATGTGGCTCTCTGTGTGGGTGGGGCTCTTCTGACCACCCTGCCCGTCTATCCCCTCTGCCTTCTGTGCCTGCTGGCTGCAGGCTGGTGCCATCTATGTAGTATAGCCTGGGGTATGATGGAACCCGTGAGGTTTGTGTTAATGGACCTGTGGTCTGAATTTAGATGAGCATCTCGGAATCCTGAGAGCTGGCCCTGCTCCCAGACCACCAGACTTCTTCTCCACTCCCAACTAGAATCCCCTCCTCAGCAGCCTGCCCCGCCCCCAGAGTCAGAGACCTTCCCTAGATGGGGGCGCAGCACCGCTCAGCCCTGAGGATTCATACTAGGATCAATCCAGACATGATGGGGGTTCCTTTGTGTGAGGCTGCAGCCAACCATCAGGGCTGCCAACGTCAGACTGGTCATCCCCAGAAAGGTGTGGGGGTACATAAGGAGCCTGGGCACTCTAGGCATGCAGCAAAGGGATCCAAGTGTACTGTGTGCACACACGTGTATATGTGTGTGCATGCACACCTGTGTGTGTGTGCACATGCCTGCACTGCATGAGTGTGCACGTGCATGTGTGTGCCTGTGCGCACGTGTCTGTGTGTGCATCTCCAGCCCTGCAATCCTTGCCTCCTCATTGTGCAGACACAAGGAGGTCAGCTCCCACATTGGGAATCAGCTTTGAGATTCTTCTGGTCCTTCTTGCACCATCTTTTCCTATGAAGGTCAGTTGGACAGATGTCTCAGCGATGCGTAGTACATGAGACAGCTGTGCCAAGCTCTTAGCCACAGCAGGTTTCCTTGTCCCACCCTCCTCCAGACACTCACGCTGGGTGTGTTTCAGCAGAGGTTTTGGCCACCTGGGGTGCGGGCCCCGAATGCTCGTTTCTGGAAGTTGCCCACCCCACACAAAGAGAATGGGGACAAGCGTATGTGGCGTTGCGGTATGACCTGCTCTAGAGACAGGTAGCATCCCTGTCTTCCCTCACAATGGTATCTTCCTCCACCTACACATAAACCTGCCTGGAGCAGGGCAGGTGGGGTACTAAGGCTGATTAATCCCAGGTACTGCAGGGTAGCAGGTTAATATACTCCAGGCAGATGGAAGCAAACTGGTTTGCAAATCAAGGTCAACTAATTCATTTATTGATCCAAGAGCTGCCTTTTACTTTCCCTTTTATCAAAGAGTCTTCTCTTCCTTTGTCCTAGAAAGTTAGCCCAGGGCCTCTCGGGAGGCCCAAACGGTGGATCCCACTCTGCTGACTCTCCTGCCCCCTGCCCCTGGTGTTTGCTTCCCTGGCCTCTGGCCCTGGTGTCCTTGTCATTGTCTGGCTTAGGTTGCTCAAAGCCCTAAGGTGAGTTTGCTCATCTTTTCTGCAACGTGGAGCTCCTGCTTCCCTTGCACCTCCCTTCCCAGGGCTCCTTCCTGAAGTATCCTCCCTGGACCATGCTGCCCAGGCCCCATGGCGGTCACATCATATGGCCTGGGCCCACCTGGAGGAGCCACCAGCCACTTTCCACAGTGACCTCCAGCTAGTCCTATATACACGCAGGTGTTCACTCACTCACTCATTTATTCATGGGTGTTCTCATCTGACAAGACAGCACTGAGGGCCTCTTTTGCAAGAAATGAAGGATCTTCACTTGGCCAGAAGCTGAGCCCTGGAGTGGCTGAGGGAACTGGCTTGGGGCATACCGGCCACTCCTGTGTGGGACAGAACACTCAGCCCCTCTGTCCTGATGGTTTTCATCTTTAAATGGGGTTAATAGCAAAATAAAAAGTTATTATTTTCCCATTTTAGGGAATAAAAGAGTCAATAAGATAATGTACAAAATGCAGACAGAGATATTAGGATAGCCAAAGGAAAAGATAAAGCGGAAAATAAATGTTGGCAAAGATGCGAAGAAACTGGAACCTTTGGGCACTGCTGATGGGAGTATAAGATGGCAGCTGCTCAAATAATTAAAAATAGTTGCCATGTGATTTGGCAATTCTGCTTTTTTTTTTTTTTGAGATGGAGTTTCACTCTTGTCGCCCAGGCTGGAGTACAATGGTGCAATCTCAGCTCACTGCCACCTCCACCTCCTGGGTTCAGACAATTCTCCTGCCTCAGCCTCCCAAGTAGCTAGGATTACAGGCACCCGCCACCATGCCTGGCTACTCTTTGTATTTTTAGTAGAGACGGGGTTTTGTCATGTTGGCCAGGCTGGTCTCGAACTCCTGACCTCAGGTGATCTGCCTGCCTCAGCCTCCAAAGTGCTGGGATGACAGGCGTGAGTCACCGCACCTGGCTGGCAATCCTGCTTTTGAGCGTATACCCAAGATGATTGAAAGCAGGATGACAGGCGTGAGCCACCACACCCGGCTGGTAATCCTGCTTTTGAGCGTATACCAGAGAGGATTGAAAGCGGGTCCCAAAGAGATATTTGTACATGCACATTTCTAGCAGCAGGACCCACAGCAGCCAAAGGTAGAAGCAACCCCAGCGTCCATCAGTGCGCGACGGATAAACAGAATGTGGTCCATCCCTACAATGGACCGTGGGCCTTGGAAGGGAAGGGAATTCTGATGCATACACTTCGACGCGAACAGACTGTGAAGACACCATGGTAAACCAATCCAGACACAAAAGGACAAATACTGCGCGACTCCCATTCTGCGAGGTGCCCAGAGTAGGCAGATTCACAGACACAGAAAGTAGAGAAGTGGGTGCCAGGGGCTGGGGAGAGGGGAATGGGGTCTTGTGTTTGATGGGACAGAGTGTTGGTTCGGAAAGATGAAGACGTTCTGGAGGTGGGTGGTGGTGATGGCTGCACAGCGATGTGAGTGTGTTTGGTGCCACGGAGCTGTACACTTAAAATGGCGAAGATGGTAGATTTATGTCATGTGCATTTTATCACAATTTTACAAAAAGCCAACATAGAGCCCAAGGGAGGGCAGGTGCTCAGTAAGCGACCGTCTTTTGAGATTCTGAGTGGTTCTTGCCAGAAGAGGACACGGGGCTTGTGCCCCAGGGATCTTCCACGAGACATGCAGTGTGGAAATTCAGGTGCAGCGGAGAGGAGAGGCAGGGGACGGGGTGGTGGGTGGGATCAGTGGAGAGAGTGATGGGGTGGCGGGTGGGATCAGTGGAGAGGGCGATCGGGTGGTGGGTGGGGTCAGCGGAGAGGAGAGGCAGGGGATGGGGTGGCGGGTGGGATCAGTGGAGAGGAGAGGCAGGGGACGGAGTGGCGGCTGGGATCAGCGGAGAGGGGGACGGGGTGGTGGGTGGGGTCAGCAGAGGGGAGAGGCAGGGGACAGGGTGGCGGGTGGGGTCAGCGGAAAGGGCAATGGGGTGGTGGGTGGGGTCAGTGGAGGGGAGAGGCAGGGGATGGGGTGGCGGGTGGGGTCAGCGGAGAGGGGGATGGGGTAGTGGGTGGGGTCAGTGGAGAAGGGGACGAAGTGGCGGGTGGGGTCAGCGGAGAGGACAGGCAGGGGACAGGGTGGCTGGGGGTGTCAGCAAAGAGGAGAGGCAGGGGATGGTGTGGTGGGTGGGGTCAGGTACTTCTCTGGGTGACAGTGGAAAGCTCCCTCCCTCCTGGGCCTTGGTTTTCTCAATCTGCAAATGGGGATAATGAGGGTGGCCACCTAGTATGTGCTGAGATTCAGTGAGTCCATGGGACACAGCCTCACTCTCGGCCACTATGGGGGTGGAAACAGGAGGAAGGAGTATATTCATGCTGGGCAGGCCAGGTAAGGCTGCCGGGGAGAGCAGGGGTGTGCATATGTGGGCAGGGGGGCCTTCCCGGCCGCGGGAGAAGCACCTTATGCTGTTCTGCCAAGACCACTTCGAAAAATAAATTCCTGTTTACTGCCACCTTCATTTCACACACTTCATATGGGCCAAATAAAGATGCTAATGCGTTAACAACCCAATTCCCAAGTAGCCTATCCTTTTTTACAAGGACCTTGTTCCTTTATGGCTCAGATTTGTCCCCAAGACATGACACACGCTGCTCTCACCTTCTCATTAATTCACCCCGCGAGCCGGCCCATCTCCAGAGCTCATGGACCACTGGACAAAAGGCCCGAGGCAGGGCAGAGCGGTGGGTGCTTTTAGGGTCTGGGGCTCTTCTGCTGCCGCTGAGCCTGTGCCATGGGGGCTGTTCTGGGCAGGGCGGGGCCAGGGCACCTGGGTCCCCATCGCCGACCTTCCTCACACGCCTTTCACTCTCGGAGACGCCTCTCCATGCTTGCAGATGGGCGGCTACCTCTCGCCTGCGCTGCCGGTTCCTGCTTACCTTGCCAGGAGAACCCTCAGCACTGCAGTTTCCAGAGGGCTGCACCCCCATCCTCTTAGCATCCCTGGACGGAAGCCCAGTGCTCTAATCTGTAAAAGGGGGACAAAGTGCACGCTCAGCAAACCTCATGGTGGGGGTGTTTGTATCCAAAATTGTGCTTCAGCCCCTGGCCTGGGGTCACGGGCTGAGCCAGAGCAGATGCACCCTGGAATCTGCCCCAGTCCTGAGCTTCTGCTGTGCGGCCCTTGCCCTGGGAGGGAAGGATAGTGGTGGGCGATAGTGGAGGGAGATAAAGAGCCTCGTCCACCAGCTCAGGAGGGGATGTGGGCCCTGTTTGGTGAAAAAAATCACCCACAAATAAAGATGAGGGAGCTCATAGGCTGGTGGGAGAGGCAGACATCCACTGAACTGCCACCTACTGACCTTGCGAATGCCATGGTGCAGTGTGGAAGGCAGCAGGGAGCCGAGGTTAAGACCCAATCTGGCTGGTAGGGCAGGAGCTGCTCTCACCTGGGCAGGAAGTCCCTTTCAGCAGGTGCAGGTGGCAGCAGAAAGGACTTCAAGACTGGAGAAGCCTGGGTCCCAGCAGGTGGTGAGCGCAGCAGCCCAAAAGACTTACCTGTGAGGGACACCAGAAGTGGGGTGGGATGCAGGCCTGTGTGGGACAGAACTCCCCAGGAATCTGTGCTCCCCCACACACTGACAACTGCCAGACGGAGGCTTTTAGTGTCAATTCCCGAGACAGAGAACCTGAATGGATGGTGGGCATGAGGGGAGCCTCGCAAGCTGAGCCAGGTCCCCGACCAGGGCGGGGGAGGAGGAGGAGGGGAAGGTTTGCTACCTGGAGGTTGCGAGATGCTGAGCTTGTTGGGGTGAGTTCCGGCCCAGGGCTCAGGGCTCAGGCCCTGCTGCCATCTATCCCTCCCTCCCAGGGCAAGGGCCGCACAGCAGAAGCTCAGGACTGGGGCAGATTCCAGGGTGCATCTGCTCTGGCTCAGCCTGCGAGCCCAGGCCAGTGGCTGAAGCACAGTTTTGGATACAAACACCCTTTAAGGCACAACATGGGTTTGAGGCTGGACAGCATGCACAAGCCCACGCTCATGGGTCACAGGCACCCACAGCTCCCCCATCTAGCCCCTCATCTAGACCCCATCTAACCCCCATCTAGTCCTCCATCTAGCCCCCATCTAACCCCCATCTAGCCCCCATCTAGCCCCCCATCTAATCCCCATCTAGCCCCCCATCTAGCCCCCCATCTAACCCCATCTAGCCCCCATCTAGTCCCCCATCTAGCCCCCATCTAGCCCCCATCTAACCCCCATCTAGCCCCCATCTAGCCCCCCATCTAACCCCCATCTAGCCCCCATCTAGCCCCCATCTAACCCCCATCTACCCCCATCTAGCCCCCACCTAGCCCCCATCTAGCCCCCATCTAACCCCCATCTAGCCCCCCATCTAGTCCCCCATCTAGCCCCCCAACTATCCCCCAATCTAGCCCCCCATCTAGCCCCTCATATAGTCCCCCCACCTAGTCCCCCTTCTAGCTCCCCAATCTAGCCCCCATCTAGTCCCCATCTAGCCCCCCTTCTAGCCCCCATCTAGACCCCTGTCTAGTCCCCCATCTAGTTCCCTATCTAGACCCCACATCTAATCCCCTACCTAGCCCCCCATCTGACCACCATCTAGCCCCCATCTAGTCCCTGATCTAGATCCCCTATCTAACTCCCACATCTAGCCACCCATCTAGACCCCATCTAGTCCCCCATCTAGCCCCGAATCTAGTCTCCCATCTAGCCCCCACTTCTAGCCCCCCAGTCTAGCCCCCCATCTAGCCCCCTGCTTCTAGCCCCCCATCTAGACCCCCCCGATCTAGATCCCTTTCTAGTCCCCCATCTAACCCCCTATTTAGCCCCCCATCTAGCCTCCCATAGTCCCCCATAGCCTCTCACAGCTCCCCATAGCCCCCCACAGCCCCCCATATTGCTGTAGGGTGTTTAGGCTGCTTCTACTTTTTCTCATTGTAACGACGATGCCGCGAGGGACAGCTTTGTGTCTGGCTGTGTGAGCCCATCCACCCTTGTTTACTAAGGACAGAGTTCTAGAAGCAGGGCTGCTGGGTTCCCCCCCGGGAGCTTGCAGGACTTTTCCTGCTAGCTACACATGCTGGCTGTGCATTTCCTTCCCAGAGCTACATCTAGGGGAGAAGAAGGGACATGCTAGAGCAGGAAGACCTTGTTTTCCTTTCTTGAGATGGTCCCCAAAGGGCAGTGGCCCTGAGAAGGGGCTTTGGTGAGGCTGGCAGGTGTCTCTGCAGCACCCAGCAGCTGGAGGCACCCTGCTCCCCCAGCCGGGTCCTTAGCATCTGGCGTGGCTGCCTGCTCCCAGGAGAGCCGCAGAGGGCGACCGAGGTAGCAGCGGCTGCATATTCATGAGGGCAGCGCGGCAGAGTCCGTGAAGCTCTGGCTGTCATATTTCGTGCTCATTTGCAGCTTCCAGTCAGGCTACAGCCTGCTGCATGCTCTGAAAGTTCCCTGAGATTCAGGGTGGGCAGCACCGGGCTCCAGTGTTTGGGGCATCTTCCCAACACTCCAGAGAGCTTGGCCAGGAAAGAGTGCAGGCACCCGGTACGGGGTTGCGGGGAGCAGGCCTGGGCTCCCCGCTGCAGAGGTGGCGCTGCTTAGCCCCCTGAGCCCACCCCGCAGCACCCCTCTCTGCCTCCAGTCCCCAGCAAAGCACTTTCCGGCCCCCAGTTTTCGGACCTCCCCCAGGCCTGCCTTGCTGGACAGTAGGGAAGCTGCCCCCAGTCCTAGCCTTTCTCTCCTCTACACCTATCCACACGTACTCAGCCCTGCCCTGCTCACCCTCCTGCAGGTATAAGCAGCCAGCAGCAGAGCAAGTCCACACCTGCTGTCACCAAGAACGGGCCTGTCCCAAGCTCTCCATGGTGGCCCACACCCCACCACATCAGGAGGAGGGGGCAGGGGCTGTGCCCACCCGTCGTACTTATGAGTAAAGCTGAGAGGCCCAACCCGCAGGGTGGGGGGGGGGTCTCAGTGGGTGACCAAGGGGCAGGTGGGTTCTGGGGGCATGTGAAGAAGTCCCTCTAACACAGACGACATCTAGCAGTCAAGGCAGCAGCGGCGCCGTGCGGAGCCTCCTGTCTGCTGGGTGAGCATACTGGACTTTCCGTGGGAACCTTCTGGGGAGAGTGTTGTGATTTAATGGTGGAATTTGGGGCACTGTCACAGGGTTAGAGAACAGGGTTAGAGTTTTTCGTGGAAAAGACCTGGTAGTGCTTTTCAAAGCACAGCCTGTTCCACGTTTGAATCCCATTTGCCCTGGGCAAAGCGGCTTGCAGCTGACCTCATCCCCAGAGATGGTGCGACAGGCAACATCTCACTCCTGCAGCCCCAGTGCATGGGGGACGCGGAAGCTCCTGCAAAAGATCACATGCAGAAATAGAGTCTTGTTCACTCAAAGGCTGTCAAAGCAAGAGTGTGTGGGGCTGGTGACACCCGCCGCCCTGCCTTCCGCATCTGCTGGAGGATTAGCACGCATGGGAAGGATGCACGGGGGATGGCTGGCCTGGCGCAGGATGATGGGGACAGAGGCTGCTGGCAGCAGGGCAGGAGCAGAGACACATAGCTGCACCCCTCCTTGTGGTTCTCGCTGAATCCTCTCGGGGGTGTGGGCATCCAGGAGAACCTCAGGAGGAGGCCAGCACTACAGCCAGATGTCCCCTGGTCCCTGCCAGTGTCTCGGGGCTCTGGCAGCTGCTCCCCTTAAATGGACACCAGGCTGGCTCGCAATGTAGCCGCAACATCATTGTGAGAAACAAACTCACCTCTTCAAACCCAAAGAATGGACTCAGAGACACGGAGAACAGCGGAAGAGAGACTTGCAAGATCGGGTGTCTGATGGGCAGGCACACCCAGCACAGTTTCAACAAGCAATTTATCCCCTAGTGCACAGTCCCCTCCCCCGGTTCCTCATAGGCTGTGTACTGTGGGGCCTCAATCTTCCTGGACGTCACCTATTGGTTGTCGGGCAGAGGCTTTAGGTGTTTTCTTTAGAGTTGTCTTGCTGCATTTTTTTTTTTTGAGACAGTGTCTCACTCTATTGCCCAGGCTGGAGTGCAGTGGTGTGATCTCTGCTCACTGCCACCTCTGCCTCCTGGGTTCAAGCAATTCTCCTGCCTCAGCCTCCCAAGTAGTTGGGATTACAGGCACCTGCCACTACACCCAGCTGAATTTTTGTGTTTTTAGTAGAGATGGGGTTTCGCCATGTTGGCCAGGCTGGTCTCAACCTTCTGACCTCAAGTGATCTGCCCACCTCGGCCTCCCAGAGTGCTGGGATTACGGGCATGAGCCACCACGCCCGCCCGTCTCGCTGCATTTTGTTGCAGCTCATAATACATTGCAATCATGATCAGCTCTGGGGCTGTTTAAGCATTTGACTTATGACCCAGCTAGTCAGGCAAGCTGATAAGAATAGATAAAGTGAGCTACTTTGCAGGCTAGTAAACTTTCATTTTAGACTAAACTTTTTGGTTTGGGTGAGGGTAACTAAGGGGTCCCGACAAGCAGGCGCCAGGTACTTAGGCAGGGGCTTAGTGTACCTTGTTCTTTTGTAGTCTGAGCACCCAAGCCTCTCTGAGGCATTCTAATTTGAAAATGGACCACCATATACATCATTTTCTACAAACATGACTGATGGGACACTGGCCGGCCACTGGCCGAGAGTCCATCAAACAAGCTCTGGCCCATCAGCCCCAAGAGGCAAGCTCTGCCCAGCCCACATGCTGGGATTGAAAGGGCCGTGGGGTAGCTGCAGCATCCACTGGTTACTGGGCCTGTCCAAGTGGCATCAGATCAGGGACAGGCCTGTGCTCTCCGGAAGGAAGTCTCTATGCTCAGCCCACACTTAAGGGGTGGGGAGATTTGAGTCACCTCCATGAGGGCATAAATTATGGAATGCCTCTGCATGGGAAAGATCTCTTCTTCCTCATTTATTGATTGACTCCGTCACTCATTTATAACCAGATGGACTCATGGACATTTATTCTATACCTTAGGTTATACTCTGATACTACTTTACTTTGCGGTTCCAATTTTTCCACCTGTGGCCATTGGGACCCCCTGCAGCTGGCTCCTGTGCCCCTGTGACATGTCCCTGCCTTTGCGAACTTTTCTTTTTTGGGGCACTGCGTTACCTTATGGCACCACAAGTCTATGCCCCACTCTCATCTTGCCCCAGTTCTAGAAGCAGCCATTTCTCCAAGAAGCCCTGGTTCTCTAATTGGAAAATGGTGCTAGAAACCAAGATCTGGGTGCTGGGGGTGCTGTCGTTACTGGGGGTGTGGTTGCTCCTTGGCCTTCTCAGCTGACAGAGAAAAGGTGTGTGTGTGTGTGTGTGTGTGTGTGTGTGTGTGTGTGTCAGCGGCAAGGATGCCTGGACATGGTGTGAACCTGACCCCAGTGGTCTTATGAGCTCTAGGACCATGGGCCAGTACTTAGCCTGCCAGTCGTGTAGTTAATTTCACTGTGTCAGGCCGAGTTCTACGGATTTCGACAAATTGATAGTCATGTATCCACCAACACAGATCCATAATAGAACAGAAAATTCCCCCCAGATTCCCTTGTGCTGACCTTTTGTAGTCAATCTCTCTTCATCGCAACTCCTGGCAACCCTGTCTCTGCTTTCCATCTCTATAATTCTGCCTTTCCTGGGATTTCCTATGTATGGAGTCATACAGTATACAGCCTTTGAGGCCTGTCTTCCCTCCTTTGGGGCTGAGCTCTAGCAGCATAGAGTGCCTGCCCTCATGGTGTTGCATTAATAATGCTTTGCTCCTTTTCCTCTTGGAGTACTTCTCCCCCGTACTTTGCTCCTTTTCCTTGTGGAGTACTTCTCCCCCATACTTTGCTCCTTTTCCTTGTGGAGTTCTTCTCCCCCGTACTTTGCTCCTTTTCCTTGTGGAGTTCTTCTCCCCCGTACTTTGCTCCTTTTCCTTGTGGAGTACTTCTCCCCCATATGGAAGCCCCAAGGTTGTTTTATCCATGCCACACCCGTATCTACGTGTTTTCAGTTTTTGATCACTGGGTCTTTCCCAGTGGCCCCAGATCAGGGCAGGCCTGTGCTTTCTGGAAGAAAGTCACTGTGTTTGTAAATAAAGCTTCTGTAATTGTTTGCATGCATATTTTTCGGTGACTGTAGGTTTTCAGTTCATTTAGATAAGTATCTAGGAGTGGGATGGCTGGGTCATATAATCGTAAGGGTGTGTTTGACTTCAAAAGAAATGGCCACACGTTTCCAAAGGGGCTAGAGCTTTTTGCATCCCACAGCAGTGTATGAAAGGTCCAGTTGCTGTGCCTCTTTGCCAGCACTTAGCATTGTCAGTTTTTTTAAAATATCGGCCCTTGTAATTAATGTGAAATGGCATCTCATCATGGCTTTAACTTTCATTTCCCTAATGATTCATGATGTTGAGGGTGTACTAGAGGCTTATTCACTATCTACATGTCTTCTTTTGTTGAATTTCTTTATTAGATTTTTGTTTTCTTGTGGTTGAATTTTGAAATTTCTTTAATATTTTAGACACAAGGTCGTGCTTACCTTGCTCTCAGTATTAAGGGAAAAAAATTCAGAATTTCACCAGTAAAGTGTGACGTTAGCTGTAAGATTTTTGTAGACGGCTTTTATAAAGTTAAGAAAATTTCTTTCTACACTAGTTTACTGAAAGATCTTATCATGAATCAATAATGAAGTTTACAAAATACTTTTTCTGCAACTATTGCAATGATTCTATGTTTTTTCTTCTTTAATGTGTGAACATGGTAAATCATATTGATTGGCTTTTCAAATATTAAACCATCCTTGCTGAGCCCCACTGAATCACAGCATGTTAACTTTTTAACATATTGCTGGATTAAAATTGTCAATATTTTTGAGAATTTTTGCGTCTCTGTGTATTACAAATATTGGTCTGTAGTTTTTTTTTTTCTTGTAATGTCTTTGTCTTACTTTGACATTAGAATAATGCTGGCCTCAAAAAATGAGTTGGGGAGTATTTTCTCTTTTTCTATATTCTGGAAGAAATTGTGTAGAATTGGTATTATTTATTCCTTAAATGTTACGACAATTTACCGGTAAAATCATTTGGGCTGTAGGTTTTATTTTAAGGGATACTTTAAACTATTAATTCAATTTTTCGATTTGATATAGGACTGTTCTAGTTATCTATTATTCTTGAGTAAGTTTAATACTTTTTCAACTTCCAAGAAATTGGTTCACTTTATCTATGTAATCAAATTAATAGGCAGAGAGTTGTTCATAGCATTCTCTTGTCATCCTTTTAATATGTATAATCAGTAGTGATAATGCTTCTTTCATTCTGGATATTTATGTGTGTCCTATCTCTCACCTTGTTGGTGTGGCCAGAGGTTTATCAATTCTGTCAATATTTTCAAAGAACCAGCACTTCGGGAGGCCAAGGCAGGCAGATCACTAGGTCAGGAGATCGAGACCATCCTGGCTAACATGGTAAAACCCCATCTCTACTAAAAATACAAAAAATTAGCCGGGCATGGTGGCGGGTGCCTGTAGTCCCAGTCACTTGGGAGGCTGAGGCAGGAGAATGGCATGAAATCGGGAGACGGAGCTTGCAGTGAGCCAAGATGGTGCCACGGCACTCCAGCCGGGGAGACAGAGCGAGACTCCATCTCAAAAAAAAAAAATAAAGAATCAAGTTTTGACTTAATAGATTTTTCTCTTTGGTTGTATTGATTTCTACTCTTATTGCTATTATTTCCTTCTTCCTGCTTGCTTTGGGTTTACTTTGCTCTTCTTTCTCTAGATTTTTAAAGTAGAAGCTCAGATTACTGATTTGGGACCTTCCTTTTCTAGCAGAAGCATTTAAAGCTATACGTTTTCCTGTAAGCACTGCCTTAGCTGCGTCCCACCAATTTTGACACAATGTATTTTTACTTTCATTCAGTTCAAAATATTTTTAAATTTACCTTGAGATTTCTCCTTTGACTCATATGTCCTTTGGAAAGATGTTATTTAATTCCTAATACTTGTGGATTTTCCACATATATTTCTTTTGTTGATTTTCATTTTAAGACTGTGGTATGTGAACACACTTTATATGATTTGTATTCTAAATTTCAGATTTGTTTTGTGGCTCATAATCTGGTCTGTCTTAGGGAAGCTTCCACGTACCCTTAAGAACATGTATTCTGTTGACGTTGGGTAGAGTGTACCAGAGATGCCAGGTGGGCCAAGTTGGCTGACGGTGTTGTTCAGGTCATCCACATCCTCACGGATTTTCTGCCAAGTACTGAGAGAGAATCGTTTACATCTCCAACAGTAATTATGGATTTGTCTAGTTCACTTTTCAGCTCTCTCATTTTTTGCTTCAGGTGTTTTGAAGCTGTGTTATTAAGTATATCTTTTAGATTTGTATGTCTCCTTGAAAAATCAAGTCTTTTATGGTGATGTAATGTTGCCTTTATCCCTGACAATTCTCCTTCTCGTGTCTCCTTCGTCTGATGTTAACATAGCTGCTCCGGCTGTACCTGGGCCGGCTCCCAAGAAGCTTCCATTCTTACACTCCCCAGTGGATTTTTGTGCACATTTTAAGTGTGAGAACCAGGGCCATCGGCATCATAAGCTCAGTGAGTGGAGATGGTGTCTTCTTTATTGAACCCCGTAGGAGGCACGAAGCCAGGCACAGACGTGATGTCAGGAGCTCGAAGATCTCCCGACAGGTGCCTGCCTTCCCCTTCTTGTCCCCATGGTCCATCCCCTTCGCCTCTGTCCACGTGGCTGTCCGAATTAGCATCCCGCATCACCTTGCTGGACTCCAGCCCACCTCTTCAGCTTCCTCTCTCCCCTCCCACCTTTGCTTCCTTGACTGGACATTTTTCCTTCTGGTCCATGGAGAGGCAGCACCCAACACTGTGCACCTCCAAGGTCCTCCTTCCTCTCCCAGGAATGCCACTAACGTCCAGGCCACTCTTTTGGGAGATCCCACGCCACCATTACCCCCTAGGAACACCTTCTTGGGCCCTCCGGAGCCGCTTCCCAGGTCCTGTGATCTGGTTTCTAAGGCTGGAGGTGTGATTGGCCTCACAGTCCTCCCGCCCCCGTGCAGCCTGCAGCAGGTGATCAGTGAAATGCACATCGCCTGAGTGAGTGCTGAGATGAGGTGGTGGCACGTGGCAGAGATTTGTCAGAAATTCTGGGAACAAATACCCTTCACAGTTCTCTAAAAAGGCAAAACTGGTGACAGGGAATGCAATGCCGGCAAACACAATCTCCTCACTTGCTTTGAAGCATGTAGGTCAATATTTCCATTTCAAGGAGGCTGTCATCAGCCTCGTCCATTATTAAGTGGGGGGCATGGGGAGCAGCTGTGGGGTTGACCATGGCAGCTGTCACAGCCCCACGTGGGCTGCTCCACTCTGAAGGGGTGAGGTGTTCTCTTCAGAAACACAATAATGAGTCACAGGTCCTGATTAGCAAGAAAGGCCGGAAAGCTGCTGCCAGCAGGACAGAGGCACAGACCAGGCTCCTTTCCAGAAAGTGCCCCCGGGGCTGAGGAGGCTCCTTTTGCAGGGCTGAGGTCTTGTGGCATGAAATTCCTCTCTCTGGCAGGGAAGCAGGCATGCGCAGACACCTCCCATCAGAACCATGGTGGATGGTGACTGTAGCTAGGTTTCAATATGGTTATTGTTTTCCTGATTATGAAAATAACACATAGCCATGATAGAAAGTTGAGAAAATACAGACATGGTGTAAAAAAGAAAGTAAGTGGCCGTAATCTCACCAAGCAAAGATCATTACTGTAGCTGCTGGGGATGAAGGGCGTGTACCTGTGAGACACACACCATGCTGGGCACACATGTAATCTTCCAATCATCCTGTAATTTTTCCAAAAACTGAGCAAGTGATTCTCAGTGAGGGCCTTCTGAGCCTCACTTTACTGGCAAGGAGACTCAGGCCTAGAGAGCTGAGGTGGCCTGTCTGCGATCCCATCGTGCAGCTGAGATCACATCCAAGCCCCCTGGCTCTTCTGCCTCTCCCCACTGCTTCTGGGGGTTGGTCCTCACAGCAGCTCACGCGCTTCCTTCCGTTCTTTTTTACAATCGAGTAGTTTTTGTTTGTTTATAGAACAGGGGTCCCATTGCACATATTAAGAGATATATCTTTTGTTCTCCACACAATGTCCTACCATTTGTGTATCCTCCCAAAACACCCAGGGTGACAATGTCATAGGGCACAGCCTCAGCACAGGCAGGTGAGCGCAGCTGGGGTGCACCGTGGGCCCTGAAATGCAGGGTAAGCCAATGGGAAGTTGGGGGAACACTCTGGTTTACAATGTCATAGGGCACAGCCTCGGCACAGGCAAGTGAGCTCAGCTGGGCGCACCCTGGACCCTGGAGTGCTGCGTGAGCTGTGGGAAGTCCAGGGACCCGCAGTTCTTGGTCTGTCTCTTTCTGCTTTCCCCATATCTGAAACGGGCCAGGTGCTTTCCAAGGTGTTTTGGCTCTGACCTGGAGGCTGGCACCACTCGAACGGGGTGTCCCCAGGGACCTGGGCCACTGTGGCGCCTGCCTTCAACCCCACTGCCAACCAGTCTCCAGGGTGTTGCCGGAAGTCGGGGGTGGCTCTCATGAGAAAGGCCGAGGAGGAAGGTCAGAGAAGTGGGAGGAGACCCAGGAAGGCCAAGAGAAGTTGGGTGTTGAAGCCCTGGGTAGCAGAGCATGGAGTGGGGCTGAGATCAGCTCTGGGTCACTGGTGGGGCGGAGGCAGTCCTGGTGGAGGGGCCTGAAGGCCTCCGGATGCACCCTGAGGCCTATCTCTACCCCAGGGCCTGCCCGCGTCTCCTTCACAGCATGAGCCCGAATGCCTCTCCCATCCTTCTCTGGGGTTTCTGCAGGGATGCAATGAGAGGAAAGATGTGTAAGTGCTTCGTAAGCCATAAAGCGCTATACAAATGGGAGCTGATATTATTATTATTGCTGTAATGATTGTTATTCTGAGTGCACAAAGATGATGGATAGCCTGCTGGGAGAGTCCGATCCGCCAAGAAATCCCTGTATTTCTGCATGAAAATGCTTTGAAATCTGTGGAGGAAAGAGGCTTCTAACCAAAGGCTTTTGATTATCATCGTATTCGAGTTAACTCATGTAAAACCTGACTTCATACAGGAAAAAAGGCATCCACGCAAAATTAAGTCGAGCTTTTCCCCCATCCCTTCGTACACTCACAAAACTCTGGGGCTTAAGAGATAAAAGTGCAGAATCCAATCGAGAAGAAGCTTTCTGGAAATTCTGGCCCAGCAAAAAGCCATTAAACCACCTTTTCCCCGGTCAGATGGGGCTTACGGGAAGGGGAGTGCAAATTATTATTTCAGCCTCTTCCAAGCCCAGCACCAGCAGCTGCTCCATGGTGTCCCAGGCGAAGCTTGAGGGTCACCCTGCCTGGCACTGTAGCCACTACTGCCTTGAGCCAAGGCCAGAGGAGGCCTGCAGGGGCTGGAGCAGGAGTCCCAGGGCGGACTGTGGGGTTGATCTCTGAGCTGCTGCTTGCAAAGCCCATAGGGCAGAGGAGGGACCAGGACCATGCAAGTCCAGCTGTGTCCAGCCCCGAGCTGGACCTGGCGTGTCACAGCTGCTCAGTTACCGGGTGTTGAGTGGAGGACCCAGAAACGGCTGTGTAAGAAACAGGCAGGGTCTTCAGGAGGACATTCGGGGCCATAGAAACCCCTTTGACCCAGGGCAACCATGCATGAGTGTCACCCACCTCCAGAGACTTGAGGGTGGAGGGCATGTGACCTGAATCCGGTGGCTGCCCTGGAGTGCTTTGCCCTGAAGTCTGATGCATGCGCCATTGTCCACCACAACCCCACGGCCCTCAAGCTGGAAGGTTCTGGGCCCTGGAGCTCAGCCCATCCTGTTCCGCCCAGCGTGTCCAACTGCTCACCCCTCATTCACCCGAGGGGAGTTGGGGGCTGTTTACAGCAACTGTGGGCTCCTCTGCAGGATAACAGGGCTGAGGGGCAGCCACCGGCCCAGCCCGTAGATCTTGAGAACAAAGTGCCCTCCCTCGTTCTCCACTGAACCGGTCTAGCAAATTGAGACATTTTGGGACTGAGAGAGTTGAGTGGCTGTGCAGAGCTTTGCCTGAAACACCCGTGGACGCAAGGCACACCCTGGGGCTCAGTAGACAAGCAGTCGCTTGCACGGGGTTCCAGTGACTGCAAGACTTTCCTGGGTCTTATTTTAGGAGCAAGTTTCAGCTCTGGTGTGCATAACACCCTCTTTTTCACACCTCAGAAATCACCAGAAAACAGGCTTGGCTGAGGTCACCATTTCCTAAGGAAGTGGAGGAGTTGGCGGGGCCCAGCAGAAGAAACATCAACCAACGGGAGCCGCAGACCCATCCGAGCAGGTGGAGAACTGCCCAGGGCAGCCCCGGGGACCCTGCACATCCTGGGCCCTGGGGACAATCTCCTCAGACATCCAGGACTGAAGCTGGGACCCCTGGGGCCATGGGGACAGGGAAGATGTCCAGTCCAGGCTTCTCCACACATGTTCGATGCGGCTGCTGCAACAAACGACCCCACCACGAGGGACTCAGAACAACACAGATTGATTCTCCCCCAGTTCTGCAGGCCAGAGGCCAAGAGGGAGGTGTCACAGGCCCGTGCTCCCTCCAGAAGCTCTAGGGGAGGATCCTTCCTGCCTCCTCCAGCTTCTATGGACTCCAGGCATTTCTTAGCTTGTGGCCACGTCCCTCCAACCTCTGTGTCCATCCTCACATGGCATCACCTCTCCCACTAGCTCCCTCTGATAAGGACCCTCATCTTAACATTGGACACACCTGTATGATCCAGGATCTCCTCCCATTTCAACAGCTTCAATCACACTCCAAACACCCAGTTTCCATATAAGGCAACATTTGCAGGTTTTGGGGATTGGGACCTGGTAACTTTGGAGGTCATTATTCAGCTGACCTCAGGCAGGCTGAGTAGACTCAGGAGGAGCCCCACAAAAGCAGACCCCGAAGCCCAAGAGAAACAGTCTCATAGGTTTCCATCCTATAATCTCTGCGGCCATTGTTCAGTTTAATTGGTTTGAAATGGATTTGGCTGGAAGGGACTTCCCAGGTAATAAATAGATGCAATCACACCTCCCGTAAGTGCAGAGCTTTCCAGCGTCCAGAGCCTGCACCGCTGCTATTTCTTTAGCTCTTCATAGCAGTAGGGTGGGGGCGGCTGCAACATTTGTCCCACCTGACAGACAAGGACCCTGAAGTATGGGTGGCCACCACAGAGGGGCCAGGACTCACCCCACATCCTGGCAGCTGCAGTTTCTGCTGGGACCTCACAGCCCATCCCCAGCCCTCAAATCGACTTCCTCTCATCCACACTCAGGCAGATTCCATTTCTTCACCCAGTGATGCCCACTGGCTGTGGAGTAAAGAGCTCCATGGCTTGGGCGATAGCAATGCTTACATCACCTGCTCCCATCTGCTTATGATGTGGCCACTGGGTTTCCAGTTGATCTGAGAGTCCCCATCTCCAGCCCAGCTCAAGGGGGCCCAGGACCTGGAGACAGGACTCCCTGCTGGACATCCCTGGAACATCCTTGCAGGAGCAGAGGGCAGGGGCGATGGTGCCACCGTCTTCCCTGGAGCTCTCCTGCAAGTCTGGGCTGGCAAGGGTGGCCGTGGGTGGCCGTGGATGGCCAGAGATGCAGGTCCTCACTCAGGTTCCACACTCAGGCTTGAGTGCCCGCATTTTAGCCATCCTCAGCTCCCTGGTCTATTTAGGGAAAGATCTAAGGGCCACTCAGGGGCTTTGGCAGGAGGGGCTGATGAAGACTCACCATTGAGAGGTTGTAAGTAATTCTGCCACTGAGGGTCTCAAAGTGCCACCCCTGGAAAAGGTCATTTTAAGAGGGAGTTATAGCCTCCCCCTACTCTTCATCTGTCTCCCGAGAGGGTAGCCTGGCAAAAAGCAAGGGGGATAGGACCCAAGCAACGGGGACCTGGGGAGAAAGACCATAGGCAACCCCTCCATCCTCGTTCATCCGCAATCACTTTGACGGTAAGATGGCACTGGGCCTCAGCCCAGGATCTCTGGACAAGGTAAGTTTCTGCAGCTCAGGCAGAGGGCTCTGTGTGGTCTGGTAACATTCTCTGGGTGATGTAATTAACTGGGATTAAAAGGTAGGTGGGCCCCTTTGACCAATTGCTTTGATAATCACAAATCTTCATCTGGTCGTGATTCAAAGAAGTGAAGAGTCTGACCCGAGAAGGGAGGCAGCCCCAAATGTGGGACAACCAGAGCCGTAGCACGGGGGAGGGCCAGTGGGTAACCCTGGTGATCATGGTGCACCTGGCACAGGGGAGGGCCCGTGGGTGACTGTGGTGGTGGTGAAGGTGCACCTGGCACAGGGGAGGGCCCATGGGTGACTGTGGTGATGATGATGGTGGACGTGGCACGGGGGAGGGCCTTGTGGGTGCCTGTGGTGGTGGTGAAGGTGCACCTGGCTTGGGGGAGGGCCCATGGGTGACTATGGTGATGGTGACAGTGCACCTGGCACAGGGGAGGGCCCGTGCGTGCCTGTGGTGATAATGATGATGCACCTGGCATGGGGGAGGGCCCGTGGGTGACTGTGGTGATGGTGATGGTGCACCTGGCTTGGGGGAGGGCCTGTGGGTGACTATGGTGATGGTGACGGTGCACCTGGCACAGGGAAGGGCCCGTGGGTGATTGTGGTGATGATGATGGTGCACGTGGCAAGGGGGAGGGCCTGTGGGTTCCTGTGGTGGTGGATGGTGCATGTGGCTTGGGGGAGGGCCCGTGGGTGACTGTGCTGGTAATGCTGCACCTACTATACACCAAGTGCTGTCTTAGAAAGAGATGTGTAGTTGTTTTCAAGGAATTTATTATCAAGATATCATGGGCTCAGAAGCACGTGGTTTGGAGTGATGCAGTGGTTTGGATTCACCCGTGTTACTTAGTGCACACATTAGCTTTGAGTTGCTTCACTTCTCTAAGCACTTATTTACTTCACTGCACAAGAGGATGGCAGTGAACTCCTAACTCAGGCTGTTAGCCTTCCTTCCTTACTCATCCGATTGCCTGTGGACTCCAGAGTCAGTTCCCCTCCTTCCTCCCCCTCCCTCCCTTCCATACATCCAGCCACAAGATGAAAGTGATGGGACACACAGAGAACCAACCCAGACGAGGGATTTCCCAGATGAGGTTTCTGCAAATATAGAAAGGATCTCAGCTGTCAGCAGAACTGGCCTCTCTCTCTCTCTCCCGCCACCTCTCTCTAATAGATGCTTTTCAGAAAATCACTTATGTCTTCATTTTCCTTTCCCTTCATGGAGGTCTGGCAGTACTTCCTGAAGAAAAGCTGCTTGCCTCCTTTAATCCCAGCACTTTGGGAGGCTGAGGCGGGTGGATCATGAGGTCACGAGTTCAAGACCAGCCTGGCCAAGATGGTGAAACCCCGTCTCTACTAAAAATACAAAAAATTAGTCGGGGGTGGTGGCATGTGCCTGTAATCCCAGTTACTAGAGAGGCTAAGGCAAGAGAATCACTTGAGCATGGGTGGCAGAGGTTGCAGTGAGCCAAGATTGTGCCACTGCACTCTAGCCTGGGTGACAGAGGGAGACTCCGTCTCAACAACAACAACAGCAAAAAACAATGGGGGCATTTAGTGCTGCAGAGCCTCAAAGCCCAACCAGGGGCTTTGTCCTCTGGACCCCAGACCCACGCAGGCAGCTCCTGGCAGGCCCAGACCTGCCCCTCCCAGAAGCCACCTTGGAGCTGCCTGCAAATTAGCCGCAGGCTCCTAAGAGTCATTGCGATTTGAGGACTTTGCAGTTATCAGCCTGACCGGTTCCCCTGGAGCTCTACCACACTTTCCAGGTTTGGGAATTCAACTCTGGTCTGGGAAGGCTGAGAAGGGACTCAGGGACTGCTGGGTGGGTAGCTGCGTCCTCACAGGGACCTGTGGGCAAGCTCAGCATCTCGGCTCCTGTCCTGGCACCTCCTGCTCTGTGAGGTCCATGAGGAGGAGATCCGAGCTGTCCACGCTTGGGCTCCATCCACGAGCAGGTGCACAGTAGACTTGTGGGCCTGCAGCCCGTGGCCTCTACCCTGTCCCTGCACAATCTGGGCCCCCAGCTGGGTGTGAGCCCGTTTTCCTAATTGTGTGAGAGGCTCTAATGAGCCTGTTTAATCTCAGCCCATCGCTTAAGAGTGCGTACATGCTGGCAAAGTGCAACCTCTCTAAGCTCCCTCTTCCTACTCTACCTACTCTATAAAAGAAGACGACACCTGTTTCACAGGAGTCTAATGAAGATGCCACGAGAGGCAGTGCCCCAGCTCTTCAATAGCGGCCACCCTTAGCTCTGCTATTCACTGTGTTTCAGGCTGTTATGAGTTGTTATTGATACGTTGTTGTTTTTATTGCCTGTGGGAAGAGGGGCCAGTTTCTGATGCCTAGGGAGTAGAAGGGTCTCCCTCTGTGGCTAATTAGCATGTCCCAAGTATTTTACGGGACATGTTTATAGTAAATAACAAAATTTTCATTTATCTGGAATTCAAGTCTTATTTTCAGGAGGATGATGACGCCAAGAAGAGGAAGCAGCTGTCACTGCATGCCCTGGCATGTGGGTGAATGTGTGGTGTGGGTGTCTCCCCAGCTAACCTTTTTATAAACAGCTCTATTGAGATATATTCACATACTGTACAATTACCCATTAGAGTGCACAGTTCAATGGTTTTGTAGCATATTTATGGATAAGTGCAGCCATCACTACAGGCAATTTGAGAACATTTTCATTCCCTCAAAAAGAAGCCCCACCCCTGTCGCCTGTCACTGCCCATCCCCGCTCCGCTCAGCCCTAAGCGACCCCTGCCTGGCTGCACGTCCCTGTGGGTTTCCACATCCGGACATTTCACTCGAATGGAATCCCATAAAATGGGGTCTTTGTGACTGGCTTCTTGCACCCACCACGCGTTCCAGGTCCACCCGTGTTGCACCAAGCGTCAGAACTCCGTTCCTTCCTATGGCTGAGCAGCGTTCCATTGTGTTAGACAGTATTTTTGTCATCCACTCATCAGAGTATGGTGACAAAGACTTCCTCCCTATCAGGGTCCTCTGACGTCGGTCTGCCACCCCACCCTTCACCTGCCATTCCCAGCTTTAGCAAAAGTCATGCTAAACCTATTTGCTGAGAATCCTGCACTCTTCATGCCTGACATGTTCTACATCCTCCAGCCTGGACATCTGGACCCTTGGTCTGCCTTTAGCAAGGATTCTGTTAGGCCCCCTCAGCACGAATCCCCTGCCCTCGCCGTCTAAGGGAGCTCCTCTTCATCAGTTTCCACCCACTGCCCCTCACTCTGCTGACCTGCTGAACATCCCCAGCTGCCTCTGTCTACTCAGAGTTGAGCTCAGTTCCACACTAAAGCCCTTTCCTCCTATTGGGGTAGCTGGAATAAAATCTGTCTTGCTGTTTTTAACAAGCGTCTGGTGCACATTTTGTAACTGACAGCGGGCCTCTGGCTGTTCCTGCCTTTGGGCTCTTACGAATGGAGCTGCTGTGAATCTCCAAGTGCGCGTTTTTGTGAGGCCTCTGCCTTTGTTTCTCTTGGGTGTGGATGCAGGAGTGGAACTGCTGGGTCAGCGGCTGAAATGCACGTTCAACAGGGTGTCCTGCATTTTTATCTGGCAATGCCTGGTCCAGCCCACGCATGTGTCCTGCGACAGGCTCGGGAGGACAACCTACGCCGTGCACCAGTGGGCTTCTCCCTTGGGACTGGCGCCTCCTCAGAAAGAAGCAGATGCCAGGAAAGGTGAGCGTTGCTCCTGTTGCTTGCTTGCAACCATGTGCACTTTCCTGTGACCACTGTGTCTGTCTTCCTCGGCTCTGGGATGAGACCCCCGCCTGAGTCCTGCTGCCCCAAATTCCCCAGTGGACTTCAATAAAACCTTACCAAGAAGAGAGGAATAAGGCCACCTTGGGCCTTCACACACACAACACTTCTCAGGAAGGTGAGTGGAAAACAGAAATCTCGTGTTACTCTGTAAAAGTAGAAGATACCTGCTTCCCGGGGGTCTAATGAAGATGCCCCCAGAGGCAGCGCCCCAGCCCTTCAACAGGGGCCACCCTTAGCTCTGCTGTTCACTGTGTTTCAGGCTGATTTTATTTGAGCTCCCGCAGTAGGAGGAAAAGATTTTAGTGTGGAACTGAGCTCAATTCTGAATAGACAGACAGCTGGGGATGTTCAGCAGGTAAGCAGAGTGAGGGACGGTGGGTGGAAAATGATTAAGAGGAGCTCCCGTAGACAGCAAGAGCAGGGGATTCGTGCTGAGCTGGCTTAATAGGATCCTTGGTAAAGGCAGACCAAGGGTCTACACGTCCAGGCTGGAGGATGTAGAACATGATCAGGCATGAACAGTGCAGACTCGGGACCCCTGTGACTCAGCTCGGGTGCCGGAATGAAATCCCACGGGCTGTGCAGCTTTAACCACACTCTCCAGACCCCTGTGACGCAGCTCGGGCGCCGGAATGAAATCCCACGGGCTGTGCAGCTTTAACCACACTCTCCGGACCCCTGTGACGCAGCTCGGGCGCCGGAATGAAATCCAAGGGCTGTGCAGCTTTAACCACACACTCGATTGATTTCCTCACAGTCCCAGAGGCTGGAAGTTTGAGGTGCAGGTGGAGGCAGGGCTGGTTCCTCCTGAGGCCTTTCTCCTGGGCTTGCAGATGGCGTCTTCTCCCTGCGTCCTCATGTGGTCATCCCTCTGTGGGCTTCTGTGTCCTAATCTCCTCTTCTTTTAAGGACACCAGTCACAATGGATTAGAGCTCATCCTGAAGACCTCATTTTACCTTAGTGACCTCTGAAAAGACGCTATCTCTGATACTCTCACATTGTGAGGTCCTGGGGGCCTAGGACTTCAACATACAAATTTGGGGGAACACAGACACCCAGCCCATAACATGAACCAAACCCCAAAGTGGCACTGGGGCTTTTCTCCGGGGACCGCCATCATTTTGGAGAAGGAAGAGGATTCTGGAAAAGATCCACCCAGGCCCAGAAAGGGGAAGGGAAGGAGGGAGACAGAGCGGGGGAGGCGGGAAAGGGGCCAGGAGCATGGTGCGGGGTCCCTCACAGCCTGGCCTCAGGGCTCCTGGAGGGAAAGAAGTGGGGACGTCCCCTGCTCCCCAAGAGGAAGTCTGACTTTGGGCCCCCGGTGAGGACTGGATTCCTAAATCCAGATGTCCTGTTCCTTTCTCTCTAAGGGCCAGAGGGAAACAGGACATTCAGCTCCTGGCCCACCCGTCTTTGTCATTTTAATTAAAATCAGGGCTCGTGGTGGTTTAGACAGTTGCCCTCATTAGCACTAAATCAAGCACCCATTTTTAAGATATAGGCCCCTTGAAAGTGAAGAATGGCAGGGCTGAGAAATAAATATTTGAAAAGGGCAGCGAAGCCACAGACCTGCCTCCCTTGGCTTCCTGCCGACTGGTTTCAGCTCCATTTCTCTCCCCTCGTCTCTGACAAATGGCCCCTGCACGGAGTCCACCTGTGAGGCTGGGCCCCTGGCTGAGGCCTCACGAGAGGGAGGCTGAGGACCCCAGGGCAGATGGCCAGTTCTGCTGCCCCTTCCTCTCAGGCCTGGGGAGAGTCTGTGTCCCACAGAGAGGAGACGGAGATAGGGCAGGGGTTGGAGGAGCTTCCTAGGAGCCTCTGGGGTGGTGGCCTCTGCAGATACCAGCACCCTCCTGAACAGGTAAGAACAGGCAAACAGCACGTCTCAGTGACATCTCTGGGCCCAGTGACAGGCTCCTTCCCCATTGAGTCCGAGTCCATAGGAAACACTAACATTCCCTTTTGGAAAAAGATAAGTAACTCCATGGTGGAGACACGTGACGTGCACATCCTCTGCCAGTGACCAAGGCCAGTGTCAGCAGTGAGAGTCAAGTGGACGGCACATGATCCTGCTGATGTGCGTGGGTGGAGGGGCATTGCCTTCCTGCTCCTCCTCCCAAACCCATCACCCAGTCTACCTGTGAGAAACACAGCAGACAGAGCCCCACCAAGGGGCAGGTGACCTGAGGTCAGGAGTCTGAGACTAGCCTGCCCAATATGGTAAAACCCACCCTGTCTCTACTAAAAATACAAAATTAGCCGGGCATGGTGGCAGGTGCTTATAATCCCAGCTACTCGGGAGGCTGAGGCAGGAGAATCGCTTGAACCCAGGAGGTGGAGGTTGTAGTGAGCAGAGATTGCACCACTGCACTCCAGCCTGGGCAACAGAGTAAGACTCTGTGTCAAAAAAAAAAAATAAATAAATAAATAAAAAAAACACCTAAACAGCATCCCTCAAAACTGTCAAGGTCATCACAGATGGGGAAAGGCTGAGAAACCACCACAGCCAGGAGGAAACCGAGACGACACAATGTCCTGTGGTGTCCTGGACAGAAAAGGGACCTCAGAAGAAAGATTAGTGAAATTCAAATCAGGTCTGAAGTTTAATTAATGATAGCATTGCAGCAATGTTGCTTTTCTGGTTGTGACCAACGTACCTGGTCATACAAGATGCTGACGATAGGAGATGCTGGTGACAGGTCTACAGGGACTTTGCAGACACCAGTCCCCTCCCTGGGCCCCACACACAGGATCTGAGAAGAGCAAGGCTACTGGAGATGCCCTGCATGGGCCTGGGCCCTCCGGCTGCTCCCAGCCCACCTCTCTCTGTGTGCCTCTCCTATCTCTCTGCTCCCCGCTCCCCAGACCCTCTGGCCCTCCCACCGCTTCAGGAGCTGGGTTCCTACTCAGCTGTCAGCCTTTGGGTCTGGGAGTCAAAGGGCATTGCTCTAGCAGCATGAAATTCTGATTCTTAGATTATCTTTGAATCTGAAACTTAATTTACTGACAGGTAGACCATTTACTCCAATGAGTCAGAAGCCCATTGCTGGCCAGTGCTGATTTTGAGATGCAGATGAAGCTTAGGTTCTGGTGGAGGCTTGGGTGGAAAGTGTCCTGAACCTTCCTTGGGTGGAAGAAGTGAGATCATTGACTCAAAATCCAAGATGCTTGGCAAGCCATGACAGAGCTGTCACCAAACGTTTCACATGCACTATTTAATTACTGACAAGGATCAGATGAGATAGGTATTGTTTCCTATCTCAAATGGTCCTGATGATGTGCATGGGTGGAGGGGCATTGCCTTCCCCTCATCCCCAGATTCCCATTTCAGACAAAGAAACGGAGGCTACTGTCTTTCTCAAGTTCACAGAGCTAGGAACAGCAGGGTCAGGATTTGAACCCAGGTCCCCATGGCTCCAAGGGCATAAACTTCACCATTACCACCAGATCTCCTAAACTGACTTCCTACCTTGTCAACTAGTTATGGGTGGGGCAAATAGCACCACTTATCCATCTGTGGCTTGTGCAGACAGTTTGGTCTTGGGGACTGCTAGGACCCCCTGATCTCTGGGCTCTTTGGGTAGGTGGAGAGGGGCTCACTGGGCCACTATTGCTTAGCTGCATTGTTCTGATTGGGCTCAGATGTGAGCTGTCGGTTGAGTTCCTAATTGCTCTTCAGCCGATCCGGTTGGCTGTTGAGGCTTACAGGAAGGCTTGGCTTTCTGGATTTGCTCTTCCAGCTTTCACTCCAGTGGTCACATCTGCGTTTAGCCTACAGTGCTCTGGGCCACTGGAGCTCCAGGCCTGGCCTCATGGGGGTCTTTTTTGTTGAGCCACCTTCCAGGGCTGCATTGGGGACCGTCCTTTGAGAGCTGGAGGGATGGCGTCATGAAGTCCCCTTGTGCACAAAACAAGGTGTGAAACAAGGCAGGCAGGGGATCCCTGGGAGCAAGTGTCAGAAGCACCCGGGGGATCCTGAGCAGATGCCAGCCCCACCCTCAGATTCTGCCTCCATGGGTCGGGGGCCAAGGGTTTGCACCTCTAACAAGCCAGGGCTACCACTGGGCTTGGGCCTCCCCTCGAGAACCGCCCTGAGCCTGAGGCTTGAGTGGTTTCGCTTGAGTGGTTTCACTTGAGAGGCTTCACTGCCCTCTTTACCAGTAAGTAGCTCAGTGCAGCCAGGACCTACCCAGTCCCCTGCTACGGAACCAGGAGCATGGAGGAGGTGGCTGGCTTGTCTGTTACTAACCCATGTCTCTTCTCACTCAACTAGCATTCGTGGACAGGGCAGGTGGAGGGAATTCATTTAAACAAAATTAAGTGATCACAGTTTCTCTTCGAGATGACACTGGCCCATGGAGGGAAGCTTGTCAGAGGTGGGGGCAGTGCCAGAGACAGGTGGGTGCTCCTGAGTGAGCCAGACCCTCAGGCCCCTAGCCTTCTGGACCCACCCTCACCCCACTACACCCTGCTTTGGTACAAGTTGTGCCCGAGGGTGAAGTGGTCCTAAGTCGCCCTGTCACTTCTCAAGGAGTGTGCCCCTTCCACATTCTCTCCAAGTGAGGTAGGAGGTGGGACTGGACTCTGGAGGCGGGGCTTGGCCACCAGACCCAATTGGGAACTAGCTAAAACAGGGCCAGGGTAGAAGCAGCTTTCCATCAGACACACCCACCAGTGTGTACTGTTGCCATGGCAACACCTGGCAGTCCCTTTTCATGGCAATGACAATGACCCAGAAGTGACTACCCTTTTCCTAGACATTTCTGCATATGCCGCCCCTTAATCTGCATGCAATTAAAAGTAAGCATCCGTATGGCTGCAGGGCTGCCTGGAGCTGCCGCTCTTAGCACTCCACCAGTGGGGAGCCCAGCTCTGCAGGAGCAGTCACGGAGTTGTGACACGCTCAGAGCTGACACCTGTGACACTGCCACATCCATAAAGTGGGTTTCTTCCACCACTGGCTCACCCGTGAATTATTTCCCGGGCAAAGTAAAAATCCCTCCCAGGCTGATTCCCAGCTAGGGCTCACCTGCCCTGTGTCACAAGGATGTGGAGTAAACAGCTTCGTTTCTGGAGTAGAAAATCTGCAGCAACGAAGCTTAGGGGCAGGTGAGCGTGAGAGAGTCTCCCTCGGTCCTTCCCAACACTGACCCCACCACTCAGGGCCCCTGCTGCCAACTTCCGGCCCCACACCTTCAGGGCAGGAGGCTCTGGAGTGAGGCCTTAGGGGCTGGGGCCATTGGGGCCCGCTCCTGCGCTGTGTTTGCTCCTCCCAGACGTGGGGAACAGGAAACAGGGTTCCGTCTCCAGGGGGAGTCGGTGGGCGCCTGGCCACGGAGGTGGGAGAGGCCCCTCCCACTGTTCCCTTCCATCCTGTAAACCGGGGTATCCAATCTGTGGCCTCCCTGGGCCACGGTGGAAGAAGAGGAATTGTCTTGGGCCACACATAAAATACACTAACACGAGTGGTAGCTGATGAGTTAAAAAAAAAAAAAGGCCTATACATAAATCTCATACTGTTTTAAGAAAGTTTAACGAATTTTTGTTGGGTGGCATTCAAAGCCGTCCTGGGCCATGTCACCTGCGGCCTGTGGGTTGGCAAGCTTGCAACACTCCTGTGTGCTCATGGCCCCTCTCTGCAGGTGAAGGGACTGTGGCTGAGAGTCTAGGGGACTTGCCACACAGATGGCCTGCTGCACTGGGAAGCGGGGAATCCGGCTCAGAGCTTGGCTCTCTTGGCTGCTGGAGATGGCGGCGTTCCTTCCTGGAAGCCCTGGAGTCCCCTTGAGAGGAGACAGAAGGGCAGGGACCACCGTTCTGGTCAGGAGGAGAGCAGCATGGGTAATACGGGGGTGCCAGTGAATCACCCCCAAGGTGCAGCCAGAGATGGACAGGCCCAACCTTGCTGCGGGGTGGAGAGACCAGGTGCACCAGTGTCCTGGGCCTGCTGAGCCAAGTCCCACAGGCCTGCGGCTTGACCCGCAGGTACTCATTCCCTCACAGTCTTGGGGGCCAGAAGGCCTAGAGCAAATGGCAGCAGAGTGGGCTTTTTCTAGAGGCTCTGAAGCGGAATCACTCCCCTGCCTCTCCCAGTTCCTGGTGGCTGCTGGCAATTTGGGGCCAACCTCTGCCTCCAATGTCATGGAGCCATGTATCTCTGTGCCTCTCTCCCCTCATAGGAACACCAGTGACATGGGATTAGGGCCCACCCACTCCGGGATGACCTCATCTGGACTAACTACATCTGCAAAGACCCTATTTCCAAATAAGGCCATATTATGGAGTATCGGAGGTTAGGACTGCCTCATCCCTTTATTCAACCCAAAACACCGGAAGCCTGGGCTGAGCTTCACACCTGCTGAAAGGTCGCCCAGCTCTTTCTCGAAGATAATTCCTCTTGTTCTTTTCCTCTGCTCTTGGCAGCACCTCCAGGGCTGATTTTAGCTCCTTTGTTTTCCTGTGGGTTCTGGGTTCTTGCTCACCTTTGGGCTGGGGGAGGGGAGAGAGGCGGAGGGGTGCCCTGCTCCCTGGATCCTGGATCCTACATCCCGGCCCCTCAGCGCCCCCAGCACACACCGCAGCTCCACCCCACAGAAGCCCACCCTGGTCACACTGCCAGCCAAGGCTGCGAGGCCCACGTCTCCACTATAATGTAAATGAGTTTCTGTGCTCCTGAAGGATATTTTTGACCAAGCAAAAATATCTCTGTGAGAAGGAATTTTAAAGATCCCAAAGAAAAATAATAATTGCATACCACATCTGTTATTAAGTCGATTTTTGGATAACCTTTCTGGTGCTGTGAATCCCACTTTAACTGTGGGTGCTTATCTACACCTGCAAAGCGAAAGCCCTGGCTGGATCCGGGTTTGATTTGTCTATTCAGGGCAAGCAGACCTTCAATGTCAGGCTTGCTTCTCATTACCTCCAACTCAGCAGAGAAAGACCATTCAGTCCCAGAATAGGGACAGTGGAGGGAAACCCACGCTGAGAGTGACAGCTGCCTTCAACCTAAGTGCTGGTGGCAGCTGAGGGAAACAGGACTGGGGGGCTGGGAGGGAGGTGCCTTGGGGACCCAGACCCTGGCAGGGAGGATCTGGGTTTGGGCTGCCCAGAGGGAGGGTCACGTTGGCTGCTCCTGGCTTGCCTGGGGGTGTAACCAGGAAGACAGACACACAGCATTCATCATTTGTCCGTGGGCCTGAGGAAGAAGGGCTGGGATGTTTGACCAGCATCTGTCCAGCCATGGGTCAGTTCCCACGGGGCCACAGCATCCACCTACCTCAGGCCGCACGCTGGAATCTGGGGAGAGCTGTGAAAACCACCCATGCTTGGCCCCTGCCCCAGACCCTGATGGTGAGGCCTGGGGCTGGGCTTCCCCAAAGCTCCCCATGCGATTCTATCGGCGGTGGGGGTGGTCAGGCTGTGCACCTGGAGGGGTGGGGAGCATCCTCCGCTCTCTGGGCAGGCCCCTCAGGAGGCTGTGAGAGGACTGAACTCAGTGCATTCGGAATATTTCTCCAAGCGCCGTCCTCCCTAGACTCCTGCAATCCAGGCCACAGCTCCCACCCACCCAACCCCGTAAGTCAGGAAAAGGGGGTCATCGCCTCCTCCTCCCTCACCCCCACACCAGGGCCATCTGCAGATTAGAGCATCCTTCTCCATTCCTGAGCTCCCGGCCTCCTCCAGTGTCAGGCCGCCTGCTGTAGCCCCCATCTCTCCCAACACTTGGCCAGAATTCTTTTTCAGGACCTGGCTTAGAAGCCGCCTCCTCAGGAAAGCCTCCCAAGCTTTCTCAAGCTGAGTCCCGCTCCGGCTCACCCTGAAGCGCTGCTGAGACTCTCCTGGGGTCAGGGGCCAGGTGCGGGTGCCTCGCAGCACAGCCCCTGGCACAGAGCAGGGCCTCTGCAGGTATTTACAGCTGCCAAAGGGAGCATCTGTCAGAGCTTTGGTTTCAGAAATCCAGGGGCTTCTAGAAGGGACACGTGGTCACAGGTGTCAGGCCCGAGCCCTCAGGTGGGGATGACCAACTGGGAAGGGCCTGGCTGTGGGGAGCCGGGCTTAGGGGAGCCAGGATTGGGAGAGCTGGGCTGGGGAGGACCTGGCTGTGGAGGGCCGGGCGGGGGCAGCCGGGCTGCCAGCTCATTCTGGCCTCTGTTCCCGTAACTGAGGAGGCCGACGGGCCTCCCGCTGGCCTGTCTGTGCCCACAGGCAGCCACCTTGCTAAGCTTAGGCTTTCTGACACTGCTTGGCCTTCCAGCTGGAACTCTTTTCAGAGGCCAGTGATTTTTGCAAACCTTTAATTGTTGGTTTCCTGGGGTGAGTAAAAATTCACAGACACACAGGGCTTTGTGATGGCTTCTTGCCGTTGGCTTTTTAGTCAATTACTCTACCTGTCCTCTCAAAGTGGAGCACGGCTGCAGGCAAAGGGGCCTGGAACTGTCCTCGGGAGCTCCAGACCCAGGTTCCTCCTCTGCCCTTGAAACCAGCTGGAGATCTGGCGGGACTGGAAGAAGAGGCCTCAGCATAGAACAGGGCTGGGTAGGGTGGGCTCCAGTGTCCGAGAATGCCTCTGTGGCTTGCCGCGCTATATGGGGCAAGGGCTCCTTCCACCAGCTTCACAGGTCCTGGGGGCTGCTACGAAGGACCTGGAGCTCCTTTCTGCCAGCAGTTTTCAAATTTTGCATCAGAGCTTTACACAGTATAGCTGTCCCTCAGTACTGCTGAGGGATTGGCTCCAGGAACCCCAAAGATACCAAACTCCAGGGATGCTCAAGTCCTCGACAGAAACTGGTGTAGTGTTTGCATAGCACCTATGCCCATCTTCCTGTACCCTTTAAACCCTCTCCAGATCATGTCTAATATCGAATGCAATGTAAATGCTATGTAGATGATTGGTATACTGTTTAGGGAATAATGACAAGAAAAGAAGTATGTACATGCTCAGAACAGATGCAGCCATCTATTTTACTTTTGAAATATTTTTAGTCCATGGTTGGTTGAATCCATGGATACAAAACCCACGGATACAAAGGGCCAACTCCATATAAATGAGAGAAACATGGAGACATTCACTTTCTCCTCCCCTCCCATCTCAGGTAGCATCACCAGATGTAGGAAGTAAAATTGCAGGACGCCCAGTTAAATTTCAATTTCAGATAAACAACAAGTAATTTTTTTTTAGTATAAGCATGCCCCACACAATATTTAGAACATAGACTAAAAAATTAGTGTTGTTTTTCTGAAATTTAAATGTAACTATCTTTTATCTGGCAACCATTCTCTTAGGTATCCAAGACATTCCCTATGGCAGCCCCAGGGCCATATTTCCTAGGATTTATTCTGCCTGTGGACCGGTGTGTTGTATCACATAACATTGCTTGAGCATTCCTGACAGACTCCTGGCTGTCAATTTATCAGTGGCAACAGTTTACTGGTTGAAAATGGGAAGCAATAATATTCATCTGACCAGTTTCTCTCTCTCTCTCTCTTTTTTTTTTTTTGAGATGAAGTCTCCCTCTGTCACCCAGGCTGGAGTGCAATGGCATGATCTTTGCTCACTGCAAAATCCACCTCCTGGGTTCAAGTGATTCTCCTGCCTCAGCCTCCCAAGTAGTTGGGATTACAGGTGCCCACAACCATGCCCAGCTAATTTTTGTATTTTTAGTAGAGATGGGGTTTCACCATGTTGGCCAGGCTGGTCTCAAATTCCTGACCTCTAGTGATCCACCCACCTCAGCCTCCAAAGTGCTGGGATTACAGGCGTGAGCCACCACGCCTGGCCCAGTTTTCTCTTAAAGCTATTTCCATGATGATCATGATGAGACTTAATTATATTTTTTTATTTCAAATCACTCCTGATAAGTAACAAATTTGGAGAAATAAAAATATCGAAAAAAAAACAACAACAGGAATTCTTAAGAGCCTCACAACACAGTTTGAAAAGAAACCATTGCTCTCTCAAATCATTGCATTCTCTCTGGGGAAGCAATCCCAGAGAGTCTACTTGACCTTTCAAGAGTCATATAGCGGATATGATGGGGCAAATGAAAGACTGTAGTCAGGTCTCGTGACTTACTATCTATCTATCTATCTATCTATCTATCTATCTATCTATCATCTACTTATATATCCACCCATCCATCCACCCACTTCTCCACCCATCCATTCATCCATCCACCCACCCATCCATCCCTCCATCCACCCATTCATTCATCTATCCATTCATTTATTTACAAAATGTCTATTAATTCATCCATCCATCCATCCCTCCATCCATTATTCACTCATTTATCCATTCATTTACCAAAATATCCATCCATCCATCCATCCATCCACTTGTCCATCCATCCACTCATCCATCCATCCACTCATCCATTCATCCATCCATCCATCCATCCATCCATCCACCCACCCACCCACCCATCCATCCATTCACTCATCCACCCATCCAGTCAGCTATCTAAAGCAAACATTTATCCAGAACCAACTAGGCTCTAGGCCTTGTACCAGCTTCTGGAAAACAGAAATAAACAAGATGGCGTTTGTGTCTCCTGTGGGCTTCATGAGCCACTGGGGAGCAGACTATAGCCCAGCACTAGCCCAGCCAGCAAGTGTCGTGGGGTAAGTGCTGGCATCACCGTGGGTATGGAGCCCTAGGAGCCCTGGGGCTTCCTGGAGAGGATCCCAGCTCTGGTGTAGAGAGGGGCTGTCCCTGAAGGTGATATTGAGTCTGTGTCTTAAAAGAGAAAAGGGAATTTGCTAAAATAGAAGGGAAGAGGGAAAGATCTTCCAGGCAATGGGAATAGCAGGTACATAGAGCTGTGGCTCAAGGCTTGTGTTCCTTCCTCAAACGTGCCCTGAGTGGGCACCAGCATCGGACACTGTGTTAGGACAGGCTTCTCTACTGTGGCCCTACTGACATTTTGGGACCAGATAATTTGTTGTTTAGCAGCATCTCTGGCTTCCACCTACCAGATGCCAGCAGAAATTATGACAACCAAAAACATCTCCAGATATTGCCAAATGTCTCCTGGGGCGGGGGGAAGTCTCGGCTGTTTGAGAAACCATTGTGTTAGAGGCTAGAGAGGCAAAGATGAAAACAAACTGCAGTCCTCCCTTTCAGGGAGGTTGTGAGAGTTTCTTCCCAGAAACTCTGCATAGCTGAAGTTAGTAGGGATGTAATTAAAAAGAAAGCCTGGGCTGGGCATGGTGGCTCACCCCTGTAATCCCAGCACTCTGGGAGGCCGAGGAGGGTGGGTCACCTGAGGTCAGGAGTTCGAGACCAGCCTGGCCAACATGGTGAAACCCCGTCTCTACTAAAAGTACAAAAAATAGCCCAGCATGGTGGCGGGCACCTGTGAGCCTGTAATCCCAGCTACTCAGGAGGCTGAGGCAAGAGAATCACTTGAACCCAGGAGGCAGAGGTTATAGTGAGCCGAGATCGCACCATTGCACTCCAGCCTGGGCAACAAGAGTGAAATGCCATCTCAAAAAATAAAAATAAAAATAAAAAAGCCTGCTGCAACATATCCTGGATAGTAATAGCTTTTAAGTATTTTTCTAAACCCCAGGTAAACACCTTGAAAACAGGAAAATGTACAGTAGTTCCTTCCTATCCATGGGAAATACATTCCATGACTCCCTGAGACCACCCGAAATCACAGATGGTACCAGTGCTCATATATACGATGTTATTTGCTATACATACATGCTTATGATAAAGTTTGATTTATACATTAGGCACAGTAAGAGATTAACAGCAGTAACTAATAATAAAACAGAACAATTATAACAATATACCATGGTAAAAGTTATGTGAATGTGGTCTCTCCCTCTCGTACTGTGCCCACCTATCTTCAGATCTCAGTTTACCTGGGGTAATAGAAACTTTGGAAAAGGAAACTGCAGATACAGGGGCACCGCTGTGTAACTATTCCACACAGGGTTCATAATGGGTTGGATTGCTACTCTTAAATATATATCAATCATATATATGTATGTGTATATAAACAGTCACTAGCATATTGAATTTTTTCACACTGTTTATCCAGCATAATTTGTAGTTGGTCTGTATTTGATTAAATATGATCATCTTTTATGTACAAGTTACATAAGTAAATAGAAAAATCCTTTACAGTCCAATGCCTCATGCAAAATTAATCTCAGCTGTGTCCTCGCTGCACACTCTGAGTTGTTGGGGACATGTGGTTAATTGAATATGGGAGGGGACGGGTGTCATCTGAGGCGAACTGTGAAACTTCACTTCTTCATTTTAATACTTTGGAAGCTTCAAAATTTTCCTGTGAATGTGTGGATTTAAAACTATTCTCAATGGTGATTTCATCGAGTAAATCTTGTAGAAGCTTCAGAATAACAAATTATTAAATACACTGCTCGACAGGAAGCATCTCTGGGGAAATTACTTCCTTAGTTGTAACATTCTCAACGTTTGACAGCAGCAACTCTGCGTTGACTGTCAGCTGACCACAGGGTGGTCTGTTCTCAAGCTCCTTCTGCCTGGGCCTCAGTCTCCAGGGAAGAGGGGAGGCAGCTGTTTCCATCCAAGCTCAGGCCCCACTTGCTGCGCGGGTGGGACCTCCTCCCCAGGCTGGTGTACCCCAATCCTGTCCAGAGACTGTGTCGATAGCCACATGGGAGGGGACCAAGCCAAGGGGCAGACAGGGAGGTGGACACAGAGAAAAGTCCAAGCTCGTCCTCTTTCTGGGAGCTTTTGGAGAGCCCAGATTCTAGAAAAGTTGTGAAGGTCTGATCCACTTTGGACCTGTGTCCCACCCAAATCTCCCTTCAAACTGCAATCCCCAGTGTTGAAGATGGGGCCTGGTGGGAGGTGACTGTATCATGGGGGTGTATTTCTCAAGAATGGTTTAGCACCCTCCTCTTGGTGCTGTCCTTGTGATAGTGAGTGAGTTCTCGTGAGATCTGGTCATTTAAAAGTGTGTGGCACCTCCCCCTCTGTGTCTTGCTCCTGCTCAGAACATGGGATGCACCTGCTTCTCCTTGGCCTTCCGCCATGATTAGAAGTTTCCTGAGGCCTCCCCAGAAGCTACCATGCTTCCTGTACAGCCTGCAGAACCATGAGCCAATTAAACCGTTTTCTTTGTAAAACACCCAGTCTCTGGTATTCTTTATAGCAATGTGAGAAAGGACTGATACACAGTACTTTTATTGCCTGGAGCGCCCATCCTCCGGGTCTTGCTCCCTCCTCCCATGAGTTCCCTGGGGCTGCCACAACAAAAGACCACAAACTGGTGACATCCAATGGCAGAAGTGTCTTCTCCCAGCCCTGAGGCCAGAAGCTCAACGCTGATGGATGTCCAACAGCAGAAGTGCCCTCTCTTAGCTCTGAGGCCAGCAGCTCAATGCTGAAGGACGTCCAACAGCAGGAGTGTCCTCTCCTGGCCCTGAGACCAGCAGCTCAACTCTGAGGGATGTCCAACCACAGAAGTGCCCTTCCCCAGCCCTGAGGCTAGCAGCTCAATGCTGAGGGACATCCATCAGCAGAAGTGTACCCTCTCACAATCCAGAAGCTGAAAGCTAAGGTGCTGGCAGGGCCACCTGCCTGGGGATCTGGGGAGGATTCTTCCTGCCTCTTCCAGTCTTTGGTGGCCCCAGACAGTTTTGGCTTGTGGCTGTGTCACTTCCATCTCTGTCTTCATCTTCAAGTGGCCTCTTGACCCCTCCACTGGTGTCTCCAGGTGGTCTCTCTGCCACTCCCTGTGTCTCATAAGGACGATTGTCATTGAATTGGGGGCCAAGCTGGCTAATCCAGGATGATCTTATCTTGAGACCCTTTACTTAATTATGTCTGCAAAGACTTTTTTGTTTTTTTGTTTCCCAAATAAGGTCACAGTCACAGGCTCCAGGTGACCATGTCTGGGGCACGACTCAGCCACCACACCTGTTGTTCTCACAAGGGGTGCTGCAGATGCTGATCCCACCAGAGCTGGTGTCCAGCTGAATCCAGGGGAGACTCATAAAGGTAGCAGGCATCATTGGGAAAAGACTGACATCACGTTTGCAGCACCATTTGAAGGTGAAACTGCTGAATTTTTGACAACAAATTTTTTTGTTTCTTAAGCCAAGAAATTTTCTTAAATTTTGTTGCTTTTGTTTACCAAAAGGTAAAGAAAAACCTTTTGCTGTGTGACTGTTTTTTCTTATTGGAAGTTCATTTAGGTAACCTGGAAGTTAAGCCCCATAAAAAATGTTTGAATTTAATTAGACACAGCATAGGGAACCAATTTCACAGAGACTATTAGACCGCAATTACATACAACATTTCTTTTATATATTTCCTTTCACAAATTTTAAACTTACACAGACCATCTACAGCATGCTTGAACTTTCTGAGTTGTCCTAAACATCCCTCTTTCTTAAACAACCAGTCATTTTACTTAGGACAAGAATTTACCATACAAGATTCTTCTTCATATAAAATCTCTTTCTCATAACCTTCCTTACCACAAATACCTCTTTACCTTTATAGCCTTTGAATGAGACAAAGTCGTTTTTCTTCTGTTAGGAAGCTGGGGTTTGTGCTGCCTGTTACTGTGTGTATCTGCGAAGGGGAAGCAGATGGAGAGGATGTCCCCACACCGTAGAAGTTATTCCCCTCAAGAGACTGCTCCATTAGACTTCTTGCTAGGGCTTGTCTGAGTAAGTGTGGAATATTCTTAAACCCCTGAGGTGGGACTCTCTAGGTTGAAGTTATTGGTTAAAGGTTTAGGTAGCTTTCCAGGGACAAACAGGGCTATTAGAGAGAAAGATGAATTTAGAGGTTGGGTAAATATTAAGCATGTCCTCATCTTTGAAAGTATATTTTTGCCCCAGAGAGGTGTAAGGTATGTTGACATTACCAGGGACTGGTGGGAGAATGGGCACTGGTCTTTTAAGTATTAATAATATAAATGGGTGTGAATTTTTCCTTTGGAGGGAGGGGTTGTCATTTGCTCCCATTATCTGACTGGATTTGGAGGAGAGTAGCTTAGAGAAGGAGGTTAGCACAGAGTAGGCAGTTTTTGAACCCAAAAGGGAAATTTATCATTTTACTTGCTGCCTCCAGAGTTGCCCTGGGCTTTGTCTTGTTGGTGAGTGTCTGATTTGGAAGCCAGCCAGGGCAGAAACCCCTTCAGCTCAAGGCCATCAGAGGTGGGGATTCCATCCCAGGAGCCCTGCGGCCCTCAGGGCAGTCCCATTTCCAGTGGCCGAGCTTGGGTCAGAGGGGACAAGCTCTGTGGGGCTTTTCCCCATTTATCCCATTGGGGCAGTTTGCCTTCTAGTGGTCTGGTTTCCCACACCAATGGCCGTTATCTGGAGGAGTGTTCTTAGGTCAACCTGGTGTGGGCTGGGGACTAGAAAGCAGCCAGCAGCTGAGCCTGCCTCTTGTTCTTGAGTTCTTTTTTTTTTCTCTTAACCCTGTTTTCTTTAATCTGCTGTTAGTTATAAAAGACTGAGGGGGTGAATTTGAGGATTTCCTGCATAGGGACCACAAAAATTAGATATTTGTTTTTGAGAGTCTAAGGGTCTAATTTACCCCAATGCTCTAAAATGCAGCCCTGGGGTGAGTCTGAGGGAATGGAGGGGCTCATGGGACTGGGAAGAACATCCAGTGGGGACACAAACCACAGTTTCTCCTGGGGCATCCCACCAAGGGAAAAGGGCTCCCCTCATGTCCACAGAGGGCCTCTGAGATGCACTTTCCAAAGGGGGCATCCATCCTATTGGAAAAGATCTCCCAGCACTAGTGCCTGACATTGGATGAACACTGGGTGAATGGCCCCAGGTCACTTCAAGTATGAATTACACTAGGTAGCCAGCCCAGGTATGAGTTATGCTGGGTGCTTCATCCAGGTATGAGGGGAAGGGGTTGAGGGAAGACTCACCATTCAGGTGCTGTTTGGGATCATCTGGCTTAAAATGCCTGAGTAGGATGGCTAGCTGCCTTCACTGGAGAATTGACAGGGAGAAAGAAGGGGTCTGAGTTCCCCAAAATGTGTGTAGGTTCACTTTCATTGAGCTTCCACTGCCCATCATGCTACCTGTAGGGAGTGGGGAACTTTTGACCAGAAAGGACAGGAGACGGCCTTCGTCCCTTCTGGGCAAGGCAGCCAGACCTGTTCACCTCCTGGCCTTTAGGCTACAACAGGGAGTGGCCCTGGCCAGTTGCCATCAATTGCCAGAAGAATACTAGACTTTGTCTTCTTGAAGATGGAAAAGGAAAGCAAAACTCTAGACTCTCACCAGATTGGGTAACAATGGTCAGACATCTTTCCACCGGGACATCCTGGTCTGCCAAGGAGTGGCCCTGACTGGCACCTCCAATTGTCTCTAGGTTTGGGTGCTGTCCATTAAGAGTCTGGAGTTGGAGGAGAGGAAAGGGAGAGAGTAGGGGAGCAGTCTCCAGGCACTTCCTGAGCTGTCCCCAAGCACTCCCTGGGTCACCAAAATGTCATAGGTGTGAGTAGATCAGGCCATTGTTGTGGGCTGTGAAGGAATTTACCAAGACAGTTGTAGGTAGAAAAAGGCAGATTATTAGAGAAAGTAGGAAAACACATTGCAAGAATGCAATGGGCAGCACAGCGAGAAGGGGCTATCTGCAAAGAGGCAGAAGCTAGGGGGAGGTTTGATAGGGCCATGCTGCTGAAGCTAGGTGGAGCAAGGCTTTTGTGAACAGGTTGTTTTGCCAGTGGGTGGTTTGCAGTAGCTGCTTCTCAGGACTATTGTTCTCCCAGACCTGGACCCCTTCCTCATTGTTGCTTATCTTATTAGGACTCCACAAAGTGATGCTAACACCATGGGGATACTCACTGTAAAAGTCTGGTGAAGAATGCAGGCTATACAATTGCCCCGTCTTAAGTACTTAAAAAAGAACTCTGTGGGGATGAAAGGCTGGGTGGAAGGCAACTAGTGATTATACCCCACTCCTTGTACATTTTGGTATCTGTCTTAGTTTTCTGCCACTGTTAGCAGCTTCACACAGCAGAAATGCCCTCTCTTACAGTTCTTGAGCTCAGAGTCTAGGGTCAGGGCGCTGGTGGGGCTGCTTCCTTCTGCACGTTCTGGGGAGAGTTTGTCTCCTTCCTTTTTAGCTTCTGGAACTCCCTTCATTCCTTGGTCTTTGGATTCTTCCTCCGCTTTTGAAGCACATCACTGCAATCTCTGCTTCTCCCACACACCTGCTATGAACTTGGACTCCCTGCCTCCCTTTCCTGAGGACACTTCTGATGGCTTGTGCTCACCGCAATTATGGAGAATCATCTCCTGTCTCCAGATCCCCAACTTCGGCACATTTGAAAAGCCCCTCTACCATGTAGAGGGGAGGTGTCACAGGTTCTGGGATGCACTAGTTCTGGGCATCAGGACCTGGACATCTTGGGGAACGGTATTCAGCCCACCATGGTATTTTCCAATCTTTTCCATGATGAAGAGACATGTTACTTTACAGTGGACAAAACATATATAATATATTTTATACTGCCAAGCAGACAGACCCACTGGAAATGTGGGGCTCACTTACTCAAAGCTCTTCAGCAAGGCCCATGAAGTCCTGAGTCATCTGATGCTGTGGATGCTTATGCTTCCTCTCCAGAGGCTGTCCTCTCCTTCCCAGGCCACAGACTCCCGGAAAGCCTTGATGCCTGGTGCACGCCCTGCTCCCCTCAACCTCCCTGCTTTGCTGTCCCCTCTGCTCTGGGACACGGCTGGGGCGTGAGTGTCGTGAGTACAGCAAAGCCAGGTGAGGCTCCACCTCCAGGAGGGTGCTGCTGGCTGAGGGTCTTGTGCCCACCTTCGTCAGGTGGCAGATCAGACTCACCAAGGGCTGTGGCTGGCCTTCCATTCCCTCAGCCTCCACACTGCCCTGGCAAGCCGTGCAGTGACCGCCCTCTGGCCAGGCCTGAGCTCAGCCCCTGCTCCCCGCCATCTTCACAGGCCTGAGCTTAGCCCCTGCTCCCCGCCATCTTCACAGGATGTGTCATGCTCTCCAGACTTCACACCCACATGCTCTGGACTCCTCTCCCCTCTAGGTGCTCCCTCCACACTCTCCCACTCACCTGCTGTGAAGGTGCCCAGCCCAGCACTCCCCTCCTTTTCTCTCCCTACCTCTGGCCATAAGAGGCTTCAGAACGTCGTCTCTGGGCCAGTGGCTCCCAGTGTCTGTCTCCAGCCCTGAGCTCCCACAGAACACCGGCACATGTGTTCACCTGCCCATCGGACGCCGCAGCTGTGCCTGCTGCCACGCTTCTTGGTGGGCACAAGGGCAGCCCCTCGCCTAGCATCCTCCACCTCGCAGCTGCTGAGACAGGGACCTGAGTCCTTCCCTCTTCCTCCGCCTACAGCCAGCGTTGTCTCCTGCCCCCTCCAGGATGTCTCTGGCATGAGTCCTCCCTCCCTCCAGCCAACACTCTCTCCCAGCCACTGTCCTGTTGCTGAACAGCCAGGACAGGGTTGAGCTCTGGTGTCCTTGCCCCATCCAGTCCACACAGTGCAGGCCGACGGAGCACCTGAAGCAGCGCTCAGGTCCAGTCTGCCCATCCCCAGCACCTGCTGAAGGCTCCAGCTACACTCAGGGAGATCCAAGCTCCTTACACTGCCCAGAAGAGGGGGCTACACCAGCTGTCCTGGCCCCACTGACTGCCTGGGCCCCTCCTGAGCACTCCCTTCCCCAAAGATGCCCGGCTCTTCTTCCAGTCCCCTGCCTGGCCCTGCCTCCACTATTCCACTGACCAGTACGAAGATCTCCACTGCAGTCACCTGTTCAGCGACCCTGCCATCTAAAGCCCCTGAAGTCCTTTCATGGCAACCTGACACACAGTCTTCTGGGCATCCCAACCTTGGGAAGTCACCTTCTTCCACATTTGTTTACTTGCTATTGTTTCTTCCCCCACCCCATTTCCATTCCTTCCGTCCCCTGACCCTCCCATCCCATCTCCCCAGTGTGGCTCCTTCACCATGTGCCTGGCTCATAGTAGGGATTCAGTAAACCATTCTTATGCAAAGGTCGCAAGTCTTTGGGCTCAATTAGGAACAGGGTGATTAAAAAATGAGCGCGTGAAGTGTTGAATGATCAGGGCTGTCCTCTCCTGGGGCAAGGCCACGAGGAGACCCTCTGAACCGGGCCTAAGACCTGCTTATTGATCAGCTCAGAAGGTGGCCTAGCCCGCCCAAGTGTGCCAAGCCCCTGCGGGGACAGACACCTGGGCAGGCTCATCCGCTCCATCTGCTACCCAAAGCGCAGGCTGCTGAGTGAAGGAATGGCTTTAATTTGCTAAAAAAACGATTGATTTGGCTTAGTTCCTTGCAGAATGAGTCATTTTAATCAGTGCCATCTAATACTGTTTGCGATGAATTTTGCAAACGTTAGCAGCTCCATTTTTTCTCTCTCCAAAGTTACTGCAATAAAGTTACAAGAGGAGGACCAGTAAGAAGCCTTGGCGTCCACCCTAGAGAGTGCCCGCAGCCTGTGTATGCCTTTGCCAGGCTGCTCAGATTCTGGTGGTGCTGGCAGAGGAAAGGGGGCTGCTGCCCTGAAGAAAGGAGTAGACCTCACTCTGACCCAAGGCTGATCCTCGCGAATGTGGCCCACGTCACCACGTCAGACTCACACCCTCCCAGGCCGTGAGAAAGTGACCACGTTAATGGTGACTCTGGAGAGCTGGCTTTGCCGGTGCAGACTCACCCAACGTCTGCTGGGCAATTCCTATGGGCCAGACGCTGGCCGTAGCTCTTCATCAGCAGGGAATTTTATTCACTGCTTGCAGCAACTCTGGGACCCTGGTGCATGGTATTGCACCTGTGAGTCGGGGTCGGGGAACCAGGTCCCATCAGGGCCCTTCCCAGGCAGGCCTTGTCCTTCCTTAGTCGCAAGGCTTGTCTTCAGTTTATTAACCTCATCCCCTTTGTTAGATGAGGATCAGACCTGGTCTAACCAAGTCCTTTTATTTTGTTCAAGCCTAACTTTCTGCTAATTCCAGCCCAGTTCTTGTTCAGGCATGCAAGCATGGCCCCCACCGCACGTGTGTGTGTTTATGCCCGAGTCCTTAGTGTCGGCCTCTTGCTTGGGAATGCCAGCCCTGCAAGAGCAAGGATCCCATTCACTTGGCACTGTCCCTGGCCCATGGGGGCCTGGAGAGCATCTGTGGTGCCAATGAATAGGCAAATGAATTTGTGGAGCTTCCCAAAGATTGAGACTATTTTTTGGCAATTTTGTATTCCCTTGGAGCCTAACACAGCATGCCCAGCAGGTGCTCAGTAAGAATTTGTTGGGGGGAAGGAGAGGTGGGAGGGAGGTGACAGAGAGATGGAAGAGGAAAGGAGGGAAGGTTCTTTGGAGACGCTGTGCCACACTCACCAGGGTTGCATCCTGCAAAGTCCACTTAGTCTCATGTGAGGACACCTGTGCTATGAAGCTTTGGGCCACACCTGGTTCCCAAGGGGTGGCTTAGACCCCGCGAGATGCCAGGATGCCTTTTTTCTAAGCTGTGTTCCAAGACCTTTGAGAGGTGGTGTCTAGGAGCTGAGCTCTGGGGTCAGCCGGCCTTGCCTCTGGCCCCACCTCTGCTGTCCCCTATGCAGGTGGCCCTGGTAAGCCCCGTGCCCCTGGGAGCCACTTTCCTTGGCTGTCAGATGAGGACTGTGACCCTCCCAGGATGACTGTCAGGGTGAGGGGGGTCGTCCCTCCTGCTTTAGCCCAGAGTTCATCTCGCAGGGTGATGGGGGATGGTGGCAAGTGGGGGAGGGTGGCAAACATGGCAGGAGCATCTGTCTCCTGCCCTAAGTTCTCTCCTCCAGCCCCCAGGCACCGCTCATTGTAAAGGGCCAGAAATATCACCCTTGCAGAAGGAGATGCCTACAGACTCCCTGCAAGAAGGTACATAGCTCCCTAGAGTCTCAGCACTCTGAGCCTGGGGCAGACACATCCTTCCCAGGATGGACTCACGCCACCCTTACACCCACACCTGCAGCTGGGCTGTGTCCTCAGTCCCCGCCTCCAGATTTAGGGGCTCAGTCGCCATGAGGCTTGCTGCGTCTTAGTAATGTGAATCCGAATAACTGTGGTGGCTTGCCAGGGGAGACCTCAATGAAGGAGCAGAGCAGACGGACCTTCAGGGAGGGATGCGATTTATTAAGATTACTCCTAGGTGCACGCTTAAGATTCAGATATTTAAAAACTAGGCTGGGAGGACAGCCAGGGGAATTGGGAAGCTAAGGTGGGTATGAAGTTTTGCCTCCACTCTTGTGGCTGCTGGGGATAAGGGCTTCCCTCCCTGTTCCTGCTGTGCCACTGCCCCAAGTGATCAGCTGCATTGAGGCCCAGGGTAAGCACAGCTTTCTAAGCAGCCATTGGCAAATCCTTGCGGGCGTGAGATTGAGGTCTGCAGAGCTCTCGCGTTCACTTTCTCGTCCACACACGCACAGAGCTGCTGTTTATGGGCTACTTCGCGTTCATGGCAGGCCTGGGAGCGGATTCTCATTATTGTGATTTTGCTTCAGGGGACTGAAGTCCAGAGACGTTGACGTATCTGCCCGGGGTCACACAGTGAAAAAGCAGAGACACTGGCCAGAGTCCCTCTGCTCCCAAAGCCACCCCCATCCCCAGTCTGCATGGATCCCCCCTGCAGGCAGGTCACACTGACCTGACAGATGACCAACACCTGAACCTTTCCGCAAGACATGAGAGCTGTGCGAGGAAAAGATACTGACGAGGCTGTGTTGCCGCTGGGCGACAAGGACATAAGGAAATCTTTATACTCTCCTGCCCATGTCCCAGTATTTTTGATCCTGCCCATGTCCCAGTATTTTTGATCCTGCCCATGTCTCAGTATTTTTGAAGATGCTCATAATTAAAAGTTTGGGGCTGTAAATAAACTCTAGAGAGATGCCTGGGACACGTCCAGAGCTATGGATTTGGGGTTTGAAAGCTCCAGATGAAATGGCAAAATGACAGCTAAAGCAAAGCTCCGCTTGCACTTCCTTGCGACAGAGGAATTTAATTTGTACCTTTTGAGAGCACTTCTTGGCTGTACTGCTCGGATGACGGGAAGCCAGTGCAGACGCCGAGTTTGTTTCGCTGATCCGGAACGTGGGTGGGTCGGCACTCCCGGAGGGCACCAAAGCCTCGCCCGCCCAGGAGACTAAGATGAGCTCAGAGCAGGAAATGTTTTTCCGCCTGGCAGAGGGCCTGGCGCGCACTGGGAGCAAAGCCCTCGATCAGGATTTCACAGAGGGAAGCTCCACGGGTTTCGGAGTCGCTGGAGGGGTGGGGCCCTTTCCGAGTTCACAATGAGGCCCCTGGCGAGGTGGTGGTGAGGGCCCTGCCTCCTACTCCATGTGTGACCTTGAACGGGTGACCTGACTCCTCTGTGCTTCAATATCGTCACCCATGAAACTGCAGCATCTGTGCCGCCCACCTGACAGGCCCCCACAAGGACCGAATGTAATGAAAGCCGTGTCTGGCACTCCGCGAGCACCCGATAAAGTCAGTCAGTCTCTCCGAGGACGATTAGGCCATGCGGCCTCGGAAAGGGGTCTGAGCAGCATTTTGCTAGAAATCTGTAAGGATGTTCACTTGGTGACAACGGTACTTAGAACTGGAGCCCCACCTTCCCAGAGACCGTCCGCGGCGGGGGGGGGGGGGGCCCTTCCTCCTTCCAGGAGACCCTCTGCAGGGACTTTTTCCTCCTTCCGGGAGACCCTCCGTGGGGGGGGGCCTCTTCCTCCTTCCGGGAGACCCTCTGCCGGGGCGGGGGGCTCCCTCGCCTTCTGGGGCCTTCCTCCTTCCGGGAGACCCTCCGCCGGGGGGCCTTCCTCCTTCCGGGAGACCCTCCGCCGGGGGGCGCTCCCTCCTTCCTGGAGACCCTCCGCGGGGAGGGGGGTCCTTCCTCCTTCCGGGAGACCCTCCGTGGGGTGGCCTCTTCCTCCTTCCTGGAGACCCTCCACCGGGGAGCCCCTTCCTCCTTCCGGGAGACCCTCTGCAGGGGATTTTTCCTCCTTCTGGGAGACCCTCCGTCTCAGGGGGCCTCCCTCCCAGCCCTTCCCCAGCATGCCCAGTTGCAGAGGGTGCATTAGATCCTCCACCTGCGTTCAGTCTCACTGGTCTTATTGCTTCTTAAGCTGCTTCCTTTGCCGACAGCTGGGCTTTTCTAATTTTGTGCCTGGGTCCTGGGCTGACCTGACCATTCCGACCTCATGAACGTCAGGAAAAGAAGGGGTGGTGGGGGGATGGGGGTGCCTCAAACCTCCCAGGGACTCAGCAGCCATCCTTGAATTTGTACAAAAGGGGTTTATGGTTTTCGTAGTAAATTAATTTGAAGACTTAGCGCTTAATGAAATCGGCTTCTTGAGCCTCTGTGTATCTCAGTTTGGTGTGGGAACCCACCTTGAATATCACAAGAGATTTTCGCTGTGGAGTTCCAGAAGGGACCCCCCGTCTCTCTTCTCTGACACCTGCGGCCGGAACCTGGCCCAAGGCCTCACTGGCAGCTCTGAGGATTTAGTTCCAGGCAGGACCTGAGGCCGAGACAAGCAGCAGCAGATCCATGGCCAGCCCAGCGCCACAGGACCCTTCGCTTTGAGAGGTGACAGCGTGCTGGCAGTCCTCAGAGCCCTCGCTTGCTCTCGGCACCTCCTCTGCCTGGCAGCACTTGAGCCCTTCAGCCCACCACTGCTCTGTGGGAGCCCCTTTCTGGGCTGGCCAAGGCTGGAGCCCACTCCGTCAGCTTGCAGGGAGGTGTGGAGGGAAAGGCTCGAGCGGGAACTGGGGCTGCGTGCGGCGCTTGCGGGCCAGCTGGACTTCCGGGTGGGGGTGGGCTTGGCGGCCCCGCACTCGGAGCAGTCGGCCAGCCCTGCTGGCTCCGGGCAATGAGGGACTTAGCACCCGGGCCAGCAGCTGCAGAGGGTGTACTGGGTCCCCCAGCAGTGCCAGCCCACTGGCGCTGCGCTCCATTTCTCGCCGGGCCTTAGCTGCCTTCCCACGGGGCAGGCCTCGGGACCTGCAGCCCGCCATGCCTGAGCCTCCCCCGGCTCCGTGGGTTCCTGTGCAGCCCGAGCTTCCCCGACGAGCGCCGCCCCCTGCTCCACTGTGCCCGGTCCCATCGACCACCCAAGGGCTGAGGCATGCGGGCGCACGGCACCGGGACTGGCAGGCAGCTCCACCTGCAGCCCCAGTGCGGGATCCACTGGGTGAAGCCAGCTGGGCTCCTGAGTCTGGTGGGGCTTTGGAGGACCTTTATGTCTAGCTCAGGGATTATAAATACACCAATCGGCACCCTGTGTCTAGCTCAAGGTTTGTAAACACACCAATCAGCACCCTGTGTCTAGCTCAGGGTTTGTGAATGCACCAATCCACACTCTGTATCTGGCTACTCTGGTGGGGCCTTGGAGAACCTTTGTGTGGATACTCTGTATCTAACTAATCTGATGGGGACGTGGAGAACCTTTGTGTCTAGCTCAGGGATTGTAAACGCACCAATCAAAACAGACCACTGGGCTCTACCAATCAGCAGGATGTGGGTGGGGCCAGATAAGACAATAAAAGCAGGCTGCCTGAGCCAGCAGTGGCAACCCTCTCGGGTTCCCTTCCACAGTGTGGAAGCTCTGTTCTTTCACTCTTTGCAATAAATCTTGCTACTGCTCACTGTTTGGGTCCACACTGCTTTTATGAGCTGTAACACTCACCGCGAAGATCTGCAGCTTCTCTCCTGAAGCCAGCGAGACCAAGAGCCCACCGGGAGAAGCGAACAACTCCAGATGCTCTGCCTTAAGAGCTGTAACACTCACCGCGAAGGTCTGCAGCTTCACTCCTGAGCCAGCGAGACCGCGAACCCTCCAGAAGGAAGAAACTCCAAACACATCCGAACATCAGAAGGAGCAAACTCCAGACGCACCACCTTAAGAGCTGTAACACTCACCGCGAGGGTCCGCGGCTTCATTCTTGAAGTCAGTGAGACCAAGAACCCACCAATTCCGAACACAGCTTCACAGAGAAGCCTGGACTTCATCAAGCTCGAAATACCTGCCCGAGAGCAGGAAACAGGGGACTTCGCTCTTCAAAGTGCCTCTCACGTTGTTGGAGAAAAACGGGCTCCAAATAAACTCTAAAAAGAAATGGAAAAAGAGAGGTGAAGAGAAGTCGGGCTGGGCCCAGGCTGGCCAGGGTGGCCCTGCCTTTCACCCACCTCTCCCCCAGGGCTGTTGTGGTGCAAGGCGAGAGGTCTTCATCAGCAGGATGCCCAGCCAGGCAGAAGCAGAAACCTGCCCAGCTTGCTGGATCTCTGATGGGTGATTCTGCCCCAAAACCTGGCCAAGGACTCCGGGCCAGGAGGCTGGCCACCTGTGGTGGGTCGTGGCCTAGTCAGGGGACCTTCAAAAGACGCGTTTTGAGTTTTCTTTTTGCAGCATGCCTCTACACCAGGCACTGGGACGTGGAAATAAATGTGGCATCCCTGCACCGGTGCCCTCAGGGGTGAGTGGGAAGCCAGGCATGTGCACACAGGTCACACGTGGACCACGTGCCCCGTGGTGAGCTGGGCCCTCTGCAGATCCAGGGGTATAGTGGAGAGTAGGGAGAGGTCAGCACAGCTTCCTGGGGAGAGGAGGAAGGCAGCCGTCCTTCCATCCAGCATCTGCAGGAGCTCCCCACGATGTGCCCAGGCTCATCCCACCCTCCCAGCCCAGTTCCGGTTTCCAGCGCCACCTGCCAAGCACAGCACTGTTCACCTCCCCACTCGCGGGGTGGACAGTGGGCACCTCGTGCTGGGGCTGGCATCGCCCTCGGCACCATCTTGAATCGGTGGCAGTGATCTCTGCATGAGATTTCAGTCTCCTACCATTAGGCAGCGGCCCCACTTCCTCAGTCTCCCCTCACACCCCTGACCAGGACACTCCTTCCTGTGTGGCCACAAGCTGCCTCGACCTGCAGAGTAATGTTTGTTTTCCCCAATCCTGCTAAGTGTCCAGCCCCCACCCCCTCCCGATTTTAAAAGCACCTGCCTGTTAGTGTCTGAAAAGACAGCAGATACAGTGGTCGGTGCTGTGGGTTTGGGAGACCCCCGTTCATTCACTGCCCCTGACACACACACCGCTGAAGAGCAGAAGGCACCTCACACAGTCTGGACACCCCTCCGAACCTCATGTTCAAACGGGACCCCAGTGTTGGAAGGGCGCCTGGTGGGAGGTGTCTAGGTCACGGGAGCAGATCCCTCATGGCTAGGCACTGTGCTGGCCATAGTGAATGAGTTCTCGTGAGGTCTGGCTGCTGAAAGTGTGCGCCATCTGCCCCCGGCCCCTGCCTCTGCCTCTTGCTCCTGCTCTGGCCGTGTGACGTGCCTGCCCCTGCCTTGCCTTCCACCTTGAATAACAGCTCCCTGAGGCCTCTCCAGAAGCTGAGCAGGTACCAGTGCCACGCTTGTATAGCCTGCAGAAGTGTGAGCCAACTACACCTCTCTTCTTTATCAATCACCCAGCCCCAGGCATTTCATAACATCAAGGCAAAAACAGACTAACGTAGTACCCAGGTCTCTGATCCCTGGGCCCAAACATATCCCAACACAAGCTCCCGGGAGGGAGGCGGCCCCGTTGCTCCCATCTCTCTGAATCAGGTGGGTGGGGGGCCTGCTTGGGTGTCTGGAGGCCACAGCAGAGGCTGGGGAAGGCGGCTACTGAGCCCCAGCTCGGGGGACCCCCCTCCTACTGGGGGCAGATGGAGGGAAGTTGGCTTTGGGTCTGCCCTTCCCCGTGGGGTAAAGGACCAGGCGCCATTTCAGCCAGCTTGTCACTAGGAAGGCCAAAACCAGAGAATGGGGCCACATCACAGAAAATCCCAATTTCCACGTGGAAAAGTTGTGGCTTCCGGCTGAGTGCAGCTAGCCCAGATCCTGACAGACCAGAGCGACGCCACTGCTGGTGGAGATTGACAGAGAATATCCCGGGCTTTGGTGGGAAGAGAATGGAGAAAGCAGGGAGGGTGGGGGCAGAAGCAAGGTCAGTGCTGCTCTCACGGCCCACATCCTCTCCAGGCAGTGGCAGAGAAGAGGCCAGATGTGTCCTGGGCACCTGCATATGCCTCTGCTCTCACGTGACCTGCACACATGCCAAGGCCAGGTGGCTTCTCACCTGCCATTCCCAGGGTGGGGAAGGCCAAGGGTTCAGGCTGCTCCCCCGTCACTACTCAAGGAGGAGATGACCCCTGCTCCCTGCCCACTGCAGAGAAAGCAGGGACCCCCAAGAGTCTCCCTGTATTTCTGAGCCAGGTGACCCTTCACACAAGTCACCTTGGTCTTTTCTGGGGAGCCTTGTTCTATCACTTCTTCCCTAACTTCTTCTGTCATTTTGCAATTGCTCTGCCAGCAAGGGCATTATTTGTCGATGCTCCTCAGGCATTATTTGATTAAGAGGTTGCAATGCCATTTTAGAAGCAAAGTCCTGGAATAATCCGTATTGATAGCTGGGAGAAATACCAATTGGTGCCCCTCCATAGCAGGAAGCTGGATGAAAACCCAGGATGCCACCCACGTCTCACCGCTCAGTTGGAGTCCCTGCACACTAAGCTATGTGCCAAGGCACCCGAGTGAGTTACTTCTCACTGCTGGGACGGCGGCCTTGGAATTCCAGTAATGCAAATTGTCCAACCCTTTCCCTTCACTAAGGGGGTCTCCATATTTAGAGCAAACAACTACTTACTGAGTTTTCACTCTGTCTAAATTCCCAATCCTGGATCATTCACAATCTAGTTGTGAAAGTAGAATGTTTGCCCACTAAACAGCAACAACTACAAAGAAGACAACAAAGACGAGAAAGAATCAACTAGTAAATAATGGGGTGCTTATTCAAAAGTACAGGAGTTGAGGAAAGGAGGAAAGTGTGTGTGGAGGGGAAGTCAAGGGAAGCTTCAGGGAAGAGGTGGCTTTCACACCAGGCTTTGAAACAACTACCGTTTCATGCTCTTGTGACTGTGGGTTGGCATTTGGGCTGGGCTCAGCAAATGGCTCTTCTGCTGGCCTTGGCTGGGGCTACTCCTACAGTTGCAGACATCTGGCAGTTTCCTGGTGCCAGATGGTCCAGATGACCTCACTCATCTGAGTGGTGGTTAGCACCAGCTCTTAGCTTGGCTCATGTCCTCCACATGGTCTGGGTTCTTTTTTTTTTTTTTCCTTTTTTTAAAAATACTTTAAGTTCTAGGGTACATGTGCACAACATGCAGGTTTGTTACATATGTATACATGTGCCATGTTGGTGTGCTGCACCCATTAACTCATCATTTACATTAGGTGTATCTCCTAATGCTATCCCTCTCCCCTGCCCCCACTCCATGACAGGCCGTGGTGTATGATGTTCCCCACCCTGCGTCCAAGTGTTCTCATTGTTCAATTCCCACCTATGAGTGAGAACATGTGGTGTTTGGTGTTCTGTCCTTGTGATAGTTTGCTCTGAATGATGGTTTTGAGCTTCATCCATGTCCCTATAAAGGACATGAACTCATCCTTTTTTATGGCTGCATAGTATTCCATGGTGTACATGTGCCACATTTTCTTAATCCAGTCTATCATTGATGGACATTTGGGCTGGTTCCAAGTCTTTGCTATTGTGAATAGTGCTGCAATAAACGTACGTGTGCATGTGTCTTTATAGCAGCATGATTTATAGTCATTTGGGTATATACCCAGTAATGGGATGGCTGGGTCAAATGGTATTTCTAGTTCTAGATCCTCGAGGAATCGCCACACTGTCTTCCACAATGGTTGAACTAGTTTAGAGTCCCATCAACAGTGTAAAAGTGTTCCTATTTCTCCACATCCTCTCCAGCACCTGTTGTTTCCTGACTTTTTAATGATCGCCATTCTAACTGGTGTGAGATGGTATCTCATTGTGGTTTTGATTTGCATTTCTCTAATTGGCCTGCGTTCTTTATATGGTGTCTCAGGGCAGTGGGATGCCAGAGGGGAAGCTGTGAGATCCCAATTTTCACCACCTTCCTCACCACTTTCTACAGCTCAAAGCCAGTCTCAAGGCTGGCCCAGATGCAAGGGGCAGGAAACAGCCTCCACTTTCAGTGGAGCTGCAGGGTCACATTGAAAAGGGCCCTACACGTGGGATGGGAGACATGGTGGTGCCATCCATGCAAACAATTCCACACCATAGGAAGACCTCAGTGGTCCAGACATCAGCCTCAAAGAGGGACATTCCTGAGACTCTGACCTGACCACATTCTCAGAAATGGAACAAATATCAAAGGGAAGGCTCAGGGCACCCGCGGCCATGGGAAATGGGATAATGAGCCACAGGCCAGGGGACTCGGAAGGCAGGAGACCTGGATCTCATAGGCATAGAGTGGCATTCAGGAGAGGGCTTTGGTGGCAGCTTCCACATTTTATATCAACATGGAAACTAAGTCCAGGCAGTAGAGGACTTTCTCAAGGTCACAAAGAAAGGTGGTGGCTAAGCGAGAACTGGAATCCCGGTGGTTCCTAGCCAGGGCTTTGCGGTCAGTGACCTGGTAGAAAGCTGAGTTTGCTGTTCATGACGGAGGCTCTTGCTTGCTGCCAGCCAAGTGAATGAGAAGGTGGCCGTGGGGATCAGACACCAAGAAGTGTGATTGGCAGACGCCAAAGGGCATAAGAGATTCCCCAGAATTAACGTTAGGGTCTGTCCACAGTGTGACTCTGGATAGAAGGGATGTCATACCTATTAGTCCCCAGGAAGATGTTTGTGGAGTAAATGAACAAAAGAAAGAAATGAATCAAGGTCTTGTTTGCACTTGTGCTAGTGTGTCTGCTGCTGGATTGAGTGTGTTAAATATTCAACTTCACCGAGCCAGCATGACACCTGTATATGCCGTTCTTACTACCATCTCGGTTCAGGACTTCTCCTCCACCTGTAACATCCCAGCGGGCAGTCTCTTCTCGTGCACTCAGTGATGGGGACTCACCCCCAAGGAGGCAGCAGAGGAAGGCGGGGGCTCAGCAGGTCTATGTAGGATTTGGCACATCCTTCAAAACCAGGGCACTGGAAGCTAGACACAAGCTGCAAGATGTGGCAGCCGAACCCAACCTTAATGTCCTTGCCCCATCTCATGGCAGATGGCCAGAGGTCTGTCTGTTGTTGGCCACAGATGGACTCAAATGATCCCCAGGGCACTGTGGTAGACACGGAGATGGGCCCCAGACACCCTCTGCACACATGGCCTCACTGCCCAGCTGCAGGGAACAGTCAGCCCACAGTCTCAGCCATCGGCATCTTCTGAGCCAGCCTGGGCTGCCAAGAGCTGCCCCACTGAGCCCACACCCTTCCTGGGGAGCCATTCCATGGGATATTCCAATGAGGACCGTGTACCCCAGAGCTCCCTACCAGGTGGGCCAGAGGCTTTTCAGGTTGCACACAGCATCGTTCTGCCTGGTCCTGCCTCCGCTACTTCCAGGCGTTGGACCTCCTGGACGTCCTGCTCCCAGACTCCACCGTGGCCTCTGCTTCTGGAGAGCCCAACCTAGACAGACCCCACTTCTACTTGGGGCTCCAGTCGGCCCCTGGCTTGCATTCGTGAAGCATCCTGAATTTTTTTCACCCTGACCTCTGCTTCTCTGTGGCTCCGTGGCTGGTCCTGGTTCCCCATTCCCAAGGCTGTTCCGTGGCCGGGTCTGGGAAGGAAGGACACCCCTGCTGCAGTTCGAGTATCAGCAGCAGCAGGAGCCCTGTGGGACCTGCGCTGTGGGACCCACCCCGTGGTGATACTGTGATGGAGGCGGCCTCTCCGTCCGCTCCCCCGCCTCAGCCTCAGAACTGGCATCCAAGTGCTGCTTGCATGACTTTCCTGTAGCTGCTGGAACAGAGTGCCACACCCTTGGGGGCTTCAAACTACACACATTTATTTTCTTACAGTTCTGGAAGTCAAAGGTCTAAACCAAGGTGCCAATGGGGCTGGCTCCTCCTGGAAGCTTCAGGGGAGAACCCCTTCCTGCCTCTCCTGCTTCTAGAGGCCTCCTGCATTCCTTGGCTCGTAGCCCCTTCCTCTACCTTCAAAGCTGGGAACATCACGTGAAAGTTGTCAGAATCAAAATAGAGTCACTTGTGTCAAACCCTAACAAAAAAAAAAAGTCAAGAGGCTAAGAAGGGCCCTCCCTGCCCCACACACCTGCCGGCGGTAAGAACTATCATAAAGGCTCTCTGAAGGGCTCTTATCTACATATGCCTGTAGCAAGAACTTTTCCGAAGGACTTTCCAAACTGCCACTTGCTATCTGAGTCACAGGGACAGCTGGTCGGATGCACAAGAACCCTTGCCTGACACGCTGTCTCCATCTCCAGGCATGAACTGACGTCAACTCTCACAACAAGACTCTGTGACCAGGGTTCTCTTTGCTTCAAAACAACTTATGTGCATGCCTCCCTTTGCCTTTAAAAGCTTCCCCTTGCCTCAACCTCCTTGCACATGCCTGTGGTCCCCACAGCCCTCGTAGCCAGGACAGGAACCCCGCCTATGCACTCCTGGATACACTCAGCATCACTGGACGAGCTGTCTCTGTTGCTTAGGTTGACAGTGGCATCTTCGACTCTCGCGTTGACCTCTGCTTCTGTGGTCATATCCTTTCTGACTTGGACCCTCCTGCCTCCCTCTCATAAGGACTCTTGTGGCTCATGGGGCCACCCAGATAATCCAGGATAAGCCCCCATCCCAGGGCTCTTCACCTAATCCCACCTGCAGGGTCCCTTTTGCCATGCCAGGGAACATACTCACAGGCTCTGGGTTTAGGGTGTGGACATACTTGGAGCCGTTATTCAGCCCACCTGAGTGCCTTATTTAGGGAGGGACAGGAAGGGCCGAGTGGCAGATAATCGGGTCAGATCCTGCGGGCTCTGTGGGTAGCCGCCGGCAGGTGGCGGTAACTGACCTCAGGCCACACTTGGACTTGCATAAAGCTATGGGTCAAGTTCCTCCGGGTGAAGTGCAGTCCCCACCCCCGCCCCCTGTGCTCAGGGTCCTTTGCGCCTGCTATTCCTGTGCACGCAGAGAAAACTGCCCCTCGGGCCTTCGCGTGGCTGTCCTTCCCCACTCCAGCAGGGCTCTGTTCCAGCGTCAGGATCTCTCCACCGCACGTCCAAAGTGCGGCCCACTCGTCGCCCCTTCACCCTGGCCTGTCCCTCTCAGCAAATGATCATCTCTGTGTTTACTGTGTGTCCTCGGTAGAACATAAGCTGCCCAAGGACAAACAGGGTGTGTTTTGTTCATGGCTCTTTTCCAGGGGCTACAGGAGCAATACAGGCATTTAGTGGGTGTCGTGGGGTTGAACTCTGTCCCCCAGAAAGATATGGGGAAGTCCTAGTTCCCAATACCTGCAAAAGAGACCTCATTTGCAAACAGGGTCTTTCAGGTGTAGTCAGGTTGAGATGAGGTTGTACTGAGGGGGGGTGGCCTTAGGAGGGGAAGGGGGTTCCGGAGACACACGCGGAAGATGGCAGCAGAGACTGGGGTGACGCCCCACTGACCTGGATGTTGAGCTCCCGGCCTCTGGGCAGCAAGGGAAGGAATTCCTGGGGGTTGAAGGCCCCTCATTCATGGTCTTTTGCTACAACAGCCCTGGGAAAGGAACAAGGCAGGATTCGGCTGTTTGTGAGGACGCACAGTCCAAGGCACCAGCACGAGGGTGCTGGCTGCGGACGGCTATCCTGAGCCTCTCCTGGCCTAGCCAGCCTGACTCTCCAGCCACAGCCCACCCAGCCCTGATGTGCAGGATTCCTTCGTTCTGCTGTAAAGATGGGGGCACCCTTCCACTTCAGTGGAATCTTTGAGCAGCTGCCTGTCATTTAAATAATTTCTCTTAATTTTTTAAAAAAGATAAATTTAAACATTTAGATAATTTAAAAGAAAACGCAGCTCCTACTGCCCTCCTTGTATAACCACCATCCTCTCACTGTCCGTCCTCCCCGTGGAATGATCATTATCTCGCCATCCTTCCTCCCTGTATAACCATCATCGTCCTCCCGCCGTCCCTCCTCCCAGTGTAGCCATCATAACCCTCTCGCTGTCCCTCCTCTCTGTATAGCCATCATCCTCTTGCCATCCCTCCTCCCTGTATAACCATCATCCTCTCGCCGTCCCTCCTCCCTGTGTAACCATCATCTTCCTCTCGCCATCCTTCCTGCCTGTATAGCCATCATCCTGTCGCCATCCCTTCTCCCTGTATAACCATCCCTCCTCCCTGTGTAACCATCATCATCCTCTTGCCGTCCCTCCTCCCTGTGTAACCATCATCATCCTTTTGCCGTCCCTCCTCCCTGTGTAACCATCATCTTCCTCTCACCATCCCTCCTCCCTGTGTAACCATCATCATCCTCTTGCCGTCCCTCCTCCCTGTGTAACCATCATCATCCTCTTGCCGTCCCTCCTCCCTGTGTAACCATCATCTTCCTCTCACCATCCCTCCTCCCTGTATAACCATCATCTTCCTCTCACCATCCCTCCTACCTGTATAGCCATCATCATCTCGCCATCCCGCTTGTGTAACCATCATTATCCTCTAGCCATCCCTCCTCCCTGTATAAGCATCATCTTCCTCTTACGATCCCTCCTCTCTGTATAACCGTCGTCCTCTCGCTGTCGCTCCTCCCTGTGTAGCCATCATCCTCTCACCATCCCTCCTCCCTGTATAACCATCATCTTCCTCTCGCCATCCCTCCTCCCTGTGTAACCATCATCCTCTTGCCGTCCCTTCTCCCTGTATAACCATCATCCTGTCGCCATCCCACCTCCCTGTATAACCATTATTCTCTCACTGGCCCTCCTCCCTGTATAATCATCATTCTCCCTGTATAACCATCCTCCCACGGAGGGACCAGCATGGTTTGTGGTGAGCCTTTGTGGGCAGGCAACTGACTGGCACAGATTCCCTCCGTGACCCACTGCGAGCCTGGGCTGAGCCCCGTCTCAACTAGGCCTTGACCTTGGCCTTCGTGTCCATGGCTGGCTGAGTCTTGTTATACTGAGAACCCTCCCATCCTTTGCATTGGATCAGATTCCTCGCCCCTGACCATCAATGTCTAAATCCTCGGCCTGCCTTTAACAGGAACTCCTGCCCTTGGTGTCTAACCAGGTGAGTGGTTTCCAGCCCGGACCCTCACTCTGCTCGTGGGCTGGGCATCCACAGCTGTCTTCACTGCGTCTGAACTGAGCTTGGTTCTAAAGTCCTTCACTTACTCCAGTGGCTTGAATACAATCTGTCTTGCTGTTTTTCCCAAGTGAGCAATGCAGACAGGTTCTCCTACACATGGTTACTTGCTTTGGATAGTCGCTGTGAAGGAGGACTCGCTGGCTGAGAGGATGAGCGTTTTTAAGGGCTGGGTACACCTTGCTGAGTTGCTGTGCACACAGGAGAGTGTCAGCTGGCACTCCTGCTGGCAGCAAGTGCCAGGAGAGGCCCTGGCCTGGGAAGGCCCCTTTCTCCCAGGGCTGGCTCCTGGGATCTCCTAAGTCGCTGAGATTCTAGGCTCAACCTCAGCTCCTCTGCGCCGGCACCCCCACCTGCCCCCCGGCCACCCAGCTCCCACCATGTCACCTCCAGCAGAGGCTGAGAAGGTGCCTCCCCCACCTCGTTAATTATGGAGTCGGCAAATGCCCTGGATCACACAGCTGGGTTGTTTTTATTCTTCACTGGAAGGTGGAAGGTTTTGTCTGGCTCTCTCCCCAGGTGCAAGGCCTTGCGCTGGGCTGACTTCACCCCTCAGATACAGGGTCATTTCCAGATGCCGATACCTGCAGCTTTCCGGACACCGCCCCGCATCTCCAGGCAGACTGGCCTGGGCATGGAGGTTACAGCCTGGTGCCTCTAACAGGGGTTTTACCCTTGGGTCTGTGAATTTAGATGGAAAACACGTTGCAGTTTTTAAAAATAAATTTCTGATCATCCGTCATTTCTCTCGATAATGCTTATAGACGACCACAGTACATGCGACTTTGTGCACAGGGAAAACCACAGATCTTTGATCTCTCGAGGTAGCCATTGCTGCTAACTTCAAATATCCTTTTTATTCACCACGGCTTGGGAATTGCGGAGTTATTAAGCCCACCGGCCACACGTGATGCAGCCTCCTTCCTGCCACAGGGCCAGGTAAAGGGACTGGCCCAGGATCAGGCCATTGTGTCACACCTGAAGAAAATATCTGATAACAGTACTTTAAAGCAAGTCGTTTATTTTGAAATCCTGACTATTTTGTTAAGAATTTAAAAACCCTATGATATGTCATTTGCAAACATCCTGAAAAGGGTTCCATAGGCAACAGCAGATGCCAAGGGGCCCCCTGGCTCAGAAGCCCTGAAGAACTCCTGCCCCACAGGCTTGGAGAGTCCCCTTCCAAAGCACAAGGACAACCTGAAGTCCTCTAAAAATTGAGGCCATTCCCAGGGACCCGGCAAGCAGATCGGGGCCTGGAGGAGGCCGGACAGATTCTTTTCGAATGGAAGATTGGGGGCTGGTCATGCCAGGCCCTTCCTGTTTCCACAGAGAAAACCACATTAGCAATTGCCCGCCACGCATCTCTGCTGTGGAAACTTTGTGTATTTTTTTTATCAGCCTTATGGAGGTATAACTGATATAGAGTAAACAGTGCATATGTAAAGTGTACAATTTGATCAGCTTTGACACTTCTGTGTACTTGTGATACTATCACCACGATCATGGTGAGACACGCAGACCCCACTCCTGAGAGTTTCCTTGTGTCCTTGGAACTTCTTCCCTCCCCTTTCCCTCCTCCCTCCCATTCAGGCAACTAACGACCCTACTTTAGGTCACTATGGATTAGTCAGCTTCCTTCCTTCCTTCCTTCCGTCCTTCCTCCCTTCCTTCCTTCCTTCCGTCCTTCCTCCCTTCCTTCCCTCCTCCCTTCCTTCCTCCCTTCCTTCCTTCCTTCCGTCCTTCCTCCCTTCCTTCCCTCCTCCCTTCCTTCCTCCCTTCCCTCCCTCCCTCCCTACTTCCCTGCCTCCCTCCTTCCCTTCCTTCCTTCCCTCTTTCCTTCCCTCCCTTCCTCCTTCCTTCCCTCCCCCCTCCTCCCTCCCTCTCTCCTTCCTCCCCTCCCTCTTTCTTTCCTTCCTCCTTCTCTCTTTCCTCTCCTCCCTCCCTTCTTTCTTCCCTCCTTCCTTCCCCTCCCTGCCTCCCTCCCTCCCTCTCTCCTCCCTCCCTCTCTTTTCTCCTCCCTCCCCTCCCTCCCTCCTTTCCTCCCTTCCTCCCTCCTTCTCTCCTTCCTTCCTTCCCCTCCCTACCTCCCTCCCTCCCTCTATCCTCCCTCCCTGTCTTCTTCTCTCCTTCCTCCCCTCCCTCCCTCCTTTCCTCCCTTCCTCCCTCCTTCTCTCCTTCCTTCCTTCCTCCCTCCTTCTCTCCTTCCTTCCTCCCCTCCCTTTCTTCATTTCTTTCTTCCGTCCCTCCCTGCCTTCCTTTCTTTCTTCCTTCCCTCACTCTGTTACCCAGGCTGGAGTGCAGTGGCACAATCATAGCTCATTGCAGCCTTGAACTCCTAGGCTCAAGTGATCCTCCCTGCTCAGCCTCCCAAGTAACTGGGACTACAAGTGCTAGGATCACAGGTGTGAGCCACCGTGCATGTGGCTCCATTTGCATTTTCAATAGCGCAATCATTATGGTTGTCTGGGACATCCACAGCTCATCCTTCATGTTGACGGGCAGGGCCCCACGGTGCGAGTATCCACGGCATGCTTGTTTATTCACTCATTGATGCCAGCTGGGTTTTTCCCAGGTTCTGACTATTACAGATGAAGCTGCTGTGAGCATTCATGTGTAAGCCTTTGGACAGATGCACACTTTCATATCTTGCGTAAATACATACGAGGGAAGTAGCCTTGTCATATGGTGGGTGAGTGTTTATCTGGAACCTTCCAAATGGTTTTCAAAGTCTTGTCCCATTTTACATCCCTGGGTCTTCCACATCACACTGGGTGTGCCCAGGCCTTGTAATAAGCCATTTAAATAGGCCTATGAAATTCAGCTATTTAATAGGTGTTTATTATTTTTTATCGGCCTTATTGAGGTATAACTGACATAGAGTAAACAGCACACATCTAAAGTGTAGAACTTGATCAGCTTTGACATGTGTGTGTACTCATGACCATCACCACGATCATGGTGATGCACACGGCCCCCATTCCTGACAGTTTCCTTGAGCCCTTGGCACTTCATCCCCACACAATATCTCATTGTGGTTTTAATTTATATTTCCCTAATGACTAATGATATTGAACATTTTTCTTTTGGAGTCAGTCTCACTCTGTCACCTAGGCTGGAGTGCAGTGGCACAATTTGGCTCACTGCAGCCTCGGGCTCAAGTGATCCTCCCATCTCAGCCACCCAGGTAGCTGGGACCATAGGCACTCACCGCCAGGCCTAAGTTTCACCATGTTGTCTGGGCTCAAGTTTCACCATGTTGCCTGGCCTCAGCCTGCCAAAGTGCTGGGATTACAGGCATGAGCCACCATGCCTGGTTAATTTTTGTATTTTTAATAGAGACGGGGTTTCACCATGTTGCCCAGGCTGGTCTCAAACTCCTGGGCTCAAGTGATCATCCTGCCTCAGCATCCCAAAGTGCTGGGATGACAGGTGTGAGCCACCGTGCCTGGACGGATATTGAGCATTTTTATGTGTTTGTCATATATATACACACACACACATATATATATATATATATATATATATATATATATATATATATACACACACACATATATATATACACATATATATATACACACATATATATACACATATATATATACACACACATATATATACACATATATATATACACACATATATATACACATATATATATACACATATATATATACACACATATATATATACACATATATATATACACATATATATACACATATATATATATACACACACACACATATATATGTATATATATATGCACACACACACACATATATATATATACACATACATACATATATATATGGCTTCTTGGTGAGATATCCATTCAAGTCTTTTCCCCACTTACTTAACTGGGTTGTTCATTGCCTTATTATCTGGATATAAGTTCTTTTTCAAATACAGGATTGCAAATATTTTCTTGCAGTCTGTGGTAATTTTGTTCTCTTAGTGATGTCTTTTGAAGAACATAAGTTCCTAATGAAGTCTAATTTACCCAATGTTTCTCTTTCATGCTTTTAGTATTGTAACTAAGAAATTGTTGCCTAACCCAAGATCACAAATATTTTTCTCCTGTTGTTTTTTGTTGTTGTTATTAGATGTTTTATGGTTTTAGGTTTTACACTTAAGCCTAGGATTCATTCTAAGTTAATTTTTGCATATGGTGCAGGCTCTGCAGAAGTTCATTTATTGCCTGTGGATATCCACATGCAATGGTTCTAGCACTATTGGTGAAAATGGGGGAGGGGGAAGGGGGAGGGGGGAAGGGATGGGGAGGGGAAGGGGGAGGGGGAGGGAGTGGGAGAGAGACAGAGAAAGAGAGAAAGAAAGAGGAAGGAAGGAAGGGAGGGAGGGAAGGGAAAATCAGCTAACCACATACATGTGGGTCTACCTCTGGCCTTTACACTCTGTTCCATCAACACGTGTCTCTTCCACCTTTTCCATGACATGGTGCCTTCTGATTACTGCAGCTTTATCATCAGACTTGAACAAGTCCTCTATTTATGCTTCATTTTCAAAGTTGCTTTAGCTGTTCCAGATACTTTGAATTTCCATGTACATTTTACTTTTCTTTTTATTCATTTTCTGAAACCCTGAAATGCCCCAAAAGCCATATAAATTTTAGAATCAGTTTATTATCTGAGAAAACTTGCTGGGGTTTTGATTGGCAGTGTATAGAATCTATAGCTCAAATTGGGAAGAACTCACATCTTAACAATATTGAGGCTTCCAATCTCTGAATGCGGCTGTCACTATACTTTGTTCTTTTAAATTTTTCTCTGCAGTATTTTGTAGTTTCAGCGCACAGGTCTTGGAAAACTTTTGTCCAACTTACCTCTAAGTATCTTATGTCTTTTGATGTTATTGTAAATAGTTTTGCATTTTCTTTTTTTTGAGACAGAGTTTCGCTGTGTCACCCAGACTGGAGTGCAGTGGTGCAATCTTGGCTCACTGCAACCTCCACCTCCCAGGTTCAAGCGATTCTCATGCCTCAGCCCCCTGAGTAGCTGGGATTACAGGCGTGCGCCACCACGCCCGGCTAATTTGTGTCTTTTAGTAGAGACAGGGTTTCACCATGTTGGCCAGGCTGGTCTCCAACTCCTGGTCTCAAGTGATCCACCCGCCTCGGCCTCTTAAAGTGTAGTTTTGCATTTTCAATTTCAATTTCCAAATGTTTGTTACTAATACATAAAAGTTGACTTTTGTATATTAATCTTGTACCCTGCATCCTTGTTAAACCCACTATCAGTTCTAGGGGTTGTCGCTGTTGTTGTTTTAGAGTTCATGCTATTTTCTAAGTAGATGATCATGTCTTCTGTGATTTCAGACAACTTCCTTCCTTCTTTACATGCAGGGTGCCTTTTATTTACTTTTCTTGACTTATTGAAAGGTTAATCCCCAATATAATGCTGAGTAGGAGTTGGGTGGGCCAGTGTCATTATTTGTTTTTTACCTTAGGGGAGAGCATTTGGTTGTCCAGTAAATATGGTACCACCTGTGGGTTTTTTATAGATACCTCTTATTATGCAAGCAAGTTCCCTTCTACTCCTAGTTACCTAAATATGGTACCGCCTGTGGATTCTTTACAGTTACCTTTTATTATGCAAGCAAGCTCCCTTCTACTCCTAGTTTTCTGAGAGTTTTTATCAGGAATGCAATTAGATTTTGTGAAACACCTTTTCAGCAAATCTTGAGAGAATCATATGTTTTTTGGTTTGGGTTTCTTAATATAAGTTACATTACTTTTTGAATGTCAGGTCAATGTTACATTTCTGAGATAAACACGTAGTCATGAGGTATTATCTCTTTTTAGGAATTACTAGCTTTTATTTGCCAAAATTTTGTTAAGAATGTTTGCATTTATGCTCATAAGGAATATTGGTCTTTAGGTTTATTGTCTCATAATCTCTTTGTCTAATTTTGCTTTCAGATCAATTCTGACCTCATGGAATGACTTGAGCAGTCCCTTCTTTTCAAGATTTTAGAAGAGATTATTTTAAATTGATATTTTTCTTTCTCATTTGGTGGAAGTCAGTGGTGAAGCTATATGAGATTGTACATTTCCTTGTGGATGGGCTTTAACTACAAATTAAATTTCTTTAACAAATTTGGAAAATTCATGATATCTATTTATTCTTAAGTGGGCTTTGGTGTTTGGTGGTTCATGTTTTTCAAACCATATGTCCATTGCATTTAAGTTGTTGAATTTATTGACAACAAGTTATTTACAGTATCTTATTGTTATCCTTTTACTATCTGGGAAATTTTTATAAATGTCACCTCTGTCAGTCCTAATTTGGTTAACTCATTTCTTTTCTATCTTTTTCCTGGTCAATCTGCCTAGAGATTTTATTGATCTTTAAAAAGAAACTTTGGCTTTTAATGATTTTATTTATTATTCTTCAGTTCTCTATTTCCTTAATTTTGATTTGTTGTATTTTCATTTTTATTCAGTTCAAAATACTCTCTAATTTGCTTTTTGGTTTCTTCTTTGATCCTTGGTGTATTAGGAAGTGTTCTATTTCATTTCCAAATATTTGGAGATTTCCAGATAGCTTTCTGTGGTCAATTTCTAATTTAAATCCATCACGGTCAGAGAACATAGTTTATATTCCTTGAATCCTTTTAAGCTTATTGATACTGGTTTCATGGTCTACAGTATGGTTGCTCTTGGGAGATGCTCTGTGTTCATTTTCTGAAGGTATTTTTGCTGGTAAAGAATTCCAGTTTGACAACCTTGCTTTTCTTTCAGACTTTGAGGATGTTCCTCTACTTTCTTTTCACTGGCCTCGATTCAGACGAAAGGTTCACCACCACTCTTTGTTCTTCTGTATGTAATACGTCTTTTTTCTCTGGCTACTGTTAAGGTTTTGTCTTTATTATCAGTTTAAAGCATTTATTTGTGCCTTGGTATTGTTGTTTTATGGTTTTTCACGCTTAGGGTTCATTGAGATTCTTGGATCTGCAGATTCATGGTTTTTATCACATTTAGAAAATGTTTGTATTTTATTTCGTCAAATGTTTTTTCTGACCTTCCTTTTCTCTCCTTTGTAGGCTCCAATTACATGTATATTAGGCTGTTTGACCTTGTCCCAGGACCCACTGAGGCTGTTATTTTTTTAAGTTTTTATTTCTCTGGATTTTATGTTGTACAGTTTTTATTGCTATGTTTTAAATTGCACTCATCTTTATTCTTCAATGTGAATTCTGCCATTAATCCTATACAGTATATATCTTACATATTATAGTTTCCATGTGTAGAATTTTGATTTGGTTCTCTTTTAAATTTTGGTTCTTCTATGTCTCTACCTGATATGTTTATTATTTCCTGTGAGTCTTGAATGTATGAAATTAAATTATACTAACCACTTAATGTCCTTACCTACTAATTTCATTATGTGTGTCATTTCTGGGTCGCTTTCAAGTGACTGATTTTTCTCCTTAGTATGGATTGTATTTTCTTGCTTTTCGCACCCCTGATAAGTTTTGGCTAGATGCTGGGCATTCTGAGTTTTACCTTATTGGATGCTGGATACACACACATGCACACACACACACGCACATGCATACACACACGTAATACCCTTGAGTTCATTCTGAAACACAGTTAAGTTACATGGAAACAATTTGTCCTCTTGGATCTTGCTTTTAGGCTTTCTTAAGTGAAAACAGCAGAATTGAGTCTAGGGCTAACTCTCCTTACACCACCACAGTCCCCTGCGTGTGCACTTGACGCCCGGTGATGTCGGGTGCTTTGCACTCTGGCTGGTGGAAACTGGCACTGTTCCTAATCCTGCATAAGCCCCTGGGATCCTTCCCTGTAATTCCTTTGGTGATTCTTCCCTGGCCTCAGGTGGTTTTTTTTCACACACACAAGCTGATTTCTAGAGTTCTCTGTGCAGCCGTCTCCCCTCCAGTGCCCTCCCCTGTGGTCTCCACCCTCTGTGGTCTTCCTGAGCTCCTAAGTGTTTTCTCCACTTTGGGAGACCTATGAGTTCCCTGTTCCTGTGCTGCTACCTGAAAACTTTCTCCAGGCAGTAAGGTCGAGCAGTCACAGCACCCACTCAGGGCTTCCTCTCATTTCACATCCTTCAGGGTGGGTTGCTTTTGTTGTCTGATATATTTTGTCCAAACCATTGGTTGATATATTTTGTCCAGTTTTTTCCCTCCCTTCCTTTCCCTTCCCTTCCTTCTTTCCTTTCTTCTTTTCTTCTTTCTCGTCTCACGAGAGAGAATATTCTGGTTCCCATTACTCTATCTTAGCTGAAAGTTACATTACTTTTTAAAAATTTACTTCAGTCAAGGGAAAGTTTTACCAGAAACATTTATTCAACAAATATTTATGTGTTATTTTCTGCAAAGGTTAATATGCCTAGAGCTGTGAATAAAGACAGACAGGATCTCTGCCCTAAGAGGTGAGAGAGGCATGAAGTGAATCTCACAATTAGCTATTTAATTTCAGTTGTTCATGTCCTGGGCACTGTGAATCCAATGATGACTCCCAGAGCTCATAGCTGAATAGAGAGGTCAGTGCCCCACGCCTTCTTAAGCAGGTGGAGGGGCCAGCGATGCACCTGCTTAGGCAGATGGAGAGGTCAGCGCTCTGCGCCTTCTTGGATGAGTGGAGGGGTAAGTGATGCACCTGCCTAGGCAGGTGGAGAGGTCAGCACCCTGTGCCTTTTTAGGCAGGTGGAGAGGTCAGCGCCCTGCACCTTCTTAGGTGAGTGGAGGGGTCAGCGACGTGCCTGCTTGGGCAGATGGAGAGGTCAGCACCCTGTGCCTTCTTAGGTGAGTCAACGGGTCAGCACGATGCCTTCTTAGGGGCTGTGGGAGATTCTAGGGAGGACACTGAGGAGTGGCAGGGTTGAGTGGAGTGACTCGGTTTCTCCACTGTGAAGAGGACAAGATGCAGGCACAGGGACTCTACCTGTTCTGTGGAAAGTGCTGCTGCTGAGTCCTGTCTTCCATACCTCCCCACACTACATCTCAGCAGGAAGAAATGAGCAAACTGAGCTTTTCAGAGGCCCCGAAGACCAATGTGACAATCAATCGGCAGCGCCTGTTTCTTGCTCTGGCCCCTGATGTGACCAGGAGGAGGACTTGGCACACAGACCAAGGGAGGAAGTTGTCCCAGGACAGCACTCTCTCCCAAGCAGCATAAGACAGGCTCTGGACAGTCCAGGCTCTGCCCCCAAGCTCTGCCCATTCCCAGTCCCTCCGGACCTGAGCTTTATTGCTCATGGGGCCTGGAACCTTTGCATGGGGAAAGAACATTCTACTGTGGCAAACTGCAGGAGATGACTTTTGAGTATGGGCTGCTGGGCTGCAGGGAAGCTGCCAGGGAGTGCAGATGTCTCACCTACACCTGCAACTGGGCAAGTTCCTGTATTCTTTCCTCTTTCCTGCATGGCCCACATACTCAAAATATCTGCCCCAAAGCAGCCCTTGGGGGCCTCTTCTATTCTTGCCCACCCTGCCCTTCAGATGCAGAAAAGGAGGCACAGAGATCGAGGGGAATCAGCGGAGGTCCCACAGGAGATGGAGACCCAGCTGGAATTAGAACCCCACGTCCCCTGATGTCCAGTCCTAAGTGCTCCCTGCCCTTGCCAGTGTAGCCAGGCCCCCCGAACCAGGGCCCGTCTGATGACGCTGGGGTGGGTGGGGCTGAGGGACTTCTACTTGGACTCTCACCCCCATTGTGGGTTACTGGCCCCTCTTTCCTCAGTGCCATTGGTATTACCGTCCCAGCTGTCTTGGAAAGGATCAACCCACCAACTCTTGGCCCTTGCCATGGACCCATTGCTATTTATTATTCATACTGAGAACGTTTTAGGGGAGGCAGGGCACTCATTGACTAGGAAGTACAATTATTGTTTCATTAAAGATTGATTACACATGTGGCTGGCCATTTAAATAATGGCTCTGCTGACACCGTTAATTGAATGATAAATGATTCCACACTTGCTCCTCTGAATCAATATGAATGCTGCACGAGAAAGGCAGCCGGCCAGCCCTTCTCTCCCACCTGGAGGTGACGAGAGACCGGGGAAGGGCAGGCAGTTCCCAGGCTACAAATAAGGTCAGCTTGTGGGGCAGAGGTGCCAGGCATCAGCCTAACCACCTGCTCTTGGGCCCATACACAGCTGCCAAGAACTCAGTCAACGTTAATGTCTCCATGAGAAACTTAATTTCAATTTAATAAGACAGATACTGTGTGCGGTTTAATGTCATTTCATTATTAAAAGCAGATTGATGGAGGCTTAAGATATTAGACAGCCCTACCAGGAACTGTGATACCCGTCTGGTCCTACTAGAATTGAATGGGCACCACAGACCTTCGGAGTCTGAGGAAGGCATCCAGGTGTGCATGCATTCATTCATGCATTCATTCATTCATTTATTTATTCATGCATTCATTCATTCATTTATTCATGCATTCATTCGTGTATTCTATTCATTCATGCATTCATTCGTGTATTCATTCATTCATGCATTCACTTGTGCATTCATGTATTCATGCATTCATTCATGAATTCATTCATGCACTCATTTGTGCATTCATTCACTTATGCATTTATTCATGCATGCATTCATTCATGCATTCATTCATGTATTCATTCATTCGTGTACTCATTTATTCATGCATTCATTCATTTATTCATGCACTCATTTGTGCATTCATTCACTTATGATTCATTCATTCGTACATTCATTCGCGCATTCATTCATTCATGCATGCATTCATAGTATAGTTCATGTGCCCTAAGCCACATACTATGAATGAGTAAACCTGGGGAAAGAGAGAAGACACAGCTCACCTCCTCGCCAAGCTCCCAGTCAAGTGAGGAAAGAAAAGGAGAGGAGGAAAGCGAACAGGGAACAGCCAGGCAAGGAGACCTGGCCTCCCAGGAGAAGCCACAGGTGCCTGTGAGCAAGGAGGGCACAAGCCCCTCTCTGGGCTCTGAGGGTGATCACAGGAAAACATCCTATGAGGAGGGCAGTCAGCACCAGCCCCCACCTCAGGCCACATGGTACCAGCCTGGCTGCCCTCACTCCAGGGCAAGGTCCTTCAGTTGGAGTCGTGAAAAGCAGGCAGGAGACCTTGGGGTCCTGGAAAGTAGAGATCACAGGCGGGGTTTGGGTCCTATGGGAGAGGGGAGCAGGGTTAAAGAAGGCTGGCAATGGGGGACCCAGGATGCAGGGGGAGAGGAGGAGGCTGGAGGATCCCCAGTGCACAGTGCTGATGCAGCAGAGAGAACAGAGTTTTCCCATCAGGGCTGTCAGGGACCATGGACCTGGGCCACTGAAATGCCTGCGGGAAGTAACCCGCAACTGGGGTCCTGTTGAGGTGTTTATCTGCAGGCAGCTGGGGTCACGAGCTGGGAAGCAGGACTCCGGGCAGGCTTCCTGGAGGAGGCGGCCTTCAGGTGGGCCAAGCAGTCGTTGTGACCAGCAAGCGCCACCTGTGCCTTATCCACTCCCACACTCACTGCTGATATGCTTCCCTCGGAATCACCGCTGAAGTTGAGTCCTAGGCCACATGGTGTCTTTCACATACCCCTTTCTGTTCCCAGCCCAGGTTTTAGCCTCAGAGACTGCCTCTCAGTCTCCATCTGGCTTTTCCAGCTGTGAAACCCGGGGATGAGACCCAAGCCCCTGTCCTGGCCCTTCCAGCCTCCCCTGCCCTGGTGCAGCTTTGTCTCCCTGGGGTGACATCGGCCCTAAGTTAACAAGATTCCACCCCAGGAGGTGATGAATGGCTTGTTCCTCTCCATCCTTGTGGAGAGCTGAGCTGTGGCAGTGACACGGCCATGTATACGCCCAGAAGAGTGATGCTGGGGCTTCTCTGTGCTCCGTCCAGGTAGTATTTGTCAGCCGCTGCGGCTTACCAAGCATTTCCAGGTCCACATTTCACACCCCAGCTGCAGTCCCCCATCTCCTCTTCCATGTGCAGAAACAGGGTCTGGCCAGGCAAGCTGAGGTCACAGACGGTCAGCAAAGGAGATGGGACCTGAGCCTTTTCCCTCGATAGAACTTTCTGGCCCCTGCAGATGATTGGATCTTGCAGAGATGAGGCCCTAGGGCTGCCCTCAGGAAGTGTCTTTGTCCTGGCTCCTGGATATGCCTAAAGTCTATGCTGCCGGACCCAGGGACTGTTTTTGGAACCGAGCAACTTGCCTTCTGGTGCTGGAGCTGCCTTGGCAACCTTGCGATGTGGTGGGGTGAGCTCGGGTCGGGAGACTCACACAGAGGGTGGACTTCCCCTCTGCTGCTCCTCGGCTGTGTGACCTTGAGCAGCTCACTGCGCCTCTCTGAGCCATGCTGGGAGATGTCAGTGAGACACTGAGACCTGGACATTGGACACCCAGTCCCCTTCCTGGCGTAGAGATGGGCTGCTGAAATGCTCCGGTCCCTCCACCTTCCTAGACAGGGTCAGGAAATGCTGCACTGTCCTGGCCAGACACATTCCAGGTCCTGGTTGTCCCTAGGGTGGCAGCATTTAAACTGCACCCAAGGGACCAGAGTTCCCTCTGGTTCGCTGGAGGCATCACTGGCCGCAGCCCACCTGGACTCGTCTTCATTTCCTTTCATTACATGAAGCCTGTGTTGGATTTGCTGCAATTGACAAGTGAAAGAGAATAGGTGCTCAGCCCACTTTCAGCGCCATTGGGTGGGCGGAATTTGCAGCAATTAATTCCAGGGAAGCAGCTTCAGGACAGGGCCCCAAGGGCTCTGCGCAAGGCCAGGCAGCTGCTCCGGAGCTGGGATGGAGGATGGTCCCTCCTGCCACGGGAACAGTCAGGCCGCCCACATCCTGCTGAAATCTTGAAATCTGAGCTCTGTTCTACCCCCATAGTCACTGAGTGCTTGTCCATTAAGTAGCACACAATTGCTTTTTGGAAGCAGACCTCGAGGTGGAATAAGATAGCATGTATATGATAGAGGATTGTCCCAATTATATCTCTTCTTCTTCTTCTTCTTTTTTTTTTTTTTTAAGGAAAGGGGACTAGAATGTAGCACTATGGAAAATTAAAATCTTGAGAAAGCAGCATTAGAATAAAATGAGTCTGCTTATGGGCAGCCCTTCCTCCCCCTGATTAATCAGACAGGAGGCTGCTGTGAGCAGGCTGGTTCTGCTGAGGCTGCGCTCTGGGGCTGCAGTGAGAGAGTCCCATGTCCACGCGGGCAGACGCAGCCGCAGATGCCCGAGGAGCCTGGCCTCCTCAGCTGCCCGTTTCCTGCTCTGAGCTGACAGCAACTGCCCACGCCCAGGCCACTGCCTGCTGCTACTGCCTACTGCAGACGCAGACGCACTCCCTCTAAACTGAAGAAGTTCTTTCTCAGGGTTCCTTCTCATGGTCTGAGAAGGCAGCAGTAATAGCGCAGATAGGGGGTCACCTCGGGGAGCCTTATTCTCTCCACCAGGACGAGCTGAGGGTGCACAGGAAGGTCGACTGCCCCTTGGGGGGCAAGTGGCACAGGCACTGCTGAGGGGCACCCGGACGTATCTCCTAAAGCTGAGGACACACGAAGCCCACAGATCAATTGTGAAGCATGAATGTGAAACTGCATGTCTACAGCGGCCTGCGAAGGCACCCCTGTCCGGCGATCCCACGCGGGGCGCTGCCGTGGGACATTCTCCCTCTTTTCATCCGTGCAGCGGCTCTGAGGGGGGCATGGGGCTTGTCCCTGGGTCACCGTTGAGGGACTTGAGGGATGTGGATGGCCCAGTGCCCCCAAGGAGGCTGCGTAATTGGGCAGCATAGCTAGAGGCTTTTCTCAGGATGGCTGCTCTCAGCGTGAGTTGCAAACCCCTTGGGCAACCCCTCTTGCCCCAGTCTGGGCTGGGAGGCACTGGGGGACTCATTTATTGCTTTCACATCAGGTAAGCCCAGCTGCAAAGCTGTTCCCGAGACCAGAACTGCATGTGGCATCTGCAGAGCCCAGAGTCCACCAGCAGCCTTGAAGCACAGAGGAGGGAACTGGCCCGAACATTCAAGAAAGGAGGGCCCAGGGCCACCAGAGGGTAGCAACCAGCCCAGACTTCTGGTGCCACTGCCCACCAATCCCGGCAAGGCCATTGTCCCCCGCCAGGGCTGTGGCTGCTAAATGCAGGGCAGGCATGGGTGAGCTGCAGGCTCCAGGTGGCTGGGATCCCCCTCCTCCTCCTCTCTCCATCCCCCAGAACAAGGTCACAGACTGGACCGTGCTGGCCACCATGGCACACAGGGCCTTCAGGCATCACCCGTGAGTTCCCTTTGTCATGGGAGAAATGGGGGCTTGGAAAAGTGGTTCTTAAATAGGCAGCGGCCTCAGGCTATTAGACACCTGCTCGGCCCACAGGCGCATCAAGACCAACTCCCTAGCGGCCTTTTCAGGACGACCTTGATATCAGCAGGCAGGAGTTCCAGCGAAGGGGAGGACACGCCCACCTGGCTCTGTTAGGCTTGCTGTCTCACCCTCGGTGCATTGGCACCTGGTCTTCTTACCAAGCAACAAACCCATTTTTACCCTCTTTGACTCCAGGCAAACAACCCTGCGTCCAGACAGTTAGGAGGCGAGAAAGGCAAGGGCGGCTCCACCCTGGCATCTCAGCTACCTCCCTAGAGGCTGCGTCAGGAACTGGTCACCATGAGTCTTCCTGCTCATTGTGGAGCCTTTCAAGTTATCAGTGAGAGTCCTTGGATCAGCTCGATTACTTTAGAAACTTTATTTCCCCAGTTTTAAAAGCCATGCGTGTTCATCGTGGAAGGCTGCACAGTAAAGAGAAGCCTGCAGGCCTTCCTTCTTGGCGCATTTGCTGAGAATTTGCTAAGGGCTCTGCTGTGCCCCATGCTGGAGATGCCTGTCCCTGTGGGTTTGGGCCTTGGAGAGGCAATAGTTACAATGACTCACCAAGGCATGTGTCCTTGCAAAGGGATGGCTGAAGGGCTGGGCACGACAGGGAGGCAGGCCTGGTAGCACCAGATCCAGGGGTTTCTCAGATTCTGCTCTGAGTGGACACAGAGGGCAAGCATGGGGGAAGGCTGTGGCTGGCCAGCGTCACCGCCCATCACCTCACAAAGATGGTGTGTTTGTCATCTGCTACCATGCAGCAAATTAACCCAAAACATAGAAGTTTCAACAAGAAACATCTCTTATCTCAGGGTCTGTGGGTCAGGAATTGGGGTGCTTCTGCCCCAGGGTCTCTCATGAAGTTGCAGTCAAGTTGTTGGCCAGGGCAGTATTCATCAGAACGCTCAACTGGGGTGGGAGGAGCTGCTTCCAAGCTGGTGCATTTGGCCATGGGCAGAGGGCTTCAGTCCACACCATGTGGGCCCCTGGTAGGGCTGTTCCTGGGTCTCTGCAATGTGACAACTGGCTTCCCCAAGAGCCAGTGATGCACGAGAGAAAGCAGGAAGAGGCTGCAATGCCAGGCTTGACCAACTCTGAGGCCACACTGTAACCCATCCGGACACCAGGTCCAGCCCACGTTCAAGGGGAAATGAGTTGAACTCCACCTCTTGAAGTGAGGATTACCAAAGAAATGGTAGCCATATCTTAGAATTTCTGTGAAAATCTTTCCATATTTCTCTATGCTGGCTTATGCCTGCAGATATAAATATTTAATTTTTATAAATTGGATGATAGTATACAACCCATGTTGAATCCTGATCTTTTCATTTAAACATGTCAAGGAGAAGGTCTTGCATCTGGAAATGTGGATATGTGTCATTAGTTTTGATATTTTAGGCATTATATTTCAAATAACATGATGCCCTAATAAATGTTTCTTGAGTAAGTGAATAATGGACAAATGCCCGGTGACACCATTAAATGTCTTTAACCCCTCACCTACAGGGAGTTCCAGTTGGATTCAATGCTCAATTATTTTAGAATTTAGATAAATATTGCATGAGAGATGGCTGGTGTTCCAACCACGCTCTCTTCCCCCGGTGCACATGTTTCTCAGGCGGTCCTGTGTGTACTGGAGTCTGGTCAATGGGAGGTGAGAGGAAGTGCTGTGTTCTGCTTCTGGTCAGCCATAAAACCCCTCATGTGTGGTCCTCACGCTCTCTCCCTCTCTGTCTGCTGAACCAGAGAAGGGTGGTACCATGGAGCAGGCAGGACCTGGATCACAGCATCGCTCTGTGGGTTTCTATGTTGGGAGAAACTGCCGAGGTTTGGGGCTGTCTCTTACAGCAGTAAACACACCAGATCTTTGTGCCTTTGCCTAGGGATCTGAGACATTCTCCCAGGGAACTGGGGGCTGGTTCAAAGGACACATGTATCTTCAGCGTGGATACCTGCCATCAGACTGCCCTCCACACGTGGCCGTTTCTCCTCCCAAGGGCTCTGTGGCGTGGCCTCCAGCTCCTGCAGGCATTCCACAAGCAAAGCAAGAATGTGGACCCCAAAATGTGCTCCCCAGAGCTCAGGTCTTGATGCCACCCCCTCCTTTCCTGGACTGGAAACTGCCTAATATGGGCCAACTGGGTCATCTCAGCTCTCAGTTCTGAAGACATGACTGTCCAAGGAGCTACTCTGTAGTCCCAGAGCGGTGGGCACCCGGAGGCTGCACTGCACATGGGGCCAGGGCTAACTCCTCCCCATCTGGGGCACAGCCACACCCCGTCCTACTGCCCTGTTGCTCCATCCCTCCTCCTCCACTGGGCACTGGGCTCCTGGCAGGCAGCTTCTGTCTTGGCCCAGCTTAGCACACAGTAGGCACCGGAGACATGCACCATGTAAACGAATCAAAACAAGGATGAGTGAGTGAGAGCGTGGCTGACATGCATGTTAGGAGCTGAACCAAGCTGCCCCTCGCCCCAAATTCACATGTTGAAGTCCTCACCCCAGCAGCTTGGAGTCTGTGATCGTATTTGGAGGTAGGATTTTCAGAGAGGTAACTAAGTTAAAATGGGGCCATTAGGGTGGACCTTAATCCAATAGGACTGGTGTCCTTAGGAGAAGGGGTGGTAAAGACATGGACACCCACAGAGAGAGAAGATGGCACCCACAGGCCAGGGAGAGGGGTCTCAGAAGGAACCAGCCCTGCCAGCCCCTTGATCTCAGACTTCCAGCCTCCAGAACCGGGGACAATACATTTCTGGTGTTTAATCCTTCGTCAAACATAACATGCTTCATACAGCCGCTGAGCAGACTCGTATAGGGGGCTCGGTGGCTCGTGACTGGACTAGGGAGGTCTGAGGCCTCAAAGCCAGCAGAGGCCGGGGCCTCTGGGGGTTCCAGCAAGTTCCTGTGATGAGGGTCCGGACACCCGCCCACGACCTCGGCCCCACTCGCTGCTGCGTGGGCTGCCCCTGGCCGCGGTGCCAGCTTCCACCTGCGATCCCCATTTTGTCTCTCAAACCCTGCGGATCTGCCCTCATTAGCTGCTCCGAATCCCATTTTTAGTCCTTTTATTTCCACACCTCTGAAACGTCAGCATCTTTCACTTCATTGCCGGTATGGAGCCCTGGAAGGCCAATTATTCCCCATTTGGAACAAGTTCTCTTCAGCACGAAGAACTTCACATAAAAAGTTATTCATTTTATTTCAGGCAGCTTGGAGAGAAGTCATGCCCTGTGATGAGTTGGAGAGAAAAAAAGGCGCAAGCAACTGCAAGGTCCGTGTGTGTGAACGCCGCATGGATTTGCCTCCAAAGAACACGTGAGCGACCCGCGCTGCGAGCAGTGCCTGGCTCCCGGGGCCCCGCGTGCTGGAGCCGCTGCGGTCACGCCTGGTGCTGTGAGCAGTGCCTGGCTCCTGGGGCCTCGCGTGCTGGAGCCGCTGCCCTCACACCTGGAGTTAAAGACACTGGGGCTGAATTCGGGCTCAGCCACTGTCTGCATGACCAAGGGTAAGTTACTTAACCTCTCTTTGCCTTGGGTTCCCCATCTGTGCCTGTGGCTGAGACCATTTCCATCTCAGATGCATAAAGTGATGAGCACAGTGTCGAGCCCCACAGTCAGCCAACAGCACCGTCATGATCATCCCTGTCTGGGTTGTTCCCTCAGTCAGCCCATGAGGCAGGTGGAAGAGATCTTACTAATTACGCAGAGGAGGAAAGGGGAGCTCAACAATGTTAAGGAGCGGCCGGGCGCGGTGACTCATGGCTGTAATCCCAGCACTTAGGGAGGCCGAGGTGGGTGGCTCACTTGAGGTCAGGGGTTCGAGAACAGCCTGGCCAACATGGCAAAACTCTCTCTCTACTAAAAATGCAAAAACTAGCCGGGTGTGGTGGCGTATGCCTATAATCCCAGCTACTCGGGAGGCTGAGACACAAGAATGGCTTGAACCCAGGAGGTGGAGTTTGCCGGGAGGTGGAGGTTGCTGGGGGGCGGAGGTTGCTGAGAGGTGGAGGTTGTGGTGAGCCAAGATTACACCACTGCACTCCAGCCTGGGCGACAGGCCCTGTCTCAAAGAAAACAAAAAAGAACAATGTTAAGGGGCATGTGGAGCCAGGCCAAATGCAGTCTTCTGATTTCAAGCATGCTGCCCTCTAGGACAGGCGGGCCCTAGTGTTAGGGTGGGGAACCGTGAGAGCTATGCAAAACAGGACATGCCTTACACTAGCATATGTTGATGTGGGAGATATTTTCTTCTTGGTATTTCAAATCAGCACATGCTAATAGTCACCTTTATGTTCTGAGCAAGTTACCAAAGGGTTTCTTTAAGGGCATATATTTGCTTTTGTGGTCTTTAAAAAGCCCAATTAAAGTTTATGGCTTTGGCTGGGAAAGCCAACCTCCCATTTATTATGAAGTCTGCAGGCTGGAGGCATCTGGGGCAGGAGGACTTCCTACCTTGCTGCTGCTGGCCTGAGAGTCCGCCTGATCCTCAGCCTCCTGGGAAGGGCTTGGCATCAGGAACTAACAGCACAGACAAGAAGGCATGAAACCTGTTACATTGTCCTTGCTGTCATACAAGGAACTGCAGTGAGCCAGATGTGCAATTGCTCAGACTGTAGCTGGGTGGCTGCTCCTGAGAGGCGGAGGTGCAGGGCACCTGCACTGGTGACAACACGAACGGGGCACACGCACCAAGGTCCCCACAGTGGCTCCGGGCTGTGATCGTGGTGGCGACTTCCAGCCATTCTGTCACCTCCCCTCGGAGGGTGTGTCTGTAACCCCTTGGAGGTCACAGACGTCCATTTCCTATGAAGTGCCCAGCCCATGGCTATGGGACCCCCATACAGCGGATAAGAGCTAGTGGGGTCCCTGTGGTGTGCTGAGCCAGATGACCCCAAGGCCTGCCTGCAGTGTTTGCAGTGAAGCTGGGAAGGAAAGCCTCGCACCTGAGTTGACGTTCAGTGCAAGACCCGGGTGCAAGCCTGTGGCCATGGACGGCTGCCAAGGTGGAGAGAAGGTGGGAGACAGGAGCCGAACAGCCCACGGGAGGGAGGCCTGGGGGCACTGTGGGTGAGGCAGGAGCCGAGGGGCCAGACTGGGGCAGATAATCCGGAGCAGTGGCAGAAAGAAATGCTGTGCCCTCAGACACCGGGGCCTGCTGACCCACTGGATAGAAGCACATCATGAGCTTGGCAGGAAGCCCCAGGAGAAGTCCTCGTGAGGACACTGATTTGAAATCTTTGTCAGCAGGTGCTGGTGGCAATTAGCGTTTTATTTTGGGTTGTAAATAGACAGCCATAGTCCAGGGTCCTGGCCCCAGCTCAGCCACCGGCCTCTGCACGCCCCTGGTTGCAGCTGCTCTTGGCCTCACTGTCCTCGAGAAACCAGGAGGTTGGGAGGGTTGGCTTCTAAGGCAGGCAAGCTGGAAGGTTCTCTGTGATTTTATGGTATGTGGTGACATTTGGCCAAGAAGGGGCAACTTGGCAGGGGGGTCCCAGATGCCTGGCTGAGAACCGACCTTCCGCAGGGGTTCGCTCGCCTTCCTGGAATCCGGCGGGGACTGGCTGCAGGAAGCCGGCTCCCTCCCCTCTCCCATCACACACACCAGGGAAGTGCTTCAACTCCTGGGTGGCTTGTTCCTGGCGTTGCCCGTGGGCTCGCTAGGAGAGCCATCACGTGAGCAACTGTCTGTGTCCCTTGTGGATGAGGGGTGCAAGCTGTGAGCTAGAGCCAGATGGGAGCAAAGGTCTGCAGTGCCCCCGTGGTGGGGGCCATGCCCAGGAACAGAGAGGCTAGGGCCTCCTTCCCGGCCCAGCCTCAGTCCTCTCCTCTTAGCGGTTTTGACAGAGTCCCAAGTGCACCTGCAAAGCAGACAGGCTGCCACAGTGCTGGGCGGAGAAAGGTCACCCTGCCCTTGCCTGTTCAGCATGGCTCTGCAGAAAGGGCCTAATGACTAATTAAAACCCTGCTGCCCGGGTTGGAATACTAATCTTTACAGCTTCATGGGCCTTCGTGATGCATCTCCCTGCAAACTCTGAAGAGCGAGGAGATGAGGCTGGAGGGGACGGTGTTGGTTTCCATCGGCTTCTTGTTTGTAGCCGGGGAGCGGCCCCTGTCTTCCACTTCTCAAAGTCGCTGTGAAGAAGTGAGAGTTGCTCCTTCCTGCTCTCTTTTTTCAGGGCCACAGGCAGAATGGAGCCTCCTGGAGGGTCAGGGCCTCTTTCTTCCAATTCGCTTCTCGCTTCTGCCCAAGGAAACCTCTTCAGCTGGAAGATCCCAGCTGGGACCTGGCTTGGAGGGAGATGCATTCCCTCTGAAAGGTCTGGCAGGTGGTGGGCTGTGCCCAGCTGTGCCGACCAGTGGCCCTGGGGTGGGAATGGCTTTGCCATCTGCCTTAAATTCGCCCACCTCTGGCCACCCAGCTGGCACTCAGGTCCCGCCCAAGCTAGCGTTGCGGGATGTACGTCCCTGGGGATCTAGAGAAGTGACTTTCACAGGCTACCTGTGTGTAGCGGAGTGGTGAACAGTGAAGTCTGAGACCCTCAAGGGTTGGCCTGGCTGAGAGCAAGAGGAGCTGACTGGCCTTCGACCCAGCAGGCCCCAGCATCTGAATGGGTCTCCTCCCTCAGCCCCATCCAGCTGAGCACAGAGCCCTGCACCTGCAGCCTTCATGCCGTCCTCCTCCTGCCTGCAGGGTGTGTCTGTGGCTTGCTTATTCCTGAGACCTCTTCCTTCAGGCCCATCCATGGGTCCTTGGAGAGCACCTTGCTGCCCCCATCGAAGGAGGCCCCTCCTGGCAGTGATGCTCTGGAGCCACCTCGCTTTGTTTTGTCCAGGGCCTTGGTTGCAATTTGAAATGGACCCACATAGTATGTGTTCAAGGGTGGGTTGTCCTGTCCCCTGGGGTGGCAGCCCCACCACGGCAGAGCCCCACGTGGCTTTTTCACAGTTTGAGAAGTCAGCCCCAGCGCGCATTTGCTTAATGAGTGGATGAAGGTGTGGATGGACAGATTCCTGCCACCTCTGTGGATACCAAAGAGGATGCTGGTGCCTCATAGGGGTTGGGGCTGTGGCCAGGACTGGCAGCCGCCACAACCAAGGTGGCGTGGGGCGCCTCCACCTGGAGCCAGGTCTTCCTCAGGGATGTCCCATCTGACACCCACCAGGGGAAAACCTTCCAGAGATGGTCTTGGGAGGATGGGCCAGAAGGACGGGGTGGCTGTGACTCAGACCCTCTACTGACCCAACTCCAAGACCCCCCAGGGCACCTGAGGCCAGGCCACACTCTACCCAGAGGCCCCAGGGCAGCACACAGGCTCCTGAAGTCCCACTACCTGGGCCCCGAGGCACCTGCCTTCTCTCCAGGATGATTATGAACCACATTGAAATGGTCAACAATGACCCAAAATGGTAGCAGGTTTCAGACGTTCAGATCCTTTGGGAATGAAGATTTGGGTCACCCCACCAAACAAGGAAGCACGACCCTCCGAGGGCCTTGCTAGGGCACAGGGACTATGGACAGTCACGAGGGAGGGTAGTTATGGGACAGCTATGGCCGCATGACCAGGTAGAGACATGAGGTGTAACAGTCACAAGTTCTTATTCCGTATTTAGCTGTGAATCTGTCAGTAGATGTGAACCACACTTCTCCTCCCTCTTCCATTTCTCTGCATCCAACATACGTTGCATTGATAGTAGTGACCTTCTCTCTCAGCAGGCTGGGCGGCCTCTAAGATGGGCCCATGACCCCTCCTCTCTGTATCTATGGCCCTGTGTAATCCCCTCCCCTGGAATGTGGGCTGGACATAGTACCTCAATCCAAAGAATGGACAGAATACAACAAAAGCGAAGGGTTATCACTTCCAAGATTAGAGGTTAAGTCACAAAAAGACCATGACTTCCATCTTGCATGCAGTATCTTGCTTTCTCTCTCTTTTGCAGCTCTTTTTCTGAAAGAAGCAGGCTGCCACATCATGAGTAGCCCCACAGAGTGGCCTGCATGGCAGAAAGCTGCTGACACAAACCAACAGCCATGCACGCAAGCGTGGAAGATGATACCATCCCAGTCCAGTCTTCAGATGAGATCACTGCCTTGGCTGGAAGCTTCACTGAGGCCTAGCGAGGAACTGTGAGCCACAGGCAGCCAGTTTAGCGATGCCCAGACTCTTGTCCACAGAAGAGGTGAGATCATGCACATTTATTGTTTTAGGCCTCTGGATTTTGGGGTGATTTTTTATAGAGCAATAGATAACAAATATACTTGGCGTTTAGGCCACAGGATATCAGAAAGGGTGTGAGACTTAGCTGTAGGAGGAAGAGATGTCACCCAGGGGTGGAGGAAGGGGTTTTGTATCCTCTTCTGGGCAGAGTGTGTTTTCAGTTGTTCAGAGGATCATGCTTCATGCTAGGCATAAGCAAGGATTTTGCTGTTGTCTTTATTCAGGCATTAAGTGTGTCTAAGTGAGTCATATATGGTGCCAGGTTGACAAGGGGCAGACCGTGGTGGGTTTCTATTGCATCAGCCCACCCAAGCAGAACTGTACTGCCCAGAATGCCCTTTCCTACATAGCCCCTGGTCAGTTTGGCCCCAAGAGGCATGGTGCAGAATTGGGAAGGCGGGAAGCAGTGGCCATGTTCTTTTTGTGCCCAGAAGGTTGGAGCTGTTGCAGCCCTGCATGCTGTCACCTGTGGGCAGGCACCTTGCCAGTGTGCAGCAGGGGACCCACAGCAGCCCTGTTCCTGCCATAGTCTTCCATGAGTTCTTTAACTCCCAGGACAGGTGTGACATTTAGCACCTGATGAAGGGCCCCATCTTCTCCTGTGGGATCCCAGAATTAAAGCTGGGGACAGCAACAGGGAGACTGCCTTGCAGAGGACATCCGACCCGGCAGTTTCCAGGGCGCTCCTGCTGCCCAACCTGACATGCAGCTCTCCTGCCCCACCACCTGCTCTTCTGACCCTAGGCTGCCACACCAGGCACAGAAGCAAGAGCCTTCTTTGACTTATCAAACATGGGCAAATCCTACAATAAATCCCTCAGCCACATTTCCTGGTGGTTCTGCCTCTCTGATCAAAGCCTAATACAAACCTAATCCCCTTATAGTGAAGCCTTGTTCCCCTGCTCCCAAAGGATAAGAAAGAAGCTCTTTGTGGTTTGCAGCAGTTGCCAGGAGAATAGCAGCAATGTCTGTAGCCAGCCAGACTTTCCAGTGAGGGGATCACACAGGGACACCCACGAAACTCACAGACATTGGCGGTGCCGTTTCGGAAGCAGAGACCAAGCCCCTGTGCCCAGAGGGTTCTGTGCCCCGAGGGCTGGGCTCGGTGGCTGGAGCACCCATGTGTGCACATGCACAAACACACACAGACACACACAGAAATACACACAGACACAAATGCACACAGACACACATGACACAGACACAAACACACAGAGAAATACAGACACAAATGCACACAAACATGACATAGACACAGACACACACAGTAATACACGCAGACATAAATGCACACAGACACACAGAAATACACACAGACACAAATGCACACAGACACAAATGCACACAGACACACATTCACACAGACACAAACACACACAGAAATACACACAGACACAAATGCACACAAACATGACACAGACACACACAGAAAGACACACAGACACACATGCACACAGACACACAGAAATACACACAAATACACACAGAGATACACACAGACACGCAGAAATACACATACAAACAGAGATACACATGCAGACACACACAGAAACACACACAGACACACATGCACACGGACACCGAAATACACACAGAGATACACACACAGATATACACAGACACATACAGAGAGATACACACACACAAAGAGATGCAGACACAGATACACACACAGACACATACACAGAAATAGACACAGACACACACAGGGACATAGACACACACATACACACACACATCGACACATACATATGCACACAAATACACAGAAACACATGCACACACATGAATACACATGGACATACATACCTAGAAACCCAGAGACACACGTGCACAGAGACACACACATACACACACACATCGACACATACATATGCACACAAATACACAGAAACACATGCACACACGTGAATACACATGGACATACATACCTAGAAACCCAGAGACACACGTGCACAGAGACACACACATACACACAACACACGTGAACAGATAAACACACAGCTAGAGACACACACAGATGGAAAGGCTACTGCAGCCCCATTTAAAATTTTTAACACCATGCCAGGAAAAATGGCACCTCCAGCTGCATCTTCTAGACTCTTTCTTGTTCATTCTCTGAAGTTGTTGGAGGGGAAAAGGAGCTCAGGAAGTATTATTCCACCTTGCCATGGACCAGTGGTGAGGGTGAGCCCCACCGTGGTGAAGGACTTCCCAGTGTGGTACAGTTTAAAAGGAGGTCCAAGTCGGGGGGCAGCGTGAAGACCACGTGCTGGAGGACATGCCTCCTGTAGGTGTGATGCCCCCGAAGTGGGCAGCCCCTCTCTTGCCAGTCTGGGCTGCCCTTTTACTGCCTCCTCACCTCCTGCCAGGGTGATGGCACAGATGTCCCTGGCCCAGGCCACAATCTCCTCCAGGTAGCTCCTTCCACAGCAAAGGCCAAGGGGAGGAGAGATGCTACCATGGCACAGAAGCACCCGGTAGCCCCTGGCTGACTGGCCAAGCTGGGACAAGCTGAGCCAGAGGGACAGGAGAGCCTGCCATTCTGCAATGTGGACTGCATCAGAGGAGGGGGCGCAGAGCTAGAGGTTTCCGGAGCCCTCCAGAGTGTAGATAGGAGTCACTGCAGGGCCCACAGCTGTCAGCTGAGCCCTGCCTTCCAAGAAAGTCTCACTTATCACTGCTCCAGGATCAAACTCATTCATAATTTGTGTGTGCACCTGCATTATTGATGCTCCATCTGAAAACCCTGTCCTGGATAGGGTATTATGAATCTAGAGACTGGTTAAAGACCAGACTGATGGAGAAAATACATATTTGTGCATTAATCATCACCTTCCTCTGACATGGTAGCTCCCACAGTGACAGAAACTTGGGTTTGGAGCCTCTATTGTCTGGCTGTAGCACCTGCCATGCCAGCCCCAGGCCCAAGGTCACATAGTGGGAGACAAGGGTGAGCATGGATTCTCCTTACTTCCTTACTCTGCCAGCTGCCTTCCCTCTGCTCTGAACTGCGGGACCTGAACTCAGACTCCAGGGCACTCTAAGCCATGGCTGCATGGTGGGGTCCCTGGTAATGCAAGTCTTCTGGACACACTCACTCAGCTGGGGAGAAGTTTGCCAAGTTCTGGCTCAGATGACTAGGAGAGATGGCTTGGCCTCCTCAAGCCCAGGCCCTGGCAGGGCAACCAAATGCATCTCCCTGAACCCACCAGGCTTAGGTGCCAGAGGACAGGATTTCTATGTCTTCTTCATTGTTTTTCCCCAGTGCCAAGTGCATAATAGGAGCTCAATAAATATTTATTGAATAAATAATCTTTGCATGAATTGTTATAAAATCTCTGCCAGAGTCAGTGCTACTCGCAGACTGTGTTTCTCTCTCCTGACACTTGGTGGTTGTTAAATCAGAAATCGTCCCCTATCTTCATCCATCCAGCCGTCCACCCAATGGCACACTTCTAAACGATTTGTGACAGCTACAGGTACAAACATAGGTGACATCTGAATACATTTTTGGGCATTTGCATAGGGGTTGTTCACTCCTAAGGTCTCACCCTAACGACTGTGTTGGAGGTTATTGTGCCACGGGGCCTTAGGCACAAAGGGCTCGGGTTTGGTGCTGAGATTCCAACTTTAGCTGATGCATTGACAGTAGCATAGGAAGCAGCTGGTGGGTTTTATTTGCAGCCTGGAGGGGTCAGCACAGAGGAGGGTGGAAGGCGAGCATGAAGGAACAAGAGAAAGCAAAGGACACTGGGGTTCATGGCTGTTCACGGGTCTGCTGAGAACGGAGGAGGGCTTTGCTTTGGCACCGTCTAAAAATACTCAGAGTGCTCGTGATGCCCACAGCTAACTTCATACTTAATTCAGAAGGACTGAAAAAGCTTTCTACCTCTGATCAGAAACATGACGAGGATGTCCCTTCTCCCCACTTCTATTCAACAATAGGGTTCTAGCAAAACCTAGTCAGGAAAAAGAAAAGATATCCACATAGGAAAGGAAAAACAATCTCAATTTGCAAATGAAATGATCTTCCTAAGAAATCCATGAAAAATACTCTTAGAACAAATAAACAAGTTCGGCAATGTGGCAGGATATAAGATTAATATACAAAAATCAATTTTATTTCTACACACTTGTGATGAAAAAGCCAAAAATGAAATTTAAAGAAATTTCCACTTATAATTGCATATATACCTAGGGATAAATTTAACAAAAGAAGCCCAAGGCTTGCACACTGAAAGCTACAAAAGGTTGTTAACAGAAATGTTTAAAGACCTAGATAAACACAAAGATATCCCACATTCTTGAAGGGCATGACTTGCTGTTGTTAAGATGGTGGTACGCCCCCACATTTACCTACAGATTTGGTGTAATCCCTATCGAAATTCTGCCTGACTTTTTTGGTAGAAATAAAGAAGCTGATCATAAAATTAGTACAGAAACTCAAGAGATCCAGAGCAGCCAAAATATTCTTGAATAGAACAAAGTTGAAGGACTCAGACTTCCTGATTTCAAAACCCACTATAAGGCAACAATAAAGATAGTGTTTATTGGCATAAGAATAGACATATGGATCAATGGAATAGAACTGAGAGTCCAGAAATAAACCAATAAACCCTCACATCTATGGCCTATTGATTTTTGATAAGGGTGCCAAGACCATTCAATAGGGAAAAATAGCCTTTTCAACAAATGGCGTTGGAATAACAGAATATCCATATGCATATTCAAAAATTATCCACATATAAAAAACTAATTCAAATGAATCAAAGATTAGGCCAGGCACAGTGGCTCATGCCTATAATCCCAGCACTTTGGGAGGCCAAGGGGGGCAGATCACCTAAGGTCAGGAGTTCAAGATCAGCCTGGCCAACATGCCGAAACTCTGTCTCTAGTAAAAATTCAAAACTTATCTGGGCATGGTGGCATGTGCCTGTAGTCCCAGCTACTTGGGAGTCTGAGGCAGGAGAATCTTTTGAACCAGGGAGGTGAAGGTTGCAGTGAACCAAGATCATGCCACTGCACTCCAGCCTGGGTGACAGAGTAAGACTCTGTCTCAAAAAAAAAAAAAAAAAAAAAAAAAAAAAAAAAAAAACATGGATCAAAGATTTAAATGTAAGAGCTAAAACTATAAAAGCTCTTAGAAAAAAACAGGCATAAATCTTTGTGACCTTGTGTTACTCAACAGCTTCTTAGATATGAAATCAAAAGCTCAAGGAACAAAAGAAAAGACAGATGAATTAGACTTCATTAAAATTAAAAGCTTTTGTGCTTCAAGACACAATAAATTAAAAAGACAACTGACAAAATGGGAGAAAATCGTTATATATCATCCATCTGATAAGTGACTTGTATCTAGAATAAAGAACTCACAGCTGGGCACAGTGGCTCATGCCTGTAATCCCAGCACTTTGGGAGGCCGAGGCAGGAGGATCACCTGATCCTGATCTTGACAAGATTGAGACCATTCTGGCCAACATGGTGAAACCCTGTCTCTACTAAAAATACAAAAATTAGCTGGGCATGGTGGTGTGCACCTGCAGTCCCAGCTATTTGGGAGGCTGAGGCAGGAGAATTGCTTGAACCTGGGAGGTGGAGGTTGCAGTGAGCCAAGATCAAGCCATTGCACTCCAGCCTGGTGACAGAGTGAGACTCCATCTCATAAAAATAAAATAAAAGAATAATAATAATAATAATAATAATAATAAGGAACTCACTATGCAATAATTAAAAGACAGAGAACTCAATTTTTTAAAAAGGGGCAAAAGACTTGAATAGACATTTCTCCAAAGAAGATACACAACTGGCCAATAAGCACATGAAAAGATGCTCAGCTGCATTAGCCATCAGGGAAATGCAAATCAAAATCACAGTAAGATACCACTTCACATCCATTAGCATGGCTGTAGTCATGAAGACAGATAATAACAAGTGTTGGCAAGGATGTAGAGAAATTGGAACTTTCATATGCTGCTGGTGGGATGTAAAATCATGCAGTTGATTTGAAAACAGCCTGGCAGTTCATCAAAAGATTAATTATTCAGTTACCATATGACCCAGCAATTGCACCCCTAGGTATATGCTCACAAAAACTGGAAACATGTTCACATAAAAACTTGTACATGAATTTCATAGCAGCATTAGATCTTAACAGCCAAAAAGTAGAAACAACCCAAATGTCTACCAACTGACAAGTAATACCATGGAATAGTATTCAGCAACCATGGAGTATTATGCAGCAACAAAAAAGGATGAAGTACAATTGTGTGCTGCAACATGGAAGAGGCTTGAACACATTCTGCCAAGTGGAGAAGCCAGTCACTAAGAGCATCCGTTGTCTGATTCCATTTATACAAAATGTCCAGAATCAGCAAATTCATAGAGACAGACAGGAGATTGGTGCTGGCCTGGGGTCAGGTAAGACCTAGAGGAGGTGAGGGATCGGGGAATGACTGCTAATTAATACAGGCCTTCTTTGGGAAGGGACAATGAAAATGTTCTCACATTAGACTGTGCTGATGGTTGCACAGCTCGTGGAGACAGTTACTAAAAAGCATTGAGTTGTGTATTTTAAATGGGGAAATTCGATAGTAGGCAGATTACAGCTCAACAAAGCTGTTAAAACCATCACAATAACCAAGAAAGATTCTGTACCTACCCATGGTCCAGATCTCAACTGACCCGTGGCATACACGCATGAGCGTGCTGAGCAAAGCAAGCTGCGTCTGCAGGCGAGGACTTGCAGGGCATGAGCTGAGGCCAACCCCAGAGCACCGGCGGGGCTGGGGGGTGCGGCACAGATTTGCCCTCCACAAGGTGCACTCTCGTCCTTTTCTGTTTGAGATACAATTTAACACAATATGATGCACAGATCTTAATTTAGTAAATTTTAACAATTGTAGGCACCCACGTAACTACCACCCTAAAACTCCAAATTATGGCATATTGCCATCACCCTAGAAAGTTCCCTGGAGCACACAACCAGCCAGAGTTTTGGGAAGTCAGGAGTGAGAGAAAGGAGGCGGACTCCCAAGTGGGGCCATGACTGCAGCCTATAGGATGGGTTTGCAGAGGGTGAGACAGAGATCAGTTAGCAAAAGGGACCTTTGTCCTCCCTGAAAGCTGATGGAAACTGAAGGAAAGAAACCCTTCTGCTGAAGGAAATGCAGCAGGGCCCACATTCCCAAAGCCCCTGGGATGATGATCTTTTGGTCATTCCTTGTCCTCGCTCTTGGGGAAAACGTCAGCTACCATTTCCGCCCTGAGTCTGCCAAGGGGAGAAGGAAGAGAGAGGAGAGCATTCCTGAATTCAGAGTGCGTTGACAACAGTTTCAGAAAGGTGGATGGATGGGCGTATCCTTCATGACCAGGGACCACGGATGGGTGGAGGTGATGCAGACCTTGCCAACTGCCTCAGCCCGTCCTTGCCCAGTATGCACCCTTACACCCTGGCCATCAGCCAGCTCCACGCGCCCAGGGAGGCGGATGCCCCACACACAGCGTCTTGAGGGCACAGCCGGTGCATCTTCCAGGGCCATTTGGAGAAATAGGAGTTTTGTTGTTGCTGTTGTTTTCTAACACAGTTTGGTCTGGGGCCTCCAAAAGGCCAGCTATAGACACTATAAATTGATGGGTTTCTAGGGAAACCTGTCAGAACAGAAGATGAGTTTCAGCCACTGTGGCAGTGACGGGGCCAGAGGCAGAAATGGCCTAGAGGTACCATATGCTCTCGTAATGTACTTTGCTTCCTGCTATTTATGAGCGGAGGACGCTCTGAGTGCATCGTTCTCAATCAAGGGCATGACCAGCAATCACTCTGTGTGACTCAGCTGCCAGTGGGCCATGGGGTTGACCCTGGAGAAACCTCAGGGGCCTGGGTAGGCCTCCAGCCAGAGTCGGAACCTGGCCTCAGTTCCTCCCGCCTGCACACCCCTCTACAAGTATGGCCTAAAGGTCACGAAATATTTAGCTCTTCCCCTTCGCCTCTAGGACAAGAAGGGAGCCAGAGATCCAAGGGATGAGAGCCCAGCTTCAGAAATCAGACAGACAGGTGTGGTCTTAGCTCTTCCGGCAGGATGTGACTTTCAGCTAGGTGCCCCAGGGGATCTGTCCCCACCCACATTGCAGTGGAGAGGTGGCACTCTACTCCAGAGGCGGGGCTCAGATGCTGGACCAAATTGAGGACCAGCTATAACAGGGATGGGGTGGAAGCACCTTTCCATAAGACACGCCCACCAGTGTGAGTTGACCGCTGCCATGGCAACACCTGGGCGTTACCTCCTCTTTCCATGGCAATAACCCCAGGATCTAGAAATTTCTGCATAAACCACCCCTTAATCTGCTTGTAATTAAAAGTAGATATAGATGTGACTGCACAACTGCTCTGAGCTGCTCCTCTCAGCGCACTGCCTGTGGGGTAGTCCTGCTCTGTAGGGACAGTCACGGAGCTGCAACACTGCCTCGTCAATAAAGCCCCACCCCACCAGGGGCTTGCCCTTGAAGTCTCTCCTGGGTGAAGTAAAGAATCCTTGGGGGCCCAGCCCCACTTTGGGGCTCCCTGCTCTGCATCAGCGTGATGGGCCTAATGGTTGACTCAAGGTAGGGAGTACCCAAGTCAATGCATGCTGGGGACTCGGCAGTGGGGCTGCCCTGAGCGGAGGAGGAATATCCTGACAGACTGGCTGTCATTCAGGGGGGAGTGGGGTTGTGGTTGGCGCAGGAGCCCAGCTGAGGACAGGCATGAGTCAGGGTGGCAGTGGATGCTGTCATGTTCTGGGACCCCAGGCAGGGCACAGTGTAGCTGTGCCACGAGGTACACAGGAAAGGACGAGAGGCCTCCAAAACGTTCACAGTTGTTATTTCTGGGCAGTTCTTCATGTTCTTTAAATTTTCTGCATTTCTCCAAACTCTTTACCCAGCACACAGGGCCTTTACAATCAGAAATCTAAGAGAGTCACTGCGCTCAAAGCCACGCTGGGGCATGGCACCACGGACATGGCACACTGTTCGGCCTGTCATATGCCTCACATACGAGCTCACGTTTCTCGAGGTTTGCCCACCCACCCAGCCCCGTTCTGGGCTCTTGCTCAGGCTACGGCATTGATCTCATTACCCCCCAGTAGGCGAGGAAGGGGCACAGGTTGGGAAAGTTGTGCCAGGTCATATGGTTGGTAACTTGTGCAGGGAAGCCTCTCACCTGAACTGTGTTTCTCCTCTACTCTCACACCTCAATAATCATCAACACAGGAGAAGACTTCTGTGATGCTCCCCCGCCAAGGCTGCCCCTACACACACCAGCCGCAAGTCTGGGCCCCTGGAACTTCTGACTGGCCGCCTTCAGGTTGGCATTCCCATGACCCCCTCTTTCCAATTCTATTAATTTGCTGGAGCAGCTCGCAGAGCTCAGGCAAACACATTTATAGATTAATGAAAAAGAATATTGCAGATGAAGAGATGCGTAGACCGAAGTGGGAGGAAGGGACGCAGAGCTCCCACATCCTTGCTGGGCGCGCCACACTCCAGGAACCGCACTGAACCGAGTCCTCTTGGGATTTTATGGAAGCTTCATGATGTCAGCATTCCTTCCCCCATGGCATAGGATGGGACCCTCTCATGGGAGGGTCTTAAGACCCACAATCCGAAAGGCAGGAGAAAGTTAGGGTGCCGCCTTGGGGCAGGTGAAAGGAGGGCAGGAGAAGGCAGAGGCTGCCCATGAGGCTCAACACCCCCAACATTCTAACGCAAATGGGAACAAGTGCTATGGGAGTTATAAGCCAGGAGCCGCAGACGAAAACCCGTATCTATCCTAACAGCACATAACTATACAAAATCTATTTCCTGGCCACATAGTCACTTTTTAACGTAACCTTGGTTAACAGCATGGTGTTCAGTGTTTACAGAACACCTGGGCCTGGAGTGAGTGTGCCGGTCAGGTTCACATAGATATAAAGGATATGAAGGGAACCCCGGACACTGCTCCAAAAAGCAGACCCAGGGATGCCTGTGGGTGGCCGGTGATGGGCCCCTCTCACCCCTGGGGAGCTGGGCTGGTTGCAACCTGTCCGCCGGCACTGCCAGGCCAGGGTCACGGCTGAGGATACCCAGGGCAGGTGCAGAGGTGAGGAGGTCCCAGGTGAGCACCCTGGGAGTGGGGTGAGCTCTGCCGCGGCTTTCCTGGGGAGGGCTGTGGGAGGCGCAGGTGTGTCAGCAACGACCTGAGGCTGTGCTGTGGCCCCATGGCTTGCTGTCCATGGCCTTCATCTGCCTCTCGCCTCCTCTGGAAATGAGAGTGACTGTCCCGGCCACCCTGACCCCGCTGACCGAGAGCCCAGACGAAGGGGTAGTGGAGGGGGACCTGCTTTTCTGTCCAGAAGGATTTGGTTTGAGCCTTAGTTTCTCATGCAGCTGCAGGTGACAAGGGCCGGCAGCTGTGCCTGGCAGGGCAGGGCCCTTCTATCCAATTCTGAGCTGAATCTTCCAAGCCAATGATCTCACAGACGTGGTGTCAGTGTTACAACAGCCCGCGAGGCTGCCGAGCCACTGAGAAACTAGGGTCACCTGCAAGTGAGCAGGTGGGCAGCACCAGGCAGTGTGGGGGCAAGGATGCCTGCAGGGGCACCTCCTGCAGGGATGAGCCTTCTAGCACATTCTAAGGGAACCAACGCCCTCTGCCCTGCTGGTGCTGTCCCCAGAGACTTTGATAGCTGGGTTTTGGGTGGGTCTTGGCTTCTCAATGTAAGAGGCCAGTGCGGGGTCCTGACGTGCAGCTGGGCTGGGGCGGTGTTCAGAGCACCGGGCTCCTGTCCTCTCTCCTCACCCGTCATGCAGGGACCTCCAGCCTTCCTTCCCCAGGCTGCTGGGGTGGGGAGGGGTGTGGAAGCTAGAGTCTGTGCAGCAAACATGGGTGGTCGACACTGCTGTCTGTCAGGCGGAGCAGCCCTAGAGCGGCACAGCCGGTCCGCTCCCCCGCATCCTTGGAGACAGATGGCCAGAGCCTCTGCTGGGTGGGGGAGAATTCCGCACCCTCCTGGCTGGAGGCGAGGCCGTGGGCCGCCGGCTCTGGGAGCTCCAGGCTCTGCCTCCCACACCCGCTGCTCTGGACACGCAGCATCGCTCTGCGGGGAGAGAATGGTGGCGGGCCTGGCTGGCTCTCCCTGGCCCCCCAGGGACCTAGTGGGAACAAGCACTGCAGGACCAGGAGAGAAAGTGGGTGAGGAAGCGGGGGGGGGGGTGTGGGGGTGAGCGAGTGTGAGTGTGCAAGCAGGTGTACCCGGCTATGCATGAGCACAGTGGCTGTGTGCAGGGGTGTGCCTGTGTCTGTGTGTGTGTCTGGTGTGAATGTGTCTTTGCCTGTGTCTGTGTGAATGTGTCTTTGTGTGTGTGTCTGGGGTGAATGTATCTGTGTCTGTCTGAAGTGAATGGTCTGTGTGTGTATCTGGTGTAAATGTATCTTTGTGTGTGTCTGGTGTGAATGTGTCTGTGTGTGTTACTGGTGTGAATGTGTGTGTGTCTGGTGTGAATGGTCTGTGTGTGTCTGGTGTGAATGTGTGTGTGTCTGGTGTGAATGGTCTCTGTCTAAAGTGAATGGTCTGTGTGTGTGTATCTGGTGTAAATGTCTCTTTGTGTGTGTCTGGTGTGAATGTGTCTGTGTGTCTGGTGTGAATGTGTGTGTGTCTGGTGTGAATAGTCTGTATGTCTGGTGTGAATGGTCTGTGTGTGTCTGGTGTGAATGTGTGTGTGTCTGGTGTGAATGGTCTTTGTGTGTGTCTGGTGTGAATGTGTATGTGTCTGGTGTGAATGGTTTGTGTCTGTGTCTGGTGTGAATGTGTCTTTGTGTGTGTGTGCCTGATGTGAATGTATCTGTGTCTGGTTTGAATGTGTCTGTGTGTGGCTGGTGTGAATGTGTGTGTGTCTGTCTGAAGTGAATGGTCTGTGTGTATCTGGTGTAAATGTGTCTTTGTGTGTGTGTGTGGTGTGAATGTGCCTGTGTGTTTTTGGTGTGAATGTGTCTGTGTGTGTGTCTGGTCTGAATGTGTCTTTGTGTGTGTGTCTGCTGTGAATGGTCTTTGTGTGTGTCTGGTGTGAATGTGTCTGTGTGTGTGTGTCTGGTGTGAATGTACCTGTGTGTTTTTGGTGTTAATGTGTCTGTGTGTCTGGTGTGAATGTGTCTGTGTGTGTGTGTCTGGTGTGAATACATCTGTGTGTGTGTCTGGTGTAACCCTGTCCCAAGGAGTGGCCCAGCCATCCTTCATGGGTCACAGACTGTGACATTTGGGACTACCAAGTAGTGGGCTTCCCCTGCTGTCCCCAACCCCACCCCACACCCCCAGCACCAGGTGGCTTCATCAGAGTCACAGCTGCCTGTTTGGGAGGCTCTGGGCCCTGAGCGGAGAGGGAAAGGGGCAGATGGGCCAGCACACACTCAACTCACTCTTCGACTTGGCTTTCGCAGGTGGAGCTGCCAGAGGAGCCTCACAGCCTCCCCCAGCCCACAGTGACCACCCTCCTGCCATGAGGCCACTGCTGATGAGCCTGAGTCCCATGTGCATTTGAGGGCACCTGTGGCCCCAGGCTCCGGGCCAGGGCCTGGCTCAGGGCAAGAACCAAGTTAACTGTCTCGTGAATTGGGGACGGGGTAGGCTGCATGGGCAGAGGTGACAGGGGTGCTTCCCCACCCTCCGCGCCACCCTCTGCCCTCTGCCCTTTGCCCTCTGCCCTCTGCCCTCCGCCCTCTGCCCTCCACCCTCTGCCCTCCGCTCTCCAGGTGGCTTTCCCCAGGACCAAGTGTGGTTCTGCCCTGGGAAGAGAATGGAGCAAGGGTCTCCTGGCAGAAATTAGGAACCCAGGACTTTACCCACCTTCAACCAGCCAAATGGCCTCGGTCAATCCTCTCGAACTGCATACCTCAGTATTCCCATTTGTATAAAGAGGGTCTCCATGCTCTTTGAGGACCAGGATCAGATCTGACAAGTGCAAGGTTAAGGTCAGGCTTTCTGGTGACAGAAGGTGTGCAAGCTGACACAGGTGAGGTTTTGTTGACCTGCTTACCTTGCTGGCGTTTTCTTCTTCCTGAAATCCCTGCTTACTGTTTCTCCTCCATTGCCCACCACCTGCCCCAAAACATTCCCCGCCTGCCAGGTAGGGAGACCTGCAGTGAGGACACCCACACGCGGGGTTTCTGTGTCCCTCGAGAGGGGGTGCGAGGGCAATGCCAAACAGGGGAGGGTGGCTAAGGGTGGAATTTCAGGCATGAGCAGGGCCGCCGTGTGTCTAAGCCAGGCATGGAGCAGGGAGGGGCAGGGAGCGCTTCTCCATCCAAGGAGCTCCGGGGGCAGCACACAGCCTCGGGACAAGCCCAGCTGTGGGGCCCGGATCCCGGTCCAGTTCAGTCTCAATCTCCACTCGTTTCATTTCTCTTGAGTCTCTGGGCCTGTTTCCCCATCTTTACATTGCACTGTGGGGTTGCAATGCACAGGGTGGTGAGGTTGGATGAGATGAGCCGACTTTGCCTATGTTAGTATCTCTCATACCCGCATTCCTCACACACTATGTCCGGGGCACTGGGGACCTGTGATCCAGCAAACCCCTGCAGAAAGAGGGACGGCGAACCTCTGAAAGAAGTAAACAAATCAGTCCCAGAAGGAAGGCGGAAAGGAAAGCCGTGGGGATGTGTTTCTGAAGTCAAACACCCTGCGCTCGATAAGGCTTCTGGCAGAGGAAGAGTGAGAGCCCCTCCCAGGCCGGGCTGCCGGCTCTCCTGGCGCCTTCCCGCTCAATCCTATTAGCCATCGAGCAGCAGAAAGAAGCAAAGCACACTCAGAAGGAACGCAGATGTCAGAGACAAAGACAAAAGGCAGGGTGGGGCTGGGAGGAGGCACCGCTTGCAGGCCTGGCCAGGCCAAGCTCCCTGGAGAGGAGCCGCATGGCTCCAGAGGGAAAGTGGTTTAGCAAACTTGATGGATTCCTCTTATTAGACAAAGCCCTGTCTCCCCTACTCCCACCCCTGCACAGCTACAGAAAAAGGCTCTCCAGCGGGGGGGCATCTTACTCCCACCTCCATCCGGGAGGGGCTGGCAGGCTGGGGATGGGGAGAGGAAGGAACCCATACCCCAGGCTGGTCCCCAGGTCCAGCCCCTGGAGAAAGCTGGAGGCCTGTGTGATGAGCACCCTGGCTTCTTCCGTCTCCTGCAGGGCCCCAGGAAGCTGCGATGCCCCCACCAGCCCTGGACTCTCTTTCTTCATGTGGAAGGGTCATCTCAGAACCCAGGTCCAGTAGGATCCAGTAGGGGCTGCGTTCCCTCAGGGAAACCTGGGAGGTGAGGTTGGGAGGGTCATCCATCCACCTGGCCATCGTGCACTTGAGCGAGGCAGACAGGGTGGAGGCAGAACGGCGGGGTGCTGCGGGGCAGGTGGGCGTGAATCCCCTGCCAGCCCTGCCCACACACAGGGATGTGTTGGGGTCCGTCGATGAGAAAGTGTGCCTGCAGGCTTGAGCGGGGCTGGAGCCTCCACCACCCACCTGTGCATGGCAGCTCTTGGTGGGGGGCAGTCTGGGCGGGGTGCCCAGCGGACCCTGTGGCCTGAGTCACGGCGGATCCCGTGTGCCTCACGTAATCCTCCCCCCCGGACCTCCCCAGCCATTTTCAGGACCTCGGGAGGGAAGAAGGCATTTGAACATCTTCAAGATCATTTGCAGGTGAGGAAACTGAGACTCCGAGGAGGTGCTCAGGACCTCGAAGCAGGAACGCGAGTCAGGCCAGTGCACCTGCCAGGCTCACCCTTTTAGTCCAAGAGGCACAGCGCCCTCCGTTTCCACCTGGCAGAGCCCAGGAGTGAGGCTTTCCCACCTCCACACGCCCAGCGCCCGCCCCAGAGGAAAAACACCACTTCCCAGGATCTGACCCAGAGCAGACGATGGAAAGAGAACAGTGTGTGGGGACAGAATCTTCTGGAGACCTCCATTGTGCCTCAGTTTCCCTCTATGTCAAATGTCAGCCTCTGAGCGTTGAGGGTAAACTCTATACATCATTGGAAGATTGTGCAGGGAAAACACCAAAGAGAAGCCCTATCTCAGGAAAGCCCCCCCTGCACGTGCCCCCTCCCCCATTTAGACCTGCTCCCCATCCATGTGCCTGTGCCCCTGGCAAGTCACTGTCGTCTTGTTCCTCTCCCGATGGGGCACATGGGTCAGGACAGAGGCAAAGCAATCAGCTCCACATTGCCTGCCGGCTGCAAGGGGGGGCAAAAGAAATGTTTAATTTATCACTGGTTCCAAGAACTAAGGAAAAAGTAATAATAATTCTGTCTTGAGCACCAAGAGCATGATATTTACAGCCGCAAAACTTTCCCAACAGTTTGAATGCAAAACAGGGTGTGCCGTATTCATAGCCGTTTGTCCCAATTGGAAAGGAAGGCGTTCGAGAGCAAAATAGCACTTTGCTGCAAACCGCTCGCTAAGAAAATGGCAAGGCAGTCTGTGTTCTGAGGGAGGCTGGGAGCTGGAAATGAGCAGGTACCTGAGAAAAACAGAACAAAAGCAGGTGCAGAAGGCGGTCAATGGCAGCCTGTGCCAAGCAGAGCAGGGTGGCTTTCTTTTTATTTAAAATAACATTTTTATTGATTCCTGAATTCCTGCCCAGATGAGGCTGGGGAGACAGGAAGCCACATGGACGAGATGCCCGGGGAGAAAGCCCATGGTCTCCCAGCACTTGCCCTCCCGAGGCTGCTTCCACTCTGCACCGTGTGGCGGGGGCGGTGGGCACAGCCGACTCAGTTTCCCTTGCTCTTAGGGCGAGCACCAGCACTTCTCTCCCAGGAGCTGAGATGATTCATTAACAACCAAGGAGAGATTTGAAAATGAAAAATGTCCTCGCCGTCTCTGGGATTAATCATCGTATAACGCATGCTCCCTCTCTGCGTGGCAACTTAATTACCTGCCGTCGACAAAATGATTCTCCTCCTGCTCCTCTCCGGAGAAACGCTCCCATTTGGAGCCCGCGGTGCAGATTCTCGGCAAAGAATCAAAGCTCTCTTTGCAGCAACAGAAAGGCTCGGGAGTGTTTTTATGGAATGAGAGAGAACAGAAGCAGCCTCTGCTGGAGAGGGGCCTCCCAGGTTCGGAGGGGACAGACCAGGGAGAGACAGAAATGGCCCTAATTTTGTGATTTAAAAAATAGAACTCGAGATCCTGTTTCCTCCCGAGCCTGCTGAGAGGAGTCCTTGGCCCCTCTGACAGCCTGCTCCAAGGGGCAGAGCGGGGCAGGGAGCATGACCTTGCCTGGACGTGGACCTGTGTTGCCCTGGCCAGGGCCCTCCAGAGAGTTGAGCCTACTGTCTGCTTCTGTCTCAAGACCCGGTCTTAGGGATAGGGAACTTGCCTTGCTGACCTTCCTGAGGCCATAGCCACTGGACATTGGGCTTGCTTAGCCGAAGCCTTGTCCCAGGTCCATGTGGGTCACGGCCCTTTGTTTTGTGTGTGTTTGCTTTTGTTTCTTTGTTTGTTTTTATTATTTGAGACAGAGTTTCACTCTTGCCCAGGCTGGAGTGCAGTGGCGCAATCTCAGCTCACTGCAACCTCCGCCTCCTGGGTTCAAGCTAGTCTCCTGCCTCAGCCTCCCAAGTAGCTGGGATTACAAGTGTGCACCACCACACCCGGCTAATTTTTGTATTTTTAGTAGAGACAGGGTTTCACCGTGTTGGCCAGGCTGGTCTCGAACTCCTGACCTCAGGCGATCCAGCCTCCCAAAGTGCTGGGATGACAAGCGTGAGCCACTGCCCCCAGCCTGGGTCACAGTCCTTTGTAAAGGGCCACTCAACACTGACCTGCAGCCTTGCTGTTCCCTGCAGCTGGGGTGGGGTCCACCTTGCCTGGGGCCATCCTCATTCTGCTTGTCTGACGTTCTTTAGTATCTGTTAAGGCTTGTAGGGCCCCTTTCACGCCCAAATGTCCTGGTCATCCCAGTTCTAGAAAAGAAGACATTCGAACTAGTCTGAAAGATCAGACAGAGTTTTTTGTTTGTTTCTATTTTTTGCACCTGGTAATGAAAGTAATAAATTCTCACCGCATAAAATTTGGAAAGTAAGGAAAAAATAATGTAAAGCAGAAGAGAAAGCCACGCCAGCTTGCTAATATCTTGGAATGTTTATTTTCTGTCATTTTTCCTAGGCTTGTAATTATTGCACCTGGCCAGGGTCATCCTGAACACAGTCGTCACGCCTAACCATCTCTAGGCAAGGAGATGGGAAGGGCTTCGGTGGGCAAAGCTAAGGAGAAGGAAAGGGCTCGGTTGGAGGGAAGACTGGGCTCCGCTCCTGCCACTAGCTGCTGTGTGCTCTCTTGCCAGCTGCTCACCCTCTCTGAACCTTGTTCTTTGGCCTGCAGAACTGGCATGGGGCTGCCACAAGGACGATGAGCTACAAGCGACAGCAATGGGCTTCTGCACAGACGGCCCTGCAGAAACCTCTGAGATAGCACCCCCTGCGGTCCCCTGCCCACCACCACCCCACTTTGCTTTTCTTCCAATTGATCTCCACCTGACACAGTGCACGCCAATGCTGGTCTCCCTCTCCTTGACCCAGGGGGAGGTGGGGAAGCTCCTGAGAGGGAACCCGCTGTTGTGTTCAAGGCTGTGTTTCTGGGGCACATGAGGCCCGGGCTGGGTGAAGCTGTGAAGCTGTGCTGAATGGATGCAAGGCTTTCCAGGAAAGATGGCAAGGGCACGAGGACGGCTCAGGAGGAGCAGGAGGGTGCCAGCAGAGGAGCCCAAGGACAGGAGATCACAGAAGGCCCTGGCAGCCTGAGACGGGGGTGCTGTCCTCTTTGTAAGCTGCGCAGCTGCCTCGACCCCTGAGCAGGCACACAGCAGGTGCGGGTAGGGGTCCTTCCTCCTGGCACAGACAGCCCCACAGCCTATGGGGCAGCAGAGCCTCCACCCCGGACACTCCTGCTCCTGGATGCAGAGCGAGAGGTGGCTGCAGCCTTGCGGGATGTCGCGCGGAGGCTGACGGGAGCACGGTTCACTGAGAGAGAGAAGCCAGCAGGCCTCAGCCATGGAAGCCGGTGCCTGATTGGTGCCCAGCTGTGATTAGAGAGTCCTATTTCAATGTGGGCCCCTTAGGCTCATGTCCAGAGGCCTCTGACTCATGGAGAACTGTGCTCGGCACACCGTTTCTGGACCCTCTTGAAGGATTATCTGCTAGTCCTGGGGCCTGGGTACCATGTTCTGCATGGACAGCCAGGACTGGGATGGAGCCTGGACCAGCCCCCGGAGCAGCTGAGCATCTACCCATCGGTTCAAATAGAAGGACCCTGGATGTCTGCCTTGGATGGCCGGCCCAGCCCCCTGTGGGCTGATGGGAGCTCCTCTTTCCAGGGTTCTGGGCCTGTCTCCAGAGCTGGAAGCGCTGAGGACTCCCAGCCCTGGCCATGATGGATGACGAAGCCCACACCTGCCCACCCTGTCCATCCTCCTGTGGTGGATGCCCTTGTCTTCTCTCCGTGATACCGTGGGCTTCCCCTGGCAGAGCCCTCATCACAAAACTCTGATGTTTACTCATCTCCGCAGCAGGCCCCGGGGAGCATCTCGCAGGCGGCCACCCCGCCAGAGCCACCGTCCTCTCTCAGTGCTGGGTCACTGCATGCATTCAGGGCTGAGTCTCCACTCCCCACATCTGCCTTTAGAGTCAGAAAATCACCCACTGGCATTAACCAAGGCCCCCGAGTCAGTTCTAGGGCTGGAAGGACCTCCTGAGACCCACCTGTGCTCATTCACTTATCCGCTCATCACTCACTCATCCGCTCATCACTCACTCATCCACTCATCATTCATTCAGCAGTGGTTGTGGGTCAGTGACACACCCAGCCCCGAGCCAGATGCTGCAGGTACATAGCTCAGGAAAGTGATGCAATCCCTGAATGCCTGGCCTTGGTGTGCCGAGAGACAAGTGAAATTTTCCCAGGGCCACGGTGGGATTCAGAAGGTGCAGCGTGCCCTGCCAGGGGGAGATGGCAGAGGCATGACTGTCCGGGGCAGACAAGACAGAAGGATGAGTGGCAGTTAGTAGGAAAATACACGTGTCCAGGGCAGAGACTCTGGCCCTAGGAGGCCTGGGGGTGGCAGGGTGAGTGCCCAGGAGGGGGACGTGCCTGGCACTCACACAATGAGTCGGGCAGGGAACGCGGCTGGACCCAGAGGGCCTGGAGGCTGTGAGGAGGGTGATCTGCCCCTCTCTGTAACAGGACAGCCCAGGAGGGTCTGTGCTCAGGGGTGCCACATGCCCCTTATGCTCCATCTCACGGCTGGTGCCAGCAGACCTGGACTCTTCCAGCTTCCCCAAGCGGTGCGGGACTGCCCGGGATAGAGAAGCATGCAGCGACCTTCCAGGCTGCAGCAGCAGAGGGGTGGGGGTGGCTGGGCCTGCGTGGTGGCCGCAGGGGAGAGGGACGTGGATGGAGGTGAAATGGACAGGTGTGTGGATTGCAAGGCAGCCTGGATGTGGGTGTGGGGGGCGTCATGGTCTTCCCTGCCACTGCAGACGAGGCAGCAGGCTCCTGGGGAAGCTGGAAGAGGCAGAACTGGGCTGCTCTGTTCTGAGGGCTTCTGCCCAGAGTTCCAAGTTCCAGGAGCTTCTAGGGGCTGGGGCCTGCCTGCATAGTGAGGGGATGAGTCCAGGTCTGCGGCACATGGCCTCTGCCGTCGGCCTTGCTCTCAGTGCAGAGCCGGCCTCGTCCTCATTGTGTGGCTCAGGAGATGGAGGCCCAGAGAGGCGAGGCTGGCACCTGCACAGGCCAGCTGCATAACCCAGGTCCAATTCCAGGTCCCAGAGCCAGGCTGCATGTTGACCCACTGCCAGGGATGACGGGCAGACTGCTACTCCCAACAGTGCCTCAGCTTTGTCACCTGGAGGGCAGGAGGGCAACAGGACCTGCTTGGAAGCTGAGAGTCCACATGCCCAGCAGGCATCCCGCCCTCCTCCGCCTCTTGACAAAGCAGGCCGGTCATGCTTCTGACACCAGGGCCGTGAGGAACGGCGTCCCCCTCCCTGGGTCCGTAGGCCTTTGACAGGTGGGGATGCCTGTCCCTGCTGGGCCCCAGGTTTGTATTTGCAGCCACAGAGCAGAGCAGGGAAGAGCCAAACTGACCCACCAGGAACCTCAGCTCTTCCCTGTCTGGGTCCTGCCCTGACCACATCCGTCACTGTCAACACCGGGAGGAGAGTGTGCGGCAGCCCACGCTCCCTGATGGCAGCCTTCCCCAGAGAGCCAGGCCCACCCCACCGACCCCAGCCTGGGGTCTCTCAAAGGCTCTGGGCACTGCCTTGGCTGAAGCCAGTCCTGAGCTCCAACTTAGGGACAGAACCGGCCCACCTTGGTGGATGGGGCTTGGCAACCTCCCAGATTCCCGAACACCCCCATAGGCCCCTTTCAGCCTCAGGTTTGGAGAGGCAGAGGGGGAAAGGTCCCAGCTAGCCAGCCAGGGGCAGGGAGAAGGTGTGCTGGTCTGGTCAGTTACCTCCCTGACTTCCTCATCCATGTGGCAGCTGAAGCCTGTGACAGGAAGAGGCAAAACAAAAACCAAACCTGTCCCTAAAGGTTAAGCTTATTGGTCCTTACGTGGGGGTGTAAAGTGTTTTATTCAGGTAAGCTGACGCATCCTGTTAGCTGAGCTAAACCAGACAGAGCTGACTGGAGGAGGCAGGGCTGATTTGAAAGATGAACCTCCAGCCGAGAGCGCCTGTGAGGATGCTTGGGGGCATCAGGATCTTCCTCCTGCAAAGCTGCAGGTCCTCATGTGCCTGATGCTCTCCCACTAATGGTTAGCTCTGTGACCTCCTCCAGGTTGCCTCAGTTACCTCAAATGTAAAATGCAGAATGAAGTCCCCCCTCCCCACCGCAGATGGGACACAGGTGAAGAAAGGTGGTCCGGTGACCTGCCCCATCCCAGGTGGCTCTTACTGAAGGTCGGCTTCTATTGTTAGGCCACGTGCACGTCCTTTACCTGGAAGATGATTGAAACCTGCACCTGGACAGTGCTACCAGCTGTGGGCCACCAGCTCTGCAGGGACCCAAGGCCCCAGTGCAGGCTCAGAACGAGGCAGAGACAGTACCGTGAACTGCTCCAGGCATCCACATTCTCAGGGACCAATCACCCTCCTCCGTGCCTGTTTGGGCCATCATGGGAGCGATTCAGGGCTGCTCAGGCCTTGGTCCTCTTGTCCTAAGGGAAGAAAGCTGAAAATACCTAGATGTCTAGATGGCCCTGGATCCACAACAGTCTCCATCAGGAGCACAGGAGCTGTGCATGACCACACCACCGATTTCCTCTTGGGAGACTTCTAGGGGTGGGGGGCTGTGGTAGCAAATACAGAGTGTGTATTACCCCAGCGTTAACCACGCAACTCCTAGCCTGGAACACTTAAAAGAGGAACCTGCCACCCTCCATGAGGCTGGAGAATCAGCGGGAGTTTCCAAAAGGCAGCTTTGGTTTAAACCACAAGATAATGGAGGGATTTGCATTTTGCTGAAGAAACCCCAAAGTGCCCTCCGACATTGTTTCAGTTCTGATTTTTTGTTCCTTTTTGAACGTCTCCTCTTGAAGCAATTTCTGGCCAAATCACACAAATAAAGAGCTAGAGAAACGGGTTACAGCTCGCTTCCCCAACTTGTTAATTAGGTTTGGAAATGTCTAGAGGGACTTGAACTTCAGTGACCAACCACCCTGGTTTGCCCTGGGGACATGGGACTGTCATTGCTAATACTAGGACAGTTCCAGGCAAACCGATGGGATGGTCAGCCTGCCTGCACCCTGGTCATTGTCTTCACCCATTGTTCCCTCATAAAGGTTGATAAGCACCTCACCTTTTGTAGTTGGTGGAGTCGCTGCTCCACCCCTCCTTTCCCTCGGCTGTGATGACTGGCAGGTGACTAGCCAATCAGATTCTTCCCTAGGATTCTTCGTTGGGGATTGGTGGATCACATCCTCACTTGCCCCCCTAACTCACAGAGTATGATGGAGGTGACTTAATGGTGACCATGGCTGGCTGGGCTCTCTCTGCCTCTGAGAGAGCGCTCCTCTGTAGAAGGAGAGAAAGAACCCAGGCAGGGACAGTGTGTGTACGTGTGTGGGTGCGTGCATGTGCGTGTGTGAGCCTGCAAACCCACGTGCCCACCCCCAGCTGTCTCTTGTCACTGCCATGACCAGATCGGGGTGCTGGGAGGATGGAAGAAGCCGTGGTCCCGTGCTCTGCCCTCTACTGTAGCAGAGAACCCGCTACACAGAGGTGACTGTGCAGGGGTGAGGGAGGTGGCGGACAAGGTATTTATGTGCAATAAATATTTAATTCCACCCAGCGCTCCTCCCGTAGCAACGTGGATCCTAGATTAGTTTTATACATTCCACCCACATCACCATACCCTTCAGCAAGGTTGATCCTGTCCTAATGCGAGTTTAAAAATTAAATCCACTTCGATGAACAAATGTCCTTTGCAGCTTCATCCCATTCTTTTATGCAGAGTAAATATGTTTGCACAATGGCTCTGGGAACAGCGCTCCAGAGCGGATCACACACGCGTACAACCCGGCTCGCGGCCCTGACTCCATGCATTATATATGACAGTCCCAATCCAGTCTCGCCACCGTGCTGGGGAGCGGGCAGCAGCTTGTCAGCGCCTTTAAATCAAGCGCGAAGCAGATTGTGAGCTGGTTCTGGGGAACAAAAAGCAGTAAAATAATTTGGGATTTTGAGAACCATTAGTTTAACTTAGGTGAGAATACGTGCCTGGAGTTTTCTCATCTGTTCATAAGCTTTAAAAATATACACAAAGCTGAACAACAAAAACAACCACCACCAAAAAAACAGCAATTGCCCCTTCTCCAAAACCGACCCTGCTTCCCAGTTTGTTTTTCCCGGGTTTGTGGAAGGTGACAGTGACCTCTCTCCTACACAGAGCTGTCGGTGGAGGCTGGAGATTTGGTCGCGCCACCGTGTTCTAGGGTTTGGAGACTCAATTAAGATATTAAAAATAGGACTTGGGGCCAGCAGGGTGCTTCCGTGGAGCTGTCTTTGTTTATGTCTTCAGCAAGCGGCCTGTGAAAGCCCCTCCAGTCCCAGGGAGGCTGGAGAGTTCTAAAGGGGATTATCTGCCTCCCGGGGTATAAATTCCAGTTTACTCTGACACAAACTATTACCCTGCAAACACTGGCCATCCGTCTTCAGGTGCCCGGCAGATACTCGGCGCCGGTGCTATTATCTCTGGGAAATTAAAGTGGGCCGCAGGGTGAGGGATGCTTACTGCTGGAGCCCCAGGTTCCTCTGCCTCAAGGCCGACGCTGACCTCCAAATAGTCCCAAGCATGAATTGGTTTGTCTCTCTGGGTGGTGATGCCCGACGTCCTCACTCTCACCCTCTGCTCCTTCGTAAGGGTTGATAAGCACCTCACCTTTTCTAGCTGGTAGGGGGCTTTATAAAGGGCAATGTTGCTGCTGCCAGCCCAGGGGTCTGAGCAAGGAGGAGGTGACAGTGCTGGGACAGAGGAAAGGGGAAGGAGAAAAGAAGGAAGGAAGAGGGGAGAGGAAGAAAAGACCATGTTGCATAGCAGAGCAGGGCCTGTCCCACCCTGCTATCCTGGGCTAGAGAAAATCCCCCCTTTAAAGTATTCAGAGTCAGGCTCCCTTCCTCACCATCTAAGAACCCCTGGGCCTGGGTGCTGGGGGAGGCCCACTCGGTACCTTCATCCCAGCACTCTTTGTCCAACGTAAAGGCTTTGTTGAGATGTAAATCACAGACCATAGAATTCACCCTTTTATTTTATTTTATTTTATTTATTTTTTAAAGACAGATTCTAACCCCGTTGCCCAGTCTGGAGTGCAGTGGTGTGATGTCAGCTCACTGCCACCTCCACCCCCCGGGTTCAAGCAATTCTCCTGCCTCAGCCTCCCCAGTAGCTAAGGTTACAGGCATGCGCCAACACGCCTGGCTAATTTTTGTATTTTTAGTAGAAATGGGGTTTCACCATGTTGGCCAAACTGGTCTCAACCTCCTGGCCTCAAGTGATCCACCCACCTCGGCCTCCCAAAGTGCAGGGATTACAGGCGGGAGCCGCTGCGCCTGGCGGAATTCGCCCTTTTAAAGTGCACAGGTTTTCTGTATAGTTACAGGATCGTGCAGCCATCATCATATTCTAGTTTTAGGACATTTTCATCACCTTAAAAGAAACCCTGGACCCTTTGGCTGTTACCCCCCTGCCACCCTTCTTCTCATCCCCTGGCCACAAGGAATGTTCTCTCTGTCTGTCAATCGGCCCATTGTGGCGATTTCCCGTCAGTGGAATCCTGGGCTGTGTGGCCTGGCTTCTCATGTGGGGCATGTTAGGAGGGCTTGCCCTGTTGTTGCCTGGACCCATGCTCCCTGCCTTCCGTGGCTCACTCTTGTTGCCCTCTGCTCCCTCATAAGGGCTGATAAGCACCTCACCTTTTGTAGCTGGTAGGGGGCTTTATAAAGGGCAATGTTGCTGCCAGCCCAGGGATCTGGGCAGGGAGGAGGTGACAGCACGGGGACAGAGGAAACGGGGAAGGACTCTCCCCTCTGTGGGGAGACCACACTGTGTTCATCCCTTTCTGTTGAGGGTACCTGGGTCACCTCCACCTTTTGGGGATTGTGAAGTGTGCTACTATGAACGTGCTTGTGCGGGGGTTTGTGTGGAGGCCTGTTTCATTTCTCTTGGGTATATTCCCAAGGTTGCTGCTGGGGGCTGTTGGAGGAGCTGCCAGCCTGTTTCTACCACAGCTGCCCCATCTCACATTCCCACGTCCTAAGCATGTTATTGGTCGGCTTTGCCTTGAGCACTGGAACAAACCACCCTGTTGGCAGGTGTGCCTTTTGCTGAACCCATTCTCTACAGATGTTAGGATCTCTTACTGCAAAGGAGATCCTGACACAAGAGCCGGGGGACCCTTGCCTGCCCATGAGGCCTGAGTAGTGGCAGGGTCACCAGCTGACGGCGACAGTGACTCCTGGAATTGGAAGACGGAGCCAGCGGGGCAGGGTGGGGGGTCAGGGGGTGGAGAGGAGAGTCAGCTTCAGCAGAGAAGGCTCTGAAAGGTCATCTGGTCTCAATGGTTGGAGTCCGTCCTGTTGCAGAGCTTGCTCAAAGCTGTACTGGAGCCCTGGCTTCTCGCCCACCCTTTCCCTGGCCTGGGCTGCCACTGGGCACTGCAGCCTGGACTATCTGGAGTCAGGGAGTTTATCTGGCAGGAGGCACCCATCCTCCAGAGGGGCCTGCCATCAGGTGCCCTCTGGAGAGGCTACCAGGGGCAGGGAACTGGGTCTGCTGGGTCGGCTTTTGCCTTTCAAACTTGGTAGCCACCCCCCAGTCACTCCAGGAAGAGGAAGAAGACACCTCTGAGGCTGGAGGAAAGAAATCGGGCAGAATTTACTCCCTTGCTACCAGAACTCTATGAATACCTGGCCTGTTTGTTCAAGCAGGCTTGAGCTCTGCTACCTGTGTCCCTGGTGTGCTGTGAATGGAGCACGAGACATAACACCAAGCAGGACCCATGGGGCTCTGCAGGGGAGAAGACAGACCAGGTTGTGTGTGTGTGTGTGTGTGTGTGCACTCATGTGTGCGTTCGTGCACGTGTGTAAAGAATGAGTTCTTACCACTCTAGACAATGGAGAACTAGTTTTTCTGGGCTTCGTTTTTAGTGAGTCATTGACTTCTTCCTAATCAAATGATCTATGTAGAAAAACACCAGTAGGACTGACAGATACATGGCCTATTTCTGCTAGACATATTGGGCCTACAGAAGTCCAAACCATTTCTTTTCCCCAGCAATGCCAATTAGAAAATATAATTCTGAAAAAGATGCCATTCACCACAGGAACAGAATTCATTAAGTATCTAGGAATCAACCAAAAATGTCCACTCTGATACAAGATGTGGAAGACAGTCTGAAGACGGGCAGGGCTCTGCGCGCTCCACACTCTCAGAAGCAGCGGCCTGATGTCAGGACAATGCCGAGTGTCTCCAGACGAACCCACAAATTCAACGCAATCGCAATCAAGAGTGCTTGTGGAGCTCAGCAGTGATGGAGGAGTTAAGGTCCTCAGATGGCTAGCTCAACATTAGAAAAGAAGGGCAAAGGGCGTGGGCTTGTCTTGTGAGATAGGAAGATGCCCTGCAAAGACGCAGCAATAAATGCCACGTGGCACTGGCAAGAAGAGCAACGGCCTAGAACCAAGAGCCCAGAGACATGGCCAACATTGACCCAAGTGGGAACTTAAATCCCAAAGGCAACACTGCAAATCCAATGGGGAAGGAGCATGTGGTCTGGTTGATGTTTGCTTAGCAGATAGAGGTCAGCAATGAATTTCTACACCTGTGGGTCACAGACACGGGAGGACTCCATGGATTAAAGGGCCAGATTGGAAAAGTAGAAAATCAGAAAGCCAAAAGACTGCAGAGTATCTTTAGGGCTTAAGGGCTGCAAAAGCCTTCTTAAAGAAAACTTATTTATTTAGACAGGGTCTCAACCTGTCATCCAGGCTGGAGTGCAGTGGTATAATCACAGCTCACTGCAGCCTCGAATTCCTGGGCTTAAAGGATCCCCCCACCTCAGCCTCCTGAGCAGCTAGGGCTACTGGCATGTACCAACACACCTGGCTAATTTATTTTTTTGTAGGGATAGGGTCTCGCCATGTGGTCTTGAAGTCTTGGGCTCAAGCAATCCTCCTACCTTGGCTTCCTGAAGTGCTGGGATTCTGGTTCAAACTCGCTACACATAGGGAAACCGAGGCTCTGAGGGGGGAGCACGGTGTGCGTGCACATACACACACACACAGGCACACACCTGGTCTGTCTTCTCCACTGCAGAGCCTCACGGGTCACACGCACACACCTGGTCTGGGATTACAGGCATGAGCAACCACACTCAGCTAAGAAAACTTTAGAAGCCAAAATTACTAGCTCAAAAAACTGTAGGGGGCAAAGTCCACGGAGAGCTGATAGAAAGGAAGAAGAGATTTGCAATGTCTGAAGCCCACAAAGGTCGATGTCTAGAGCTAAGGCATGAGCAGTGAAAGGCAGCAGTTCCCGCAGAGAAAGCTAGGAAGGAGCAGTTTACTCGGGCAGCAGTTACGTTGTCCACTGTGAAGCTCATGAGCACCAGCAAGATGTTCCAAATCCCGGGCACACTCAGGAAGCAGGAGCGTGCAAAGAGTCGGTGGGAAAATGTAGAAACCAGCACCGGGCCGGGCGGGGTGGCTCATGCCTGTAATCCCAGCATTTTGGGAGGCCGAGGCGGGTGGATCACGAGGTCAGGAGATCGTGACCATCCTGGCTAACACAGTGAAACCCCGTCTCTACTAAAAAATACAAAAAATTTAGCTGGGCATGGTGGCAGGTGCCTGTAGTCCCAACTACTCAGGAGGCTGAGGCAGGAGAATGGCGTGAACCCGGGAGGCGGAGCTTGCAGTGAGCCGAGATCGCACCACAGCACTCCAGCCTGGGCGACAGAGCGAGACTCTGTCTCAAAAAAAAAAAAAAAAAAAAAAAAAAACAGCCAGCACGGCCCCCACTGGAGCACAGCCTTTCTATACAGTCCAGTTTTACTGCTCGAAGTCCCCACCTTGGTGTGAGCCAGGAGGACTCTGACACAGGTTCCGTCGGGGGCGGGTAGGGGGGGGAGGCGGCGATTGGGGGCGGGGGTGGCACTGCAGCATTGGCGCTGGGAGTGAAGGTAGGCTTACAGGCCACCTGGGTCACCCAGTAGGTGCAGCCCGGGGAGTGTGGCACGGCTGTGGAAAGCGTCGGGCTGAATGCAGATGCACCAGGATGGGTGATGGTAAAAGTCACACGTGCATGATGCAAATTCGGTGGAGGAAGTAATGTTCAGAGCCAGGTGCCACAGATGCCATTTACCTAAGTTAAAAATACACACACACAGATTCATTTTGAAAGAACATGGTTAAAATAAAAAGCTATGCACTAAACACAAGAAAGTGTTGTTTAGGCATGGAGGAGAGGCAGGGAAAGAGAAGGAGTGTGGGATAAAGGGAGAGGGAGAGAAAGGAGTCTGTGGGGACGCGGCACTGGTGGATAATGGTGCCTACCCCGGCCCCAGGCCTTTCGAGGTTGGATTTTTGGCTTCTCTGGTGTCCGCTGGTGTTTGCAGAGCCCCAGAACATCCTCGCACCCTGCTCTCTGCAGCAGCATTCCCCCCAAGCACACCTACCAGGAGGTGGGGAAAGCAAATCTACCCACTCTTCCCTGGAGACCCGAGGAGGACTGGCATTCCATCCAGGTGGCTCCCTTTGCTGGAAGAACCCTTGGGAGGACTATGGCCATTTGTCTGGGAGATGGAGCAAAGGGGAGGAAGGCCAAGAGAAACCATTGCTTGGACCTAGGGACACGGGGAGAGGGGAGGGAGAAGACTGCTCTGTGCAGTACGACTCTCCCTCAACTCAGCATGACTGTCCCCCAAACTCAGCACCACTACTCCCTGCTCTTGGCATGACTGTCCCAACTCTCAGCAGGGCTGTCTCTCCCTCTCAGCAGAAGGGGCTGCAGCTCTCACCTGCCCTTATTGGCATGGCCTGCCAGGAGCTGGTCCAAGGTCCCGCATCCCAGGTGGGGAGAGCCCCGGTCTGTGTGGACCCACAGTCCCTGCTCCTCACACAGGCATGGGGCTGCTGGGAGGCCTCCCACTCAGGGGGATAACAGGTGCTCAATAAACCTCATGCTCCCAGGCTGGGGCCTGATGCCTGAGTCAGGAGGCAGGGGTGGCCTGGGCTGTCCTGAGGACTGGACGAGGTGGGATATTGGTGAGGAAGAGGTAGTGAGGGGTCAGGCTGGGTCAACTCCGTGAGCTGCTGGGTCCCTGCCCAGGGGTTGGGGATGGAATAATTCCATGGGTCTTCCGAAAACCCCTGTCCTGGAGCCGGCACATGGTGACAGAGCGTGCCTCTCTGGAGAAAAGAATGAGGAACCTAGGGCAGGAATGGGGCTAGTCAGCCACAAGGAGGAAGCAGGGGCAGAAGTGGGGCTAGTTAGCCACAAGGAGGAAGCAGGGCCGTGTGTCCTGAGGTTGAGGAGAGGAAGCCCATGGGTGTGGACGCATCTGGCATTGCTCAAGGAAAGTCCTGGATTCCTCTTCCCCCCAATAAGAAATAACCAAACAGAGGTGGAGCAGGCAGCCCTTGGTCCCTTTCCTGGGGTCTGGGCTCTGGTTTGACTCGGCAGAGAACCTCTCCCCAGCGGCAGGGCTGCAGGCACAGTCTGTCCTCACAGCCAAGCAAAGGTGCCCTCTGCTTCCTCACAGGACCCTAAAGAGTAATGTGTGGAGGGCCCCACCGGGTCCAGCCAGGCGAGCTGTCCATCTTCCCACCACCAGCCAGACACGATAAGCAGAAAATGAGGGGGCGTGTCCCAACAGAGGGACGGGGATAGCCCAGCCCAGGGGATACGCCTGGGCTCGACACTGGTTCCAACCCCCACTCCGGAGGGAGCCAACTGCCCTGTGGCAGCTCTGGTGCCTGGAGGAGCCAGGTCTCTGGGTGGGTGAAGGGGACACAGCTGCTGCTCTCAGGTGCCCACTGGGGCCGGTGGGTCCTGGAAAGCTCCACCAGCAATGGTGGCACATTTTAAGGAGAACCTGGCTCTAGGTGTCACTCTAAGTCGGTTCCTGACTCCACGGCTCTCCGCTGGGCTTTTGGTGATGTTGCTTCACCTGCTGAGGCCATAACTTGGACATCTACCCCCAAGGTCTGCATTAGCAGAACTTTAGTGTTCCTTGAGACTCTTGCTCAGGAAGATGAAACTTGCAAAGGACTTCATTGCTCATTGCAGGAATCTCCCTAAAGACCCTGTATTAGTCAGGGTTCCCTAGAGGGACAGAACTAATAGATGTATATATGAAGGGGAATTGATTAGGAGAATTGACTTACGCGATAACAAAGTGAAGTCCCACCATAGGCCATCTGCAAGTTGAGGAGCAAGGAAGCCAGTCTGAGTCCCAAAACCTCAAAAGTAGGGAAGCCGACAGTGCAGCCTTCAGTCTGTGGCCAAAGGCCTGAGAGCCCCTGGCAAACCACTGGTGTAAGTCCAAGAGTCCAAAAACTGAAGAACTTGAGTCTGATGTTCGAGGGCAGGAAGCATCGAGCACAGGAGAAAGATGAAGGCTGGAAGACTCAGAAAGTCTAGTCCTTCCATCTTCTTCTGCCTGCTTTATTCTAGCCGCGCTCATAGCTGATTAGATGGTGTCCATCCAGATTGGGGGTGAATCTGCCTCTCCCTGTCCACTGACTCAAACGTTACTCTCCTCTACCAACTCCGTCACAGAAACACCCAGGAACAATACTTTGCATCCTTCAATCTAATCAAGTTGACACTCAGTATTAATCATCACAAGTCCACCCCCTGTCAACTTGAACCCATACACATTCTCCTGGTATCATATGTAATTTTCAAATAAAGACAATAATAAAGTCATAATTACACCTAACATAATATAGCTGTCCTTCGTACAACTGGAAGCACACTAATCCTTAACCTAAATGATATTATATAAAGTTAACAACACTTAAATGTTGATATGAAGTCAATAAATCTTATGTCACATGGTAGAAGGAAAAAGAAGAAATAAAGTGAAGATATTTTCTTAGTACAAGGGTATACATGCACAAACATATTCCTAATAAAATAAGGAGGAAATACTCATGACAATTACAGTCCTCATTTCTGCACCTAGTCACGTGGTTGTAGCTGGTACTGATGACTACCTTCTTCTACTACCTGTTCTGTATTCCCTTTGCCTTCAGCAGGCACCTCAGCGGGTTGTGGTTCTTATTTTTTATTTATTTATTTTTGAGACGGAGTTTCACTCTTGTTGCCCAGGCTGCAGTGCAATGGTGTGATCTCGGCTCACTGCAATCTCCACCTCCCAGGTTCAAGCCATTGTCCTGCCTCAACCTCCTAAGTAGCTGGGATTACAGGCATGCGCCACCATGCCTGGCTAATTTTTCGTATTTAGTAGAATCAGGGTTTTGCCATGTTGGTCAGGCTAGTCTCGAACTCCTGACCTCAGGTGATCCACCCACCTCGGCCTCCCAAAGTGCTGGGATTACAGGCATGAGCCACCGCACCTGGCCTGGGTTATGGTTTTTTACCTGGTGGAGTGACTCAATCCTTCATTCCTGAAGGGTCTGGGCCAACTGGAGTCCTGCCTGGACTGGGCTGTTGTAGTTTCCCATTGACCTTAATTACAGGGCAGGAGGTCCCATTGACCTTAATCACAGAGGAGACACCCTAAGAAATCTGTACTCCATGCATACTCTTCCTTACCTCCGCTGTGGAGCAGTAGACTGACTTTATCTCGATGGTCTGGGTCAATCACCCCAGCCAACACTGTAACTCCCTTCTTAGGCTGTTGACTTAGAGGCAGGAGGAGGTCCTGTCCCAAAGTGTCCAGATGGCAATCTTAACTTCCAGTTTAATGGAATCATTGTGGTGTCTCCTGGTGGCAGCGTTCCTCCCTCTGGAACTAAGACCTCTAGGCCAGCAGAACATAATGTTGCGGGAACAGAAAGCAAACATTTTGCTAGTGGGTCACTAGGGGTGATGGTGAGTGGTGCCACTTCCACTTCCACTGCTTGATTCCTGGAGCCATGAATCCTGGCTATGGGGAAAATAGTATCATATATTTGATGCAGGTTCAGAGCATACACAGCCTCCTGGAGAACTTTGCCCCAGGCTTGCAAAGTATTGTCACCTAGCTGGCGTTGTAATTGTGATTCCGAAAGGCCATTTCACCATTCTTTTTTTTTTTTTTTTTTTTTTTTGAGACGGAGTTTTGCTCTTGTTGCTCAGACTGGAGTGCAATGGTGCAATCTTGGCTAACCACAATCTCTACTTCCCGGGTTCAAGCGATTCTCCTGTCTCAGCCTCCTGAGTAGCTGGGATTACAGGTGCATGCCACCATGCCCGGCTAATTTTTGTATTCTTAGTAGAGACAGGGTTTCATCATATTGGTCAGGCTGGTCTCCAACTCCTGACCTCAGGCGATCCGCTCACCTTGGCCTCCCAAAGTGCTGAGATTACAGGCGTGAGCCACCGCGCCTGGCCCATTTCACCATTCTATCAATCCAACTACTTCAGGACAATGGGGAACATGGTAAGACCAGTGAATTCCATGAGCAGGAGCCCACTGCCACACTTCTTTAGCTGTAAAGTGAGTGCCTTGGTCAGAGGCAATGCTGTGTGGAATACCATGATGGTGGATAAGGCATTTCGTGAGTCTATGGATGGTAGTGTTGGCAGAGCACTGCGTACAGGATAGGCAAACCCATATCTGAAGTGTCTATTCTAGCGAGGACAAATGGTTGCCCTTTCCATGATGGAAGAGGTCCAATATAATCAATCTGCCATCAAGTAGCTAGCTGATCACCCTGGGAAATGGTGCCGTATCAAGGGTTCAGTGTTAGTCTCTGCTGCTGGCAAACTGGGTACTCGGCAGTGGCCATATCCAGATCAGCCTTGGTGAGTGGAAGTTCATGTTGCTCAGCCCATGTGTAACCTCCATCCCTGCCATAATGGCCACTTTGTTCATGGGCCCACTGGGCTATGACAGGGGTGGCTAGGGAAAGAGGCTGAGAGGTGTCCACAGAAGAGGTCATCCTATCCACTTGATTATTAAAATCCTCCTCTGCTGAGATCACCCATTGGTGAGCACTCACATGGGATACAAATACCTTCACAGTTTTTGACCACTCAGAGAGGTCCATCCACATACCTCTTCCCCAGATTTCTTTGTCACCAATTTTCCAATCATGCTTCTTCCAAGTCCCTGACCATCCAGCCAAACCATTGGCTACAGCCCATGAGTCAGTATACAATCACACATCTGGTCATTACTCCTTCCATGCAAAGGGCACAACCAGGTGCACTGCTCGAAGTTGCCCACTGGGAAGATTTTCCTTCACCGCTGTCCTTCAGGGATGTACTAGAAAGGGGATGTAGTGCGGCAGCTGTCCACTTTCGGGAGGTGCCTGCATATCATGCAGAACCATCTGTGAACCTGGTCTTCTCTTTGTCTGTCAACTGATCATAGGGAACTCCCCATGAGGCCATCGGTGCAGGATGGGGGAGAAAAGGGAGGGTGGCAGGAGTGGAGACCATGGGCATTTGAGCCACTTCCTCATATAACTGACATGTGCCTTCAGTACTTGATCAAGCCCAATCACGTAGATATTTGGTGATGGAATGCTGCTGTACGTGACCCACTTTATGGCTAGATGGGTCAAAAAGCACCCAGTTCATGACATGCAGTTCAGGTCACATGGTGGCTTGATGACCCATAGTCAAACTTTCAGTTTCCATTAAAGCCCTGTAACAGGTCAAGAGCTGTCTTTCCCAAGGAGAGTAGTTATCTGCAGAAGATGGCAGGGCCTTGCTCAAAAATCCTAGAGAACTCCACTGTGATTCACCTATAGGGGCCTGCCAGAGGCTCCAAACAGCATCCCTATCTGCCACTGACACCTCAAGCTCCATTGGATCTGCTGGGTCATATGGCCCAAGTGGCAGAACAGCTTTCACAGCAGCCTGGACCTGTTGCAGAGCCTTATCCTGTTCAGGATGTAGGTCAAAACTAGCAGCCTTTCTGTTCACTCAATAAATGGGCTGGAGTAACATGTCCAAATGAGGAATGTGTTGCCTCCGAAATCCAAATAGGCCCACGAGGCGTTGTGCCTCTTTCTTCGCTGTACGAGGTGCCAAATGCAGCAACTTATCCTTCACCTTAGAAGGAATATTTCGACAGGCCCTGCGTCACTGGACCCCTAAACATTTTACCGAGGGAAAAGTTCCCTGAATTTTACTCAGATTTATTTCCTACCCCCTAGCACACAAATGTCTCACCAATAAGTCCAGTGCGTTTGCTACTTCTTGCTCACTGGATCCAATCAGCATAATCTCATCAACGTAATGGACCAGTGTGATACCTTGTGGAAGGGAAAAACGATGAAGACCTCTGCAAACACGATTATGACACGAAGGTGAAGAGTTGATATACCCCCGAGATAGGACAGTGAGGGTATATTGCTGGCCTTGCAGGCTAAAGGCAAATTGCTTCTGGTAGGCCTTATGGACAGGAATGCAGAAAAAGGCATTTGCCAAATCAATGGCTGCATACCAGGTACCAGGAGATGTGTTAATTTGTTCAAGCAGTGAAACCACATCTGGTACAGCAGCTGCAATTGGAGTCACCATTTGGTTAAGCTTACGATCATCCACTGTCATTCTCCAAGATCCATTTGTCTTCTGTACAGGCCAAATGGGAGAGTTGAACAGGGATGTGGTGGGAAACACCACCCCTATGTCTTTCAAGTCCTTGATGGTGGGACTAATCTCTGCAACCAAGAGACTCTTCCCGTTGACTCTTCAACAGGAATCCAGAGTGTATGCTCCAGGACTCTTGAACCCTCTTCATCTCAAGGTACTGGCTGTACTGTGTGCACCCACCCAAAACTATTACATCGAAATCCCCTGACCCAGCCCTCTGGAAGATCCACCCTAAACCAGACTTGGAGCTCTCAAGAAGCTGGACCTTCCCTTTCCTTCCCTTCCTGATCTGAGGCACTGCTGTAGCACTCTGAGCTGGCACTGTCCCTCACTGTGGTGAGCCGGGAACTCAACTTTGTCCTGTCCACAGTTGTTGGGGATATTTGGAGAGTGTCATTTGAGTCTCTGCCATTCCTCCCGCATACGTGGAGTCCTGAACTAACGTGCCTGGGAGGGCTCCTCTGTGCAGTCATCTGCATGCAGCTCCTGGGGTGTGTGGACCCAGAGCAGGTGTGCAGCGAGCCCCACCCTCTCTCAGGTGGCTTCTTATTCCGTGGCATTGTCGCTGTATTACCTGAGCTTCAACAGGTGAGCACAGTGTGGCACCCCTATGGCAAGCATAAACCAGTTATAAGGATGTTTCTTGATTTCAGAAATAGCAAGGAACACCCGGGCACAGTGGCTCAAGCCCGTAATCCCAGCACTTTGGGAGGCTGAGGCAGGCAGATCACCTGAGGCCAGGAGTTTGAGACCAGCCTGGCCAACATGGCAAAACCTCGTCTCTACTAAAAATGCAAAAAATTAGCTGGGAGTGGTGGCAGGTGCCTATAATCCCAGCTACTCAGGAGGCTAAGGCAGGAGAATCGCTTGAACCCGGGAAGTAGAGGCTTCAGTGAGCCGAGATCACGCCACTGCACGCCAACCTGGGCAACAGAGCAAGACTCTGTCTCAGGAAAAAAAAACAAAACAGAAACAGCAAGGACCCCCAGGTCCACTAGAGCAGAGAGGAAGTACCACATGGCACACCCTGGGGGTGAGGAGGCCGCAGAGGCTGTCCTGGGGATGACTAACTCCAGGAGGAAGTGGAGCAGGACCCCTCTGGCTGCCCTGGTTGTAATCTCGAGGGGCAGGGTGCGGTGAGGGCATATCCCCAATGATCCGCACAGCAGCCTGTGACTGATCCTGTGTCATCTGCCAGAAGGACCCTTCCTGGGGCTTGGGCAGCCAGGCTTTTTGCTAGATTATATTTTCTTTTGGTTGCAGCCACACTTCTTCTCTTCATAATAAACTGTTGCATTTTACAGTGTGAGAGTTTCTGCCTTGCTGACCCATGGGGTCAGAACCCCTCGGGGGTGGGCATGGTCCAGGGGGAAGGAATTCCCTCTGTCCACTCTGACCAGCCCCACTCTGACCAGCCTCACTGGCTGGCCTCTCCCTCTGTATCCTTCCAAGGCTCATCTCAGGCTGCAGACCCAGCACGTGAAGCAACAGCCAGGCTAGGGGTTGCTCAACCTCCCAGAAGCCTGAGCTGCAACAGGGAAGTGAACCAGCAGGCATTCAACATCCCCAAACCTCCCAGAGACAGCTGGGCTATAGCTTGTGGTGGGAGCAATACAGGACGATGGTGACCCTTATGTGTTCTATTTATTTTACTTAAATAGTTTATTTAAGCTTGCTCTTTTAAGTGAAATTTAACACCCATTCACCAGAGTGCATAAACTAAACCTGCATCACCCAATGAAGCCAAAACCCATCTCCAGCCCCCCGTGCCCCTTCCAGGCCTAAGGGCTCCCCCTCCTAAGGGAGCGGTCGTCTCACTGGCCCCTGCTAAGGGAGCGGTCATCTCACTGGCATGGTCTGGGCCTTTTTCTCCACGTTGCCACCGAGCATGCATTCCTTCACACTGCTGTTCAGTTTTGCCCACTTTCAAACTCTGTACAGATGCAAATGAACAGTTCGCATGCCTTAGTGCTGGCGCCCTGGATGCTCCGTGTGCTTGCGGATTTCAACAAAGCTTTTGCGTGAAGCTGGAATCCGATCATTTTATGGGTCTACAGGATGCTCCAGTATGAACGAACCTCAGCTGACGGCCCCATTCTGCTGCGGATGGACGTTTGGGTTGTTTCCGGCGTGGGGCTGGACATTTTCACACGTGTCTTCTTTCCAGCTGGGCACACCTCTCTGTTGAGTAGAACTGAGCTGAACATCGCTGGTTATGGAATATGCTGGTCGTAGGGAATTGTTGGGAATACTGCCAGTTTTCCGAAGTGCTTGTACCAAGGTTTCTGACACTTCTTCACCAAAACCTTGCAGAGTTGGCTGTTTAGAAAAATTTTAGTGTCTGCAGTCATCTCATGAGATTTAAGTTTTCATTTCTTGGATTAGTTATGAAGTTGAGCATGTTTTCATACTTCCATCATCTATTAAATATTATCTTTTATAAGCGTTTGTTGAAGTCACTTTCCCACTTTCTACAACATCGTTGATTTACAGAAACCCTTTATTCTGGATACAAGCCTTTTGTCACTTCTGTGTGTTGAAACCTCTCTTCCCTCACCCTGGCTCGTCTTTTCCCTCCCACGGTGGTGTATTTTGAAAAAGAAATAATACTATTTTCATGATCAATTTTTCCACTTGTCCTTTATGGTTTGTGGTTTTCCATCTTATTTAAAATAACTGCAAGGCTATTGGAGATCTTATAATATGATCTAAAACTGCTGTTTTCCCTCTCACATTTGGGTCTACCCTTCTCCTGATGTGGATTTTTTTTTCATCTGATAAAAGTCAAGTGTAACTTCTTGTTTTTCCATATGACTCTCCAGTAGTTTGTGCCACTCATTGAAAGTTTATTCTTTCACTATTGCTCTTTAGAGCCACCATGTCATAAATCTAGGGTCCGTATGTGCCTGGATTTGCTTCTGCACTCCCTACTCACTTCCCTAGGTTTGCTGTGTACGCCTAAGCCAGCCCCACACTGTCTCCATCACTATCGCTTGATAATGACTGCTGGTGTCACTTCAAGCAACTCACCCTTGTTTTTTCTTGCTCAAGAATAGCATGGCTATCAGCCTCTTGCCTTTATATAAATTTTATTTATTTATTTATTTATTTGTTTATTTATTTAGACAGAGTTTCACTCTGTTGCCCAGGCTGGAGTGCAGTGGTGCAATCTCGGCTCACTGCAACCTCCACCTCCCGGGTTCAAGCAATTCTCCCACCTCAGCCTCCTGAGTAGCTGGGACTACAGGCATGTACCACCACACCCTGCTAAATATATATATTATATATTTTTTGAGATGGAATCTCACTCTGTCGTCCAGGCTGGAGTACAGTGGCTCGATCTTGGCTCACTGCAACCTCCGCCTCCTGGGTTCAAGCAATTCTCCTGTCTCAGCCTCCTAAGTAGCTGGGTTTACAGGTGCCCACCATCATGCCTAGCTAATTTTTGTATTTTTAGTAGAGACAGGGTTTTACCATGTTGGCCAGGCTGGTCTTGAATTCCTGACCTCAAGTAATCTACCTGTCTCAGCCTCCTAAAGTGATGGGATTACAGGTGTGAGCCACTGCACCCGGCCCTTTATATAAATTTTAAATTCACCATGTCAATTGTCACAGAAAATGGTAGTTTAATTGATAATACAGTGGATATTTAGATAAATTAAGAGAAGATGAATGTTTTTCCTATATTTGGTATTCTAATCCACACATATAGAATATCCTTCTAATTATTTTAATCTTCTTTTAGGTCTTTCTGTTCCTATTTGATAGTTTTGTACACAGAAGACCAGCATGGATGTTGTTAGACTTATTCACAGTTATTTGAATTTGGTGTTGCTGATGCAAATTTTTTAAATTTCATTTTTAAATTCTTTGAGGCTAGTTTTTAGAAGCACAATTGATTTTTGCTAAACTTTTTATTCTGCTAGTTTATCTGTAGAAACTCTAGAATTTTCTACATCCTCAATCATGTCTTCTGAAAATAACAACTTTGTGTCTGCCTTTCCAATCTTTTTATGGTTTTGTTCTCTTGCCTACTGCACTGGACAGTGACATGCAATACAATGTTGACCACAGTGGTGATGACAAGCATCCTTATTTGTTCTCAGTCTCTGAGGATGGTTTTCCATTTTTCCTGTTAATTATGTTGTAACTTCTGTATCCACAGCTTCCAAAGACCTCTTTCTATATTCTGTTGTTTCTGTTGGTCCTTATACACATTGTCTTTTATTCCCATGAGCCTGGTTATCGTTGATTGTGTTTTAACATTTCATTTGAAAAAAATAAAACACTTTGCAGAAATAATGACCTGGGATGATGTCATTCTCCTTCAGAGAAGATTTTTGTTTCTTTCAGCAAGGAGCCTGGGGGCATGAGCAATAATTCCAGGAGTTGAGATTCCTTTCCTGGGACACTTAGATGTCTCAAAACCAGTTTGCAGCCCTTGTGAATGTTGGTTGTTGCTCACTCATCCTATTGCTAGGGTGCAGCCCTTCTGAAAGCCAACCCCAAACCCATACCTTTGGCAGGCCGTAGGCCCCAGTCTTTGACCTTCAGCTCTGCAAGATGGTGAAATCACTGCCCAACTTCTCACCTCTCTTTTGGAGATTGGCAAATCCCTGTGCAAAAAGAGGTCCCCACTACTAGTTTCACTTCTCTAAGATTTCTGTGGCTCCTGAGAGCTTGGCAAAGTAATCCTTTACTACATAGCTAGCTTGACGGTGCCTTCGAGCAAATCTCTTTTTAAAGGTTTTGTCTGTTTGTCCTTAATAGGATGCCCCCAAATACCTAAACTGCCATTGCCAGGAATCAAATGACTTTTGTTGATCCAATGTTAAGATATTTTAACTTGCCAGAATCTTGCATTCTTTCATACTCTTGGGAACATTGACTTGATATCTGAAGGTGGTGTTGACTTCTCACCTGAAATAAACCTATTGATGTTGCAAGGAAGAGGAGGTCCCCTCACACCCAGGGGGCAGCTGGCAAATGGAATTGAGGGGCACAGACCTGCTGGCTTTCTCCCTGTTCTGACCCAATCCCAGGTGAGTGCTGCTCCTGAATTGGATCCTCTCCAAGAAAGGAGGCCGCACCACTGACACCCAGACCTCTCCCGCCTGGGCCAGTAGCTCAGGGACACTAAGCGGTGTCTGAGGCAATGAAGCCTCCTGCCGTTGTCTCTCAACAGGCTGGAGCCAACACACACAAACACACACAGTCGAGAGTCGTTGTGGTGCCCAGAGAGCCTGGACACAAGGTCCTGTGTCTCCTGGATCCCCCACCCCTGGGCCGCCCCTCCACTTCTCTCCCACCTGGGGAGCCCTTGAGTTTGGAAACCCAGTCTACACACGCTGGCTCAGAGAAGTTGCAAACCACAAAACAACACCTCTCCCTGCTCCTTAGTCCTGCTACCATCTGACTCTCGTTAGTGACTATTTCTATACGTTCTAAAAATCCCGCACAAAGTGTCCACAGCGTGGCCTGGCTAAGCATGATTCACAGCACGAGATGCGGAGTAGGAACATGGCCTCAGGGATTTGGGGGAACAAGAGGCATCCCCACCTTCAGGTGAAATGAGCAATCCCAGTGATCTACAAGGCGTTAGACAGAATTGAGTCCAATGCCTGGCTCTTACTAGTGGAGTGACTTCAATTTCTCCAGCTGTAACTTTCAAATAATTTACTCCACCGAATGGGGCTGGTGCAAGATGATATGATGGAAATAGTATTTGGGACATAACAAGTGCTCAACATTTTTTTCCTCTCCATCCATGATAAGTGCCTGATGACGGACAAACCCTGAATTTTCTGGGAACAGATGAGGCAAGGAAGCGTCTTCAGCAAAACCTTCCTTATCCCCCAAGGTTAAGGTCAAGGTTTCCGAGTATTGCTTGGGGACAGCTGGGGAATGGAAAGGGGGTGTGGGGGCTGTGTTCTCCTTAAGCCACAAGCAAAGCCGATGCTTTCCAGCAGAGGAGTCTCAGGAGCTCTCTGGACTGGGAGCAGGGTGTCTTTGCTGGGGGAAGAGAGCCCAATGGGGTGGGCATCTTGCTGGAGCCTAGTGGAAGGAAACATCCTTTGAGATGACCTCATACCTCCTGTTGGTGCAACTAAGCAGCCCATAGGAAGTGGGTGTCCCCCAGGGAGTTGAGAAACTGTGGCACAAGGCGAGAGCTGGTTTCCTCTGCCCTGTTAGAGCTGGGGGACTCTTCAGAGTCAAAGGCCAGAGAGCATGGAGCTGAGTGGAGCCACCATGGCCCGGGGGCTCGCTGTCCTGCTAGTCTTGTTCCTGCATATCAAGAACCTGCCTGCCCAGGCTGCGGACACATGTCCAGGTGAGACAGACCTGGGTTTTCTGGTCCCTAAAAGCTGGTAACAACCCCACTCACTGACACTCGGGTGTCCCAGGCAAAACCTTTTATGCACATCTTCCTGTGAAGATGCCCAACAGATCTGTTTTATCCTCAGGCAAGGACATGGAGGCTCAGGGCAGCTGAGGCATTGCCCAGGGTCATGGAGGGATAGGGGAGGGATGTCACCAGGTCTGTCTGCCTCGAAAGCCCAGGATTTGCCCATTGGAGCTTCATAGGTGGGTCTGGAATCTGTCACTGAGAAGGAAGAAAATACTGTTGACTTTATCTTCTTACGGGCTTACCAGGGAGGCACTCTAAGACCCTCTAATACGGTGGCTGCCACACGGACTTGGGGGGTTTGTTAAAAAGGCAGATTTCTGGCTCTCCTCCAAGAGAGTCGGAATCAGTTGATAGGGACAAGGGTTTGAACGGTGGTAAGGTGTTTCCCTCACTGATTCAGGAGCAGGTGGTTCTGTGACGCTCAGCAAGAGACTGCTCCTAAGGACGGCCTGGTGCCCCTGGCTGATAACATATTTATGAAGGAAACATAAATAGTAAATTACAGCCTGCTCTAGTGGAAGGAGGACTGGAAACACAGAAAGGAAATACCCCAAAAATGGCAGTGCCATGTCTCCGGTGAGAGCACTGCTCCGTTCCATGGTCTCTAAGAGCGCCCTTAGCAGGGCGTGTAGATTTTGTAATGAACAAAATGAAAAATATTTTTTCAAAGAAGTAAACAACTTTGGTTTGGCTGCAGCTGTGCCACACCTGGCTCTGTGTCCTTGGACCCCACACTGCCCCTCTCCAGAGGACCTAGAAAGCCCCTTCCAGCCCAGTAATTCTACAACCACATTCCCAAGGTCTGGGAGGGAAAATGCTTTGTCAGCCCCAATTCCCCAAGTTTCTTAGAAATATTGATTGTCATTAGTTATTGAAAGTGCCCGCTGTTTATTAAGCTCTTTCTAAATGCCATAAATTACAATAAGAGATTTAAAATGCACATTCTTTAACCAAATCCTGGCCGCAACCTTGTTATTATCCCCGCTTGGCAGCCCAGGGCACAAAGCTCAGAGGAGTTAAGTTACTTGCTGCAGGACACACAGCACTGAGGAGATGGGGCTCCCCTAGGTCGGGGTGGCCTCCAAAGCCAGAGCTCTGCCCCCCATCACATCTCCGCCTCACCAGTGCCTGAGGGGTGAGGACAGACCAAGGCCCCAGCAGAGCAGAAAACCTCACTTCCCAGCCACTGTTGGGCCAGGCACTGAGTGGGCACCTGTGTTTCTCTGCAGAGGTGAAGGTGGTGGGCCTGGAGGGCTCTGACAAGCTCACCATTCTCCGAGGCTGCCCGGGGCTGCCCGGGGCCCCAGGGCCAAAGGGAGAGGCAGGTGTCATTGGAGAGAGAGGTAGGTGCGGGCCGGGTGGGGAGGCCAGGCATGGCAGGGGCACTGGCTCTTGCTCTTTATGAAACTGGATGCAGAGTTGGGCAACACCCCCACCGTGGTTCCTAGATCAAGAGCCTGGGTCAGGCCCCTGCTAGAGCCAGGAACAGAGCTGACTCCCAGGGCCCAACAGGGTTCTGAAATGGAGGGAGGGTCTTTCCTAACTATTTCATGAGCTCACATTTGGACATGCTTCTGTAGCTCTGTCTCCTAGTCCTTGATCCAATACCAGCTTTGCTCAGCTACTGGCACGACTTCTAAGCTCTGTGTCCCTCCACCTTCTCACCTGAAAATTGAGGTGACCGCTTTCTTCTGCACCTGCCTCATATGGGAAAACTGAGACTCAAAGAGGTCACAGGCTTTCCTACTTGACAAACCAGTAAGGAGTGGGGCTGGGACTTGGACTGGTCTACTTCAGGGCACAGAGGGCACCCGAATCCTGAGCCCTGAGCTCTGCATGTGGATTTGCAGGGAACATGGGAGAATGAACAGCAGGCACCTGCCTTGGGTGGTTTTGGGTCCCCCTAAGCATGGCATAAGGCAGACGTGCACAAAAACTCAGAAAGGGCGCTGCCTTAGGGGGTGAGCTCCCCATGCCTGGACGCATTCAAGATGATGCCTGCGGAGCACTTGGTGGGGATGTCCCAGTGTAGATGGGACAAGCTCAAATGTCCCTATGACTTGGACTTTCACTGACGTGTCTAGGCTTCCGTGTGGGTGTCCGGGGCCAGGTCCTCTGTGCCCACTCCGCAGGCTGGACCTGAGAGTGCGGTCCCGATCCCCTGCTGAGGGAACACTGGGGAGGAAGACCTTCCCTGGCAGGAGAAGAATCAAGTCTGGCTCAGACTTCCCTTGAACCAGGCTTCTACCAGTGGGCATGGCTGGCTAATATACCCTAAAGCAAGAACCAGCCCCCATACACTCTCCCCAGCCACTGGGGTCAGCGAGCGGGCTGGGGGCTGCCTCTTGGCTGGCATCGGGGACGGGAGGGTCACCTTTCTGGCCAGAACCACGTGGAGCGCTGTGTGACACCCCAGGAGCTCAGGCGCACGGTGGAACCGGATCCTCCCTGGCAGCAGCGGCTGCACGTGGCGCCCACCCTCTCCGTGTGGGGACGTGGTAGGATGAGGCTCTCTGAGGACGCATTCTTTGTTCCAGAACCTGGTCCCTTGCTAGGCAGTAGAGCTCTGTGTGGGTGACTTGGGTCCAGGCTTATGGTCAACAGAGTGTGAAACCCAGGTTGCTCCCAAGGCACAAACAGGAGCAAGGTGCACCTTGCCTTGAGCCCAAGGTGGGGTGCAGGCCCCTCCCTCAATCCCTCACCTCCATCTGCAGTCACCCCCAGGCTAAATCCATGGCTAGCAATTCTGAGAGCTCCTGGAACCAGAAGGGGTTCAAGGCAGAGTGGGGGAGGGTCAGGACTTAACCACTTGGGGCAAAGATTTCCAGGGAGAATTGTTTAGGTTGCATTTTTCTCAGTGATATGTCTTTGGAATTTTCAGGAGAACGCGGTCTCCCTGGAGCCCCTGGAAAGGCAGGACCAGTGGGGCCCAAAGGTAACCAGGGGACAGACAGCGAGGAGGCCTTGAGCAGGGACCTTGGAGCTGTCTGTAATGAAATGAGGGAGGGAGAGACAGAGACAGAGACACAGACACAGACACAGAGAGACACGGCAACAGAGAGAGAAAGACAGTGGCAGGCGGACAGGGACCCTGGGATATTCCAGGCCTCGGGGCCCCTCCCCACCATTGAGACCTGGGCGTTGTGATGCCTTAGTGAGCCTGCAGGGCTGGGGAGATGCAGTGTCCAGGCCGGGAGCCCACTCTGGACCAGCCTTTCCGTGGCCCACACATCTGGGGTCAAAAGCTCATTATCCTGCCTCTTCCTCCAGGAGACCGAGGAGAGAAGGGGATGCGTGGAGAGAAAGGTGAGCCACCCGTGGGCCCAGGCAGTTGTCTCTGCAGGCTTTGTCCAGGGGAGGGGTCTCAGAGGCCTCAGTCCGCCTGCCCACCGCCCACGTCCCTGTCAATCCAGGCTGTGGGCAGGGAGGGGTGGAAGGAGTCCAGCGGGCTTTGTTGTCAGAATCCACGAGGGCTCAAACCCTGGTGTCTACAGCAGTCACTCCCAGTGGCCAGCAGGACCACATCAGTGCATAGATGGTGACACTTCAATATTTCAATTTCTGTCTTACTTATGCTCATTTATGCAAAAATTGTAAAAGTTTAAAAAAGCCAAATGTGCAAGACTCTAATACACTGTACCACGCTCCACCCACAAACACAAATGAAAACCGGAGCCGGGGGCTGAGGGTCCGCCGATACCTGAGTCCCAAGAAACAGAGGCCAGGGCGGAGGCAGGGCAGGCTTGGAGTGACCCTGCCAGGCTTGAAGAGTTATTCCGCTGTTATCAGTGGCGAAGGCCCCACTAGGGGTCCAGTTCGTCCAGCAGGACCCGCAGCGCCTGCCACAGCCCACCAAGCTCAAGCTGCACAGCAGGGGCCTATGGACAACCATGTGGCTGGTGCCTCTGGGGAAGTCGAGTCTGGCCATCCTTCCCTAGGCCTGTGCCACGTGTCCTGGAGACATCAGAGGAGCTGCCTTTGCCCATTCTCTATTCTGTGCTCAGGGAGCCACTGGGGCTGACCAGGACAAAGGCTCTGATTTCAAGCTTATGACAAGTGTCTCCTCTCCCCACACAGGAGACGCTGGGCAGTCTCAGTCGTGTGCGACAGGTGACTGATCACACCCTGACCTCGGTACCCAAGCCTTGCCCCCACCCCTGGGGCCAGCTGCACACGTTCACGCTACGGAATCTAAGGACAGAACCCTGTCTGCACCTATCATCCCCCCCTCAATCACTCGAGTAATGGGCAGCTATCACCTGAATCCCTTCCATGACAACCTGGGCTCTACTATTATCTACCCTAGAAGGCCGGGTGCCCAGGAGGCAAAGGTGGGGCAGACACTGGGAGGTGGGAGGGTCGGCAGACTGGGTGTGGGCATCACAGCTGCGTGGCCCTGGGGGCCGTGTCCCTGTCCAGGCCTCGGAGTCCTGCTCGGTCCGCACAGAAGCCTGTGGCCCTCCTCCTCCCTCCTGGGCCTCCCTCCCACTGCCCCTGTCCTGCCCAGGGCCCCCGTCCTGCAGCCATTCCCCGGGTTCCCTTCCCAGGCCCACGCAACTGCAAGGACCTGCTAGACCGGGGGTATTTCCTGAGCGGCTGGCACACCATCTACCTGCCCGACTGCCGGCCCCTGACTGTGCTCTGTGACATGGACACGGACGGAGGGGGCTGGACCGTGAGTGTGGGGCTGGGCAGAGGCGGTCAGCCTGGGAGTCCCGGAGGCCAGGCTGCACACCTGGTTGTAGAACACACTCTGGAATTCTCTATTCCCCTGGATGGGGACAATCATAGATGATGGGGGAAGTGACCCGTGGGTAAAAGTCCAGGCCATCGGGGAGGCTGGGAGGGGACCGGTGCTCTCCTGCTGTGTGGCTTGGGGCTTGTTGCCTCTCTTCTCTGAGACCGCATTTCCTCTTTCATCCTGTGGAGTCTGTGAGGAGACCAGATGGGCGTGCGTGTGGCACCGGCCTGTGATGCTCTGCCAACTACAAATGCTGCTCCTCTGGAGGGCGGGTCCCCGGTGCTGTGGGACCTCGGCCTGCCCCGCCTAACTCTGTATCCTGGCTTCTTCACAGGTTTTCCAGCGGAGGATGGATGGCTCTGTGGACTTCTATCGGGACTGGGCCGCATACAAGCAGGGCTTCGGCAGTCAGCTGGGGGAGTTCTGGCTGGGGAATGACAACATCCACGCCCTGACTGCCCAGGGTAGGGCCACTGCCGTGGCTCAGGGGTTGGGGGGCCCTGAGGTGCTCCTGCCCCTTAGGCCTGGGCCATCTGCAACATAAGCACCTCTTGGCCCACAGGGGATTGGGCCCTGAGCACACTCAGGTGGCACTGGGACCTCTAAGGGCTGCGTCCCCTGCCGCAGGCTCTGGCAACATCGGGAAGGGAAACGGTTAGAGCCCTGGGCTGAAGGCCTCTTCAGGTCTTGGTCCTACTGGCATCTTAGATCCTGAGAGTGGGAAGCAGGAGAGAGACCACTGGGGCTTGGGGTAGCCTTCCCCCATCTCCAGCTGTTGATCTGCCTCTGAAGCTGGCATCTTAGTCCCATGGAGAGCCCACGCTCGCCTCCTCCAGCCCACGCCTCAGCAGGCCCCCCACAGCCGCACTCACCTGAGTGAGAGGGCCTCCCCCCAACCCTCTGGGGCAGGGGATGAGTTTCACAGCTGGTCCTGAGGCAGTCTGTATAATTGCTGGTCCATTATCCCTGCCCACTGCCCTGTGGCATGATTGAAGGAATCCACTCAGGTGCCTCAAATTCCTGCAAAAGAAACTACAATTAGAGCTTCGCCCACTGCTGTGTTAGTGGCTCACCAACCCTTAGAAGGAGAAGGTACACTTTCAAAATGAAAGAATGCTCCCTTCCACCCAGTGAACTCCAGTGGGGCATGTTCAGTTCTCTGAAATAACGGGAAAGGTGTTTAGAAACAGAAAGCCATCCCTGAGGGCCTGATAGCAACAAGGGATTTTCTGACATTTCCGGTTGATTTTTTTCCTGGATGCCACGTTCAGACATCCCTTAAGAATATATCCATCCCCAGCCGGGCACCGTGGCTCACACCTGTAATCCCAGCATTTTGGGAGGCTGAGGCTGGTGGATCATGAGGTGAAGAGATCGAGACCATCCTGACCAACATGGTGAAACCCCATCTCTACTAAAAATACAAAAAAAAAAAAAAGTAGCTGTGTGTGGTGGCACACACCTGTAATCCCAGCTACTGGGGAGGCTGAGGCAGGAGAATTGCTTGAACCCAGGAGGCGGAGGTTGCAGTGAGCTGAGATGGTGCCATTGCACTCCAGCCTGGGCAACAAGAGCGGAACTCTGTCTCAAAAAAAAAAAAAAAAAAATTACCCATCCCCAGCCCTCATGCCTGGTGACAGAAAGATCTTAAAGGCTGGGGCCTTAAAATCTTTTTCCAACAGGAAGCAGCGAGCTCCGTGTAGACCTGGTGGACTTTGAGGGCAACCACCAGTTTGCTAAGTACAAATCATTCAAGGTGGCTGACGAGGCAGAGAAGTACAAGCTGGTACTGGGAGCCTTTGTCGGGGGCAGTGCGGGTGAGTGTCTGCTTGGGGCTGGTGGCCTGAGTGGGGCTTGGAAAGCAGAGAGAACCTGGCTCTGTCTCCCCTGGTGACCTTGGGCCCTCCTCTCTCTGAATCCCATTTCTCCATCTATGAAGCAGACACTAGCATTTGTGTCTCTGTACAGCGTGGGGCTCACAGGACATAGCGGCTGGTATTCCTAAGGCTATGTCTGCCGCACAGTGAGCTGCCTGGGCAGGGCTGAGACGACCCACCAGCATCACTGCTGAAACCTGGAAGACGTCGTCCTTTTCTCATGGGTGCCTTGGAGCTGTTTCCCAAACTGTGCTCCATGGAACACCAGCCTTGTGGGACATTCTTTACCAAAAGGAGTCTCTGGCTACACGATCTGGGGAGGCATTTCCTACAGGGCGTCTGCTTAGGGAATTCCCAGTGCACATCGTTCGTGAAAGGCACTGAGAATTGCTGCAGCTGGAAGTCTGTGTAACTAACTGCTCCATGGAGCAAGGCAGTCCCAGGGGAGCCTTGGAAATGACAGCCTTGGAGTCTGTGCAGTCCTTTCACAGGCACGATCTCACGCATGACCTCCAAGGAAGGCAGCAGGGCAGGGAAGGTCACCCCCATTTTGCAGGTGGTAAAACCGAGGCTCAGGGGGTGACATTTCTCAGCTATAGGAGCCAGGGATGAGCTTCCGGCTCAGGGCTTGAGATAGAGGAGAAGCCCCCAGGTGAGGGCTGTCCTGAACCTACCAAGGGCCACCAGGGGACGTGGGGAGAGACCGGAAGGAGCGGCGCAGGCTGGAGGAGGGAGGTCATTCCAGGAGAGAGCAGGAGGCCTGACAGTTTGCGGGAGCCCTGGAGGAAACAGGTGGTTGCTGGAGCAGGGGCCTCAGGTTGTGGAGAGAGATTTCCAGACCAGGTTGCCAGAGGTTGCCTCCTGCTTCCCCTTCCTCCAAGGCCTGGGTGGGTCATTTGTGCACCTGTAGCTCGGCTCATGCGTCGCTAAAGTGAGGTTGGCTCTGCTCAGAGGCAGGATGTGGTGAGGGTCTCACAGTGGCAGGGCTTTTTCCAGCATCTGCAAACCCCACATTTTCTGTGAGCAGGTAATTCTCTAACGGGCCACAACAACAACTTCTTCTCCACCAAAGACCAAGACAATGATGTGAGTTCTTCGAATTGTGCTGAGAAGTTCCAAGGAGCCTGGTGGTACGCCGACTGTCATGCTTCAAACCTCAATGGTCTCTACCTCATGGGACCCCATGAGAGCTATGCCAATGGTATCAACTGGAGTGCGGCGAAGGGGTACAAATATAGCTACAAGGTGTCAGAGATGAAGGTGCGGCCCGCCTAGACGGGCCAGGACCCCTCCACATGCACCTGCTAGTGGGGAGGCCACACCCACAAGCGCTGCGTCGTGGAAGTCACCCCATTTCCCCAGCCAGACACACTCCCATGACGCCCACAGCTGCCCCTTTGCCCCCAGCTCAGTCAAGCCGCCACATGCCCACAACCTCACCAGAGGGAGAATTATGTTTCTAAATATGTTTACTTTGGGACAGAAAAGTTTTACCAGTTTCAATGTGTGTTTCTTGAACACCAGTGGTTTTGATCACTTTCCTGTGTCTGTTGCACGGCAGGTCTTTCCCTGGAATTTGGTAAGTCGGGAAGAGTCAGGACCCTTATTTAGCAGATGGCACTACCGATGTTCAGGGAGGTTGAGTGACTTTTGCGAGGATTTTCCACCTCCAGTAATTGACACAGGGCGATCCTCACCTCCACCCCCAAGCCTCCCCCATCCCCCCATGCCTCACTCACAACACTTCACACTTCTTGAAAAAGGTCACTTTGGGGTCCAGAAAACACTTACTAAAAAGGGGGAAAGTTTAGTAGGAACTTTTCTGCTTCCCACCACGGCAGAGTTCATGCTTTGGGCTGGCTGGCTGCTGGGAAGAGATAAACACTTAGCACTCACTAAGTGAGCGCCTGGTCAGCCACCTGCACAGAGAAGATTCCGAAGAGGCCTTCCTCCCACACACAGACCTCAGCTAGAGGGGACCGCGGACCTCAGTGGGAAAAGCTGCACAAGGCTTCTAGGAGATGATGGAGAAGGGGCTTCTCCAGCTCCCAGGCCAGGGGAGATTTCTCAACCACGACCTAAGAAGCATCAAAGGGAATGTGGCAAGTGTGACTCCATTCAAATCAAGAGCTCCCACTTACCGAAGGACACTAAGGGAACCAAAGGAAGGCCAGAGGGGCAGAATCAACGTGCGGCACACAAATCTTTAGTTTTCTACTATTGCCGCAACCAGTCACCACAAATGGAGTGGCTTGAAACAACAAGAACTCGCCACCTCCTGGCTCAGTAGATCTGGAGTCCCTGGGCCTTACTGGGCCAGCAGGCAGGACTCAGCAGTGGTGGCTCCTTCCAGGGTTCTAGGGGAGAACCTGCTTCCTTGCCTTTTCCAGCCCCAGGGGTCACTGGCATTCATTGGCCCGGACTCCTTCCCCCAACCCCAAAGCCAGCAGCACCACATCTCTCTGACCCTTCATCCGTTGTCCCCTCTCCCCCCAAGCCCCATGGGACAGGGTCTCCACTCCTGAGACTCATGGGATTAGACTAGGCCTACCTGGATGATCTGGGATCCTCTCCCATGTCCAGGTCTCTATCCCTAACCACATCAGCAAAGTCTCTTTTGCCATGGAAGGTATTTGCAGGCTCTGACTTTGTGTGTATTAGGGCAGGACATTTTTGGCGGGGCAGTGGTGGGGGCAGGGAATTATTCTGCCTACCATGCCTTATACAAAAATAAATAAATCACAGGCTTATACCTGAAAGAATTCCTGCAAATAATAAAAGAATTAGAGCAGCTCAGTTAAATAAAAAAAGGTATGAGATGTGAACAGACACTTCACAGAAGATGACATGCAGGGGAGCAAGGTATTTATCAAAAAGTGCTCCACTTTTCACTTACCAGAGAAATGCAAATCAGCACCCAAAGGAGTCACTGCGGCACCCTCATCTGAGCCTCAGAAGTTAGAAAGATGGATAGCACCAGTGTCAAAGGTGACTGTGGGAGGGAGATTTGCATACACTGCTAGTAACAATGCGAATTGATGGAACCAACCTGGAAAATGGCTTGGCATCAACTGTTGGAGAAGAAGACACACAGTCCTCTAACCTGCCAGTCCCACATCAGGGCCTGGATATGGCCGTCATGTGTACCAGGGAGCATGGCCAGGAATCTTTACAGCCAAATACTCACCATAGCACCAAACTGGAATCAGCCGACATACCCATCAGGAAGAGAATGGATGTTAAAAAATGCAAGGATAGCCATTGGGTAGAACGCCATACAGCCATGACAATTACACAGTGACACCTACACACAAGGAGCATGAGTCTCACAAACATGGCAGCAAAAGGAGCCTGTTCAAGAGGGTATGTGCTATGGATTCCATTGTAGATAAAGTTTTTCAAAAGCAAAAGTAGCCAATGGTATTTTGGATGCATATTTAGGTGGTAAATGTATACAGGAAAAATAAGAAAGTGATTGTATTTGAGGGTGGGACCACATGGTGACTGGGAAGGGACAGGGACAAGCCTCTGGGGTTCTGGCAATGCTCTGTTTCTTGACCCAGGTGGTGATTGTAAGGATGTTTGTTAACTAGTGATGAAAATAATTAAGCTGTACTTTTGCTTTATACACTTTTGAGTACATGTTATGTTCCACAATTTAAAAACTACTTATAAAGAAACTGCACATGCTTGGATCCAGGAACATGAGCTACAGGCACATCCTCCACTGATGCCCAGTGTTCTTGACTCAATACCTGTAAGGAGAGGTCCTTGTAGCCCATTGGGGGCTGACCAGACCCTACTACGCCCCTGCCACAATCTCTAGTCCATCACAAAATCCACTATTGGGATAGTACTTTCGTCCCTCAGTAGGTAAGCATTTTTACAACCTAGGAAGACTTAGCTTTAAGTCTAGAAATGATTAGTATAAATATAAAATATAAATATGATTAATATAAATATAAAATAGCCATAGAAATATGCCTTTTAGTTTGTTTTTTGAGACAGAGTTTTACTCTGCCACCCAGGCTGGAGTGCAGTGGCGTGATCTCAGCTCACTGCAATCTCCACCTCCCAGGTTCAAGAGATTCTCATGCTTCAGCCTCCCAAGTAGCTGGGATCACAGGCACACACAACCATGCCCAGCAATTTTTTTGTATTTTTAGTAGAGATGGGGTTTCGCCGTGTTGGCCAGGCTGGTCTTGAACTCCCGACCTCAAGTGATCCACCCGCCTCTGCCTCCCAAATTGCTGAGATTACAGGCGTGAGACACTGTGCCTGGCCAAAATATGCCTTTTGTATTAAGGAATCTGGACAGGTTTGATTTTTCACAGTCTTGTAATGTTTAAATAATTTGGCCTATTATGAAGAATCTCACAAATCCAATATAAAATGTGGAACTAACTAATCAAAATCATCTTGTAATATTACATGGAAATCTTAGTGCGTTTATACACGGTATTGGCATATTTAAGAGACTTTGAGCTCATTGCATTTCTAAGTTAAATTATTAGATTTCTTAAGATTTAAGTTAAATTATTAGATTTTTAAAGATTAATTAGTGCTAAGGAGGGTTTTCTCATTAGACAGCTGAAATGCCGCAGGAGAAATTTGAGTGTATTCCACTTCTTATTGCAATTTTAAATGTTTGAAGTTATTTAAAGAACTAAATTTATGGTATCCAAAAGCTCTAAAAAGGTGACTCTTAAGATTTGCAGGTCTTATAAATAGAAAAACAAGAACTGTAAGCCAAACTTAAAATATTCAGGATGAATTGAGTTTTTGAATTTGTAGCTTTCAGAAACTGAACATTAATTTTAAGAAGCAAAGCAGGCTGGGCACAGTGGCTCACGCCTGTAATCCTAGCACTTTAGGAGGCTGAAGTGGGTGGATCACTTGAGATCAGGAGTTCAAGACCAGCCTGGCCAACATGATGAAACCTCCTCTCTACTAAAAATACAAAACTCCGCCAGAAATCGCTTGATCCCGGGAGGTGGAGGTTGCAGTGAGCTGAGATCGTGCCACTGCACTCCAGCCTGGGGAACAGAGCGAGATTCCGCCTCAAAAAAAAAATAAAAATAAAAAGAAGAAGAAGAAGAAGGAGAAAGAGGGAGAGGGAGAGGGAGAGGGAGAGGGAGAGGGAGAGGGAGAAGAAGAAGAAGAAGAAGAAGAAGAAGAAGAAGAAGAAGAAGAAGAAGAAGAAGAAGAGGAAGAGGAAGAGGAAGAGGAAGAGGAAGAGGAAGAGGAAGAAGAAGAAGAAGAGGAAGAAGAAGAAGAAGCAGCAGCAGCGGCCAGGCGCGGTGGCTCACGCTTGTAATCCCAGCACTTTGGGAGGCCGAGGCGGGCGGATCACAAGGTCAGGAGATCAAGACCATCCTGGCTAACATGATGAAACCCCGTCTCTACTAAAAATACAAAAAAATTAGCCGTTCATGGTGGGGGATGCCTATCGTCCCAGCTACTCGAGAAGCTGAGGCAGGAGAATGGCGTGAACCCAGGAGGCAGAGGTTGAAGTGAGCCGAGATCGCACCACTGCACTCCAGCCTGGGCGACAGAGCGAGACTCTGTCTCAAAATAAAAGAAGCAAAGCAAGCTTATGAAGAGATGAAGAGTCTTTTCCCATCACCAATTCCTCCCCAACTCACATCAGCAGAACTGAGAGAGCTTTTGTGATTTGAGGGATAAAGCTGAATGGGTGAAAAGAAATCAAGCCCTCCTCCTCTTGGGCCAGTGCTCTTCTTCCTGGCCATGGGACCTCTCAAGTAGGAGTGTAGGCGTGGGCCCATCCAGCAACATTTGGGCATTCGTGGACATCCACATAGTGTTGTTTCTGTTCTTTTCCTCTCCTTCCTCATCTTCTCTCGTCTTTGTTGAATATTTTTATTATCCCGTCACCTCCTCTATCAGCTTATAACTTGTTCATTCTTTTCCTATCTTTTGGTGTTTATGCTTGCGATTGCAATATATAGCCTTGATTTTTTACGGTATACTATAAATTATTCCTTCTACCACTTTACCAATGAAGACTTTGAAACACCTCTAACTACATTCACTCCCTTCTGCTTTTTATGCCATTCTTGCCGCCATGCTATGATACATTTATTTAAAGTCCTGCAAGAAATGGCTATTAGTATTGTTTTGTGCAGTCCGTATTCATTTTTACCACATTTTTACACTTTATGTTGCCCTTTATTCCTTCTTCTATTTTATTATTATTATTATTTTTGGTGTGAGATCATCTTCTTGCTGCCTGACAAACTCCCTTTCATATATATTTTTTATTTTTATTTTTTGAAACAGGGTCTCACTCTGTCCCCCAGGCTGGAGTGCAGCGGTATGACCTTAGCTCACTGCAACCTCCACCTCCTGGGCTCAAACAATTCTCCTGCCTCAGCTTCCCGTGTAGCTGGGACTACAGGTGTGCACCACTACGCTGGGCTAATTTTTGTATTTTTTGGTAGAGATGGGGTTTCGCCATGTTAGCCAGGCTGCTCTTGAACTCCTGACCTCAAGTGATCCACCCGCCTCAGCCTCCCAAAGTGCTAGGATTACAGATGTGAGACACCGTGCCCAGCCTCATATATTTTTTGATGAAAGTCTGCTGAGGATGAATTCTGTCCACTTTTATTATCTGAAAACATCTTTATTTTGCCTCATTTTAAATAGTATTTAGATTGGGTGTAGACTTCTATATTGCCAATTAGTTTCTTTTAGCACTGTAAATACAGATGTCCAGTATTTTCAGATTCAGTTATTTCAGCTGAAAAGCTAGCTGAAAGTCTTGTTGCTCCTCTGAAGGTAATATGACTTTTTTCAAAAAATACATTTATAAAATTTTTTTTCTTTGCCTTGATAGTTTTACTACAAGGTGCCTGGATGAGACTTTCTCTGAATTTGTCTTGCTTGGGGTTCATAGAATCTGTGACTTGATGTCTTTCATGAGTTTTGAAAAATGCTAGCCATTATCTCTTAAATATTGCTATTACTCTACTCCCTCTTCTCTTTCAGATATTTCAGTTACACCAATGGCCAATGTTTGCTCGTGTCTCATATGTCTCTTGTTCTAGTTTCTGGATTTGTATTCTTTTTTCCTTTTCACATTCAGTCTGGATATTTTCTGCTGACCTATATTCCAGTTCACTAATAATGCTTTTCACTGTATCTAATTTGCTTATAAATAGAAAACCATTGATTGAGTTATTAATTTCAGTTATAGAATAGCCAGTGTAGACTCCAATGCTTGGCTCCACTTCTCCACTTTTTCACCTATTTTTTTCACCATCTTCCATTTTCTTCAACACACCAGTCAGAGTCGTTTTTAAAGACATTTTAAACACCTCAGTGGCCTGTAGATCTTATCTTCTGTTTTTTGTTTCTTTTTAATCTTAGTTTTTTGGCACACTTGGAGGGTTTTGATTGAATGCTAGACATAGTATTCAGGAAGGCAGAGAGGATTTTTTTTTAAGTCAGATTTTTTGAGGTATAATTTAATACAGTAAAATTCACCTATTTTAGTTCAGTTCTAAGAGTTTCCTCTGTGACTTTTCCTTTGGCCCATGGTTTATTTAAAATTGTGTTCTTTTACTTCCAAATTATTTGGGATTTTTCTAGATATCTTTCTGTTCTTGATTTCTGGCTTACCTCTATCAGGGTCAGAGAACAAACTTAATATGATTTCAATTATTTTAAATTTGCCAATGTTTATTTTATGGCCCAGAATATGGTCTATGTTGGTGAAAGTTCAATTTGAACTTGAAAAGAATATGTTTTATGCTGTTGTCTACTGAAAAGTCTATATATAAAAAATAGATTAATAAACTGATTAATAGCCTGGTTCACCACTTTCGTAGCCTTACTGATTTTCTGTTTAGTCATTCTGTTGATTACTAACAGATTCTCTAACAGAGAAGTATAAGCTTTCTAACTATAATGGTGGGTTAATCTGTTTCTCGTTTCAGTTCTAGCAGATGTTTCCTCAATTTTTGACGTTGCATTTTTAGGTGAATGCACTTCTGGAATTGTATTGTGTCCTTGCTGAATTGTCCCTTTTATCAACATGTAATAGCACCCTTTATTCTTGATAATAGTCTTTGTTCTGAATTTTACTTTGTCTGTTATTCCTATAGCCTTTCCAATTTTCTTTCGCTTGGATTTTACGTGATAAGTTTTTTCCCCCATTTTACTTTTAGCAACTCTATATTTTTTAGTTGAGGTTGGGTTTCTTGTAAACAGCATATAATTTGGGTTTTTTAATCCAATCTGAAAATTAATGTCCTTAATTTTGTGTTTATACCATTTACACATAATGTACTCATATATAAGGTTTAACTGAAACCTACTATCTTGCTAGTTGTGCTCTACTTGAATTTTTTTTTAGTATTCTGTTTTAATTGACCAACATTTGACTGTATCTCTTTGTGTAATTCTTTTACAGGTTGCTGTAGGCATGACAATATATACACTTAACTTTTCTCAGTACACTGAGAGTTGAAATTGTAGTACTTCGAGGAAAACATAGAAAACTTGCAATGATATCGGTTACATTTTACCACCTCCATATGTTGCAATTATTAAATGTATTAGATCTGCCTACCTCGAAAACCCATCAGTCTTTTAACTTTTGCTCTCAATGGTGATTCATATTTTTAAAAAAACTTGAGGCAAAAAAATAGTGTGATATATTTATCCAACTATTTATCATTCCTGTTGCTCTCTTTCATTTCTGAAGTCCTGCACATCCCTCTGTTTTCATTCTCCTTCCAACCTAAGAACTTTCTTTAGCATTTCTTTTAAAGCAGCTCCATTGATGATCAGTTCGCATATTGTTCCTTTCCTGAAGAATGTCTTTATTCTGGGGACTGTTGTGGGGTGGGGGGAGAGGGGAGGGATAGCATTAGGAAATATACCTAATGCTAAATGACGAGTTAATGGGTGCAGCACACCAACATGGCACATGTATACATATGTAACAAACCTGCATGTTGTGCACATGTACCCTAAAACTTAAAGTATGATAATTAAAAAAAACTATACAGAAGTTTTCTGAGAAAAAAATAAAAATAATACAACATAAAAAAGTAGAATGTCTTTATTCCACATGCACACGTATGTTTATTGCGGCACTATTCACAATAGCAAAGACTTGGAACCAACCCAAATGTCCATCAATGATAGACTGGATTAAGAAAATGTGGCACATGTACACCATGGAATACTATGCAGCCATAAAAAAGGATGAGTTCATGTCCTTTGTAGGGACATGAATGAAGCTGGAAACCATCATTCTGAGCAAACTATTGCAAGGACAGAAAACCAAACACCACATGTTCTCGCTCATAGGTGAGAATTGAACTTGGACACAGGGTGGGGAACATTACACACTGGAGCCTGTCGTGGGGAGGGGGGAGGGGGGAGGGATAGCATTAGGAGATATACCTAATGTAAATGACAAGTTAATGGGTGCAGCACACCAACACAGCACATATATACATGTGAAACAAACCTGCATGTTTTGCACATGTACCCTAGAACTTAAAGTATAATAATAATAAAAAAAGAATGTCTTTATTCCAAGTTTATATCTGAAGAATATTTTCACGGAATATAGCATTCTGGGTTTACAGTTATTTTCTTCCCATGCTTTAAAAATGTTATTCCAGCCTGGCCACAGTGTCTCATGCCTGTAATCCCAACACTTTGGGAGGCCAAGGTGGGGGTGGGAGGATTGCTTCAGTCCAGGAGTTTGAGACTAGCCTCGGCAACATAGTGAGAGTCCATCTCTAAAAAAAAAAAAAAAAAAAAAAAAAAGTAATAGCCAGGTGTGGTGGTGAAGTCCTGTAGTCCCAGCTACTTGGGAAGCTGAGATGGGAGGACCACTCGAGCCTGGGAGGTCAAGGCTGCAGCGAGCCCTGGTCACACTACTGCAACATGTAATAGCACCCTTTATTCAGCAGAATAAGGGTGAGAAAGCAGAGTGAAACCCTGTCTCCAAAAAAAAAAAAGAAAAAAAAACCACAAAGTTATTTTAGTGTCACCTGGCCCCAGTGGTTTCTTCTTCTTCTCCTTCTCCTTCTTCTTCTGTAGGAGTTTTGTTCTTGTTGCCCAGGCCAGAGTGTAAGGGTGCAGTCTTGGCTCACTGCAACCTCCGCCTCCCAGGTTCGAGTGATTCTCCTGCCTCAGCCACCCAAGTAGCTGGGATTACAGGCGCCCACCATCATGCCCAGCTATTTTTTTTTTTTTGTATTTTTAGTAGAGACGAGTTTCATCATGTTGGCCAGGCTGGTCTTGAACTCCTGACCTCAGGTGATCCACCTGCCCTGCCTCCCAAATTGCTAGGATTATAAGCATGAACCACTGCATCTGGCCCCCAGTGGTTTCTTGTAAGAAACATGCAGCTGTTTAGATCATTGTTACCTTATTTGTATAGCACATAATGTGTAGCTCTGTTGTTTGGTGTGCACACATTTAGAATCCAACAATTCTACTAAAAAACCTCTAAATTTTTAGTAGGTTGACCTTTTATTATTATATTCTGTCTCTGGTAATTTTCTTTGCCTGAAGTCACTTTTATCTGATATAGTAGAGCCTCTCCTGCTTTCTTTTGATTAATGTTTGCATAACATACATTTTCCCATATGCTTTTACTTTCAATTTGCTCATATTATTATATTTGAAATAAGTTTCTTTTAGATAGCATATGCTTAGTCAGGCTTTTAAATACACTCTGACAATCTCTCTCTCTTTTAATTGGTTCATTTAGGCCATTTACTTTTATGTAATTATTGAAATGTTAGGACTCCTCCTTACTGCTGGGTGGGAGTAGGAGATCCAGCTCCTCAGGAGACCTTCCCTGGTACCTCTGTGCGTAGGAGGGTTGTGTGTCTCCTTTCTGTTCTCCATGAGGGCTTTACTGGCACCACAAGGGGAGGGGTGGACTCACTGCTACTGGGAGATGGTGAAAGTTCTGAATCTCCACTAGGCCTCTCTGATACCAGCCAGTGGGGAAAGAGCTGAGCAACTCATAACTGCTGGGTTGGGGTGGAAGTCTAGTTTCCCCATGTAGACTCCACTGACACTGCAGGAGTAGAGGGGACTTGTTACTGCTTGTGCACAGAGGAGATGAAAGTGCCTTTTCTGATACCAACCCATCCAGCACTAGAGGGTGCTGGGATGCCTCATTACAGCTCAATGAAGGTGGAAATCTAAGCTCTCTACCTAGCCTTTGCTTGTAGGGGAGGAGATGGGTCACCTCCAGCGTTTGACTGGAATAGAGCAATTATTGTCTAAAGTTTTCTGTCTTGCTGGACTGTCTTCTTCCTGAGCCTTTGGATAGAGAGAGCAGGTTTTTACTGGCCTTCTTTTTTTTTTTTTTTTTATCTGTGCCTTTTGGTATTTTCAGGTTATCAGCTTCTTCAGGTCAGGGATATCTGTTACATTTATTGAGTGGAATAGGGTAAAAGTATGTCTACTCCATATTACCAAAACCAGAAGTCTCTATTTTTCCCAATGCGTTTTCTCTCCATTGTTCAAAATGGAAGACTTTTATTGACCTGTCTTCAAGTTCACTGGCTCTTCCGTTATCTCCATTCTTGTATTGATTCTATCTAGGGAAATGCTATTTCTATTGTTACATTTTTCAGTTCTAAAGTTTTCATGTGATTTATTTTGTAGCTTCTAGTTCTTTGATGAGACTGTCTAGCTTTCCATTAACTTCAGGAGTGTTAGCACTTACTCCTTACAGCATGATTATAATAGCTGCCTTAAAGTCTTCAATACTTCTAGCACTTGGTCATATCAGGATTAGTGAATGTCGATTGCCTTTTTCCTTCAGAATTGTCTATGTTTTCCTGGTTCTTTACATCCCTTGTGCAATTTTGGATGTAGCCAGGACATTTTGAATATTATGTTATGAGATTCTTTAAACATCTTCTGGGAAAATGTTGACTTTGTTGTTGTTTCAGCAGGCAGTGCACCTAATTAAGTTTAGATTGCAACTTCTGTTTCGCTTTCCCTGTGTAGGTTATTTACACAAATGTTGTGTTCTCTCTCCAATCTGTCTTTGTTACTTTTCAAATCATCAGGTATTTGTGTTTTGTTCAATGTCTGACGTGCTGCAGTGGGCTCACTCCATTGTGGGAAGCATCATTCAAAAATGCAACTCAACCCCAAAGATTTTCTGCTCTAATTCCCAGTGCTATAAATACAGGCTATCATGCCAGTGATCATGTTATGTTACATTACAAAAGCGATTTTGAGATGCTATTAAGATGGCTAATTAGCTGACATTGAGTTAATTAAAAAAGGGATTATCAGGGTGGGCCTAATCTAATCATGACAGTCCTTTAAATGCAGAGAGTTTTCTCTGGCAGGTAGCAAAAGAGGAGTCAGACAGATTTGCAGCATGAGGGTGATTTGACACACTTTTGCAAGCTTTGAAGATGGAGGTTCATTTAGAAAGAACCTGAGAGTGGCCTCCAATAGCTGACAGCAGCTCCCAGCTGACAGCCAGCAAGAAAATGGGAACCTTACTCCTAAAACCACACGGAACTGGATTCTGACAACAACCTGAATGGCCCTGGAAGCTGCTTCTCCCCCAAATCTCCAGCTGAGCATAAGGCTTGGCTTACACCTTGACTTCAGCTTTGTGAGACTCTAACCAGAGGACCTTGCTTGCTGAGCCCACTCAGACCCCTGATCCATAGAACTGTGAGTTAATAAATGGGTGCCGTTTGTGGTAATTTGCTGTGCATGAGTAGAATACTAACACAGCCACCTTGACTGCTATAGAAATTATGAACTTTGTTTTTTAAGTGTTGATGTAGATCACTTGAAACCTAGCAATACTTTGTCTTCCTCCAACACAGGTTTCATTTGCTTCTCCAGGCATGTTCTGGAAGTTAATAACCAGTGCCATTGCCAGAGATGGTCTGTGCACCCATATGACTTAAAATCAGTTTGCAATTTTGGGGGAGAGCTGGTTTACTTGCAGGTGATCCTTACCTCTGGGATGCACATGTACATAGTTGTCAGGCTAAAGTGCAGGTTCCTTAACCTGAAACTCCATTCTTGGCAGGCTCTAAACATGTACCCTGGTCCCCTTCAGCCTGCTGAGTTGACAAAACTCCCACACAGACTTGAAAGCTTCTCTCTGATTGGTGAATGACCCCAGACAAAGATACTCACAGATACTCCACTCTGAGTTTCTATTTCTGCCGAATCTTATTCTGGTAATTCCTCATTACTCTGATCATCTTTAGTGCTTAAGAAGAGTATCTCTGAAATTTGCCCAGCTTTTTTGATTTCAGAAGGAAGTTTGGCCTTGTTTTCTAACCCATTATTACTGGAAGTAGAAGTCGGCACTTCCAGTTCTATGATCTAATTTTACACTTAGGTTTCCAGGTCACTAGAGCTTGCACATTGAGCATTTTTTTAAATGGCCATTTAATACTCACTGGAGGAAATGGACATCCTCTTATTGTTGAACACTTATAATCTATCCAGTGTTTCCTCTTATCGTTGAATACTGATATCCTAGCCAGTAATTAACACGTTTATGTACACGCTTTTTTCTCTTACGTTGCATTTTTTTTCCAAGAGTAAGTTCTCTGGTAAGCTTATTGATTCAAAGGGTACAAGCTTTTCTTTAAGTTCACGTAGTGTCATAAGTGACACTTATGAAACAGATTCAAGTCATAATACCACATCCCCATAAAACAATCTATCTAAGGCATGTAAATATTCACTGTAATTAATTTGATCCTTATTGCATGTTTTAAAAACATTTCAACTTGCTTTTGATTTGGATCTCTCTCACCTTTATTCTGAGGGATGGGTGGGGGGCCTGGGGACACATGGCCCACAGAAGGCTGGAGATGGAGTGGGAGGCAGGCTGACTTGTCATCTCTGTTTGATGTGCTGCTGTGTGACTTCCTACCACAGCTCATCAGCGGAGAAGAGGGAGGGCTCTAGGCATCACCCACTGAGATTTTGGTTCTAAAAGTCTGGGATGGGGCCCCTGAATCTGTATTTTTCAGAGCCTCCCCAGGTGGCTCCGACGGACAGTTAGGTTGAGGAACCACTAGCGTGCTAGTTTCAGAGAGCCGAGTAGAAGGTTTTAGTGCAAGCGAACAAAACCCGGAGATCTTCTGGCTCATCAGAGCAAACTCATATTAAAGAAGACAGCAATCCTGGAAGGGAAAAGAGAGATAAACGAATTAACGCAAATGGGTTTCAATTAGAATCCAGGCTCGCACAGCCCAGAGAAACAGGAGCTGGGAAGCCAGGTAGGTATCAGCCGAGCCAAGCATTCATCAGAGCCAAGCATGCTGGATACGTGATGGCCGCTCCAGGTTTTGTTTTTGTTTTTGGATGTGCGTTCTGTCCTTGACTCACATGTCTTGGCCATCAGCCCAGTAGAGGCCCTTCCCGACGGTACGGGGTAAACAACCTTGGACTTCCCGCCATACAGGTCACTTGGCCCACTTTGAAGATTAGCTTTTATGGAGAAGCAGAACTGCATTTGACAAGAGGAAGACCTTCCAATGTCAGTCACCACCATCCCAGGCCACACTGATCTGGTGGCTGCTCATGCCAGTAGTGAGCTTCTTGTGCCTGTGGGTCTGCTGGGAGCTACAGAGGCACTGACTTGAGTTCTGGGTGGTAAGATCACCCAGAGCAGCTGCCCCTTAATTTCCAGTTCTCAGATTTGATGATTCATGTTTCAACCCCAATGAAATTGTAGAACACCCATGCCGTCATGGAAGGCACAGGGCTCTGGGAGGGCCCGTTTGCTACCTTGGGACAGATGGACATATCCAGATTGTCCTTGGCTCTGCTGGCTTCCCGACTGGGACTTCTGCCACATCTTGGGGTGGGCGGGTGGGCTTCCAGCCTCCTGTAAAGCTGCAGGAATCAGATAACTGGCTGCCCCCCACCCATATGGCCTCTGGCTGATGAGTCACAGTGGCAATGAAAACCAAACTGAGTAGCTCAAGTGCAGCTAAAGAAATCAGTAGGAGGCCAACTTGGCACAAAGCCCAGAGTAAGTTTTTGAACCAGGAGGAGAATGCAGGTTTCTCCTCTCCTCGCCTGGGCCACCTCTTTGTAAAGATAAGAAACAGCAGCTATTTTAACAGGCAATCTTAATATCTCAGGGCTGATACACAATGCAAGTTTGTTTCTTGCCCAGGTCATAGTCCAGGGCAGGACATGGTGACAAGAATCACTCCTGCAGTGATTTAAAAAACCAGATTTCTTCTGGGCATCTTCTTTCCTGAGATAGAAATTTGGCTCATATTTCATTCAGATTTGATGCACTTCTTTGCCAATTTATCCCCATGCCTCCCTGTATCTCTCATCTTAAGGAAGTCTTTCTTAAAGTTTTCAGGCTTGGGCAGGAAGGATCTTTACTACAATTTTGAGTCACTCTGTTCAAAACAACGTATTCCATTGATCCTTCTTACCCTAGTGCTTTTAAAACCTCATCTCGTACTGTTTGGAGTCTAACAATGTTCAGGCATTTTCCAACTCTGCGAGATTTCCAATTCCTAGTCTCTTTAATCCATTTTTTTTCCTGCTTGCTAATTTCTTTTCTAAACTCTTCTTTCTCTTGTAACACCTAGTCAGACAGCCAATAAAAATAAACACACACTGAAAGTTCTGTTTTTCAAGTCGATCCCCTGGGGCTGGAAGAGACGTTCCAAGGAACTGCCTTCCAAGTTATTGAAGACAACATGTTCATCAAACAAAACTCTGCAGCCCTCCACCCACCATGTGGCTGCTAGGCCAGTGCCTTGGATTTTAGGTGTCTGTTGCCACGCTCTTGCACTTCTGGTACCAATCTCTGCATGAGTCAGTGTAAGCACAAATAGCTGCTATAACAAACAACCCCTCAGGATCACAGTGTCATCATTTCCCCTTGTGCTGCAATGCAGGGCCCATGCAGTGCAATGCAGGTTTACAGAGGGCTTTGGGGTTCCTCACCAGGACATGGGACAGAAGGTTTGGGGGGCCAGTTTAGAAAGGGGTCTGCATAATCTCTGTGAACATCCCATTGACTAAATCTCCATCATATAGTCTCATCTAACTGCAAGAGAGGTTTAGAAAAGCAGCCTTCTTGTACCCTCAGGAGGGGGAAAAACAGGCTTAGTGAACATATAACACTATGTCTGTCTCAATGCCACAAGGCATGCCTTTTATAAACAATAATGAGAAATTCTCCTGGAGTGATGGGAGCACGTACGGTAACGATGCAGCCATCTTCCCCAAGGGTTTGCCATTTGTGTATGGATTGGAATGTGAATTGTCTGTATTTGCACTTAAATCTGGACATCCACCTGATGCAGGGTAGGTGAGCCCCAAATTGGGGCTTAGCCCAGGAGGGTTCTTGGCTTCACCCAGGAAAGAATTTAAGGGTGAGCTGGTGGCATCAAACAGCAACTTCTATTGAAGCGGCCATGTACAGCAGTAGCCAAGTTACCCTCCTTGCAGAGCAGGGCTCCCCATAGGCAGTGTGCCCAGAGCAGCAGCTCAGAGGCAGTTCTGCAGACATACTTATACCCACTTTTAACTAAATGCAAATTAAAGGTGGTTTATACAGAAATTTCTAGGAAAAGAGTGGTGACTTCTGGGTCATCAAGTCATTGCCATGGAAAGGGGTGGTAACTTCTGGGTGTTGCCGTGGGCAATGGTAAACTGACATGGCACATGGGTGGGTGTGTCTTATTGAAAGCTGCTTTCACCTTGGCCCTGTTTCAGCTAGTCCTCATCTGATCCAGTGTCCAATCCCTGCCTCCAGAGTCACGTCCCGCCTCCTAACTCTCTCTCAGGTCAGACAGGCAGTGAGAGAGTAACTGGGGAGTTCTGGCTCCTATAAGGATTCAGGAGAACTTCAGGCTGAGCCTGGAAGAAAGAAACAGGACAGGACTCACTGGAGCCACTGCTTTGAGTCTTCCATTTAGGCCGTTTGTCTGATGCTATTGGAAAAGGCCTCGTTCTCCTGGTGAGAGGGCAGGCTCCTTCAGAGCAGGAATTCACTGCCTTGTACTCCAGAGAGGGCTGTGCACCCAGCAGATGTTCCATGGGGGTAGTGGGAGAAGGGCTTGGCTTAGTCTTTCTTCACTAAGTGATTAGTGTCATTCTAGTGAAGAAAAGAGAAGGTGAAGGTCAGTGGGGCAGGTGTCCTGAACTCTGTGTCTTCCTGACTTTGAGGATAGGGCATGCAGTGTTTTGGGGATTTTTTTTTTTTTTTTTTTTGAGATGGAGTCTTGCTCTGTCACCCAGGCTGGAGTGCAGTGGTGCGATCTCGGCTCACTGCAAGCTCCACCTCCCAGGTTCACGCCATTCTTCTGCCTCAGCCTCCCAAGTAGCTGGGACTACAGGCACCCGCCACCACACCCAGCTAATTTTTGTGTGTATTTTTTTAGTAGAGACGGGGTTTCACCGTGTTAGCCAGGATGGTCTCGATCTCCTGACCTTGTGATCTACCCTCCTCGGCCTCCCAAAGTGCTGGGATTACAGGCATGAGCCACTGTGCCCAGTGGTTTTGGGGATTTTTTACCTGTTGCATCTGACTGGGGCCACTGAGACTCCTCTTAGGACAACCGACCATCCTGGTGGCTAGGGCTTTTCCAGGAGATGGATGCTCAGTGCTAAAACTGGGCAGGCCCAGGCTCACTGGCACAAGTTGGCCACCCCACTCTTTCTGACTACAGGCTACTGGGAGAGGAAAGAAGCCTAGGACGCAGAGGAATAAAGGGACAAGAACAGACACCCAGAGAGGCTGGGGACAAAGAGATGCGAGGGGCCCTGAGTGCCCAGGAGCCTGGAACAGTGATGTCCTCCTAGCGTGGGGTCACCTCCCAAAATGCACAGTTCATGCTCTGCAGCAGGCCATGTTTTCTGCCTGTTACTCCCTGCTTGCCTTCGGCCACTTCCCAGAATGCTCTTTCCAGCTCTCCACTCCCATTCCCCAGCAGTGTTTCCATCTTGGTTGCTGTAAAGTGCAAAACTCAGAACCCAGGGCACAGGTGGGGAGTGACCTATGCAGAGGCGAGTGTGGCATCTTCCTTGTTCTAGATGTCAGGCCTTTGTGAATGCAGCCTAAAACCACATCCTACCTTTGGTGAGCAACATTACGCTCTGCCTAGAGCCAGCTGAGCCTGGAATCCACAAGACGGCCCTTTCCCAGTTCTTTTTTTTATAAATTGCACTTAAGGCATGGAGTCATTGGAAGAACTCAGAAACCCATGGTGAGGGGTAGGGAAGGGGCAGGGGACACGGGGGTTTGGGTCAATGGAGGCAAGAACACCTGGTTTCAGGGTTTGGGTGCCTATCAGTCACAGCTCCCAACCATCAGCTTATTGGAGGGAGACAGTGTCCCTCAGGCCAGGAGAGAGAGAAGAGAGCCAGTTCTCCCTCAAGCAGATTCTGAAGGCAATAAAGGCAGACAGCCTGGCCTCTGCTCTGACCCCAGGGAGCCCGCCCTGGCTAGTGTGGGCAGCAGGTGAGGGAGGCCTTTGCTGGAGCCTGGCCCACAGCAGGTGGCTCCATCCTCCTCTCCCAGGTCTGGATACACAACAGAGTCAATCCCTGCCCGCCACCCCTATGCCAAGGCACAGCTCCCAACACCCTCAACAGAACAGCCTGGACTCTCAGCCCAAGGAGACAGGCAGGTGACAGGAGGTGTAGGGGCAGGCCAGGCAGGGCTAGGCAGGGCTGGAGCCCACAACAAAGACCTATAGCCAAGGGCTCCTGCGCCCAGGGAAAGGCCCGAACAGAAGGGGAGGCCTCACGGGCAAGGGCTGTCAGCTGGGCAGGGGGTGCCCTAGGAGGAGGACTGGCAGCTGGGCCGGGTGTGTGATGCTGTGCTACGCTTCCTGGCCCTTCAGCACATTGCAAACCCAGTGTGGGAGCACATTCTTCTTACTCCCCGGGGCCTTCAAATCCACCCTGCCATCCCATGTTACACGAGAAGGAAGATTCAGAGAGGTCAGGTCACAGATCAAGGCCACACAGCCCAGGTCTGTGAGGGCAAAATGCCACTGCACTTCACAGCTGAAATGAAGAGACTTTGCTTTTGAAGGAGGCAAGTTCTACTCTGAGACCCTGCCTGGGAGCACAAGCCACACATAGTGCCACGTGGCCAATGTCTCCATAAACACGTACAGGCAGCTGAACAGGACCAGGGACCAAAGGGCCCCAGGCAGGGCCACTGACACCAAGGCCAGGAGGCCTCACAGAGCCCCATGCTCGGTCAGTTCCTCCTGAAGACTGGACAGGAAGAGGGGGTGGGGATCAGGCTGCAGCAAATCCATCGCCCAAGGGCTGAGAGCCCAAGGGCAGGATGGAAGGGTCCTAGGGTTCCACAGAGCACCCGCTACTGCTCGGAAGGCAGAGCACAGGGAAGACAAAACCAGAAAGCACATCAGATTCTGGAGAGGTGAAGGCGAGTGAGAATGAGGTCTGGAAAAGGTGTAGCAGGGGCAGGGTGGAGAATGAGGATCCCAGGGAAGGGTCAAGTTGTGCTCCCATTCCCAGAGAGCATCACACCTTCATGGGGAGAGTCCTCAGAGGTGGAGGACTGCCCTGGGCCTAGATTTGTTAAATGGCCCTCTCTCCTGCAGAGGAGCTTTCTGAGTACACTGCTTCACCTTCCTGATACATGGGGTTCCAGCCCTGCAGGGCGGGCTCCTTTCTCATCCTAAGGACGGGGACTTCCTGATGTTGCAACCACCCAGTGGGTTCAGCTTGCCTGCTGCCCAGACAGAGCCAATTTATCAAGACAGGAGAATTGCAATCGAGAAAGAGTAATTTACGCAGAGCCGCCGTGCAGGATACTGGACTAGAGTTTCATTATTACCAAATCAGTCTACCCGAGCATTCAGGGATCAGAGTGTTTAAGGACAACTTGGTGAGTTGGGGGGAAGCGAATGAGCCAGGAGTGCTGATTGGTCAGGGTTGGGGGGAAGCCAAAGAGCTGGACATACTGATTGGTCAGAGATGAAATCACAGGGAGTCAGAATTGTCTTCTTGCACTGAGTCAGTTCCTAGGTGGGGGCCACAAGATCAGACGAGCCAGTTTATTGAGCTGGGTGGTGCCAGCTGATCCATCAAGTGCAAGGTCTGCAAAATATCCCAAGTACTGACTTCAGGAGCAGTTGAGAGAGGGTCAGAATCGTGTAGCCTTCAGCTGCATGACTCCTAAACCATAATTTCTAATCTTGTGGCTAATTTGTCCTACAAAAGGAGTCTAGTCCTCAGGCAAGAAGGAGGTTTTGGGAAAGGGCTATTATCATCTTTGTTTTGAACTATAAACTAAGTTCCTCCCAAAGTTAGTTCAGCCTATGCCTAGGAATGAACAAGCACAGCTTGGAGGTTAGAAGCAAGATGGAGTTGGTTAAGTCAGATCTCTTTCATTGTCTCAGTCATAATTTTACAGTGGCGGTTTCAATGTCAGTTACTCCAGCCAAAGCAAGGCTTCACAGCTTTGGGGAAAATAAGCATCCTTATCCAGACCCCAAGAGAGGGTTCTTGGACCTCTCACAAGAAAGCATTTGGGGCGAGTTCATAAAGTAAAAGCCACTTTATTAAAGAAGTAAAGAAACAAAAGAATGACTACTCCATAGGCAGAGAAGCTCTGAGGACTGCTAACTGGCTATTTTTATACTTATTTCTTGATTACATACTAAACAAGGGGTGGATCTTTCATGAGTTTTCCAAGAAAGGGGCAGGGAACTGAGGGTCCCTCCCTTTTTTAGACCATACATAGTAAGTTCCGGAAGTTGCCATGGTGTTTGCAAACTGTCGTGGGAGTGTCCTTCAACATGCTAACGCATTATAATTAGCATATAGTGAGCAGTGAGGACGACCAGAAGTCACTTTTGTCACTGTCTTGGTTTTGGTGGGATTTGGCCGTCTTCTTTACCGCATCCTGACCTGTATTTTGTGATACCCGTCCTGCCAACCTCCTATGACTAAGAATGCCTAACCTCCTGGGACTGCAGCACAGCAGGCCTCAGCCTCATTTCACCCAGCCCCTATTCAAGATGGAGTCTGGCTTGAATGCCTCTGTCACCCCCAGCCTGGCCACAGAAACCACAGTTACAGTTAAGAATCTAGGGTCTAGTGGGCACAGGCCCCCTGCCAGCTGCTGCCCCTTCTTCCAGCCCTCCCGACAGCAGAGGCCTGAGACCTCTGAAGAGCAGGAAGGGAGGCAGCGGTCCCCAGCAGAGGGACAGGGACAGCCCAGCCCTGGGGACACTCTTGGCCTTGGCCTAGGCTCCAACCTGGCTCAGCCCCCTGCTCTGGAGGGGAGCCAGACACCCTGAGGCAGCACTGGTGGCCTGAAGGAGCCAAGTCTTTCAGGGGATGGGAGAAGCAGGCACCTGTGGCTCCCAGGTGCCCACCCAGTACCAGCTGGTCCTACAGAGCCCTTCCGATGCCTGCCTCAGTTACACCTCCCAGAGGCCCCGCAGGTGCACACACACACACACGTATGCACATGCGATGCACGTGTCATGCAAATACATTTATGTTATGTTAGGTTAATTACACAAGCCTCCATGACCTCCCTGTGCTGTGTTAATTACGCCAGCCTCCTGACATACTGACTGCATTTTTATAAGTACATTTTCTTATCCCAACAAACCCCCCCAAAGCTTGACAGTATTTATAAAGTATAGCAAAGCTACATTAAATATTTAGAAAAAGTTACTTTTTAGCTCATCTCTCAATTAAGAAAATTTAAAAAAACAATATTTTTAAAAATCTCTGGCTTGTCAGGCTAAAAACATTTCTATATTAAATAGCTTTATTTTTGCCTTCCAGAATAATGCCATCATGCATTCCAGGGAGAACCCCATTTCTAGAACTCAAGGGTCAAGATTTGGGAGAAATTCCCAGTTCCTCCCTTTACAGCTGTGTGAGGTGCGTGTTTTCTTCATTTAAATCTCCTGTTGGAGATTGAAATGCCCAGAATGGGGGGTAAGCGGCGCTGAGAGGAGGTCTGACGCCAGGTCTCATCCTGACAGTGGCCCGGGCTGTGTGGCTGAGCTCTTTGCTGCCCTAGAAGACTGCCTGGCAGTGAATGGCTGAAGCGTGAGGCCACAGTGCATGTAAAGTCAGCACCTGTCAGTGATTTGTCATCCTGTCTAAAAGCTAGGGACCCAGGTCTACGAGAAAAGAGATGTCTGGGTGTAATTTCCAGGGGCAGCACCCCGTCATTTAGTTATAAACCCTCAGGTTTGACAGCTTGCTAGTTTCTGTCCTGAGGACGGGTCAGCCCCCTGGGTGGGTGGTGTGGCCCCCTCCTGCGGGCCCAGGAAGGAAGGAAGTGCCACGCCCAGGGCCATCCCTGCTTCCCGCTGTCCTGGCTCATCCCAGGCCTCGGACCCAGAGTGAGGAGGGAAGGTGAAGATGGCTGTGTCCTGATCTTCATGGCGCACCCCCTCCAGGAACTCAGAGGAAACAGTGCACTCTCCCCCGAGAAGTCCCAGACACACAGCCCTCTCCATGACTTGTGTAGGGCTTAGACCAGCTAAGACCCAGGACGGACCCTCGTAGGGGAAGGAGGGGGCCCGCGTGAAAAAGCTCAGGGAGGGATCATGGCCTCCTTGGACCCTTCTGGATCCTCTCTGAGTAGAGGGTATAGGACAAGGGCAGGGCTGTTATGAGAGTGATCGGGGACCCAAACAGCCGTACAAGGGTCAGCACTGGCCGATGCTGGGGTGCGGAGCCTCTAAAAGCCTGGTCAGGCTGAGCTGGCTGGGGACCGGGGACAGGGGACCGGTCCTCAGGAGGACCCGGACGTGGTGAGAGGAGAGGGCCAGGTGCCATCCTCAGCAGACACAAGCTCCTGCACTAATACACTTTTCTCTCTTGCAGGCAGCTTGCCTGAGAGAAGCGGGTGGAAGGGGCTTTGGCTTTCTGATTCAATCTGCACTGGGCTAGGCTGCAGGGCAGCTTTGGGATGGACACTCATGGCCAAGAGGAGTGTTCTTCCCTCCTCAGGAGTGCTCGGGTCCCTCACACCTGCCTCATGTAACCACTCTCTCCGTTTTGATGAGGGAGTCACAGGCACACTGCCACTCTTGCTTCGGCTTGTGAGGAAGTAGCGAGCAGATCCCACGAATACCCAGGACAGCAGGCGGCAGGAAGCCTGGGTGACGGGGGAGAGTGAGCAGAGCTGCGGCTACGAGGCTGGGGGCCTTGGACAGGCAACGGCATCTCTGAGTGCAAGAGAAACTTCCTCTCCAATGTGCCTTCTGACTTCCCTGCCATCCAGCTCACAGAGAAGCCCAGATGGTCGAGCCCCAGGAAGGCGTTTAGCCTGCCCAGGGACCTGAGCAGGGCTGCACTCTGAGCCCATCGCAGCTTCAAAGTCTTGTATTTGTCCTTAAGGAAGGTTCCTGCTGGCATGGTCAGGAACACATTCTTACTCATTGTCAAGGAAAGACAGAGGTTTGAGGTGAGTTAATGTCACAAATCTGAAAGGGTTGATTGCGGAAACAGAGCTGGATTTGAACCTCTTCCGCACAGCAAGACAAACCCAATTTAGAATCACGACATGTGTTTCTTTTACAAACCGTAGGGCCAAGCTCCCAACCCTACCCCCCAACCAACTATGTGTGGAGGCGTCCTGACCCTGAGGCCGGCCTGGGCTAGGCAGGTCGCACCTTCATCTCTGACACCTTGTAGCTATAATTGTATCCTTTCCCCGACTTCCAGTTGATGCCATTTGCAAAGCTGCCATGAGTCCCCCTGAGGTAGCGACCATTCAGGTTTGACACATGGCAGTTTTTGTACCACCAAGCTCCCTGAAACATCACAGCACAATTTCCGGTGTTAAGATCATTGTCCTGGTCTTTGGTGGAGAAGGACTGGTTGTTGTGGAACGTCAGGGAATCTCCTGTGCAGGAGGAAATGTGAGCATCGTTACAGGCAGTAACATCATTACAGACAGTATAAGTCTTTATACCTGAGGCCTGGCCTGGTGTGTCCTCCATGTATGGTTAGGCAGGTTGTGCACTGCACAATCCAAGAAGTGCAATCCATGACTCCAGTGAATACTGCCCTGCTGTTGGCAGTGGTCTTGGCAAATTGTCTTTAGGTCTAGCCCTGCCACCTAATGTGTACTATGTTTATTTCACAGAAGAACAGGAGGCAGGGGTCAGGATCATCATTCTCTACTCTGGATTCCATCATGGCAGACCCCTTCCAGCCATGCCCCGCAGAGATATCAGCTGCTGTCACCGTGCATAGGTCCCTGCTCTGCAGAGACTTCCTTCCTACCAGATGCCCTTGCTGGGATTTCTGCAGTCATACACTGATGTGTCCCATGACCCCCATGCTACACAGAGCACAGATGTTAGTGTCTGCATGTAGAGATGGACGAATTGGCTCAGAGAGGTGAGGCCTCTTCCACAAGGCTACCAGGACACTGAGCACGCTCTCTCCACTTCCCAAACCCCCCTCAGAAGCCCAGGCCACACAGCCCCAAGCAGACACTCACCCGCACTGCCCTCCACGAAGGCCCCCAGGACCAGATTGTACTTCTCCGCCTCGTCGGCCACCTTGAATGATCTGTACTTAGCAAACTGGTAGTTGTCCTCAAAGTCCACCAGGTCTACACGGAGCTCGCTGGTTCCTGTTAGAGAAAGGTTTCAGGGTCTCAGCGGAAGGGCTCTCTACCTTTAGACATGGGAGCTGGGGATCTGGGGCAGGGCCTGGAAGGAGGTCTGGACTCCATGGAGGCAGAGGGCGGAGAGCACCGCAGCATCCCCGGGGCCTGTGTAGCTCTGACCCGGCAGGGTGTGCTGAGCAGCAGGGCAAGACTCTTGACTCCCAAATCCTAGCGGATTAGAGGCAGAGTTGGGGTTGGGCCCAAACTCCACTATGGGGCCACTGTGTCCCTCCTTCCCCTCTCAGGACCTGAGATGCCAGTGGGGCCAAGACCTGAAGAGGCCTTCATCCCAGAGCTCTGACCCTCTCCCGTCCCGATGCTGCCAGAGCCTGCAGCAGGGACGAAGCCCTCGGAGGTCCCAGTGCCACCCTGAGTGTGCTCAGGGCCCAATCCCCTGTGGGCCAAGAGGCTCTTGTGTTCCAGGCAGCCCAGGCCCAAGAGGCAGGGGCACCCCCATTCAGGGCCCCCGACCCCCAAGCCCCAGCAGCGGCCCTACCCTGGGCGGTCAGGGCGTGGATGTTGTCATTCCCCAGCCAGAACTCCCCCAGCCGACTGCCGAAGCCCTGCTTGTACGTGGCCCAGTCCCGGTAGAAGTCCACAGAGCCATCCACCCTCCGCTGGAAAACCTGTGGAGAAGCCAGGGGACAGGAGCCGGGGGGGCCAGGCCGACGTCCCACAGCACGGGGGACCCGCCCTCCAGAGGAGCAGCATTTGTAGTTGGCAGAGCATCACAGGCGGGGTCACCAGCACGCCCACCTGTTCTCCTCACAGACTCCACAGGATGAAGGAGGAAATGGGGGCTCAGAGAGGGGAGGCAACAAGCCCCAAGCCACACAGCAGGAGAGCACCCAACCTCTCCCAGCCTCCCCCAAAGGCCTGGACTTTTACCCACCGGTCATCTCCCCCATCATCTCTGACTGTCCCCGACCAGGAGAATAGAGAATTCCAGAGTGTGTTCTCCCACCAGGTGTGCAGCCTGGCCTCCGGGACTCCCAGGCTGACCGCCTCTGCCCAGCCCCACACTCACGGTCCAGCCCCCTCCGTCCGTGTCCATGTCACAGAGCACAGTCAGGGGCCGGCAGTCGGGCAGGTAGATGGTGTGCCAGCCGCTCAGGAAGTGCCCTCGGTCTAGCAGGTCCTTGCAGGTACGCGGGCCTGGGAAGGGAACCCGGGGAATGGCTGCAGGACAGGAGCCCTGGGCAGGGCACAGGCAGTAGGAGGGAGGCCTGGGAGGAAGAAGCAGGGCCATAGGCGTCTGTATGAACAGAGCGGGACTCTGAGGCCTGGACAGGGACACGGCCCCCAGGGCCACGCAGCTGTGATGGCCGCAGCCAGTTGGCCTGGCCCTCCCACCTCCCAGTGTCACCCCCACCTTCAGCTCCTGGGCACCCGGCCTTCTGGCGTAGATTATAAATAGAAAAAAATTGCCATGGAGTGTATGTAAGTTGTCTGGACAATATTTGTCACTTCCTTGAATAATTAGGGGACAAGGAAACGGGCAAGCAACCATTTTCTTCTGTTCATATTTGTCACTTCATTCTGGCAATGGCGTCGTATGACCCTGGACTTCCAGCCAAGGGCAGCCACAAGCCGTGGGAGGAGTGTGGGGGTGGTCAGTCACCTGTCAGGCACGGCTGGGGCTCCCCAGGTGCTCCTGTTCATGGATGAGAGAGGACACACGTGTCACAGTTTGGAAATCAGAGCCCTTCAGCCCCCATTGGTCCGCGGACACCATTTTCTGGGCCTCCCCAGGAGGTGATGGTATGGGTCCAGCCAAGGAGTCCCTGACCCTGGTTCTGTTGACCAAATTTTTCTTTCCCTCGAGGGATGCCTACACTGGCCCCTCCACCACATGCACCCCTTTCAGAGGTTCCTGGGGAAGCAGAGGCCACCATCCCAGAGACTGCTGAGGCCTCCACATGCCAACTAAAGGAAGCCTGGATCTTCAGGCTTCTCCTGAGGCCCCAAGGCCTGCAAACAGCCCATCTTGGTGGACACAGTAATATGATGTGGGGAGTGTTGTTTGCGGTGTGGGCACCAAACCTGCGTATTTTATGTTTAGACACAACCCATGACTGAGCCTGGGGTTTGGTGAGTGTAGGGTGGTCTTATTCTGAGTAGGTCTGTGGGTAAAGGTGAGTGAGTAAAGGGAGCTTCAATTTCCTACTGCGTATTTCTCCGATTCCTCAAAATTTATTCCTCAAGAAAATATATCAGAAAATTCTTTGTTTTAAAGCAGAGAATTTCCACTAATTCTGTGTTTGGAACTTGTTGGCATGGTTCTCCAAGCCATCCGGGGCTGATCCTGGTTTTCAAGCAGAGTCAGGAGGAGGGGACAAGACAGGGCCTCATGCTCAGGGGACAGAGGCCAGGACTGAGTGAGGCTTAGAGAGGTGGGCAGACAATCCCCCCCCACCCTCTCAAGACCACTTCCACATTAGAGGGACAGGATTTGGTCTCAGGCCCACCCACAGGGCAGATGCTCCTGCACTGAAAACCTTCCCCTACCTGAGAACCCCCCCATACAGACAGCCCCCCCACTAAGAACCCCTCCCCACACTAAAAGTCCCTCCCCGAATAATCAGAACCTCTCCCCCATCCCAGAATCTCTCCCCCATATTGACAGCTCCTCCCTCCCTGCTGATAACACCTCCCCACAGCCTGCCCACCGGGAACCCCTCCCCCAACACACACCCCAAGAACCTCTCCCTACACCACCAAGAACCCCTCCTCCGACATTGAGAACCCTGCCCCCACACTGATGACCCCACTCCCCCAAACTGAGACCCCCTACACACATTGAGACCAGCTCCCACACTGATAACCCCACTCCCCCAGACTGAGAACCCACACACACATTGAGACCCCTTCCCCCACACTGAGACCCCTGCCCTGGACTAAGCCCCAAGAGCCCTGCCTGGGCAGGCGTTGGCTCTGGCGAGGACAGCGTGGCAGCCCCAGAAGACCCGCCTCACGTTCCTCTGCAGCCAGGTCTGGAAGGGCCTTGAAGCCGCTTCTCACTCTTGTCCCCTCCTTACCGTTGGGCCCAGGTGGTCCTGCCTTCCCAGGAGGTCCAGGGGGGCCACGTTCTCCTGCAATTTCCAAAGACACTGACTTGAGGAAAACTGCCCAGCCCAGGATCAAAGGGCCCACCCTGGAGCTGGCGGCTGTCATTTCCAATCATGACCATGACCCTGCTCGTGCTACGACGTGACTGTGGCCCCGCCCAGGCTTGCCCATCCTGCACCAGAAGGTTCTAGATCCAGGACCCAGGCCTCACGGGGCTCTCCTGTTCACTCAGGGGCCGGGAGCTGGAAATCCAGAGACCATGGGTAGAATCTCGGCTCTTTTCCTTCCAAGTGTGAGAACAGAGCGAAATCCCTGGACTCTCTGAGCCTCAGTTTCCTCATCTGAGACAGGTGGAGAAGAGTGTCATGGCCTCCGTGTTGAGGTGGGAAGGTGGAGGGACACAGAGCTTGAAGTCGTGCCAGCGGCCGAGCAAAGCTGGTATTGGATCAAGGACTAGGAGACAGAGCTACAGAAGCATGTCCAAATGTGAGCTCATGAAATAGCTAAGAAAGACGCTCCCTCCATGTCAGAACCCTGTTGGGCCCTGGGAGTCAGTTCTTTTCCTGGCTCTTGCAGGGGCCTGACCCAGCTCTCGATCTAGGAACCATGGTGGGGGTGTTGCCCAACTCAGCATCTGGTTTCAAAAAGAGCAAGAGCCAGTGCCCCCAGCCATGCCTGCACCTACCTCTCTTTCCATTGGTGCCTGCCTCTCCCTTGGGCCCAGGGGCCCCAGGCAGCCCCGGACAGCCTCGGAGAATGGTGAGCTTGTCAGAGCCCTCCAGGCCCACCATCTTCACCTCTGCAGAAAAACACAGGTGGCCACTCAGTGTCACCTGGGCCTGAAGACTCCACTGAGCCATAGATATACCACTCAACTGAAAGGCATCTGCCATCTTGGTGACATCAGGACTGGGCAGATGGCTATAGCCACAGCCACCTCCCTCAGCTGGAGGGTCACCTGGAAGGGAGGTTTTCCTGCCCTGGTGGGCACTTGGTCTGTCCTCACCTCTTGGGCACTGGTCAGGCAGAAAGGTGATTTGGGGCAGAACCCTGGCCTTGGAGGCTACCCTGCCTGAAGGCAAACCTTACTTCCTCAGTACTGTGTGTCCTGAAACAAGTCCCTTAACCCCTCTGAGCCTCTGTTCCCTTACCTACCGAGGGGTGCAGGTTCATTTCAGCTCCTACCATTTAAGACAGCATCCTAATCTCGTCTGTTCTCATCTATCATATCATTGTAATCAATATCGGGTGAGAAGGACACAGGGAGAGAGGCTACCATTGCAACTCCCACGCCTGATCTTGGAGCAGATCTGAGAGTGGATGGGCTCCTGTGGGTCCACCTTGTTCCTCCACAGAGGGAGGCGTCCTTCAAGGACACTGAACAAGTTGGTGCGAAACTAGAGCTGGAATGCAGCTTGTTGTTTTTAATTAGATAACTCAAATTCAAGTGAGTGTGTTACAAAAATAACACGTGCTATTATTTGATCATTTAGAAACTCTAGAAGTATTTAAGGAAGAAAATAATGCCACCCTAACCCCACCACTCCACAACGAGCCACTAGGAGTTTCCAAGCGAATCCCCGCTGTTCCTGGCCTGTGTCACACTTCACGCCACGGATTGCTCCTTGAATGCGATGCTAGTCACAGCACACCGCAGAGCTCTGTGTCTCACATGCATTCCAGAAATCCTGACACGAATCTCTGCAAGCATCAGGAGCATCACAAATTCCTGACCCTGCATCCCAGCCCCGGGTAGACGGAGTCAGGACCTGACTCCAGAACCTGCATTTTCAACCTGCCCTCGCATGCGCCGGAGCCCATGGTTTGGCACCCGAGTGTCCCCTCGGGAGCCCCGAAGGAGGTCCAGAACTCACGGGGACAATGCCACCCTTATTGTGCCGCATCAGGGACACCATGGGAACTGCCATCTCCAGAGCCCAGCAGGTCCTGGATGGAAAGGTCCTGCAGTGCTCATCCCCGCCTGACACCCTGTCTTTCCGGGTGCTTATCCCCACCTCACACCCTGTCTCTCTGTGATGGCGACCATGGCAGAATATCTGACTGGTGTCTACCCAGCTGGCACCACAAGCCTCACCTCCCCACACAACACCATGACTACGCTTTTTACGCTTAGAGGGGGACATGTGGCCCAGGGAGACTGGAAACCTGCCTCGGTTTCCATTATGGGAGGGCAAGCAGAGGAAGCTCCGTCTCTGAGATGCCACATCCATTCGGGGCCTCTGCGTTTGTTCACATAAGATGAGGCATGCAGAGCTGCTGTCTCGTTAGACGATGCTCCACACGGCCTGGTGCAAGGCCTGGAAGCCAGGAAGCCACCAATCACGAAGCTGCCAGCTTTCAGGGACGAGAAGTTTCCAGGAGGAGGCCCTGGAGTGCCCTTACCTGGACAGGTGTCTGCCGCCTGGAGAGCCCAGGCCATGCCCAGGAAAGAGAGCAGCAGGGTGGCAGCGCCCAGGACCCCCACAGCTCTGTCCAGCTCCATCTCTTCTGGTCTTTGCTTCAAAAGGTGCCTGCCCTCTTATAGGGCTAGAGAAGCCAGCCTCCCTCAGACTCCAATTTCTCATCTTCCGAGTGACAGCCGCTTCCTCTCCGCGGGCTTGGTGACGCCAGCAGGAGGTGCGAGATCATCTCCAGGGCTGCTCCCTACCCCCCGCCCCTTGGGGATCCCATGGCGACTGTCATCCCTGCAGGGGGACGGTCTCCTTCCAGGGAACAGGCTGACTTGCTTGTGGCCTTGGGCAAAGAGCCCAGGCCCATCCTCCCACCTTTGTTCAGCGGTGAGCAGATGTCACCATGAGCTGAGAACGGGGAACAAGGAAGGGTTTGCTAAAGATGTTCTGCTTCAAAGAGGTCTCTCTCCCTTATCCGAATACCTAGAGTCCTCATGGCCAGGGCTGGTCATGGGCCACTGGTGTGGGCCTTACACAGTAACCCTCACCACATCATGAGCAGACTTGGGACTCTCCTCAGGAGGCTTGGAAACTGCCACTATGAGGTCCAGGCAGGCTGCCAGGGTGAAAAGGAGAGGAAAATGCGTGTGTGTCCACTGTTTCCTGGGGCAGTATGTAGAGCACAGGGGCACATGAACAGGAGGGAAAGGAGAGAAGAGTGGGGAGCCTGGGGGACTATGACCCAGGTACACATCTGAAGGGGAGACCTTGAGTGTGAATGCAGGGGCTTAGCCTGTAGGGAGGATGAGAGTAGGTGAATTTCACTCCTAGGGCCCAGGGAACCCCCTGAGCCCTGAGGCCAGACATCCCACCTGTAGGATGGCTGTGGACTTACTTCAGTGGTTGTGTTCGCCTTTTGGAGAAGAGCTGGCCTGAAGGTGCACTCTCGCCTTGGACTGAGCCAGGTTAGAGACAGAGACAGTAGCAGGTGGGGCCCCAGAGGCCGTATACCTAAAGCCCCCAGAGACGGAACCAGCACTGCACCTCCCACTACCACCACCGCACCCTGCCACCTGCTGCCATCGGGATGCCGAGGTGCCTTCTTCCTTGGCAAGATCAGTAGAAGGATTTTAAACTGTGACCCCAGCCCAGCAAAGCCACGCGAGAAACAAAATCCCATCGGATTTTCCTTCAATGCCCATGGAGATGTGTGGTCCTGAGACTATGACTAGTTAAGACCCCCCTCGGGTTCCGTGGTGTTTAGGGCAGACCTCTCAAGACTTAATTAAGGCTATGCCAGATGCAGATGAGGTCCAGGGATGAACCTGGGGAAGACACAGGCTCCATGGAGATGCAGATATGGAACCTAGAAAGATGGCTTGGGGGCATCTTCCTCAAAGTCCTGAAGTCACCTGCAGAGGAGCCAGGTCCCCAGAGCTGCCCAGTGAAACCCCAGCAGCCAAAATTCCGAGTCCTTAGGCAGGTTCCTTTACTGCATGCTATTTGTCCTTCCTAATAGAAGCATCTTTCAAACCTAGATGACTTAAAATTAAGTCTAGAAGGCTTTAAAAGCCCAAAGACATTATATTAATATTTTAGTGTTCAGAAATCTAAAAAAATATGCTATTTAAAGTACTTGCAATAATCAAGAGAATCTGGCCTATTGGAGTGGGTGCAGGATAACTTCAACAGAAAATGGCCAATTGAGTAATTGATTTGGCAGAGTGCATTTATGCGGAAAACTTACCGAATTCATATAAACTATTGAATCACTTTATTGGAACTCTGAGTTTATCACATGCTGAATTTAAATGATTACATTTCTAGCAGTTCATATTCAGAAGGATTTTTTAAAGTTAGACAAGGTACTAAAGGATAAATGTGGTTCTATTAAATGTATAAATGCAGTAACAATGTTTGAAGGTGTTTAGTTGGCTAAGTTAAGGAATGGACCAAGAATTATTCACAGGCTCCTTATAGGTGGTTATTAAAAGATAGAATAATAAGGTTTATAAGTCACACTTTTAAAATGAAGGCAGAATGCAGCTTTTAAAGTACACTTTTTTTTTTGAGACGGAGTTTCGCTCTTGTTGCCCGGGCTGGAGTGTAATGGCACAATCTTGGCTCACCACAACCTCCGCCTCCTGGGTTCAAGCGATTCTCCTGCCTCAGCCTCCCGAGTAGCTGGAATTACAGGCAGGCACTACCATGTCCGGCTACTTTTTGTATTTTTAGTAGAGATGGGGTTTCCCCATGTTGGTCAGGCTGGTCTCGAACTCCCGACCTCAGGTGATCCACCCACCTTGGCCTCCCTAAGTGTTGGGATTACAGGTGTGAGCCACCGCGCCAGGCCCTAAAGTAAGATTTTTAATAAATGGACATAATTAAATTTGAATTCGTTTTAGAAAGCAAAGGAAGACCTGAAAAGTCTTTGGTGAACTCAAAATTGCCCACAGATGATAACACACAAAAACCAAAGCCCTCACAGGCACCAGTGTAAATGTTGGTCAGGGGTGCTTCCAGGGGTCACGTCACTTGTTACGGGCAAGGAGGCTGAGGCTCAGAGAAGGGCAGAAGTTCCCGCAAGGCACATGGCCAGTTCATGGCTGAGCTGGCTTCCAGCCCTAGTTCCTCGGGTCCCAACTAGGGCCTTTTCTACCCCCCTGTATTAATCAGGGACAGAACTAATAGGATAGGCATATATAAAGGGGAGTTTATTAAGTATTAACTTACAGGATCACAATAGGCTGTGTGCAAGCTGAGGAGCAAGGAGACCCAATCTGAGTCTCAAAACTGAAGAACTCGGAGTCTGATGTTCGAGGGCAGGAAGGATCCAGCACAGGAGAAAGATGTAGGCTGGGAGGCTAGGCCCATCTCGCTTTTTCACATTTTTCTGCCTGCTTTTTATTCACTGACAGCTGATGAGATGGTGCCCACCAGACTGAGGGTGGGTCTGCCTTCCCCAGCCCACTGACTCAAATGTTCATCTCCTTTGGCAGCATCCTCTCAGAAACACCCAGGATCAATACTTAGCATCCTTCAATCCAATCAAGTTGACACTCAGTATTAACCATCACATCCCCCTTCCAGAAGTTTCCCTCCCACACAAGCTACCTCTGTGCCTCAGCCCAGGTCTCCACCCTCAGGGTGCCGGCTGTTCTAGGACAGGTGATGCTGTACACAGGAGACAGACCAGGCAGGCATGGATCCCATCTGTGAGGTCTCTAACATGACCACCATCTCACAAAGGCCAGGAGGAGAGAAATGGAGAACACGGCCATGAGACTCTTGTAGCAGACAGCAGTGGCTTCATGTTGCCGGAAGGTAAACTGTGATCATGGAAGAGATTTACTACAAATTCTAACGTGGCCACTAAAATAACAACCTTCTACAGATTCAAGCCATACAAAGTATGTTCTCGGACAACAATGGAATTAATTAGAAATCAAGAAAAGAAAGGTGTCTAGAAAATCCTCCCAAATATTTGGATACTAAATAACATTCTTCTAAATAAGATATAGGAAATAGAAGAGGCCAAAGGAGAAATTAGAAAGAATTTTGAATTGAATGAAAACAAAAAGGCAGTAAAATACAGTTTGCATGGTGTTCCTAAAGCACTCCTTGGGAGGCAAATTACAGTGTGAAATGTTCACTAAAAAGGAAGAAAGGTCTCAGGTCAACAGCCTCTGCTTCCGTCTCAAGAAACTAGAAAAACAAGAGTAAATTAAATCCAAAGTAGAAAAAAGAGAATGAATAATAATGAACAAGTGCAGAAAATCAATACAACCTGAAGCTGATTCTTTGAGAAGGTAAATCAAATTTATAAACCTCTAGTCAGACTGAAGAA